>NC_000009.12:76345552-76970552 GCF_000001405.40 Homo sapiens | reverse complement strand
GGGACAGGGAAGGGAGGAGGCCGAGGAGAGGCTGGGACCTTAAGTTCTCTACTGCCTTCTTGATGCCAGCCTCGTCCTCTGAGGCACCTGGACTCAGCCCCATTGGGTCAAACTAGGAGGGCATCACCGTCTTCATGTTCAGTGTCACAGGGATCCTAGGCACAAGGGGACAGATATGGATGTACTTGACATGAGGGAGCCGGATGGTGGACAGGGCTCAGCCCAGCTGTGCCTTTAGGAGGGATGGGAGAAGAAGCATCAATGGAGGAAGAGAGTAGTATAGTTTCTTTAGACCCGAATTCAGGTTTATAATTTCTTTCCTCAGCAGTGTCCAATCTGTTGTTAAGCTTGTACACTTAATTATTCATTACTGGTATAATTTTTACTTTCAGCATTTCCATTTATTTCTTTTTATACTTTCCATCTCTTTGCTGAAATCCTCATGTGCTCATGTGTTCTGTCCACATTGTCTATCAGAAGCTTTAAC
Source organism: Homo sapiens (assembly GCF_000001405.40). Classification (NCBI taxonomy): domain Eukaryota; kingdom Metazoa; phylum Chordata; class Mammalia; order Primates; family Hominidae; genus Homo; species Homo sapiens. Next base: position 76,970,065 of record NC_000009.12, on the reverse strand, counting down.
ATGTTTATTTTAAAGTTCCTGTGTAATAATTCCTTTGTCTGGATCTGTTTCCAATGATGTTTTTTTTTCACTTAACCTCTCATATATCACATTTTCTTGTTGCTTCATGTGACTAATAATTTTTGATTGTGTGGTAGTCATTTTCCTTAAACAACAGTAGAGGTGGAGATAAAGAACATTTACTCCCATAAAAGGACACACTCCTTCTTCTCTCAGGCTCTGAGTAAGGCACACTAATTTGTCATTGATTTGGGTCTGGGCTTTGTTGCCATTTTAGTTTGATTCCATTCTCCACTGGCTTCAAATGTTTCGAGGGTAGAATCAGGACTTTCTTTTCAGTAAGAATTAGAGTCTGAACACTGGTGAATTTCCAGGGATCTCCTTTTGCTTTACAGATGAACTGTCTGAATTTTGAGCCCTGGGAGATCTCTCTTTGCTTTACAGCCTGGCTGTCTGCTTTTGGGGTCTTTGGGAAGTTCTCGTTGCTTTCCACTTGTGCCTGTAGGGGTCTATGCCTGGGGATATCTGGTTTGCTACCTTACTCACAGTCTTTGGAAGGCTGCTGCAGTTAACTCAAGAAGGCTGGGTTGCCTCAAAGGGATTTCTTACAGGTGTTCTGCCCCATCCCAGGCTGTGGAAGCCTCCCTAGCACTCAGTATGAGCCCATGTGCCTTAGCTATTTATTAACACAGAACACACATTTTCCCCCAATGTACTGTCTTCACTTAATATATCCTAGAGATCACTCTATATCCAGATACTTCTCAGTACTTTTTATGACTGCACAGTATCTCATTGCACAGCTCTAACAAGTTGTTCAGTCATTACTTTTAATGGAAAGTTTGATGTTTTCAGTCATTTGTTATCATAATAGTGCTGCAATAAATAGCATTTCATATTTTTTCCAGTCAGTCTTTGAGATAGATACCTAGAGGTCAATCGCTTCATCAGAGAGTAAGTGAATTTGTAGTTTTGGAGGATTTGTGTGAGAGGAGGGAGAGAAGACATTCCAGGCAAGGGGAACAGAGTAAACAAAGGTATTGAGGTGGAGACACGCCAGTTTGTTCAGGGCATTAAGAGACAACTGGTCTGGTTAGTATGAGGTATACAGAGGGCAGGAAGCTGGGTGATGGCATCAATACCCATGATACTGATAGTTGCTGTGTGCAAGTGGGCTTGACTGCTAAGGCAACATCTTTGTACTTCTGTCCTGTTGGTACTAGGAAAACACTGCCTGATTTTGACAAAGAAAATGACATGCTCCAAATGACATTTTAGAGAGATGAATATTGCCAAGTTGTGCATGATAATTGGAGAACTGTCTTGAGCCATGGAAACTGACTAAGTGATTAATGGAATATTCCATTCATATGGATGTTCAGAGCTACTAATGGGACAAACAGAGAAAATGGTCCCAAATCTCTGAGGAATTCTTCCCCTCTGTAAGCTGTTCATGATCATGCTTCCTTCTCCTAGGAGCTTCTGGCACTTACGTGCACAATTTTTTCCTTCATGAGTGATTGTGTGTGACTTACGAAGGAAAAAAGAGCAATGTGTCATATGCTACCATAGGGAGAAATGTTACTCAGAGGTAATTGGAATACTAAGGCAGAATTCAATATAGTATATGGCTCTCATCGGTATGAAGAGAAGAAGAAATTCTTCCTGGAATTCGTCTTCTGTTAGGACTTCATTCATTAGGGTTAAAGTGATCTTTAACTTTTGAGGGGTTAAAGATGTGTATCGGCGATGACAAATGAGGGTGTGCTGTAGGAACAAATAGCCGTATGATCTCCTTGGAATAAAACATCAAAGCTTTTTTTTTTCCTCACACTACATGTCCATTTTGGATTGGCAGGAGGGACCGGCCGATTTGCAGAGCCTCAGGGGCCTGAGCTAATGGAGTTGCTGCCATTTTGACCATTGCCAACCATGATACCAGAGGGAAATGAAATGTGGTAAGCTTTGTCTCTTAAGGTTTCTGTCCAAAAGTGCCCAAAGTCACTCTCACATTTCAGTGCCCCAAGTCACATGGATGTATTTGCTTCTAGAGGTGGGACAGTGCCATCTGCTTATGGGCCAGGAAGAGAGAAAAGCAAAAGATGTGTGATCACCCTGAGGACTGGCAGAGAATTACTCTAATAATCTTATAAAAGCTGTGGACTCTCCCTCCCACAATATGCACAGATGTACACATTCCTGGTACAATTTCATTTTAATTTCAAGTGGTTCACAGGCGTCCTGAAGCCTATATACTGATTCTGTAAAGATCCAACTAAAGGATGAGAACTATACTTCCCAATTATATATTCGTTGCTAATTTCTCTACCAATATTTACCTGTGAGCTTTCTCACTCTCTTGCTCTCTTAAAAGCAATCTCAGTTCTTTTCACTTACTATGTGAAGTGCTATAAGGATCTAAACAGTATTAGATTCTGGGAATATATTCTAGAGCAGCATAATCTGGCACAGTAAGTGAAACTGTCACTTGACAATACTATCACTTCTTAGCAATGTGATTAGTCAAATTGTCAATGAGATTGGGGCAAATTACTTAACATCCTGCGTCTCAATTTTGTCTCCTCTAAAATAGAAATCATAAAACCTTCTTCACAGGGTTGTTGAACATTTAAAAGGATGGATATTTATGGGTTAGGACCAATATGTACTTTGTCACCTATAACTTTGCAAAGTTGGGTGGTATTGTGTAGGTATGGGCTGGAGAAAAGTGGTGATACCCGTGGTTCAAAGGGTTATTAGAAGAAGGTGATCTTGTGTAATACTACAAAAAGACATAGGCTGTGCCCCTCCTGTTCATTTATAGCCAAGTTGCAGAAGCAAACATATGAGACCATTGAAAATGGAAAGAAATCATAAGACTAGTATGGATCATTGCCAAGTGATTACTTCAGAAAATAAGTGCTTTAAATTCAGACCAGGAGGAGATTGCTATTAGCGGGAGGGATCACGGGAAGACTTTGTGGAAGAGGTGAGGTTTGAACTTGAAGGATTGAATTTGGGTTGGTGGTGTAGAGGTGGCAGCCATTTTGCTCAGAGGGAATGATGGAACAAAGCACAGAATTAAACGAGACGATGCATGTGAACGTATATGGGGTTGTTGAGCATCTAGGAAACGCCTCACAGGATAGTAACGACCAGGTTCAGGCCAGAAGTGGGGGAGTGGGTGCTTGGGGAGTGGGTGCTTAGGCACTGGGGCACTTGGAAGGGGTTTGGCATATGAGAAGATGAGATCCCACATGGGTAATAGGCTGGGGCTAGTCCTGGGCAATTCCGAAATTTCAGTCCAACTCAAGCTGCCACCTTCTATTACTGATTAGCACCATTGTCCCTCAGGAAGCCAGAGTTCCAGCAAGTTCTTCCACTTCTTCTAGGAAAACCTAAGTAGTATATGTAATCCACCATTCCAGGGGTATTTGCATTTTAGTAGGGAGCAAAATCATAAGCTAAAGTCATATATCCACATGCTGAATGAGTGAAGTACTTTAAGTGGTGATAGGAGTTTGGGTGGCCTTCCAAATCCATGCATCTTGTTTGCAGCTGCCATTACCAAAGCTGCCCCACACTTCATTGACACTCTGAGGCTCACTCCTTGAATCAAATGCTTGCCATTTCTGCCCCCTGATAACTGTCATTATGAACAGGGGGCTCGGAAAGCAATACTGAGCACAGTGTTCATCCCCAGCTTTGAAGAACCAGCTGAGTGTTAATATCTTCCCTAGTTTACCTAAAGTGATTTTTTAAAAAATTTATTCTTATTATTTTTTAGAGATAGGGTCTTGCCCGGTCACCCAGGCTGGAGTGCAGGGGCATGATCATAGGCCACTGTAGCCCTAAACTCCTGGGCTCAGGTGATCCTCTCTCCTCAGCCTCCAGAGTAGCTGGGGATACAGACATGCCACCATGCCCAGCAAATTTAAATAATTTTTTTTTGTAGAGACGGGGTTTCTCTATGTTGCTCAGGCTGGTCCCAAACTCTTGACCTCTAGCGATCCTTCTGCCTGGGCCTCTTAAAGTGCTGAGATTACAGGCATGAGCCATGGCATCAAGCCTGCAGTGATTTTTTTTTTTTAATCAGTTAATCTGCTTTGTAACTCAAATTAGGCATTTTTAGCAAAGAGGCTATATGCATACCAAAACGTTATTACTGCTCTTTCTATATATGATTTCTCCCAAATGGTCACTGTTTGGTTAATCCCTTATGGCTCCTATTCCTGCATCTTATCAGTAGGGAATATTGGAGGTCTATAAGAAAAAGATATCTAGAAAGGCATGTGGAACACTTTAAGACTGAGCCCATTAGATTTTAATATAAGAGTGAGGTCTCCTCTCTGATTTTTCTAGTCCAGCAGTAGGCCATCCTAGGGAACCTAAAATGATAAGATGGGCAAATGTTCATTTACCTTTTTCTCCTTATGCACAATTTACTTTGATGAACTTGGCAAAACATCTCAATTGCTTTTACATTTTGATGAGAGTGAGTTCAGTGTATACCTATGATAAATAATACGGATTTATCACACCTTTCTTCTGCTTAAATTAATCTGCTAGTGCAACTAAGGAGATATATTTGCTTGAGTGAGAACAGTGCTGAAGGCTGGGTGCGGTGGCTCATGCCTGTAATCCCAACACTTTGGGAGGCCGAGGTGGGTAGATCACTTGAGGTTGGGAGTTTGAGGCCAGCCTGTCCAACATGGTGAAACCTTGTCTCTACTAAAAATACAAAAATTAGCCGGGTGTGGTCGTGCATGCCTGTAATCCCGTAATCCTAGCTACTAGGAAGGCTGAGGCAGGAGAATTGCTTGAACCCAGGAAGCGGAGGTTGCAGTGAGCTGAGATCGCGCCACTGCACTCCAGCCTGGGTGACAGAGTGAGACTCCATCTCAAAAAACAAATACAAACAAACAAACAAAAACAAACAAAAAACCATGCGAAAAGTGTTTTGACCACTGAAATACTAAAATACAGACCCACTTCAGGACACTGAAGGGTGCCCACCAAGCTAGAGGGGGATGGAAATTCCAGTAGACATTCAACATTCATCCACCAGACAGAGGCCTTTCCCCTAAGAGCATCTCAGTTTCTCATTGGAGAATTTCCCCTCCCCTGTGAGTGGGCAAACAAGTCTGACTGCCAGGGGTGCTCTGCTAATGGAGCTCCCTGTCTGTGGAATAAAACCTCAGGGGAGGAAAGCGTTCCTCCAGCGCTGTAGTTCTCCCAATTGCTTGTGCTGCTTTACTTTCTCCAACATGCCAAGCGCATGCCTGCCTCTGGGCTTTTGCCATTACTAATCACCTTGGATTTCTATTTCCCCAGATGGTCCTGTGGGCTCCTTCCTCACTTGCTACATGTTGCTGGTCAGATATTGCCTTCTCAAAAATGGCTTTGCTGACCATCACACCTACAACAGTCTCCCCTGCCCTAGCCTATGACCCTGAGTTTTCTTACCTTTCTTCATAGCCCTCTTCACTGTTTTTCACATCTGACTCCTCACTAGAATATAAGAACCAGGAGGGCAGAGACTTTGTTTAGCCATAGCTGTATCCCAGTGCCTTAGGACAGTGCCTAGCATTTAGTACACATTCAAAAAACAGGTGCCAAATGAATGAGCCCTTTTCTCTCCTCCTCCAGTACAGCCAGGCGCAGATAAGTGACTTAAGCTTGGCCAGTCAGGGCCTCTCCTCTGGGACTGTCAGAGCAGTAAATGGCCGAGGGAGACACTTTAGATCATTCCTGGTTGCCGAGGGACAGTGATGGCATGAACTAACCAAGCTGGGGTTCCCACCTCAACTGCTTGGTCCTCTGCAGGGCCCTTGCCCCAGCCCATTACCAAACTAGTTCCCCATCCTTTGTCACTTCTGTGGCATACCTGATATTCCTTTCCACAAATCCCCTTTGGTCTAAGTTAGGTAAAGTGAGTCTCTGTTACCTGCCACAAGAACCTTAACTGATACTCATATGGGAACACACGCTATTCCACTCCCCAACACACTGTCCTTGCACAGTCAGCACCCAGATGGTGCCATGAGAAGGTATTGAGACTGGTCCCTGTGTGTGGCTTGTGTAGCCAGCCGCATTACTTTATAGCTCACTCTTACTATTTTACCCCTATAGATACTGTAATCCCAGCACTTTGGGAGGCCAAGGTGGGTGGATCACAAGGTCACGCATTCAAGACCAGCCTGGCCAACATAGTGAAACCCCGTCTCTACGAAAAATACAAAAAATTAGCTGAGTGTGGTGGCACATGCCTGTAATCCCAGCTACTCAGGAGGCTGAGGCAGGAGAATCACTTGAACCCGGGAGGCAGAGGTTGCAGTGAGCCGAGATTGCACCACTGCACTCCAGCCTGGATGACAGTGCAAGACTCTGTCTCAAAAAAAATAAAAAAGAAATAAAGAAATAAAAATAAAGAAATAATTTAAAAAAACAGATACCACCTGGATGTAGCTGGGCTATTTCATTATAGGTAGTTTTCATCATTCTCTTTTATTTTGGGTTTGTTTTCCCTCTTCCTGACTTGTCACATATAGAAACCCAATCCCCACTCTGAAATTTTGGTCAGTTTTTGTGTTTCCATGCATCTTTTATTCACTTCCTCAGAAAGAACCCTGTTTAAGGTGCATGCATTTTTAAAATAATTGGATTTCTGTATTATCATTTATAGTTAATGGTGGCAGTCTTAAATGTTTTGCAGAAATAAAGGTTGAGAGTGGCTGTTATAGAAGCAGAGATTGGGGGCTTTTCAGCACTCATGGCTATTGGAAGAGATGGCAGTCAGTCCTTCCAACTTATCATTTCTAGGCTGAAAAAAAAAAACATTATTCTGGAATAATTGGAGGCTAAAAACCCTAAATTGACTTTTTAGGCATATAGGCCATGAATACTAAATAGTGTTCTTAATAATGCTCCCCCAGTTCAACAGAATTTTCCCCACATTTGGTACTGATCAAAATGTGCGGTACCAGTAAACACTAAGTGTTTTGTTTAAATATTAAACTTTAAAGTGCCACATCAATTTTTAATGTGTAAGCTCTCCTTGAAAGTCTCCACCAGGCTGCTCTTCCCTATCAGTGAAACACTTGAGGGGCACTAGCCAAGCTCTCAGGTTACAGGGAAAAGGCTGACCACACTGAAACCCTCCTCAGAGCACCTCTGAAAAGCCAATCTGTGAGCAGAGGGCAGGCTGGCTCTGAATTACTTAAAGCCTCTATTTCCAAAACTGTGTTAACCAGTCATGTACTCAGGAAGTTGCAACCCCAGGAAGTTCTTCAGTCAACAGATTTTAGGGCTTACCTCTTGCAAAGAATTGCTGATTGGAAGAGAATCATCTAGAACATGCCAGCACAGCAGTTTGTATTGATGGTATTGGAGGCCCTGGTGAAATGTCTCTGGAGGGATAGTCACGCCCTTGCCTCAAGGATGTCATCTGAGGAGTTACTGCAGTATTTGAATGAGGAGTGGTGATTGTCCTGGCTAACTGGATTTCTGTTAAGGATCACTGCAGATGGGCACTTCTTGTTCTTTATCCTTATGTGATTGGGAGAAAGGGCCTAAAGGGAGTGGGACATGAATTTGTAAAGAGCAGGTACAAGGAGAAGGACAGGATCCTGATGGCTGACTTGGTACTCGGGCAGAAATATCCTGGTGGTAAAGGTGGGAGGAGCACTGATCATGAACATTGTTAACCTCTTGCATTTCTCCATTGTTCTGTTCATTCACTTATGGAAGTAATTTATTGAGTGCTCCATGGCCAGAAAGTCCTTGCTGGGTTTCAGAAATGTCAGGTAGCTGGTGTATTTGAAACTTAGCAAGATATGTAGAGAGTGGTAAGAAATGAGGTGGGGTCATCAGTCTGTGGTTGAGTTTGGAAGTTGTTCTGTCACTGGCCTGAGGACCTATCAGAAGAGCCTCAGCCCTTCAGCCACACCATGAGAGTGAGTAGGCTCATGCACCATCCAGAGTCTGCTCTGGGCTTAGAAAGTTTCCAAAAAAAAAACAAAACCACGTATATGTTATAGTTTTAGACCTTCTAAGGCTGTACTTCAATAAGACTTCACCGCCAAGTAGTTTGAGATATAAGCGCAACAAAGAGAATTTGAAATTCAGAAATAATAGTAGATGGAATTGCTTGAAAGCTGGCTATTGGAGCTTTGAGAACCAAGGATTTCATAGTGAATTGCAGTTTCAGTACAAACTGAATTATGAAAAACATAGAAAGGGAAGAAAATGATATACTTTGAATATTAGGAAGAAAATGATATACTTTGGATTTTAGGCCTGGATCTTTACTAACTATCCAATAGGACTATACTGTGGTTGGACATTTACGGCTTCTATATGATGTGCAACTGTTAGCTTCACCGTCTAAGTGGTTAGGATAGCCACTAACCACATGTGACTATTTAAATTAAAATTAAATACTATTAAACATTTACTTTCTGTTTTAGTTTATGTTGCTATAACAGAATACCACAGACTGGGTAATTTATAAAGAACAGAAACATATTTTTTACAGTTCAGGAGGCTGGGAAGTTCAAGATCAAGGGTGAGGGCCTTCATGCTGCATCATCCCATGATGGAAGGTGAGGGGGTGAGAGAGAGCAGAGGGAGAGCGAGAAGGGGCTCAACAGGCTTTTATAACAAGCCCACTTTCGCAATAACTGACCCATGTCTGCAATAACAACATTAATTCATTCATTAGAGCAGAGCCCTCATGACCTAATCCCTTCCTATTAGGCTGCAGCCCCCAACACTGTTGCATAGGTTGGAAACATCTGGGGGACACATTCCAGCCACAGAACCTCCTCGGTTACATTAGCCACATTTCAGGTGCTCAGTGGTTGTTGTATTGGACAGCACAGGTACAGAATATTTCCATCATTTCAGAAAGCTCTACTAGACAGCACTGCAGACAATGTGAGGTTAAGAAATTTGGGAAATACAATGTTTCTATTAAATGCATTTTCTGGCTGGGCGTGGTGGCTCACGCCTGTAATCCCAGCATGTTGGGAGGCTGACGCAGGTGGATCACTGCAGGTCAGGAGTTCGAGACCAGCCTGGCCAACATGATGAAACCCTGTCTCTACTAAAAATACAAAATTAGCAGGGCATGGTGGTACATGCCTATAATCCCAGCTACTTGGAAGGCAGAGGCAGGAGAATTGCTTGAACCTGGGTGGTGGAGTTTGCAGTGAGCCGAGATTGTACCACTGCACTGCAGCCTGGGAGACAGAGGGAGACTCCGTCTCAAAAAAAAACAAAACAAAAAAAAAAAAAAAAAACTTTTTCTTATTTCTTCAGTGGTTACTACAAACTTTCAGCTCACTCCAGCTTTGTAATCACCACACCCTCATCACTTTTGACAGGTGGTTGTGACTCCTCTGCTATAAGAAATGTAGACAACATTAGGTGTAGATATTTTTTATATTTTTATATTTTGTCCTTCTATCCCCAGCACCTACTTCCTTGCATCTGTGGCTATTTCCTCAACCTCTCTTAGAGAAGAGGCATCATCCTTCCTGTTTATTGCTAATCTCTCCATCTGTGCACTAGAATCAACTCTTCTGTCTTTCAATGAACAGGTTTTATCAATTATCTGCTTTTTCTTTCGTATATACTGCATACGAATCTGTAAATGTATATCTCTCTATATTTAATAGATTCACAGAAAGTTTGAAAAAAATATAAAGGGAGATCCTGTGTACCCTTCACCCAGTTTTCTCTTATGGTAATATGGTGCATAACTATAGTGCAGAATGAAAACCAGGAAACTGACATTGGTGCAATCCTCAGAGCTTCTTAAGATTTTACCAGTTTTACATGCACCCATTTGTGTGTGTATGTATATATATCTAGATTTATATAATTTATGTAACACTCAAGAATGTTAATAATATAGTATATAACCTTTTGAAACTGGCTTTTTCATTCATCCTAATTCCTGTGAAACCCATTCCAGTTTTCTGTATCAAGAATTTGTTCCTTTTGATTGCTGACTAGTGCTCCGCAGCACAGATGTGCCACAGTTTGTTTAGGTTGTTTAGCTATTTACTCATTGAAAAACATCTGATTTTTTCCCACTTTTTGGCTGTTACGATGAAAGCTACTATAAACATGCATGGTTTTGTGTGAACAGAAGTTTTAATTTCTCTGGGATAAATGCCCTAGCGTTCAATGGCTGGGTTGAATTTTAAGTCCAGATTCAATTTTGTGAGAGTAAGAAACTGCCAGACTTTCTCCCAGGGTTGTTGTGACATTTTTATGTTCCCACAGCAATGTATGAGTGATGAGCTTCTCTACATTTTTGCCAGTATTTGGTGTTACCATTGTTTTTTATTTTAGCCATTCTGATATGTGTGGTGATATTTTATTGTGGCATTAATTTTCATTTCTTTTTTTTTTTTTTTTTTTTTTGAGACAGGGTTTAGCTTTGTCATCCATGCTGGAGTTCAGCAGCATAATCAAAGCTCACTGCAACCTTAGACTCCTGGGCTCAGGCCATCCTCTCACCCCAGCCTCCAGAGTAGCTGGAACTACAGGAGTGAGCCACCACACCCAGCCTTAATTTTCATTTCCTTAATGGTCCATGATGTTGAACATCTTTCTATGTGCTCATTTGCCATAAATTTTCTTTGGTGAAATATCAGCTCATGTCTTTGGTGAAATATCTTGCCCATTTTCGAATTGGATTGTTTGTTGATTAAGTTTTGAGAGTTATTTATGTATTTTAGACACAAGGCCTTTGTTGAATATGTGGCTTGGAAATATTTCTCCAAGGATAGCCTGCCTTTCCACAGAGTCTTTGGCAAAGCAAAAGTTTTTAAATTTTGACAAGTCTCTCTAATATATATATATACATATATATATATACACATATATATATACACACACATATATATACACATATATATATACACATATATATACATATATATACACACACATATATGTATATGTATATATATATATCTGTGTGTGTGTGTGTGTGTATATATATATATATATATTTTTTTTTTTAAAGAAGGAGTTTCACTCTTGTTGCCCAGGCTGGAGTCCAGTGGCACAATCTTGGCTCACTGCAACCTCTGCCTCCCGGGTCCAAGCGATCCTCCTGCCTCAGCCTCTCGAGTAGCTGGGATTATAGGCGTGTGTCACCATACCCGGCTAATTTGTTGTAGTGTTAGTAGAGATGGGGTTTCACCATGTTGGCCAGGCTGGTCTTAAACTCCTGACCTCAGGTGATCCACCCGCCTCGGCCTCCCAAAGTGCTGGGATTACAGGTGTGAGCCACTGCGCCTGGCCTCTCTACTATATTTTAAACTTACATATTTAACCTAACCTGTTCTGCTGCTCTTTTTCCATTAGTGCAAAAATTGCATCGTGGTTATCTAAATGGAAACACATTTCTTTTCCTGTCGTTCTATATGTCAACAATGCCATAATCTGCTTAGTGGTACCCCAAACATACTTGGAAGTCATCTCTGAGTCCTCCAATTCTTACAGCTTCTATCTCTAACCACCAACTCAAAGCGCTTTTTAGTCTTGCTAAATATTTCTCAAATTCATCCTATTTTGTTGTTATACCCTCAGTACCATTGTCTTAGTTCAAACCCTTATTATTTCTTGCCAAGATCATTGCACTCAACTTCTAACTGTGCTCCTGGTCTCCAGTCCTGCCTGACACAAAGCCAATTTCCACATTGCTGCAGAATGATCTATATGAAATGCAGTCCAATCATATTACTCCTCGGCTAAAAAAAGTCCTTAAACAGCCTACCATCATCTGCAGAGTACAGCTGAGATCTCTGAACATGATGTACACCTTCCTTTACAGTCTCTCCTCAGCCTCATCTCTTGCAGCTCCCCATACCACACATCAGTCCCAACCATTCTAATCTACCTGCAGTTTCTCAAATGCATTGAGATTTCTTGATTCTGATGCTTTGCTCGGGATGTTTCCCAGGCCTCTGTGCTTAAGGCTTCTGTTCTGCATTCAAGATTCAACAAGAGGGCAAATCCTCCATGGAGGCTTCCCTGCTTGCCCAGTCAGGATTACCTCCTCTTTGCTCATGTCACATGCTGTACATAACTTCATCAAGGCAGGGACTATATCTGTATTTATTCCTGGGGCTTAACAAAATACTTGGCCCATAGCTTACAAACATTATGGAGTAAGTAAATGAATCTAAGGAATTGGATCTCCTCTATATTGAAACTATCTGGTTTTCCACCTTCCCTAGCCTGTAATCTCTTGAGGGCTGGAACTGTCTCTAGTCTCTGTCAATAGCACCTGCAGAATGCCCAGCTCACAGGACAGTTTCAGTAAATATTTGTTGGATAAATGAATGAAGCAAAGTGGATATTCTTGCAATTGGTGCAATTTAAGTTAATCTTTCTGCCTTTGCTTATCCCTATAGGTGGACACTGAGCCTGACAGTAAAAAAGTACAGAAAACAACAGACGTTATTGATGCTTTAATACATTCACACGGGCGGAGTGGGCATTTCTGGCTCGGGTATGGTTTTTTCTGCCCTAAGCAGCCACAGGAAGGCAGGAGGCTACTTACGTTGTTCATAATTTAACAAGAACATACTGACCTTTCCACTATTGGGCAGCTACTCAGTGACAAAAAGAATCTCTTCTCATCTAGCTTGAAGTCAGATCCTGTTTTGAGCTGCTGTGGATAGCTCAAAAAGAGATATCAACCTTTTGGGTAATCCTTTCTGAAATAGATGAGATTCTTTAAGGTATTATTAAAATAACTGATCACTATGAAATCAAATTTATCTGATGCATTTTAGGTTATAAACTTCTTTCAGATGCATGTCAAATTCAACGTGCAGTATGTGAAAATTGGCCAGGGCTGGCTTTAAGGCAACATTGATGGAGTAGCCCTGATTTCTCCATTTCTTCTTCAAGCTCTCTTGCTTTGCCGCAGAAAAGCCCCATGCCATCTCCCTGCTCCCCAGGCTCCTCCATACCCCACCTAACCCTAGCATCCTGAATGAAATGAGGTTCGTCAGGCATCCATGTAACATATACATGTCATCACATGTTCCTTTAAAAGCAGTCATTTGCTTTAGTAAAGGGATTGTGGAAAATTAAGCAGAAGAGGAAAAGAAAGACTGTTTGCACTAACGCTGGGTCTCTGGTAATCACCTACCTTACTGCTTCTTAACTTCATTCCAGTTCAGCCACTTGGTCCCGTGGTCACACCTTGGACCCTGTCATTTTCAGAAACTACTCCATCTGCAGTCTTAATTTCAGATATCCTGTTTTCTTTTTTCTTTTTCTTTTTTTGTAGAAGGAAGGGCTTTATTCAGCTGGGAGCATCGGCCAGCTACTGTCTCAAAATCTGAGCTCCCTGAGTGCACAATTTCTGCCCTTTTAAGGGCTCACAACACTAAAGATTTCACTTGAAAGGGTCGTGATTGATGTGAGCAGGCAAGGGGTACATGACAGGGGCTGCACGCACCAGTGGTCAGGGAGGAACAGAACAGCGCAGGGAGTTTCACCGTGTTCTTCTATACAATGTAAGGAATCTATGAATAACATCAGCTTCTAAATCATAAGTTGATTTTTAACTACTGGGTTTAAGCCAGGCAGGCCCAGGCCTGGTTTCGGGCCTGGCGCTGGGCTGCCTGTCTTGGTTTTACTTCCTTGTGGTTTTTACTGAATATAAAACAATGTGAGAGGGTCTTTCTCTCCTCTCACATACACAGTCAATGGTTTAAATTGCATTAATTTAGATTCTCAATTCTTTTTTTTTTTTTTTTTTTATTGATCATTCTTGGGTGTTTCTCGCAGAGGGGGATTTGGCAGGGTCACAGGACAATAGTGGAGGGAAGGTCAGCAGATAAATAAGTGAACAAAGGTCTCTGGTTTTCCTAGGCAGAGGACCCTGCGGCCTTCCGCAGTGTTTGTGTCCCTGGGTACTTGAGATTAGGGAGTGGTGATGACTCTTAACGAGCATGCTGCCTTCAAGCATCTGTTTAACAAAGCACATCTTGCACCACCCTTAATCCATTCAACCCTGAGTGGACACAGCACATGTTTCAGAGAGCACAGGGTTGGGGGTAAGGTCACAGATCAACAGAATCCCAAGGCAGAAGAATTTTTCTTAGTACAGAACAAAATGAAAAGTCTCCCATGTCTACCTCTTTCTACACAGACACGGCAACCATCCGATTTCTCAGTCTTTTCCCCACCTTTCCCCCCTTTCTATTCCACAAAACCGCCATTGTCATCATGGCCTGTTCTCAATGAGCTGTTGAGTACACCTCCTGGACAGGGCGGCTGGCCGGGCAGAGGGGCTCCTCACTTCCCAGTAGGGGCGGCCAGGCAGAGGCGCCCCTCACCTCCCGGACGGGGTGGCTGGCCGGGTGGGGGGCTGACCCCCCCACCTCCTTCCCGGACGGGGCGGCTGGCCGGGCAGAGGGGCTTCTCACTTCCCAGACGGGGTGGCTGCCAGGCGGAGGGGCTCCTCACTTCTCAGACGGTGTGGCTGCCAGGCGGAGGGGCTCCTCACTTCTCAGACGGGCAGAGACGCTCCTCACATCCCAGACGGGGCTGCAGGGCAGAGGCGCTCCCCACATCTCAGACGATGGGCGGCCGGGTAGAGACGCTCCTCACTTCCTAGATGGGATGGCGGCCGGGCAGAGACGCTCCTCACTTTCCAGACTGGGCAGCCAGGCAGAGAGGCTCCTCACATCCCAGAAGATGGGCGGCCAGGCAGAGACGCTCCTCACTTCCCAGACGGGGTGGCGGCCGGGCAGAGGCTGCAATCTCGGCACTTTGGGGGGCCAAGGCAGGCGGCTGGGAGGTGGAGGTTGTAGCGAGCCGAGATCACGCCACTGCACTCCAGACTGGGCACCATTGAGCACTGAGTGAACGCGACTCCGTCTGCCATCCCGGCACCTCGGGAGGCCGAGGCTGGCGGATCACTCGCGGTTAGGAGCTGGAGACCAGCCTGGCCAACACAGCGAAACCCCGTCTCCATCAAAAAAATACGAAAACCAGTCAGGCGTGGTGGTGCGCGCCTGCAGTCGCAGGCACTCGGCAGGCTGAGGCAGGAGAATCAGGCAGGGAGGTTGCAGTGAGCCGAGATGGCAGCAGTACAGTCCAGCTTCGGCTCGGCATCAGAGGGAGACCGTGGCAAGAGAGGGAGAGGGAGACCGTGGGGAGAGGGAGAGGGACAGGGAGAGGGAGAGGGAGAGGGAGAGGGAGAGATTCTCAATTCTTATAAAGGCCAGTTTCCCTGAACCATTCAATCACCAAAGAGGAGAACTGGGGGTGTTGGAAGCAGACAAAATGGGGGACCTGACCAACTCAGTATACCACTGGAGGCTTTCATGCACGTCCTTGTGAAGAGACCACCAAACAGGCTTTGTGTGAACAACATGGCTGTTTATTTCCCAGATATCCTGTTTTCTACTGAGACCTCCTGTCCTTCCAGTTTGCTTGCTAAGATAACCCACGGGCATGTTCCTTTGATGTTCTTTAGACAGCCAATCAATCCATTGATCCTCATCACCTTCTTGTTACTTTCTTTCTTTCTTATCCAGGTAGATTTCAAGGTTCAACACAGTCATTCCTTTGCAAACACTGTCAGCTTTCCTCCCCATTTTCTGTTCATCATACTCATACTCACTTGACAAAACCCCAACCTTGGAATAACCCTCCCATCTATCTTCCCTGTGCCTCCATTTGAGCAGTTCAATGTTGATGGACAAAATTGTACAAGCGAATGGACCTGGCTCACTTAAATTGCACAAGAGAATGAACTTAGCTTAATTAATGCCAATTTGAGGCTTAAGTTTATTCCTAAGCCTCAAATCGGCATTAATCCTACTTAGTGGGCTTCTTCCTGGAATTATTTTTTTTCTTCTTTTACGGGTCCAATGGCCCTTCTTCCATCATTAGTCTTAGCTGATAACTCATCCTCAGACTTAGAGACCCTTAGTGTCCCTGCTCATCAGAACCTGCAGCCTGACTTACAGTTGCACCCACCTTCACCTCCTGCCCTTGCAGCCAAAGCCAGTCCTTCTCCTTGTCCCTGGATTTTATCCACATCACCTTTCATTTCTCCCATTGTCATCAATAGCCAGGAATAATTGTGTTAGCTGCATGACAAAAATAATATCATAAATATTTTCTCCTAATATGATCATAATTGTTAATTTAGACCTAATAGGATAATTATTGTGTATTGAATATTTTTCTCCAAAAATCCTCATGCAGACTACTTCCGGAAAATTAATCTGCCCCTTAAACTACAGTGCTCTATTTTCTATCATAGCAAAATTTCACTTCTCTGCCTGCCTTTTAAGTAGCTCCTAGCCTGGGCTTGCCTTATTCTAGTCCTATTTTCACTCATTTTGCATCCCAATCTACTAGTTAGGGTGGTCTCCTCATTTTCTCATGACATACCTTTATTAATATCTTGCCTTCACCCAAAACACTCTGTGTTTCCTGCTCAGATATCAAGAGGCACAGAGGAACTCCATTTGAGATGTCTCTGACCCCCAAGCCCTTAAACTCAGTGTCTTTTAAAAATTATTATTATTTTAATTTTTTGAGATGTAGCCTCACTCTGTTGCCCAGGCTGGAGTACAGTGGCGCCATCTCGGCTCACTGCAATCTTCATCTCCCAGGTTCAAGCAATTCTCTCTCCCTCAGTCTCCCGAGTAGCTGGGATACAGGCGCCTGCCACCATGCCCTGCTAATTTTTGTATTTTTAGTAGAGACAGGCTTTCGCCATGTTGGCCAGGTACTCTTGACCTCAGGTAATCCACCCATCTCAGCCTCCCAAAGTGCTGGGATTACAGCATGAGCCACCCTGCCCAACCCCAGCATTTTAATAAAATTATTGCAATTTAAATAATATCTATTTTATTTTGTATTTTTAAGAAACACATAGATTGTAAAAATGCCAGAAATGTCTTGCTTTTAAAAATAATTCAAATATTTTAGCTTTATATTACAGATAATGTCAAACATAAAAGTAGAGACTAATATAATAAACACACCTGTAATTATTACTCAGCTTCAAAAATGAACATTTTCCCCCATCTTATTGAATTTATCCCCTTCTATTTTTTTAAGAATTTTAGATCAAATCTCAGACATCATGCTTTTTTATTCTTGAATGCTTAAATATGCAGTTCTAACCAATAAGAACTTTTAAAAAACCCTGACCACTATGCTGTCATCATACCTTATAAAATTAATAATTTCTTAATATCATCCAATATAGGGTTTCTCAACTTTGGCAATATGAAATTTGAGGCCAGATAATTCTCTGTTGTTGGGGGCTGTTCTGTGCACTGTAGAAAGTTTAGGAGCATCCTGGTCTTTACTACCAGATGCTAACAGCACACCTTTCATCATGGCAACCAAAAATGTTTCTAGAGTGGGAGGAAAATCACACCTGGTTGGGAATCACTGATCTAATGCCAGTTTCTATTTAAGTTTGTACAGTTGTTTAAAACAAATTTTTAAACATTTATTTATTTATTTATTTATTTTTTTTTTTTGAGACGGAGTCTTGCTGCGTCACCCAGGCTGGAGTGCAGTGGTGCAATCTCAGCTCACTGCAACTTCCGCCTCCCAGGTTCAAGCGATTCTTCTGCCTCAGCCTCCTGAGTAGCCGGGATTACAGGCATGCACCACCACACCTGGCTAATTTTTGTATTTTTAGTAGAGATAGGGTTTCACCATGTAGGCCAGGCTGGTCTCGAACTCCTGACCTCAGATGATCCGCCCGCCTTGGCCTCCCAAAGTGCTGGGATTATAGGCATGAGTCACTGCATGCAGACTATTTTTATTATACATTGACAAATTACAGTTATGTATATTTATGGGTACACAATGGTGTTATGATTTTTGAATACAATGTGGAAAGATTCAATTAAGCTAATTAACATATCCATATCTGAAAGTCTAACATTTTTGTGATGCAAACATTAGAAACTTACTCTTTTAGCAATATTGAAATGTGCAGAACTCACTTATTAGCTATATTCACCATGCTGTGCCACTGACCTAAAAAAAATCAAACTTATTCCTTCTGCTCAACTGAGGGTTTGTACTCTTTTACTGTCATCTCCCCATTTTCTCCATCCCCCTAGTTTCTGTTAACCACCATTCTACTCTCTGCTTCTATGAATTCAATAGTTTTAGACTCCACATGTAAGTGAGGACATGCGGTATTTGTCTTTCTGTGTTTGGCTCATTTCACTTAGCATAACGTTCTTCAATTCTATCCATGTTGTCACAAATTGTAGAATTTCTTCCTTTTTAAAGGTTGAATAATATTTAATTGTGTATATATACCACATTTTCTTTATCTGTTCATTACTTGATGGACACATAGGTCAGTTCCCTATCTTGGCTATTGTGAATAATGCTCCAATAAACATGGGAGGGCAAACATCTCTTTGACATACTGATTTCAAGTCTTTCAGGTAATACCCAGAGGTGGGGTGGCTGGATCACATGGTAATTTTGTTTTTAGTTTTTTGAGGCCCCTCCATACTGTAAAAAGGGCTCTTACTCCTGCCAGGTGTTGCCAGTCTTCCAGGGCACAGCCCTAACTCTCTCGCTCAAACACCCACTGTCACAGGTGCATCTGTGGGCAAGCCCTTCTGCTGCTGAGCTGCTGAGCATTTTCCATAATGGCTGAACACAATTGTCTTTTTTCTTTCTGTCTTTTTGAGAGGGAGTCTTGCTCTGTCACCCAGGCTGTAGTGCAGTGGCATGATCTCAGCTCATTGCAACCTCTGCCTCTCAGGTTAAAGCGATTCTGCTGCCTCAGCCTCCCAAGTAGCTTGGATGGCAGGTGTGCACCACCACACCCAGCTAATTTTTGTGTTTTTAATAGAGACGGGGTTTCACTATGTTGGCCAGGCTGGTCTCAAACTCCTGACCTTAAGTGATCCTCCAGCCTCGGCCTCCCAAGATGCTGGGATTACAGGCGTAAGCCACCATGCCCAGCCTACACAATTGTTTTAATGGCGTATTTTGTAGGTGAGTTTACTTGCATTGAAATCCAGAAAACAGTGATCATTCTTATCACTACACACTAGGAGAGAGAAGGCAGATAAGAGAATATGGCCAGGAGAAGAGGGATGCAAAAGGTGAGAGCAGCAGTGAGGTTGGTAAAATCTTGAAGGTAAAAGAGGGACTATCCCTGGTGTAACCAGGAGGGTGGTTAGTTGGGAAACAATATTCTGGTGTTAAAGTGTGTTGACGCCTCTTGACACACTTTTGCCAAGCACTCAGCAGCAGAGGGGCTTGTCCACAGATGCACCTGTGACTGTTAGTGTTGGGGTGGAAGAGTTAGGGCTGTGCTCTGGAAGATTGGCAACACCTGGCAGGAGTGAGCGCCCTTTTTACAGACAACAAATTGTTCTTGGATCCTAACTTGTTGTACAACCTGCTTCTTTCTCCTAGTCACCAGAAGTAGACTGAGAAAATCTGCAAACATGCTCACATTTGAAAGGGAATCACAAATTCAAAGCTGAACCCACAGTTCAGGATCATCAAATGTTTAGAAACAATGAATGCCATTTAAGACAGCTGATGACTCAATGAACAGAAGAACTTACACCTAAGGAAAGAAAAAGTAGAAGGAAACTTTGAAAGATGCATAATTAAAACATATAGAAGAGGGCCAGGTCTGGTGGCTCACATCTGTAATCCCAGCACTTTGGGAGGCCGCGGCGGGTGGATCACCTGAAAGCATTCTCTTGGAAATAGCATAAGGGTGCTAATCACCACTACGTGTACTGTGTGTATTGGACAATGGAATAACACACAGAAATAAATCAGGCAGGTAAATATTTGAAAGGAACAGCGGAGGGAACTATGATTGCATTTGCAGAAAGCATGATTGTCTTCCTAGAAGATTCAAGACCATAAAATGGCACACTGATAAACACTTTACTGCAAAAATACTTGAATAAATGATGACAATGCAAAATGAAATAGAGTTTTCATATATGTCCATAACCAATGAGACCATCAGTTACTGATAGAAAAACAAATCAGAAGTAGCTATGAATAAACCTTCAAGTATTTGTGCCATGCTATCTGAAAGCAACAACGACAACGACAATACTAAAAAACATTGTTGGAAGACATAACAGAAGACCTAAAGAAAAAATGAGAAATACCATATTCCTGAATTGGAAAATACAGTATTTTGAAAATGATAATTCTTCTCAAATATTTATACATTCAATGTATTATAGTCAGATTCTATTGAATGTAACAATTGTCTAATCTTATTTTAGAAAGTGAACTAAATATGTAATAGCATTTTCCTACATCTCCTTTTGGAAATTATCCCAAAGCAAAACCAACCCAAACAAAACATAATAACCCAGAGAAATAGAAACTTAAACACTATTTTCAATGAATCTGGGAGACACATCTGTAACTCTGAATTGCAGTGTAAGAGAACAGCTAACAAATTTATCCAAATGTAAACAGGATGCGGGAAGATGCAAAGAGGACTCTGTGAATGCAGAATTCAAATGAAACTGTTAAAACACAGTTCTCTGAAGTAAGGCTACACCTGAGAGGCGAAACCAACAAATCCAATAATGCTAGGATGGGTTTGTCAGTCCCCATGCTTTGCATGAAGACGAAGGGGATTGGGGCTGAACAAGAAATCACTGATACCAGCCATATTTTCAGTTCAGCTTCCTGTCAGGTAGGCAGTATAGAGGAGAGAGCCTACCTTGTGAACATCCCCAAAGCTGCTGATTTTTATCATCTCCTCAGGAATATTATGAGTAGGCCAGATGTGGTGGCTCACACCTGTAATCCCAGTGCTTTAGGAGGCTAAGGTGGGTGGATCACTTGAGCTCAGGAGTTCAAGCCCAGCCTGGGAAACATGGAAAAACCCCGTCTCTACGATATATACAAAAATTAGCCGGGCTTGGTGGCACATCCCTCTAGTCCCAGCTACTTGGGAGGCTGAGGTGGGAGGCTGAGGTGGAAGGATAGCTCGAGCCTGGGAGGTCAAAGCTACAGTGAGCCGAGATCATGCCACTGCACTCCAGCCTGGGTGATGGAGTGAGATCCTGTCTCAAAAACAAACAAACAAACAAAAAACCCAAAACAACAACAAAAGAATATCATGAGCAAATTCAAGCCAATACATTTGAAAATTTAGATGGAGAGAAATTATTAGAAAACCAGAACTTACCTAAAACTGTGTAAGAAATGTAAACTCTTCACAGTTCTATGTCTGTTGAAGTGATTGAATAGGTAATTAAAAACTTGCCACAAATAAAAAACTCCTTTCTTTAAAGAAAAGTTCTTAAAGAAGAGCAAGATGGGCGAGGCATGGTGGCTCACACCTGTAATCCCAGCACTTTGGGAGGTTGAGGTGGGCAGATCACGAGGTCAGGAGTTTGAGACCAGCCTGACCAACCTGGTGAAACCCTGTTTCTACTAAAAATACAAAAATTAGCTGGGTGTGGTGGCGCATGCCTGTAATCCCAGCTACTCAGGAGGCTGAGGCAGGAGAATCGCTTGAACCTGGGAGGCAGAGGTTGCAGTGAGCTGAGATCGTGCCACTGCACTCCAGCCTGGGTGACAGAGCGAGACTCTGTCTCAAAAAAAAAAAAGAGCAAGATGGAACACATTCATAGGTGAATTCTGTCCCTCATCAAAGGATGAAATAACATGAAATTTAACACAAGCTCTTCCAGAGAAGAGAAAAAAGGAAACAGCTTTACAAGTTTTTGATGCTTATACAAACTTGATCTCCAAATCTGTAAAGAATGTTACAAAAAAAGAAATTTAACATCTTTCATGAGCACCGATGCAAAAAATCCTAAGCAAATTATAGCAAATTGAATCTAGTGATACTTAGAAGGATAATACATCATGACCAAATGTGATTTATTTAGAAAATGTGAAACTGGGTTAGCATCAAAAGAGAGTGGAATGATGGTTACCAGAGGCTGGGGAAGGAGGGTGGATGGGAAAAAGGGAGATGTTGATCAAAGGGTATAAAGTTTCAGTCAGATAGGAGGAATAAGCTTTTGTTATTTATGGCATGGAATGATGACCATAATAAATAATAATGCATTGTATATTTCAAAATCACTAAAATAATAGATTCTAAATGTTTTCAGCACAAAAAAGTATGTGGGGTGATGGATTTGTTAATTAGCCTGATTTAATCATGCCGCATTGTAAACATATATAAAACATCACATTGTACCCAGTATATGCAATTATTATTTGTCAATTAAAACAATTTTTAAAAATCAATGTAACTCACCAGAGTAACAGAATAAAGAAAAGAAATCATGGCCAGTTTTGTAGATATAGAAGAGCATTTGATTTAAATTCAAAATCTATTTATATTTAAAAACAACTTTAAATGGAAAAAAATCTTTAATTTGATAAATCTAAAAGAACAACACCCCAAACCTGCAAATAAACCAAATATTATATCTGATGAGAAATATTACAAGACTTCCCCCTGAGACTGGCAATGAGAGAAAGATACCTACTAAAATTGCTTTTATCAGTTTTGTACTAGAAGCCCTAAGTGGCAAAATAAGAAAAAGAAATATTAAAGCTATGAGAATTGGAAGGTAAAAAATAGAACTCTTATTATTCACAGATGATAAGACTATGTATGTAGAATTTTTTTTAAAAAAGTACAGATAAACCGTTGGACATAATAAGTGAAATACAATAGGTCAATTATATTTCTACACATATTTGCAACAAATTTTAAAAGAATAATTAAAATGTATTATTTACAATATCATTAAAGCTTCAAACATCTAGCAATAAATTTAATGAAAGTTATCTGAGACTCCTTCCCAGAAATTTATAATACGCTATCGAGAGCTACCAAAGAAAACTCCATACATGAATAAGATTGATGAATAGATTGTTTAAAAATCTGCAGAGCAACTATCTAGCAGAAATAGAAAAAATGTGAAAGGGTAGTCCCTCCCAAAGCATTTGTTTGTGCTTCTGCCCCAAGAACTCAAATGTGTGGCCATTATTGCTCCAACTGGCCCAAGAAGGAGAGAATCCGCTCTTCCTTCTTGCATTACCAACTCCTGGCGTGAGCGTACCTAAATGAGCCAAGCCCAGATCACGTGCCTGTACCCTGGCCGCAGTCGAGGCTAGGAAAATATCTAGCATTTTCACCTTCTTTAGAAGAGGTGGCCTTTGTCTACCAAGCCTCATAATGTAGGTATAAACCCAGAAAGGGATGCAGAAGGTAGGCACTTGAAACCGTGACGTACATCCGCTGAAAACATTCGTATTCCTGCTGATAATGATGCCTCGATTACTCTGAAAGTACTTGCAAGCACAATGAGAAAAAAATGCCCAAAAATCAAATAGGAGATTAAATACTAATATATTACAATTAGTTTCCTAGAAAATCCATGAGAAACAACTAAAATGTTTTCACAAATTGTGAATTTAGTTAGCTGGCTGCCACAAATTAATAAACATATGTCTTCATGTATGTGGCTCACTAGATGACAAAATGGAAGAAAGTGTGGCACTTACAATAGCAAGAAATGTGAGGGATCAATAGAAAATTTAAAAGTGGTTCTAAAGGATGGAAAAAGAAGACTTAAATAAGTAGAAAGGCACATGATATTTTCAAACAAGAGATTCAATATCATAAATATGTCTCTTCTCCTTATCCTTTTTTTTGTTTTTGTTTTTGTTTTGTTTTGTTTTGAGACAGAGTCTTGCTGTGTTTCCAAGGCTGGAGTGCAATGGCGCAATCTTGGCTTACTGCAACCTCCAACCTTCTGGGTTCAAGTGATTCTGCTGCCTCAGCCTCCTGAGTAGCTGGGATTACAGCCACCACGCCCGGCTAATTTTTCTATTTTTAGTAAAGGCGGGGTTTCACCATCTTGGCCAGGCTGGTCTTGAACTCCTGACCTCAAATGATCCACCCACCTTGGCCTCTCTAAGTGCTGGGATTACAGGCATGAGCTGCCGCGCCCAGCCTAATAGATATATTTGACATGATCCCCTCCCTCCAAAATTACCAGTAGGATTTTTATTGGAACTTGACAGTCTAATCCTAAATAATATACGGAAACACAAACAGGCAAGAATAGCTAGCAAAAAACAAATTTTTTAAAGAGTAATGGGAGGTCATTTTTCTTAGGCCTTAAAACATAAAATCATCAAAAGGGTAAGATATGGTGTTTGAATACATATAGTAACTTGAAATATGATAAAGATGACATTTCACATCGTTGGGGAGTGATAGATTTGCTCTTTTGATTGGCAGAAACTAAAGATTACTAATATCCAATGGTGGAAAAGATGCAGAGAAATGCCTAAGTATGTAAAAGGGCATGATCTTTGTGGAGGCATTTTCTTAGCCTCCATTTTAGGAATGTGCTTATGCCTTAACCCAACAACTCCACTTTTAGGTATTCTTGCTAAAGAAACACTTGCACCTATGCACAAAAGGGTCTTGTAGAATTGTTTTAGTTTGAGAAAAATAGATTATAATCTAAGCATCCTTATAAATAAAGTATTATATATCTATATTGTGGAATACATTGCAACAGGTGAAATAAATATGGTTTAAAAGTAAGAAAGATCATATGAGTAAAATGTGGCATTTCAAGGACATATTTTAAAGTTGGAAAGAGAGTTATAGCATAATACACATAGTGTGATTCCACTGATGTCAAAAGGGTCTGGCTTACACACATATGAGTTGGGTCATCTTGTTACCTCAAGTTTATCAGTTGACCATTGAGGAAACTGAAGCATAGAAAGGAAAAGATGGGTGTTTGGAAGACTATCTAGGGGAATAGCATTTCAGGCAGTGAGAACAACCAGTGCCAATGCCCTGGAGTAGAAGCAAACCATGCTGATTTGAGGAAAAGTAAGGAGATCACTATGGCTGGAGTAAGGTGAGTGAAGGTGGTTAGTGAGAGATCAGAACAGAGAAGTGGCCAGATTCTGTCTTTGTCTTTTGTTTGAGAGAAGTGGGAGCCACTGGAAAGTTTTGAGCATGAAGATGACATTATTTGACTGCCTTTTAAAAATAATTTGCTGCCATGTTGAAAATTGGTTCTAGAGAGGCAAGGGTGAAAGTAGGAAGACTAGTTAGAAGTCTTCTGTGATAATTCCAGGGACAGATGACAGTGGCTTGGACCAGCACCAGTAGAAGTGTTGAGAAGCAGTCAGATTCTGGATATATTTTGAGGATAGAGTCAACAGAAATTTAGAATAAATTGAATGAGTAAGAGAAAGAGAGAAGACACAGGATTTTTGGTCTGAGCAGCTAGATGGAGGAGATTTTCATTCATTGAGATGAGGAAGGTCAGGACTTTGGCTTTTGACATGTTCAGTTTCAGATTTCTATGAGACATTCAAGTGCATGTGTGAAGCAGGAGGGTGGATATAAGAGTCTGGAGTTCCAGGGAGAGGTCTAGGGTGAAGATGTAAACTTGGGAATCCTTGAGATATATGTTACTCAAAGCTGTGAATGCTGGATGAGGTCAACAAGAGAGTGAGTGTTGACAGACAGGAAAACAGATGCAAGACTGTGTCCTGTGTCTCCAGGAGGGAGAAGAAGAGGACTCAGCAGAGGAGACTGAGAAGCAACCAGGAGGTGGGAGGGAACCAGCGGTGTGTGGTAACCTGGAAGTCAAGTGAAAAATGTGCGTCAAGGATAAGGGAGTGTTCAATGGTGTCAAATGCTGTCTTTGGGTCAATAAGATGAGGACTGAGAATCAACCTTAGATTTAGCAATGCTGTGGTCATTGTTGACCTTGAGAAGAGCAATGTTGGTGGTGATGTGGGAGGAAGCCTCACTGGAGAGAGAATGGGAGGAGAGGAATTAGAGATAACAAATATAGCCTGTTTTTCTGAGGCATTGTTTTGTTTGGAAGGAAAGCAGATATATGAGGCAGTTTCTGGAAGTGGGAGGAGTAAAATTCTTTAGTTGTTGTTGATGATGATGTGGTTGTTATTGTTGTTGTCATTTTTAGAGACTGGCTAAACAATAGCCTGTCTGTATGCTGAAGAGAATGACCTAGTAGCAATGGGAAAATTATTCATGTAGGAGAGAACAAAGAAATGCCATTCCTGATAGCCTTGAGAATGCATGTGTGTACAAGGGCAGCTGGCGTTAGCTAGAAAGGTGGACTGTCGTCCATCTAAAGTAATGGTTAGGAAGGCAGAGTATATGTACGGATGCTGGTAAATACATGCATTTGTGATGGGTGGATATTCTCTGCTGATTGCTGTGATGTTCTTAGGGGATTTGGAAGCAACATCTTGAGCTGTGAGCAGAGGTAGGCAGGAGGTGTTAGAGGTTTGAGGTGTTAGAGTTTGAGGTTAGAGGTTAGAGGAATGAGAGGGTGAATGGACTAGGGAAGTAAAATATGACTTACTCGTGATAAAGTCAGAGAGTAAGCATCTATTATAGAGAGCAGGCCTGAACCAAAATAGAGTTTCTCTTTTTCTGGACAAACAAAACCTATGGATCCTTGAGTCGCTTTCTTTTGTTTTTATGAAAACAACCACTAAAAAACAAACTGCAGTTCTAAATTGGAAGACGGGACCACTTAGAGAAGAAGATAATCCAAGTTATTTTGCATTTTCTGTCCTAGTGCTTGGGAAGCACAAAGCGTTCCACACAACATCGCTCCTCAGACAGGAATGTCCAGAGATCTTAGAGGTAGAAAATTTATGACTTGTTGACCAATCTCAAGCCACACCCCTGTGATCATAAAGTCACTGCTGCACATGGGTAATGACAGAACATCCTCCATCATTCGAACTAACCCTGCAGGAAGGAGTCATGGGCAGGGAACGATGAGATTAAGTGCTGTTGCTATACACTGTGTTCCTGCCTGAAGCAGGGTGATGAACTGAATTACTTTAAGTAATTAAATAAAGGTGAGATGTTTCCAGAGCTATCCAGACACAGCCAGTCCCTCAAAGTCTTTGGTAGCTTAATGTCCAGCTTCATGATCTCTGTGACCTGATTTTCTCCAACAATCTTATTAGCATATCCTTGACAATAAACAATGACTAAGAACAATAATTTATTTTGGCTTGTTCAAGATTTGAGTAGAGGTGTGGTGAGAAGCCAAAACTGGAAGTACTTTGAGAGTGGCTAGGAGTTTTCAACAAACTGAAGTTAAGTCAGTGATTTCAAAGAAAGCTCAATTCCCTTGGATAGCACAGTTAACACCAGTTTTACACCAGTAAATAGTCAGGCGAGTTTGTCATATAAGTAGTCACTGTTTCAATTTTCTTAACTATTCTAATTGTTCTTGTTAACTGACAGCTTATTTGTTTCCCCTGGCACCTAACTTATTGATTTGATCTCTTTTCCTTTTTTAGGGAGCTATGTTATCTTGGGTCTTTTGGGAAGCAAATGTCTTGATGGTGTTATACATGCAGGAGATTTATTGGGGGAAATGCTTGTCAGAGAAAAAATATGAAGGAGCTGAAGTTGCTTGGGAGAGCTGTCAGACCGGAATGCCAGATTGACTACTGTGGAGGAGAGAGAAAAGGAAAAATCTTAAGACTGTAGCATAGTTCTAACAAAGTTTTGATAAGGCTGATGTGGAGTCTTGAAGCCCAAATGGCTCATCAGAGGAATCCCACCTCTTCCGGGATTTAGCGTTCCTGCCATGTTCAATGACTGGTGAGGAGCAGCAGGCAGGGAAAGTGGCCTTGGCTCTAATAAAGTGATGAACTTCAGAGTGGGCAGTAGCTGGGGCTGTCAGTTGATTACACTGCTCTATTAGTCTGCTTGGCTTCTGATATGGTTTAACTGTGTCCCCATCCAAATCTCATCTTGAATTGTAGTTCCCATAATCCCCACATGTTGTGGGAGGGACCTGGTGGGAGGTAATTGAATCATAGGGGTGGTTACCCTTATGCTGTTCTTGTGATAGGTCAGTGAGTTCTCCTGAGATCTGATGGTTTTATAAGGGGCTTTTCCCCCTTTTGATCAGCACTTCTCCTTGCTGCTTGTTTGCTTCCCCTTCAGCCATGAGTGTAACTTTCCTGAGGCCTCCCTAGCCATGCTAAACTGTGTGTCAATTAAACCTCTTTCCTTTATAAATTACCCAGTCTCAGGTATGTCTTTATTAGCAGTGTGAGAACGGACTAATATAGCTCCCGTAACAAAACACCACAGACTGAATAGCCTTTTAAACAACAGAAATTTATTTCTCATAGTTCTGGAGGCTGGGAAGTCCAGAATTAAAGTACTAGCAAAGTAGGTTTCATTCTGAGGCCTCTCTCTTGGCTTGTAGATGGCCGCCATCTCTCCTTGTGCTCACCTGACTTCTTTATGCATAGGTGAAGAGACAGCTCCCTGGCGTCTCTTGTTATAAGGACACAAATTCTATTAGAGCAGGGCTCATTCTTATGATTTCATTTACTCTTAATTATATTCTTAGAGACCCCATCTCCAAATACAATCATACATACTGGGATTAGGGTTTCAACATGTGAATTTTGGGGGCCACAGGCATTCAGTTTATAACTAACCATAGTCAGAGATTTGAGGCATTCATCTTTAAAAAATGTTTTATTGCAGTATATAATATAAAAAAATTGCATAATTTTATGTTTATAGCTCTTTAATTTCCTAATTCTGAGAACTTTATTCAAGTATAATTTATATACACTAGAATGCACAAATTTTAGCAGGTCAAGATTTTTAACAGTGTATATACCTATGTTGCCATTACCATGGCAAGATATAGAATATGTCCATCACTACAGAATATGTCCATCACTACAGAAAGTCTCTGATTTTCCTGGGGCACTAGGTGAGTTTCCTTGACTGTAGCGAGTGCTACAGAGAAAAGCAGAGAAGGAAAGGTAACAGAGAGTTGGGGCATGGCATTAGGGTGTATGAGGGTGTCAATTTTAAGGAGAGTAGTGAGCTGAGGCCTCTTTGATAGAGTGCTTTTACCACCTGAAGGGGGTCTTTAAAAATTACAGTTACATATAGCAATGCTGATATACTGATTAAAGCTGATTTTCAGTCATAATGAGTTTGGAAAACTGCACATTTCCTCTGTTTGACACTGATGAGTGTATGGAATTCCCAAGCAACTTATAGTAAACAATCTTATCCTTTTTTTTTTACATTGTCATGAGACAGCTAAAGCTTCCTAAAGAAGGGATAACAGTTCTTACGGGAAACTTTGCTGGCT
This sequence comes from Homo sapiens, assembly GCF_000001405.40. NCBI lineage: Eukaryota > Metazoa > Chordata > Mammalia > Primates > Hominidae > Homo > Homo sapiens. The sequence continues at coordinate 76,940,825 of NC_000009.12, read as the reverse complement.
TCTACATTAATATTTAATGGATGGAAAAGTGCATTTGTAGGCTCTATTGAGCTTCTGAGAAACAGATTCATTTATTCATTCAAACTTTCATTTCATTTATTTATTCAGTAAAAATTTGTTGAGCACCTTCTATGTCCTGTGTTTTGAACTAGGCACTGAGAGAGACAAAAATAAATAGAAAACTCTAGGATCTCACAGTCAAGAATGTTGGAGGCAAAACTGCAAATGAATTGTTTCTCTTATGACTGGAACAACTGAAAAATGGTGGTCATCTAGAGGAGACAGGAAGAAGGAGACAGCTGAGCAGGGTACAAGGTTTTAACTGAGAAGAACTAATTTAGTTAACATCCAATAGCAAATATTTGCTAAAATGGTCTAGCCACTTGACTTAGTACCAGGGCTGTAGAAGTAAACACAGTATTTGGACAAAAAGGAAAAAAAGAAAGAGTCAGCCCTTTTTCTTTAAAATTTTGTTTTTAGAGATGGGGTTTCACTGTCATCCAGGCCCGTTTTGAACTCCTGGGCTCAAGCAACTCTCTCACCTTGGCCTCCCAAAGTGCTGGAATTACAGGCACAAGACACCATGCCCAGCCGTGTCAGCCCTTTTGCTGATGGTATTAATGGACACATTCCTAGGAAATGGGTAAATTAGAGTCAACTCTAGCCTAGAATAAATATCTATGAGATTTAAGATGAAAAGGCCTGGGTAGGATGTGGTGCTGGGGACTTCTGAGCTCTACGCAAGGAGGAGTTTCATTCTCAGAGGAATGCCAGTGTCTCAGGTTCTGCCAGGACTGTGAGGTACATGTATGCAGATACCAGTGAGCTGCTGGGGCAGAAGGAGGAGTGGAAGAAAGATTGTCAGAAGCACAGTCCACCCTGAAGATTCAGACAAGCTAGATAAGAGTGAAAGATACTAACTACGAAGTTTGAGGGTCCAGAAATAAGCTGTAATCATAGCAAGGCCCCTCAGTGGGGAGTGGAGCAAGGAATCTGTGTAGAAATCAAACCCATCAGGCTCCCCACCCACATGGGGTGGGGTAGGAGGGAGGGGACTGGCAAGTGGCATGGCAGCCCTCTCCTCTCCCAGGGGTTGATTCAAGGTCTGTTTATAATTAGACCTGGAGAGACTGATTTTTCTCATGTGGAGGTTGCCCTTCACATCCTATCAGACTAGGCTGCTTTAGGTGCCAGGTGAAGTCAGCTGAGCTAGGGAGCGGGATCCACCCGGGCAGGCAAGCTCAGCAGGAGCTAACCATCACTGTGAAATGTGAAGAGCACTCGAACAGAGCCATGCACGGTCTTCCTGGGGCTCAGTGGAGGAAGAAATCATTCCCTAAGGGAGCTGGCCAAGGACTCACAGGAAACACACTTTTCCCTCTTATGGATGATTTTCTTTACAAATGCTTCATAAATATTTTTAATAAAGGTTAAAAAAATCAAATACTACCAAAGGCATTATAACCCCCAGTAGCAGTTCCCTGGACCAGTCACACTGTCACCTCTACTACCTTCCCTGGAGGCAAGCAAGGAACTATCTGAGCTACTTGTTTTTATATTGATCTATGTACTTCTTAAGATTGTGCTTATAATGATAGTTCTTGATGTATTATCATCTTGAATTGATCTTGTCAAGATCATTCATGTTGCCATATATTTATGCAGCTCATCACTTCTGATTGCTGCCTAGTATTCTAAAACATTTCATTTATCCATTCTTCCTAATGATATACATTTAGGTTTCTCCCAACTCTCTACTATAAATGACACAGTGATGAACTTTGTGCATGCTCCCTCAAGAACTTGTGTGAGACTGAGAATATATGCCATGTGCTAGCAATCTGTATACTTACTTTCAAAACATATTGGCAGATATATCTCTAGAATGATTGCACAAATCCATGCTCCTACCAGGAGTTCCAAAAAGCCCTTATATCCCATATAACTGCCAACATTTACATTGTCCAGGCTTCAAATTTTTAACAATCTGATAGCATAGAGTGATGTCTCTTTGTTGTTTTATCTTTCTTTTTTCTTCTCTTTTCTTTTTTTTTTTTTTTTGAGACAGAGTCTGGCTCTGTCATCCAGACTGGAGGGGAGTGGCAAGACCTTGGCTCATTGCAACCTCTGCCTCCTAGGTTCAAGCTATTCTCCTGTCTCAGCCTCCTGTGTAGCTGGGATTACAGGCACCCGTCACCATATCTGGCTAATTTTTGTATTTTTAGTAAAGACAGGGTCTCACCATGTTGGCCAGGCTGGTCTCAAACTCCTGAGTTCAGGTGATCTGCCTGCCTCAGCCTCCCAAAGTGCTGAGATTACAGACGTGAGCCACCTTATCTTTCTTTCTTCTATCTTTTTTTTTTTTTTTTTTTTTTAAGAGACAGAGTCTCACTCTCTCACCTAGGCTGGACTGCAGTGACACAATCATAGCTCGCTCTAACCTTGCATTCCTTGGCTCAAATGATCTTCCTGCATCAGCCTCCCGAGTAGCTGGGACAACAGCACATGCCACCACACCCAGCTAGTTAAAAAAATATTTTTTGTAGAGGCAGAGTCTTGCCATGTTTCCTAGGCTGGTCTTGAACTTCTGGCCTCAAACAATCCTCCCACCTCAGCTCACCGAACTGCTGGGATTATAGGTGTGAGCCACCATGCTTGGTTATTTTGCATTTGATTAACCACAAATGGGTTTGATTATTTCTTCTTACATTTCTTAACGTTTTTGTGCTTAATTTTATGTAGCTTGCTTGTTATATTTTTTACCCAATTGTGTTTCCTGTCTTTTTTTGGATTTATAGGAATTACTTGTTTTCTATGTATGTCTCTTTTTGGTTTTAGATATTGAAAACATCTCTCGATCCATCAGTTTTTTTTTTTTTTTTTTTTTGAGTCAGGATCTTGCTGTTTCCCAGACTATAGTGCAGTGGTGTGATAATAGCTCACTGCAATCTTGAACTCCTGGGCTTAAGCAATCCTCCTGCCTCAGCCTCCCGATTAGCTAGGAAGACAGGTACATGCCACCGTGCTTGGCTAATTTTTAAGTTTTTATAGAGGTAAGCTCTTGCTATGTTGCCCAGGATGGTCTTGAACTCCTGGCCTCAAGGAAGCCTCCTGCCTTGGTCTCTCGAAGTGCTGGGATTACAAGTGTGAGGCACAGAGCCCGACCCCCATCAGTGTTTTTGAACTTTGCCCATAGTGTTCTTCAGGGAAATGAAGTTTTTAATTTTGAAGTAATCAAATTAATCATTTTAATTGTAGTTATGTTTGCACAACTCTGTGAATATACTATAAACCATTGAATTGTACACTTTCAATGAATGAATATGTGGCATATAAATTATATCTCACTAAAGCTATTATTATTATTTTTAAAGATATTGGCCAGATTGCCCTCCAAAACAAAAGGCCATACCCTGGTCAAAGTCCTGGCCAATCCTAATAGATCAGAAAAAAATGAATATATGACTTAGAAAAAAGGAATAAAACTCTTATAATTTATAGGTAATGTATAAAAGGAATAAAACTCTTATAATTTATAGGTAGTGCCATCCCCATCAAGCTACCAATGACTTTCTTCACAGAATTGGAAAAAACTACTTTAAAGTTAATGTGGAACCAAAAAAGAGCCCGCATCGCCAAGTCAATCCTAAGCCAAAAGAACAAAGCTGGAGGCATCACACTACCTGACTTCAAACTATACTACAAGGCTACAGTAACCAAAACAGCATGGTACTGGTACCAAAACAGAGATATAGACCAATGGAACAGAACAGAGCCCTCAGAAATAATGCCGCATATCTACCACCATCTGATCTTTGACAAACTTGAAAAAAACAAGAAATGGGGAAAGGATTCCCTATTTAATAAATGGTGCTGGGAAAACTGGCTAGCCATATGTAGAAAGCTGAAACTGGATCCCTTCCTTACACCTTATACAAAAATTAATTCAAGATGGATTAAAGACTTAAATGTTAGACCTAAAACCATAAAAACCCTAGAAGAAAACCTAGGCAATACCATTCAGGACATAGGCATGGGCAAGGACTTCATGTCTAAAACCAAAAGCAATGGCAACAAAAGCCAAAATTGACAAATGGGATCTAACTAAACTAAAGAACTTCTGCACAGCAAAAGAAACTACTATCAGAGTGAACAGGCAACCTACAGAATGGGAGAAACTTTTTGCAATCTACTCATCTGACAAAGGGCTAATATCCAGAATCTACAATGAATTCCAACAAATTTACAAGAAAAAAGCAAACAACCCCATCAAAAAGTGGGCGAAGGATATGAACAGACACTTCTCAAAAGAAGACATTTATGCAGCCAAAAGACACATGAAAAAATGCTCATCATCACTGGCCATCAGAGAAATGCAAATCAAAACCACAGTGAGATACCATCTCACACCAGTTAGAATGGCGATCATTAAAAAGTCAGGAAACAACAGGTGCTGGAGAGGATGTGGAGAAATAGGAACACTTTTACACTGTTGGTGGGACTGTAAACTAGTTCAACCATTGTGGAAGTCAGTGTGGCGATTCCTCAGGGATCTAGAGCTAGAAATACCATTTGACCCAGCCATCCCATTACTGGGTATATACCCAAAGGATTATAAATCATGCTGCTATAAAGACACATGCACACGTATGTTTATTGCGGCACTATTCACAATAGCAAAGACTTAGAACCAACCCAAATGTCCAACAATGATAGACTGGATTAAGAAAATGTGGCACATATACACCATGGAATACTATGCAGTCATAAAAAATGATGAGTTCATGTCCTTTGTAGGGACATGGATGAAGCTGGAAGCCACCATTCTCAGCAAACTATCGCAAGGACAAAAAACCAAACACCACATGTTCTCACTCATAGGTGGGAACTGAACAATAAGAACACATGGACACAGGAAGGGGAACATCACACACTGGGGCCTGTTTGGGGTGGGGGGAGCGGGGAGGGATAGCATTAGGAGATATACCTAAAGTTAAATGACGAGTTACTGGGTGCAGCACACCAACATGGCACATGTATACATATGTAACAAACCTGCACGTTGTGCACATGTACCCTAAAACTTAAAGTATAATAAAAAAAATCATAGTAGCAACAAAATTAGTAAAATATCTAAGAATTGATAAAAATTTATAATACCTCTGTGAGGAAAAAGGTAAAACTTTACTAAAAGGCATGGAACAAACCTGAATAAATGCAGAAGTTTCCACACTCTTGGTTGGGTTGACTTCATATTATGAAACTGTGATTACTCCCCAAATTAATACACGAATGTAATGAACTTCCAGTCAAATTTCCAAGTGGATTTTTCTTAAAAGAAATTTTTTTCTTAAACTGTGTATTTTTGTCTTGTAGCCAAGTCCTAAGAAAGATATCTTTAAAATTCCCTATTGAGTATTTAACATGCATTTTTGGCCTATAACTCTTTCCTAGTTAAGGACGTTTCCTGTTTGCCAAAATGTTTTAAAATAATAAATTTACATTTATGTTTTAAAAATATATTTTCAGCTGGGCACAGTGGCTTATGCCTGTAATCCCACCACTTTGGGAGGCCAAGGCGGGCGGATTGCTTCAGTCCAGGAGTTCCAGACCAGCCTGAGCAACATGGCAAAACCAGTCTCTACAAAAAATACAAAAATTAGCCAGGTGTGATGGTGCACACATGTAGCCCCAGCGTCTTGGGAGGCTGAGGTGGGAGCATCACTTGAACCCAGAAGGTCGAGGCTGCAGTGAGCCCTGACCTGATCATGCCATTGCACTACTTCAGCCTGGGCTGGAATGAGACCCCGTCTTAAAAAAAAAAAAAAAAAAAAAAAGATTATACCTTCTTTCAAAAATAATCTTTTGTTTTTTAAATAGTTTTGGAAGTCATTCATGGAGGTGAGTGATGGAGTCACTTGACCGAGCCAGGTAAACTTCATTGACAGAGAAGTGCGGTTTGTGGGCAGCTTAGCCCAGCATGTCTTTTCTTGACTTGTAGACGTGAGTCTCAAGCAACAATAGAACTTTAATTTTGCTCAGTCTCTGTTTATGTAGATTATCCTCCTTCTATTAATTTTGGGTTTTGTTTTTGATGTTTTGGTTTGTTTACAGATGAAAAGTTATTCCCCATTGGCGGCAGCAATGATTGGGAATTTGGTTTCATGCTCTTGACCATCCGGTGACCTGTATAAATGGATTAATAGATTACGGAGATCTGTTTTCCACTGGGTGACAGATAGGAGATAATGTGGATTGCTAGTCTTTTGTTTTTATGTCATTATGCCTATTTTGAACTCAAATCAAGTAAAAATTTTGTAGTCATCAAAGAAGAGTTTAGCTCATTGAGATACAGTGAAGGCCAATTATATCCCTGCCAAACAAAAATAATTTCCAGGGAAAGTACCTTGATTCTTCAGTCTCAGTCAACATGTAGTGAGTATGTGACTCAGTCCAGTCAAAAGAAGTATATTCCATGCCCTGTGACTATTTTAGTGAGGGGCATGTGGCCCACCTGGAGCCAAGCAGAAACAATAAGATGTTTGCAGGGACTCTTGTGAAAGAGGCAATGCATTTTCAGCTGCATTTGCATCTAAGAGAATCTCACTCTGAGCTTGCTGGCAGATGTGCTTCCATTTATGAAACCTGCTGATGAAGAAATACAACAGAATAGAGCCAAGTTAGAGGGAAACTGAACCCCGAGAACATCATTTGAGCCTCTGCAACAACCTTGAGTCCCAAATGCAGCCCTCATCCCAGATTTGTCATTCACAGAGTCAATACTTATTTTCACTTTTGTTGTTTAAAGCAGTTGAATTAGGCCAGGCCCGGTGGCTCACGCCTGTAATCCCAGCACTTTGGGAGGCCGAGGTGGGTGGAACACGAGGTCAAGAGATCAAGACCATCCTGGCCACCATGGTGAAACCCTGTCTCTACTAAAAATACAAAAATTAGCCCGGCATGGTGGTGCACACCTGTAGTCCCAGTACTTGGGAGGCTGAGGCAGGAGAATTGCTTGAACCCAGGAGGTGGAGGTTGCAGTGGGCTGAGATCACACTACTGCACTCCAGCCTGGTGACAGAGCAAGACTTCATCAAAAAAACAGAAAAACAAAACAAAACAAAACAAAAAGCAGTTGAATTGTGTTTTTTTTTTTTCACTTGCATTCAAATAATAAAAAATGTCTTCTCCATTGCTGGCTCCTTCTATGCTAGCCTGCTAAATATATATTTACCTCTCTGTGACTCATTTTCTCTTCTGTTTAAAAAAGATAAATGGCACTTACTACCTCAAAGAGTTGTAAATATTAAATGATACAATAAATAGAAAAGCATAAATTTGTTTGACAATGCTGAGGTGAGAGAGCATATAAATTTTCAAAATTGAATTCTATCAGTCTCTACTATTTACTAGGATGAGAATACACCTCATACCAGACACCATTGTGGTAGTAAACTTTCTTTAGCAAAATATATGCCTCAGTAAAATACTTGGGAAGGATCTTCTGGTCTTTGTTCCATTATTGTTGCTACTGGGAATTCATAGTGCAAGCCATTTGGTCCACTAAAAGGTGAGTAACTTTACAGTCTCTGTACCGAATGTGGGCACCAGCCTCTTTTTCGTAGCCCTCAAAACTAGGATGATTATTTTGTCCTCCAGCAACTACTCCAGCGTACCCATCAGAAGTCCTGCTGTAACATTAGGCACTTCCATGCAGGACACTGATGCTTTTTAAGCCTATCTCCTCCACATTCCTTTCTTCAAGTCCCTGGAGCCCCTGATAAGCTTGGGCAACTTCTCCTCTTTCAACACACACCAATTTCAGCCTCATCTCCTGTTTCAGGAACACTTAGCTAAATTCTCCTCCCATATGAGAGCCTGGATAGGAATGCATAACAGGCATCTAGCCACTCATGCATTTTCATTGTCCTGACATTAGGCATGGAGTGTAGGGCTTGGCATTATATAACTCCAGAAATTCCTATTCCTGTTGAGTTAAAAGACACCAGCACCTCCTGAAGCGAACTTTGTACAAGGTGAATGATGGTCTCTCAGTTCCTGCCACACTGTGAGCTCTGATTATGAACATAAGGCATTTGAAAATGTTTCCAGTCAATATGTTCTCGTCTCCCCCACCATTATTTAGCCAATGAGCTTTTCTGTTTGTTTAGGCTCTTCTATTTTCCCATATGGGCAAGATTGGGGAAGGAGAGGAGAAACACAGTGTTGGAAGCAGAGCAAGACTGGGTGGTCTCTTTTGGACACTTCCCCCTCTCCATTTGGGGCAGGTCTCATACCAGGGCCCATGAGTATGGAAATCCAGCTTGACTGCTTCACTCCCTATGTGTTTATGGAGATATGCAAATATATGAGATCCAGGAATGCTTTCCATGTGACCCAAGGCCAGTCCCTGAGCTCATTCAAGCTACAAACTTCCCTTTTGTGAGAGTTTGTTGAGCCTCAGACACATGAAAGAGATCACTGGCAGGGCGTCTCATTCCCTTTCTCTAAGCCTTTTCCACCTAATGGGTGACTGAGTCTCTCTGAACTTCAGGTTGATATAATCAGATACAATGATGGATGTGCAGTATTATTAAGTAGATTATTAAAAGCAGAAATGAATTTCCCAGGGCTTTAGGCTTGCCCTCTAAGCTCACCTTACTGTATAGGAGCCAAAGTTTGCTTTTCTGGGACTGTGATCAAGAGCGTAGAATGGAGCCAGGATGAGCCACAGTCCCCCTAACTTCTCCACCCCTCTAGGTGTAGAGAGCAGCGTTTGTACATCAGATGGCTTCAGTGGCTTCTTTCATTACATATTCATGTGGATTCCACCTTTGCCTTGTTCATTAGGGGCATCAGCCCCTTCAAAATCTTCTTCATGAATGGTCAGCTCATTTAGCCCTTCAACAGCTTTGTTCCAGATGACATGGATATGGATAAGAATGAGGAACTATTGGTGCCTTTGGCCATGCTTCCTCAATGAGCTAGGTGGAGATCCACAGCGAGTACCAGGACCTCTGTTTTCTTGGCAGAAGGGTCAGGACTGACCTGTGGTTCAAATGGTGCAGGTATCTCTGGAATAAATCTATCATGGCTCCTCCAAGTGCACGAAGGTCACAAAGTGGTGACCCAACCCTGATGGGAAAACTGTTGGGATCGAGAGGATATTGTCATCCAGCATGGCTTCCCTAAGCAGGGCATTGCCTTGTCTGACAACATCTATGCAGATATCACTTTGTGTTCAAAGATAAACCTATTCACACTTCTGTTGGAATGGCACCAAAGTGTTCCATGTTAACCTGATCAGGCAAAAAGTCCTGGGGCTTGGATTGGGTTGTGTGTGTTTGGGAGCCATGATTAAGTATGATGGGAACATTCCTGTTCCTTTCCATCTGCTTCATTCTTTCTCCTTTCCATCCCTTTTCCTTTTTTTTTTTTTTTTTTTTTTCCCACTCAAGCACCTATCAAGCTTTCTGTCACTCTCTGTCCCATTTTTCTCCAGGCTCTGTGTGGCTGCACCATGAGCACTTCCACCATGGAAGGGCAGGTGATCCCTTTGTCTTGCATGAAATCATCAAGAATGACTCTGTGAGGAGCATTCCCTTGAGAAGATTCCCACTGGTAGGGAAACCTCATGGCCCAGTTCAAAATTTGCTCCCAGACAAATTAATACTACAAACATCATGTGAGAACATAGCAAGAAGGTGGCCATCTGTAAGCTAGAAAGAGAGCCCTCAACAGGAACCGACCGTGCTGGCACTCTGATCTCAAACTTCCAGGCTTCAGAACTGTGAGGCAATAATTCCTGTTGTTTAAGCTATCCAGTCTATGGCTTTTTTTGTGGAACCCTGAGCAGAGTAAGACAAGGCAATTTTTCTATTCTTGGCTTTGAATGTAATTCTCATCTTGAAGCTGAAGAGTGACCAGAGTGCCACTTGGAGATCTATAAAGATGTCTTGTTCAAGCTTGAAAATGGAATGTCCTCCTTTTCCTCTTAGCTCTGGTAAGACCTTAGGTCTGGTGAGACCTTTCCTCTGCCTCCAACCCCACACTCCAGAATCCACCTGTTGGGGGAAGCAAGAGATGAGAAAGGGGACTCTTCACCCTCCCCACCTCACATAGGTCTACAGTGCCCAGCAGGAGGTAGTTGAGGTTCCTGCACATACATTCATCCACCTGCATCACCCACTGAGATGTTTGCAGGGTTACTGGGGTTGAAACAGAAAGGAAGGTAGGTCACTGATGAACACCTTTATTTGGGGGGAAGGAGATGAACAAGGCCCAGAGCCACTTCCCTGACAGCTCCACACCAATACACCCACAGCACTGGAATGTCTATGTTCCTACTGTTCTAGAGTATGCACAAGGGTAGAGAAAGGGCAGGGTGGACTGCTGTCCTTTTACATTAATACTAAGTCAAGAGGTGAGAAGCAGGCCCCAAATCCCCAGACTTCATCGATAAAAAATCAGGATCCTGGGGAACGACACCTACCATTCCCCACTAGGAGATTCAGGTCAGAGACTGCTCCCCAGCTTCTGAACTCAGACTCAAGTACTCCCAAACTTCCAGTGTCTGCAGTTGTGATATGTGAAGCTACTTGGCTCTTGCCCTTCCTGAAAGCTTAGTGGGGGCATTTGGCTCTGTGAGGGCCTCCACAGTTGCACAAAGAGTGAGATGTGAGAATGGGGGAAGGGATGGCTGGGATAGTTTCTGTGGGTGGGTCATTACTTGATTTTTTTCATTTTCAAAAGTTGCTGAATATTTGTATAGAAGGTTTTCTTATTTTTCCCCACTGACTACTTTATGAAATTATTATGTATTTCAAAAAATAAGTCATTTTAGCAGATTGAAATAAAGGATCCTGGAAGGTGGTAGGAACACATAGCCCCTCTCACTTCCCTCCGTGTGCCTGGCCATAGCAAGCACTCAGCTAAGCTGGCTCCTTCCTTCCCACAGCCCAAATTCCTGGGATATGTCAAACCTCAACCCACATCATGGCACAGAGAACCTCGCTTTCCTATTTGAAGAGACAGTGGTAATTGAGAAAGGTAAATGTCATTGATTACAAAAAGTGGAGGTCATCCTCTTCAGAGGTTGTGTTTGTGTGAGAATCAAAGTTGCCGAAACTGGATAGAAATATTTATTCGAGCAAAAGTTTCTTCAGCGGAGGGACTGGAAGAGGTCTTTCTGGTGGACAATGAAACATACAGCCCCAAAGATGAAGACGAGGTCCTGAGCTTCCGCTTCCTGCCACGCTTGTTGTGTCTTGGTGGCTCCTGGATGGGAACAGAGGCTTCCTGGTGGCTTCAGGGCAGGTGGGCACCTCAGCACAGTTGTTGATTTTGGGATTTCAGGATTTTCCTGGCATGTCTGTCTCTCTCTTTTATCTTCCTATCTTTATCTAGAAAATTCACCACTTGATGTTTAAAACAAAGTACACGCATTACTTTAGTAAAAAAATAAAAATAAAAATTAATGTAAAACATAAACAAACAAACAAACAAAAAACCCCACAAGCATTTATCACAGGTTTTATTGTAAAAATCATCAAGTAAACCTAAATAGGGATTTGTTGATTTATTTTAGAGTCAGGGTCTTTCTATGTTGACCAGACTGTTCTCTAGCTCCTGGGCTCAAATTATCCTCCCACCTCCACCTTCTAGAGTGCTGGGATTACGGATATCAGCTACTGCACCCAGCCTAGAATGGATTTTCCAGGCATGGTGGCTGACGTCTGTAATCCCAGCCCTTTGGGAGGCCGAGGTGGGTGGATCACCTGAGGTCAGGAGTTTGAGACCAGCCTGGCCAATATGGTGAAACCTGTCTCTACTAAAAATACAAAAATTAGCCGGGTGTGGTGGTGGGAGCCTGTAATCCCAGCTACTTGGGAGGCTGAGGCAGGAGAATTGCTTGAACCCAGGAGGCGGAGGTTGCAGTGAGCCGAGATGGCGCCGCTGTACTCCAGCCTGGGCAACAAAGTGAGACTCTGTCTCAAAAAAAAAAAAAAAAAAAAAAAGGATTTTATGATTTTATGAGATTTCCTATTTCCATGAGCTTATCAAGACTAGATATGTTGAAATGCCCTCCCACTAGAAAATACCCAAATAATGGATAAGTTAGAGTAAACACTCTTTGAATTTTGTTGCTAAGCTCAAAGGAGAATAAGGAAAGTCCTAATTTTTTTTAAAGACAAAAACAAATAAAATAGAACTGAAACTAGTAGGGTAAACCTGCTCAATTACTTGTTCAATACTTGACCTGGGGGTAGAGGTGGGGCCAGCAACTTGTGGTATTCCAGCATCTTTTCAGGGACAGAAGTTCTTTTAGTTTTTGTTTTGTCTCATTTAACCTTATGCGTGTCTTTGAAAGTGCAATGCTTCGATTACTAAGGTTTTATGACTATTATCAACAAAACATTCTATAAGTGTAAGGGGTAACTCTCTTCAAGGACATCATTCCACTCTACTGAGGCTCCCTGTTTCTTACATGCTTAGTGTAGAAGTTCTAGCAGCTGCCTGGCATTATTTTTTCTTGCAGAGAAATAAGACCATCCAAGTAAATATTATAATTAGGACCATAATGGCACATTTTGATTGCTTTTAATAAATAACACCAACCAGAATTTTTCTTAGATGTGACACTAATAATCACTAATGGCCAAACTATTAGATTTATATCAGAAATTCTTGGCTGAAAATTTTTATCAGTACAGGCTACAATATTATCTAAGCAGAAAATGAATGTAAAACTTTCTGCAGTTGTCTCATTATCTTGTCATAATCTCCAAGAATTCATAAGAGAAAAATGCAAGGAACTAGGAGCTGGTATAGCTCAGCAGGCATTTTGTGAAGAGAATATGGGTAAAATTAGAATAAAGAGAACAGGATTGGAGCATCGTTCACAAGTCTAGGCCCTGTTTGGTCTTCGTGTTTTGGAAACATTAGCAAACTATGGGTAAAAGTAAAAAGTTGACATTTGTATACGGTTAGAATTGAAAACTATCTTGTCCACTTAAAACTTTAGTATTACAGAATTTTGCTTTTTAATTATCAAAGTGGTCAGATAAAGATGGCTTATGTTGACGTAAGTCATAGCAAAGCCATGACTCATTTCTTTTTGTGATTAAATCATGTGGCTTTTCATCTTCAGAAAATTTAGAAAGATGACAACATTGTCATTTATTTGCAATTCGCCCTTCCACTCTCCTTCCTAAAATTCAACCTTTCCATTTCTTTTACCTTCTTGAGCTTCTTTAATTATCAGCAAACTCTTTATGGGCTCAAGGTTTATTTCACCTTTCTATTAATAAAAAGAAACAGGAAAAGAAATTGGGATTTTTATGAAAAATGTTAAAGGCTAGCTCTGTTAGGATTTCCCATGACATTGCAGTGGTGACATGGTCGTGGATGTGCCAAGGAAAGCCTGAGCTGTTGACTGCTGCCCCAGTAGCATCAGAGAACCACTGTGCTTGCTGAGACCAATGACTGCCATTCTGGACAGGGCAGCCTTTGGCAACATTCAGAAGCAAGCTGTTTGTCTTCAGTCCCCTCTCTTCAGCCTCCAAATTTGTCATTATTGCTTGGTGGATGGAGTACCCTATACTACCCCATGGCTCTCCAAAACCCTTTTCCTCCCAGCCAGGAGGCCCAGGTCTGCGCATTCACTCACTCGATTCTGTGCATGTTGCCTGTGTGCGGTCCATTGCCCTCACCTCACTTTCCTGGGGAAAGAAAAAATGACACTGAGCTGAGGAATGAGCAAAAATCTAGGTAGAGACGTGGGAGAGGCTGTGCTAGTTGGAGGGCGTGAACAAAATCGTGGAAGTTTACAACTGTCTGACTTTTCTAGGGAAAGGCAAGTAATCTGATGTGACTAGAGAAAGGTTAGGTGAGATCTGTAAGCTGGTTTGGGTGTAGAAGGACAAAGAATTGGAGTGGGAAGGGTAAGTGGCAGCTAGACTGGGAAGGGCTGAGCACCAGGTAAAAAAGACAAAATAAAATTGTTTCTCCTCTCCCAGGAAATACTGAACTTTAGGAGGCAACATCTCCATCCTGGCTCTGTAAACCAATCTTTATCAGAATGAGAATTTTGGGGTAAGTTGGAAGGGACAGGGCCAGGCTTACAGCAGCGGTTGGCAAACTATGGTCTGTGAGCCAAATCCAACTGCTGCCTGTTTTTGTGTGGCCTGTGACTAAGAATGATGCTTACATTTTTAAATGGTTGAGTAAAAGTGAAAAGAAAAATAATATTTTGTGACTTGCAAAACTGTACAAAATCCAAATTTCACTATTCACACATAAGTTTTCTTGGAGCACAGCCACATACACTTGTGATGATTTCACTGCTTTGGTCATACAAGGGTAGAACTAGAACTGAATTGTTGTGACAGAGATCCTCTGTCCCGAAAGGGCCTAAAGCATTTCCTGTCTGGCTCTGCTTAGAAAAATATTGCCAAGTTCTGTGCTGGGCACGGTGGCTCACGCCTGTAATCCCAGCACTTTGGGAGGCTGAGATGGGCACATCACCTGAGGCCAGGAGTTCGAGACCAGCCTGGCCAACATGGTGAAACCCCATCTTTACTAAAAAAATACAAAAATTAGCTGGGCATGATAGCGGGCACCTGTAATCCCAGCTACTTGGGAGGCTGAGGCAGGAGGATCACTTGAACCCGGGAGGCAGAGGTTGAAGTGAGCCGAGATTGTGCCACTGCACTCCAGCCTGGGCAACAGAGCAAGACTCTGTCTCAAAAACAAAAAACAAAACAAACAAAACAAAACAAAACAAAAAACAAAGGAGTCGAGCACTAGACAGAAAGTTCAGAGCAGGATGGAGCTCTACAAAGATAACCTAAGTTTTATGGAGCTGAGTTCCCAAATCACTTTAACTAAATGTATTAATTCCAGTGGCCATGATTTCCCTAGCACTTATTCTCCTGTAGCATAATTGGAAATTCTAACAAGCCTTTTTTTGCGGGGAGGGGGGAGGGTGGAGGTTGTTTGTTTTTAGTGTGAGATGTGGATTAAGCATATTAAAAATTTTAAAATAATTTCTGGGAAATTTGGAAAACTGTGTTGACAGGGTGGTTGCCATGCATTTTAAGGAACATTCACATGGTTGAAGAGTCATAGAGAAAACATTGTCTTTCAGAATCACTCATCCAAATCAATATAAATAAATTGCTAAGACCTTTTCTAACCTTTTAAACATTCATCTTTCTTCATGAGAACAGCAATAAATGTCCTTTGTTTCTGGAGTCTGCCAATCACCTATTTCTTCTTTAGTGTGGGTAATTTAAAAAATTGTTTTCATAAGGCTAAAAGACATTATGTTATACAATGTCTCTATTTTTTTTTTTAATGGCAAGGCAGACTTCATTCAAGGGTGGCACATTGTGGTAGGTATAGGAACCATTGCAATGAGTGTTGCAGCAGGGGAGGGAGATTGGAGTCAACTCACTACTGTGTCTTTACAATTTTATTTTTTCTTTCAGAGACAGGGACTTGCTCTGTTGCCTAGGCTGGAGTACAGTGGCGTAATCATGGTTCATTGCAGCCTCGAAATCCTGGGCTCAAGCAATTCTCTGACCTCAGCCTCCCAAGGAGCTAAGAATATCTTTAAGTTTTTTTAAAAAGCAATCCTTACTTCCTGAATGCACCAAAATTGTAATCCCATTTTGACCCAGTTAAGAGGAAAACTCAAAACTGAGAGGGCCTGGTTAAAGAAAAGTGAGTAGAGGATATAATACAATGATTGACAGGAAACCCTGGTGTGTTGTGAGACACAGCAGTGGAGTTGTTAAGAGTCGCCTCCCAGTTGATGTATGCTATCTCAGAATATCCAGATTTCCCAGCTGACATCTTCTGCCTCCCCTGGGGTGGTGTGCAAATGGAGACTGTATCAGTCAGGGTTCAGTTGCAGCAAAGGGAAGCAACTCTAGTTATTTTAAGCAGAAATGTTTAATACAAAGAATTAGCTGCATGGAAGTGCTGGTGGAAGAGATGGTTTTTGGGAGACTCCCAGGACACTTGAGAGCTTACCACCTAGGGGAACAACTACCTCTTCCATGAAGGTGGGGAGTCAGAAAGTTGCTATAGGATCAGGAATCTGCCATTTTTTCCTCACAGATGCATCTTGACTCCCATGAAGCTGGGAATTACAAGTACCCTGCTGGAATGCTGCTGCAGAAATATATCTGCACTACCATATTTTCTAGTGAAATTCAGCCAAAAGCAGCAGGAAAATTATCTCTGCCTCACTTCCACTTTCCAAACCTTGCACAAGTGCATCCAAGTGGGGATAAGTAGGTGATCAGAACCCTAGCTGCAAGAGATTCCAGGAAATGTAGTTTTTTTATTTCTAGACTCTCTATGTGGGGAGACACACTGGAAGGGAGTGAAAGAGAATGTTGAGGTTAATCACCTGTATTTGCTTCCTATTGCTGCTGGAATAAATTGGAACAAACTCAGTGGCTTAAAACAATACACATTTGTTATCTTTCATTTCTGGAGGTCAGAAGTCTGATGGAGGTTTTACAAGGCTAAAATCAAAGTGTCAGCCAAGGTGTGCTCCTTTTGGAGGCTCTAGGGGAGAATCCATCCATCCCCTGCCTTTCCCAGCATTAGAAGACTTTCCCACATTCCTTGCTCATGGCCACATTGCTCTGACTTCCGCTTCTGTCATCACATCACCTTCTATGACTCTAACCTTCACATCTCCGTCTTATAAGGACTCTTGTGATTACACTGGGTTCATCTGATAATACAGGATAATCTCACCTCTCATGATTCTTGACTTAATCACATCTGCGATTCCCATCTTCCATGCAAGAAACACATTCACAGGGATTGATATGTTGACATCTTTTGGGGGGTCACTATTCAGCCTGCCACATTGTTCATATCCAAATTATTGAGGGAAGGAGCTGATGTTTATTAACTACATGCTATGTGCTGGAAACTTTATATATATATATATTATCTCATCAAACATTCATGACAATCCTTGAAGGTGGCACTATTACTCCTACTACAAATGAGAAAAAGAGATTCAAAGAATTTTAAATACGAGTCCACTATTCAGCGATAAAAAAAATGAACTATTAAGCCATGAAAAGACATACAGGAACCTTAAATACATATTGCTAA
This sequence comes from Homo sapiens, assembly GCF_000001405.40. Lineage (NCBI taxonomy): Eukaryota > Metazoa > Chordata > Mammalia > Primates > Hominidae > Homo > Homo sapiens. The sequence goes on along the minus strand of NC_000009.12, from coordinate 76,923,680 downwards.
GTGAAAGAAGCCAGTCTGAATAGGATACGTACTGTATGATTCTAACTATGTGACATTCTGGGAAAGGTAAAATTATAGAGTTTATAAAAATATCAGTGGTTTCCAGGGGTTAAGGTTTGGGGCAGGGCGTTGAGGGTAAGTAGGCAGAGCTACATTACCCTACTTATGAGCAATGAGTTCTCCCCCCAAAAAATCATTTTTCTATCAACCAGGCTGGAGTGCAGTGGCATGATCTTGGCTCACTGCAGCCTCTGCCTCCTGGGCTCAAGTGATCCTCCTGCCTCTGCCTCCCAAATAGCTGAGACCAGAGGCATGTGCCACCACATCCAGCTAATTTTTTATTTTTGGTAGACTTGGAGTCTTGTTATGTTGTCTAGGCTGGTCTCCAACTCCTGGGCTCAAGTAATCCACCAGCCTTGGCCTCCCAAAGTGCTGGGATTACAGGTGTAAGCCACTGTATCAGGCCCAAATTTTTGATATCATAAACAACCTGTGGCAAATATTCTTGCATATGCATCTTTTCACACTTCTTTGACTATTTTTTGCTAATACATTCCTAAGGGTAGGTTTTCTGAGTCAGATGGCAGGCACATTGTAAACACCTTTTATATATATATATTTAGAAAGTGTCAGTGGTGTGCTGGAACTCTGAAACAAATTAGAGCTTTCCCCCTCTTCTATGGAGAGCTGACTATTAAACATTTAGCATACTACTGGAAAGTGTGTACAAATCTCCAGTCCTAACAGTATATGAGGACCCATTATTTTCACCTCAAAATCCATACTGATGCTTAAAACAGTAATATGTGCTAGTTGTAATTTGTATATTCTAATACTGATGATTCATAGTACCTGTTGCTATCTCTAGTTTTTCTTTTCTATAGCTCATTTAGAGGTTAAAAGAAATTTCAGGTATATTTGGGCATATTTCATACTCAGCCAGGTCAGTATGGTCCATTAAGGGCAAGCAAATTTTGCAGGGATTTAGCATAATTATGCAATAATTCCAAGGAGTCTCTGCACTTTGGAAAATTGTTATTTATAAAAACCTTTTAACTAATTGTTTTGGCATACATTGTTGATCTGCAGGGAACTTGGTGACACACAGAGAGGGAAGGGGAGAGAGTGATTAGAATCTCCAGGAGTCCTTTATCTAATTTTCCATCATCATACCATATACTCCATTTAAGCCCACGGGTGGGGATCTTCCTGACCTTGTTGGTACTGCTACCCTGGTAGCTAGTAAACCACTCTTTTAATGTGGTTGTGTTGCTTCTGTTGCAGTGGAATAAAGATTTGGACCACTGAGTCATCTAGTTCTAAGAAGCTGTGATTCTATCAGAAATGATCAATGGGGGGAGTCAGCTGGCATAATGAAAATAGCATGAATTTGGGGGTTAAGGTCTCCAGAATTCTAAGTCCTGCTTTGCCACAGGGCTATGCATTTTCTGTCATTTTCTACTCCACAGCTTGATTGGCTTATCTAGCCAACTAGATTCCTGCTTCATTTTCCCTAATCACTCCTGGTAGATCTTTTCGCCAAGGATTTACAAAGGAGCTACTCAAGAAATTCCCATGTGAAAGAGTGATAGTCTTCTACTTGATAAAAGCATAGGAATAGCCCCTTTGCCTCTAGATAACTGAATGCTCTTAGACAAGCCTCAGTTTTCACATGAATAGAATGAGTACATGTGTGTTAGTCTATTCTGGCATTGTAATAAAGAACTACTGAGACTGGGTAATTGAAAAGAGGTTTAATTGGCTCACGGTTCCACAGGTGGTATAGGAAGCATAGCTGGAGAGGGCTCGGGTAACTTACAATCGTGGTGGAAGGTGAAGGGAAAGTTGGCACATCCTTCATGGCTGGACCAGGAGGATGTGTGTGTGGGGTGCTACACACTTTTAGATAACCAGATCTCATGAGAACTCACTCACTGTCATGAGAACAGCAAGGGGAAGTGTGCCCCCAAGAATCAATCAGGCCCCAACCCTGACGATTACAATTCGACATGAGATTTGGGTGGGGACGCAAATCCAAACCATATCAGTGTGTGTGTGTGCGCGCATGCGCGCGCACGTTTAGAGGCCGGGGGGAACTGCACTCAATGTGTGAGTCCTGAAGTTCAATGATTCTATGAAACCAATTCACCTGTATAGTAAATGTGGTGGAATCACACTAGTGCCTTCAATAGAAACTAAACTCCCTTAAAAGAAGCGTTTGAGTTAGCTTCCAGAGACTGCTATGTGAGAACATGATGTTAAGTTGTCATATGTATGCTATAATTTGATTCTCACTGGAAGAATGCAGCAGTGATGTAAGAGGCTGTTTGTGAAATTAGGCCATCAGGGAATGCTTGTGCCCCATGACTGTAAGGACTATAATTCTCTTACACACAGACATCAAATGTTATTGCAAAGCCATTGGAAAAATTCTAATTATTTTAAAGGCATATATAAAATATGTACCTTTTATTAAATAATATGAATATAAAGTAAGATCAAGTTCTGACTCTGAGCTGTCCATGCTGATGACCTACAGAGCATTGCCAGCTTTAGTCTCTGCATTGCCTTCTTTTCTTGTAAGTATCAATGGCAGTTGCCCACTCAATGTAAGTTGAAGGGTGCAGCTGAAATCACCACCGCATCCCCAAAATATCTTTTCCACCAATGCTTTTGAAACCAAAGGTTTGCCACTTGAGATGAAGAAATCCTTTTTCTAGGTTTTTACCTCTAGCACCCCCTTGTTAAGAATATTGCAATGTCAATTGGTCATTACTAAAGGCCAGAGATAGCCAATGCAATCACCAAGTGTATCAGCGTATCAATTTTTTTTTTTTTTGAGATGGAGTCTCGCTCTGTCGCTCAGGCTGGAGTGCAGTGGCGCCATCTCGGCTCACTGAAAGCTCCTCCTCCCAGGTTCACACCATTCTCCTGCCTCAGCCTCTCAAGTAGCTGGGATTACAGGCACCCACCACCACGCCAGTTAATTTTTTTTTGTATTTTTAGTAGAGACAGGGTTTCACCGTGTTAGCCAGGATGGTCTCGATCTTGTGATCTGTCTGCCTCGGCCTCCCAAAGTGCTGGGATTACAGGCGTGAGCCACTGCATCTGGCCTTTTTTTTTTTTTTTTGAGACTGAGTCTCACTCTGTTGCCCAAGCTAGAGTGCAGTGGCAGGTATGAGCTTGGCTCACTGCAAGCAACCTCTGCCTCCCAGATTCAAGTGATTTTCGTGCCTCAGCCTCCCTAGTAGCTGAGATTACAGGCACCAGCCACAACACCTAATTTTTGTAGTTTTAGTACAGACGGGTTTTCACCATGTTGACCAGGCTGGTCTTGAACTCCCGACCTCAAGTGATCCACGCACCTTGGACTTCCAAAGTGCTGGGATTACAGGTGTGACCCACTATGGCCAACTAGTTTTCTGGGTCTTCTGTAAAAAAAAATTACCATGAACTTGGAGGCTTCAAACAATTTAAAAAATGCTGTTATAGTTTTGGAGGCCAGAAGTCCAAAACTAAGGTGTCAACAGGGTTGGTTCCTTGTGGATGCTCTGAGGGCAATCCATTCCTTGCCTATCTCCTAGCTTCCAATGGCTGCTGCCAATCCTCAGTGTTGCTTGGCTTGTAGACGTATTGATTCAGTCTCTGTCTCCATCTTCACATCTCATTTTCCTCTCTATCCCCGTGTCTCCAGTTTCTTTCTGCCTTGCTCTTATGACTCCTGGCATTAGATTAAAGGTCCACCCCAAATCTAGGATAAACTCATCTCGAGATTTTTACATCTGCAAAGATGTAAAAGAATTCTTTGCGAAGAAGCAAAGAATTATATCTGCAAAGATCTTTTTCAAAATAAGTTTACATTCACAGGTTCCAAAGGTGAGGACATGGACATATCTTTTTTTTTTTTTTTTGTCAGGGTCCAGGGGCACTGTTCAATCCACTGTAGCATGGGAAGCCCTGATAAAAAGAGACACAGGACAAGTAAGTACTGAACGGAAGGGATGGTAAAAAGAGAGATTTGAAAGGTAGGATGAGAACACTAGGCTGGAATTGGGGGATGGGTTGGAGATTGAAGGATAAATTCTTTCTTTCTTTTTTTTTTTTTTTTTGTTTGTTTTGTTTTAGTTTTTTGAAACAGGGTCTCACTCTCTCACCCAGGCAGGAGTGCAATGGCGTGATCTCAGCTCACTGCAACCTCTGCCTTGTAGATTCAAGCAATTCTCGTGCCTCAGCTTCCCAAGTAGCTGGGATTACAGGCATGTGCCACCATGCCCAGCTCATTTTTTTGTATTTTTAGAAGAGATGGGGTTTCACCATCTTGAGGTCAGGTTTCAAACTCCTGACCTCAAAGTGATCTGCCTGCTTTGGCCTCCCAAAGTGCTGGGACTATAGGCATGAGCCACCACACCTGGCCTGGAGAAATTATTTCCATTTTACTGATGAGCATTCTAAAAGGGAAATTGATAATCTTGAAGAACTTTGCCTGGGGGGTTCTCCTTGCAAGGGATTCTTTGGCCTGAGAAATCACTGGCCCTTATGCTGTTGGTGCCATAAGAGAATCTGGGAATGTGACTAGGACCGAACCATTTTGTGCGTGTTTTTTTGGCTGTTTATTCACTTGTCTATTCATCCATCCATTCAGTAAACATTTATTGAGCACTTTCTTTGTTCCTGGAACATAGAAGGCTACCTCCTTCTCAGGTGCCTTGTTGGGATGTTCTGTCCCTGTTTGTATCCAGCGTTGGGCTGGCAGTTTAGTGGAGTTGCACATGGTCAAGTCAGCCACTAAGATTACAATCAAGTAGAGTCAAAATTGCCTTAGAAAACTTCTGAAAACATCTATAAAGTACACCTAAATGGGTTTCTCCAATCTGAATACGGGGTTCAGACACAATAAACAATCGCAGGATGGAGATAATTGAGGAACACGATGAAGCACATCCTAGGATGATAATTGGTTTTGTCTTCTAACATTATTTTAATTCTTCTTTTCTTCCCTTTGCCGCACTTACAGAATTAAAGTTGTGAAAATTATATACGTACTTCACGTGATTCTAGTCTACTGCCACACAAGGCTCTGGTGGAGATGTAGCAACTGGAATCTTTCAAAACCGTGTGAGCCAGAGGCAGCCATAGGGATATTATGGTTGCTTGTTTATTCAGAAGTCACTGTTGTGTGGTTGAAAGAGACATGGGCTACTCCTCTCTGCTTGAAACAGAAAATTCCGTGAGAGACTCACGCAACCTACAAGAGGCTGGGTTGCCTCATGGTTCATCTCAATGATGTCCTCATAAAGGAAACTCCAGTCAGGTAGCCCTCAAAGCATTGAAAACAATGTAATTTTTCCTGAAATCTCATGAAGCTGCACCGAAGAGGAAACCCATACATAGCATATTTTCTTAAAATTCCGTCTCACATTTCTTTTTTAATATTTCACACATCACAGATGGCAGTTACCTAAAATTCCCACTTTTTATCCCTTAACATTTTGCAAATCCTCCCCAAATTTTTTGCACTCTGGCTCTTCTTTCTCCCTGTCCTCTGGTTTTCCTGATCTCAATTTTATCCCCTTTTACATGTAAATCAGTCTAGATGGCTGTAGTATTTTTTCATTTTCTTGACCACTGTTTCCTTCTTATGAGATCCATAAAGCGCAAAGCAAATCTACACCGAAAACTCTGGAATTAACCAGGATTTGAATTGAGCAGTTTGATTTTGCTACTTAGTAACAATGTGATTTTGGGTAAATTTCTTAAACTCTCTGATTCTCTCTCTTTTTTTCTAATTTGTAAAATAAAGCCAATAATACCAAATTGGTAGAGATGGTTTGAGGATTAAGTGAAACAATATATTTTCAGATTCCTATCACAATGCTGGCCATATTAGGCGGTTTAAAAAAATGCTGGTCGTTTTCTTTTTCTTTTCTTTGTAGAAAGATCTCCTTGTAGAGACAAATCACAATCAAAGACTTTTTGGTTAATGTGGAACGAGATCATGTGAATTAGAGCACATGGCGCTCTAAAGGCTCCATGCTAAGAATAACTGACAGATCCATGCTACGGCAAAAATTGTTTTGCAATGGGAACTACGGCTAGGGGTCTGCCTCCCATCAAGGATTTATTTATGGAGGAATTCCCAAAATACAGGAAGAATGTTCAAATAGTAGCAGCCAGGAAATTTCCAACATCTGCTACACTGGGTCACTCTGAATTGGTCTTTTTGGCTTCTTTCTGTAATTTCCATTTTGGGAAATCAGGAGTTGTGACTCACAGTGGTAAATCTTCACACAGTTGAAATATGCCTTATTAGCACAATCTATTTTAGTATTATTAATGCCATAGTATAAATATGTACAGCATTAGAAGTAGTCAATTAGTGGAGGCTGATTTTTATTTTACTTCTATGTTGGCTTTACTTTCAAAATATATGTTATGTTATTATTGTTTTCCTTTTCTTCATTTTCATTGCTACCTTTCTTGGTCCAAGCCATCACTATCTCTTAGGTAGGTGATGAGATAGAGCACTAAGAGGTCTGGGACTCTTCCGCCCCTACACAGCAGCCTTGCCCTCCACATGGCAGCTGGAGTGATCTTTATAAAACCACACATGAGAACATGTTCCTCCTCTGATGGCTTCACACCACATCTGGAATAAAACCCTAACATCCTACCCTGACCGAGTGGGCCCTATGAGTTCCCCTTGCCTCTCTGAGCACATCTACTCCCCCGCTCATGCTGGGTCGGCCTTCTATCCGTACCTTTGACCATGTATTCCCTCTGCTTTGATCTCTTCCCATCTATTCTTACAGGGCTGGCTTCTTCTTGCCATTCAGGTCTCAATATCTCCTCAGACAGACTCCTAGCCCCTTAATCTAACGTAGACCTGCTTCTACTCCAATCATTATCGTTCTGCTTTATCTTTGTAGTGTGTGCTACTCTCTGACATTTTGAATTATTTGTTTTCTTGCTTATTGTCTGTGTAGGGGAGAAAAGATTTCTTTCCTCACTCATTGTAAAGTTCATGGCCAACAACCCTATGACAAAAGAGTAATAAGCAAAAAGCTTGCAAATGCATTTCATGTAAATCTTACATGACATGTGAGCCTTCAGAAGCAAAGCCCCAAAGACCCAGGGAAAACTGTATTTTTATGGACAGCCATACAGAAGTATAATTGAAGGACAAAAGGGTCTGATCCAAAGGTAACAAACTGGGAGAAATGTAGTAAGACCTGTTTGTTCAGTTTCTTCTGTGTGGGCACCTGCCACATGAGTGTCTTCAGGGGAGAAGGAACAGAAGAGGTCGGAGAGTGACGATCCTGGGTTTTATGGTCTGCTTCAGGGGAGGAAAGCCTGAGAGAAGGTCAGAGACGCCTTCCTACTTCTGCTGTTTTTTCAGTTTCCAAGGTGTCAGTCATATTTTGGGGTATCACACCTGAAGCCTCTGCGAGACCACAGGTCTGTGTGCCTGTCCAGTGTCTGGGACATAACAGGAGCTTAAAAAGCATTCTCTCCACACGGGGATTTACCGTAGACATGTTTGTGAAAACCAAACAAATCCTTAATTCCTCTCCCCCTGCAAGGTGTCCTTCCTCCATTTAGAGCTGCCCTTTTCCAGAGTTCCCAGGGTCTCTGGGTCATTACCAGGTTCCCTTATCACAAAGAGAAAGAGTGGAAGTTTCCTATGTTTTCTCTCCTCAACCTCCAGTCAGTTTTCTCCATTCCAGGCTGCCTTTGCTGTGTGCAAAGCTCAATTGTCTGCCTCAATTTTAATAATTCAGTGTTGAATGGGCACATTTGCATATGCAAATATTTGAAGAATTGAAATGGCAATTAACAGATGTATATTTGGGATTAATTTAAAATATTTTTTGTCTTTTCCTGTTTACTTTCATGGTCCAGCAGTAATTCTGATCTTAGTGACTTGCTGTGATTCCTCCATCCAATGTGTTTCCAGGTCTACTCTAGCCAGAGTCAGATTTCTAAAAGATGCTGTGCTGTCTTTGAATACGATTGAAAAATCACCATTTTAACCCCTTTATAGAACCTAATAAAGCATTTCAGAAGTACCTGCATTTCTTTTTATTTCTACCTGGTTGATGAGCCTCTCTCTTTCAAGGCTTCAGCTAGAGGAGAATTGATCAACACGTGTTATTATAATTATTTGAGGACCTACCATGGAAAGGGCACTGTGCTGGAAGCAGCTGGGGGAATATAGAGAGGAGTAAGACCAAAGCCCTGTCCTCTGGAGCCTTATGGTTCCACAGGAAGGAGAAGATGTGAAGACTCGTTACCTGAAGTTGACATTTGGTGGATGACACAGCATTCAACACAAAACATTTGCCATCCCCCAAAAAGCTGCCAACTGTTACTGGATGGCTTTGGTGATTTCCATGACATTTTTCCAAAATACAATGACTTTCCTCTTGTGGTTTTTGTACATCAACAAATCTTTTCAACTAACAACTACTGGGAAAAGTGAATCTATAGAAGTTTATTATTAAATAAACTAACATGAAAATGAGGCTGTTATAGCAGTATTGGAGTGGTAATAGTCCAGCCCTTCCCCAACTGCTGACTCCATATTTTAAAACCGTTTTTAGGATTTTTTTTCCCCTTCATTCACAGAAAGGAAGGTGACAGGGTGAAGGAGGTGGGGGTGGGGTGCGGGGGGCACATAGTAGAAGGAATCTGGAATCCAGAAGAGGTAGTATCGGTTTCTAACAACTTTCTGAGCTAAGTCTAGTGGAATATTAATGTGAATGAATCCTTGACAGAAACAGAAGAAATTGGGTGGCAGCATTTCCCAAGAGTGATGAATTGCAGGTGGTGTCTCCAGGGAGTAGGTCAATGAGAGTATGACGGAGATGTTTGCTGGGAAGCAGGTCCTTTGCTTTGCTGCCCAGTTTAAAGAAAATACAGCAAAGAAGCAAATGCTGTAGGTGGACACTGCGGCTCTGCGTTAATGGATTTGGATTTCCTTCTTCCTTTTCCTCTGGAACTTCAGTGGTTTTATAATGCAGAGATTTAGAGAAGGAAAATGCAGAGCAAATAATTTTTGCCCTCATTGAAATCGACAGTTTGTTGGACATTTTTAAATATCCAGTTTTTTATTTTACTGCTTTCTACACAATATTATTGAAAATACATTACATACTGAATTCAGTTTTTTCTAAGTGAAATATTGCCACTATATAAGAAGAGAGATCAATGGCCTTTGTTAGACAACAATTGAACAGCATCCTTTAGCCTGAAATTTGAGTCTTTCTTTCTTTCTTTTTTTTTTTTTTTTTGGTTCCAGGCTTCCTGTCATGAATAGAAAATTTCTCTGAGGACATTAGGATTTGATACCTAAGAAAACACATACCTCTAACAAATCTTGCTAATTTTTCTCTTTCCAGGCTTGTTATTTACATGTCTACATGTCTTAATTACTGACCTTTGAGTTGAAGTTCCTTAAAATACTTGATTACTTTTTTTTACAGGTGGATATTTTTATGCCATCTTAACATAATCCCTCTGTTCTACACAAACATCTAATGCTACAAAGATATTCAAAGACTTTTTAACAAAAATAAGACAATTTCTCTTGTACACTTTCATGTTTCTTGTGGATCTAAGAATTGTATGATTCCATTTTGTAATCATAGAATGTTAAGGTTGGAAACATCCACTCAAGCCTTCTGTTTCTCCTAGGACCCTAAGACCTGGAGATGCTAAAATCACTATCCAAAGGACTAACATCACTATCCAAAGGACTAAAACTCAAGCATTTAACCATCAGAACATAATAGTGTTCCACTTTTTGGGAAGGGGTGAGGTTCAAGAATGATGAGGGGAGAGATGAGGACGGGGGCTGGGTAAAGGAGAACCTGATGGGAAAGAAGCAATGATTTAGCTGAGCCATCATTGATGACAGGAGCTTTTAATGATGTGTGCTGATCAAGCTTCTGGGACATTTACCTCTTTCTTGCTGGTGATTTCTCTGACTCATCTGCAAACATCAGGTATGAGGTCTATGTGGCCAAGTAGGTGAAGGGGTGAAGAGGTAGGTGAAGGGGTGACCAGCTCATTCTTAACTGTGGCAGAGCAATTGAAAGTGCCATGTGGTGAGTACTCATTTCTTCTCCAGTCTCCACATTTGCTTTTTTGGGTGAGCAGCTGGGTAGCCCATGCCAGTGGACAGGCAGTGATGTGCAGTCGCTTAGTACCTGGGCTCTGGACCTGGTCACCTGCTTTGGCTACTTACTACCTGAGTAATTTTGTGAAAATTGCATCTTTGTACCTCAGTTTGCACATCTTTAAAATGAGGATAATAGTACCTGATTTATACATTTGTTATGAGGACTAAATGCTATTAATACACATAAAAAATTAAAGTGATATTTCATGCAAAGAAACTCTTCATAAACATTAGCCTTTTTGATGAAAAAGGCCTGAACTTTGGAATACAGAGTCTAGATTTCAATCTTCAGGCATGTCAGTAAACAATTTTGGGCCTGTTTCTTCAGCTCTAGAATAGGTTGGTTGCAGTTCCCATTGTTCTGGCCTTACAGCATTATTGCAAGGATGAGAGATCATGTTGGTCGACTCTCAGGGTGTGGAAATTATTAACATTCTACTTTCCTTGCCAAATACTTCCTCAGTGGAAATGCAGGATGGGATCATGAGTTAAAGTTTATACTGTAACTGAGAGAGCCAGCGTTGTTTTGAAGGTACTTGAGATACCTTTCTGCAGGAAGAGCGTGTATAAAACTGAAGCCACCTGAATGTATAGTGTGAGAGGAAGCTGGGACTTTAAGGCCCTATCTACATCTTTCCACAGGCAACAGACCTGAAAGTGGCAGCCACTGCCTTATTATTCTGATGACTCACAGAGCCGGAGTACTTCCTCTCTCCTCCACTGTCCTTTCAAATTAAATTCATTGCTCTTCAAGATGTCTGTGGTTCCCAGAAATGACGCAAGTTGTATGTACCCCGTTCAAAGCCTGAGCATTTGACTCTCAGGACATTCTCCCAAGTGGTCTGGGCCCTGCCACTTGCTAATACAGCTCTGACAATCTCAATCACTCCTCTTTTTCCTTTCTTTACAGAAACTCAGAGAAGACAATGGCTATATGGACTCCTTTTAAAAAAAGTCTTGCAAAGCTTACCTTAAAAAATTTGGATATTCTTGCTAAACCACAAAATAAAAAAAATAGTTAATTCCTCTTAATATTATTTGCTAACATGGATAGTATCTGACCACCCACAGGACAAAAAAACAGACATTTAACAGTTGCTTACAGGCTAAATGAGAGGCCCTAGTTAATGCACATTAGTCCTGTTTCTATCTCTTGTCCTTGAAATAAGCTTAAAATGCTTTTAAATTTAGTTCAAGTGTGAGATGCAGTTTCTTGAACCTCTTGTGTCACATGAAACAATTTAAAAGCAGCGAACATAACCCATCTGCACCAAGGAGAATCTACCTGTGAGAGGTGTTGTTGGTCAGTGAGGAAGCTAGCTTGGAAATGTGCCCAAATAGTGAATCAGCAGCTGCCATCCCAGCTACATTTCATTTTTAAAAGGATAGCATATGTCAGGTATTTTTTTTTTTTTTTTTTTGCCAACCAAGCTGATTTCTTCAGTATTCTGTTTTCCCTTGTTAACATTTCCCAGTATTTGTAGGGATGTTAGCATTTGATTCTTTAATGACAATCATGTAAAGTAACTAGGGCAGGTATTTATCTTCTATTTCATAGATAAGGAGATTAATAATAAATAACTTGCCCAAAAGTACACAGCAAGGTCTCATATCCAGATTTTCTGATACCATGCTGTGAGCACCAGGGAAGCTGGTTAAGATAAGGAAATCTTCAGATACCCCTGTGGTGGCACTGACAGTAATAGGTGTGCCATGAGATGGATGAAGAGCTACAGTGCTCCTGTGAGAGTCTACAGAGGAAAGATCTAGTGCCCCATGGGGGTAAGGAATGGTAATTTGGGGATACAACCCCTAAGCAAGTTATATTTCACTAGTGAGTAGTACAGGTAGATGTGTTATTGCTGAGAAACATCTGCAGTGCCTTTCTCTGAAACAGGCCTCTTATCATATGAAGCCCAGGTTGCAAAGGAATATAACCTTGGGAGATATTACTTGGTGTAGAATAGACACAAGTTATAATTAAATCATGTCACATTTTTAGTGACTGCTGTTCCATCCACAATTGACCTGGAGATTTTCCTCTTGTTGGGTTCTCTTCATGGATTTTCTTTCTTCCACTTACAGCTATTGCATGAAGTTTCTCCTCTCCTTAACAGACTCTTGGGAATCAGAATAACGGCAGCAACTGGCCAAGAATTGGGCACTTTGCATATATTGTTGCATTTGGGCTTCATGACAGTCCTAAGAGGGAGTATTATCTATTCATCTATTTTATAGATGAAGACCTTGAAGCTTAGAAAGGATAACTTGCCCTAACTTTCTGAGCTGGTAACTGGCCAGATGCTCTGCCTATCTATTGCTGCAGAACAAATCCCAGAAAGTTAATGGCTTATAATAGCAATCATTTTATTATATCCCACAGTTTAATGGGCCAGGAATTTGGGCAGGGCTTAGCAGACACAGCTTAGCTCTGTTCCATGTGGCATCAGCTGGCTTGACTGGGCTGGAGAATCTATTTCCAAGATGGCTCACCACGCGGCTGGCAGCTGGGCTGTTACCCAGAGTTCATAGCTCCTCTCTGTGTGAACCTCTCTATATGGCTGCTTGGGCTTCCTCATAGCATGATGGATAGGTTCCAAGAGCATGTATTCCAAAAGACAAGAGGTCGAGGCTACCAATCACTTAAGAACTTGGTCCCAGAAACTGGCATGATGTCATTTCTGTAATATTTTATTGCTTGGGAAGTCAGAGTTCTCCTAGATTCAAGAAGTAACATAGACCCTGCCTCTCACTGGGAGAAGTATCAAGGAATTTTCAGCCATGATTAATCTACCACACAGAGCAAAGATGAGCATACGGGTCTTAGTTACCACAACATATTGCATCTCAACTAGTATCACACCAGATGCATTTCTCAATCACTGCATTTATCTATTTGGTAGTGACTAGCCTGTGAGCTCCTTGAGGGCAGGGATCATGTCTTATGCATCTTAGGGTAAACAAAATCCTATAAGAGCATAGTCTATGCTTCATAAATGCTCAAGGAAGGAATGAAAGAGAGCTGAGTTCCAGTCCTGGCCTCTGCTTCAAAGTAGCTCTGTTAGTCTGAGCAGGATGCTGAACTACTCCAGGCCTTGGTCCCATCTCAGTAATATGAGGAGATGGCATCATCAGAGGATCCCTTAAGTCTCTTTCTTTTTTTTTCCCCTAGCACTACCATTGTGTTAGTCCGCTCAGGCTGCTATAACAAAATATTTTAAATTGAGCAGCTTAAACAACAGACATTTATTTCTCACAGTTCTAGAGGCTGGGAAGTCCAAGATCCAGGTGCTGGCCAATTTGGTTCCTGATGAGGACACTTCCCTGCCTTGCAGATGGCCATGTTTCTCCTGTGTCCTCACATGGTGGGAAGGAAGAGGTGGGGGGAGGGAGAGAGAGAGACACTAATCCCATCATGAGCGCTCCACCCTCACCACCTCATCTAAACTTAATGACACCCAAAGGCCCACCTCCTGATACCAGCACATTGGGGGTTAAGGTGTCAACACAGGAATTTTGGGGGGACACAGGCATTTAATCCATAATAACCACTTTACTAATCTACTCAAGATAATGATTTCAAAAATAAAGAGAGTTCGGATACAGGTCTCAAATGAGGGGAGTCCAGGAATCAAGAAATCTGAGAGAGAGTAAAGCAAAGAGTAGAGGAAATGGGATTGTTCTGCCAACAAGGACAAGGGACTCTAGAGAGAAGAGGGTGAAATGAGGTTCAGATACAAATACATAAATTACGATCGTAGTGCTTGGAATAGAAAGAAAGGAAGTTGAAGGAGGCTTTTTTAAAGTTTGAACACTTTGGACTGGGGACTATTTGGCCACAGTGGGTGGCAGAGTGTAGTAAATCAAAGGGAACTCCAGGTTTTGTACCTGAGTGACTGAGGAATGCGAATTCATCTAACATCAGCAGTAGTTCCCAACCCTGACTACACGGAGAATTACCTGGAGAGCTTTGAAAAAATATTGATGCCTGGGCCCCTCTCAAGATCGCTCAATTCAGAATTTCTGTTCTGAATTGTTCTGTTTTAATGTTCCAGAGATGGAGCTTGGAACATTAGTTTGTTTTTTTGGAGGCTCCCAGGTGATTCCACTGTGCAGCCAGGGTTGACAATATCTTACCTAGAGTTAAAGTCACTAGATTTCTGGCTGCTATGGAATCATAAAAATTGGAGGATCAAATGCCGATAGCTACCAAATAACATCATGTATGGTTTGTGGTGTATGCAGAAAAATGACCTCCCAAAGATGTCTACAACCTAATCCTTAGAACCTATGAGTATGTTAGGTTACATGGCAAAGGGAATTAAGTTTTCAGATGAAATTAAGGTTGCTAATGAACTGACCTTGAAATGGGGGAGATTATCCTGGATTAACCAAATAGGCCCAATGTAAACACAAGGGCCCCTAAAAAGTGGAAAAGGAGGTTAGAAGAACAGTCAGAGAAATGAAATGTTGCTGGCTTTGAAGATGGAGTAAGTCTGGGCGCGGCAGCTCATGCCTGTAATCCTAGCACTTTGAGAGGCCGAGGCGGGCAGATCACTTGAGGTCTGGAGTTCCAGACCAGCCTGGCCAACATGGTGAAACCTGTCTCTACTAAAAATACAAAAATTAGCTGGGCATGGTGGTGCGCATCTGTAATCCCAGCTACTCGAGAGGCTGAGGCAGGAGAATAGCTTGAACCCGGGAGGCAGGGGTTGCAGTGAACCCAGGTTGTGCCATTCCACTCCAGCCTGGGGTACTAGAGGGAAACTCCATCTCGAAAAAAAAGAAAGAAAGAAAGAAAGAAAAAAACAGATGGAGGAAGATGCCACAAGTCAAAAAACATGGGCAGCTTCTAGTCGATTGTCCCCTAGAGCCTCTAAAAAAGAATGTAGCTCTGTTGATACCTTGCTTGCCCAATGAGACCTGTGTAGGACTTTTGACCTACATAACTGTAAGGTAATACATTTATGTTGTTTCAAGCCACTGAATTTGTGAGATTCTGTTAAAACAGCCCCAGGAAGCTAATATAGGTGGTCAGCTTAGGAAGGTTTCATAGAAAATGTTAATTTTGATAAACTTTTGAAGGGACATTATTGGTGGAGAAAAAGATGGGGAGATTGATGTTGGAATTTGAGTCCATCAGAATTTTTTTTTAACATTTCAAGGATGTGTGATACCTACCTAGAATATTTATAAGCCAAAGCTAGAGGAATAAAACAGTATTATGTAATTGGTGCTAAATTCCCCAGTGAAGTCAGAGGCAAGGCATTCTCTAGAATTTTTCTCAGTAATGTTACTTGAATTGTGTGCAACTTCACAGATTTAAAGGCTGACAAAATACTTGCTTTACCTGGTTGGTTTTAAATTACTTAAGTCAGTACAGAAAGCAGACAGAATCTCCAGCTTCCACAAAGCCCACCCCTGAATGTCACCTGGAGCTTAATATTCTTATCACTCTCCTTTAATCAGATCTGTGGACCCTGCTGATTTGTTTTCATTGGATCCTTCTGAATAAAAAATAATTGGATCATGAGACACACATATACACACAGAGACAGACAAGAAAACAGACACACATTGAGACAGGAGAAATAGAGCAAAAAAAAAAAAAACCCTTCCATATGTACCTTTTTTCATTAAAACATATTTATTGAGGACCTGTATATGACATGAACATACATCATGTTAGGGTTCCATCAGTGAATGAGACAGGCAAGGTCCCTGTCTTTACAGAGCTCACAGCCTGGTGGAGGACATAGACAAATAATTATGCAATTTATAGCAGAGTGGAAAATGTAAGTTGCTATGAGGGAATACAGAAGGGGCAACCAACTCAGTCTGGGGATGGGAAGGGAAAAGTGTGTTGGGGAGGCTTTCTGGAGAAAGAGAACTTCTACGCCACTCACTGTCAAAGTGTGGTTTTTGGATCAGCAGCATCGGCAAACCCTGGGAGATTGTATACATGGACATTCTCAGGCCCATTAAGCCACACCTATTAGGGCTAAAATTCTAAGGATGGGGCACGGAAATCTGTGTTTCATCAAGCCCTCTAAGTGATTTAGATACATGTAAAGTTCATCGAGAATCAGAGCATCACACCTGAACTGCACATTAGAATCACTTGGGTCACTTTCCACAGAAATGCTGTGGCCCCATGCCCAGAGATATTAATTTAATTGGACTGGGATAAAGCCCTGGTATCAGTACTTTCTCAAGTCTCAGGTGATTACGATGTGATTTTACTGTGCAGTCAGGGTTGAGGCTACTT
Organism: Homo sapiens; assembly: GCF_000001405.40. NCBI lineage: Eukaryota > Metazoa > Chordata > Mammalia > Primates > Hominidae > Homo > Homo sapiens. The sequence goes on along the minus strand of NC_000009.12, from coordinate 76,907,232 downwards.
CTGTAGAACAGCTGAGGCTGGGGGCTAGGACAAGGGCTGGAAGGATCTTACAGGTGGTGTGCAAAAGCCCAGAGGTCAGAGAAAGCCTGATGTAGTGTGTTTGGGGACCGGACAAGGCTACATACAACAAAACCCCATGATTTAAAATAAGGTTTGTAGATATAAGTTCATTTGTTCATTGTAGTACTTCTTAAACTTTAACAAGCATAGAAATCATCTGAGGGTCTCATAGAAACACACAGATTCTGATTTGGTAAGTAGGAGCAGGGGACTGAGGTTCTGCATTTCTATAAGATCAGCGATGCTGATGTTGCCGGTCTGCAGACTGCACCTCACCTTAGCAAGGTTCTATTGCCCCAGCTTTCCCTGAGGGTACATGTCAGTGGATGGGAACTGCAGAAGGATGTATCTATGCATTAGTCCCAGGGCTGACATAAGGGCACCTAGTTGGGGTGAACTGTGGATGCCCATTGTTGTGTGGACATGTTTTCATGGTAGGGAGGAAAGACGCAGCCTCGCCCAACCTCCTAGCCTGCTCTTCTGATTATTATCCATCAAGGTCGTACTGCTTTTAGCTCAGCAGTAACTCCCCTCTTTCTCTCCTCGTCCCTCCCACGCCAATCTAGCTGAGTGCCTCCCCCGGCCAGGCCAGCCGACCAGATCATTAAGTGACCGCCGGAGTGCTCCGTAACGCGCCAGCCAGCCAGTGAGGCGCTGGGCGAGGCGGGGGCTCTCCTGGGACCCGTCTCCCTCTTCCCACCTTCCCCCGCTGACCGCGGCGGTGCCTGCGGCAGAGCCTCCCTCTGCAGCAGCCCCTTGCACTTGGCTCGCACTTCTGGGCGCTGTCCATGGTTGCAGCAGCTTTCGGCGCGCCACGTCAGGAGGCCGCAGCACGGCCCTGCGATTGGCGGAGGAGCCCCTCGCCATACCCCTGCACCTCCGCCCACGCGCCACGGCGCCCGAGGCGCGTGCCAGAGAGCGTGCCCGGCGCGCCCCGGGGCTCCTGGGCGGCACACCCACTTTCCTTATTAGGGCAGAGTCGGGTGCCCAGAGCCGGCGGCCGGGCGAGGGGTGGGGCGGGGAGCCCTGGGCGAGACGGTCGAGGGCGCAAGCACAGCCTCCGCCGCAGCCGCCTCAGAGCGGCAGGAGGGAGCAGTCGGTCGCTGCGCCCCGGCGGGCCACTTTCCCGGGACCCCGCTCGTCTTCCTTGGGCCGAGATTTTCCACTGCGCCCCTCCGAGTACCCGGGTTCCAAACCCCTAGCCACGACATGGAAGAATTTTTGCAACGCGCCAAATCTAAACTGGTAAGTTGAGTGAGCAAAGCTGTGTGTGTGCGCGCGCGCGTATGCTAATGGAAAGGTGGAGAGGAAAAGGTGTTGCAGCAGAGGAGGAAGAAACAACTTTGCCACGGAGTTATCAGGGTGTGCGGGTTGTCTCCTGGAAGAAATCTCAGGAACTCTGGCTCTTAAAGCTGGCAATCTGTCTCCAGAATCCTCCACCGCAACCAGACGAGGTGCAGAGCTGAAGGAGGTTGTGGCCTGGCTGAAGTTGGGTCGCTTCAGTCCAGCTTCGGTCCCTAAATCAGCAGTTTGCTCCTGAAAGCTAAGGGATAAATGGGTGTGGTCTTCCTTGAGATAAAGAGCCCAGCCTTCTGCAGATGCATTACGTGTAAGTGTAAAAGGAAAAAAAGAGACCCTTAGAACTGTACTTCAGCTGGAGGTGACAAAAGTGAGGAAGTCAGGGTGCTGGGTAGCAAGGACATGTGTGGTACTGGAGAATCCACAGAATAGAGCTTGCTCCACTGCAGGAGTTAGGGATATTCTAGTGTGTCTTGTGTCTCGCTAATTCCTGTTCACATCTGTAAATTGGGGCGGAGGCAGAAGGGGAAAGCTCTAACTGTTGGTGTTCTGGAGTTTACCAGATCATCGTTCTCCCGGGAGCAGACCTGTGTGTTAGCCCATGTTTACCATATCACTGTCCAAACAGTGAATGGGCAACTCCACTGTGTATGTTAACAGTTGCTACACATTCTGAAACAACAGACTCTAGCAGTTTCTTAATTCCAAACTGTTTTGGCTCTCCAGCACAGCAGTAATAAACATAATGGAAATGTTTCTGTTTTGGCAGAAAAAAAAAGAAAAGCCTGTACTCATTTAGAAGCAATATCTTTAAAGAACTGTAAAAGCACCTTTTACAGGCCTGGCATAGAAAGAAATGCATAATTTATGATGCCTTTAACCTTTAAGCCTTCATAGAAGCCAAAATGTAAAGTCTGCATTAAGGTAATGTTTTAATCACAAGGCAGGATATTTGCAGGGTTATTACTGTAACTCATTTACCCTCGCACAACAAAGGGAGTGCAGGAAGGGAGGGCCCAAAGATGCCTGAACCACCATTCAGAGTGCAGACGGAAGTGTGATCCTTACAATGGTCTAACTGTAACTATCTTGTAAAAGACCATTAAAGTTGATAAGTGCTTATATAAAACTTTCTACCTGAAACCTCCCAGAGAGTTGAACGTTTGTGGAGATTTCCGAGTTGAGGAAGTTTGTGATCATCTCTGTGTTTATTGACCCTTTTATAGTTTTACTAGAGCACATGGATGAAAATACTAATTTCAGAAACTCAAGTAAGTATTTGGCATTTCTGATAGTATAAGTACATGTTCTGTTCTTTACCTAGTAATGAAGGAGAAATGTTCAAAAATGAAAGACAATTTTGGCAACTGTGCGTGTGTGTGTATGAAAATGGTAATCAATGACAAACACAGAGTTCTGGGCTGTATCTGTTTTTCACTCCCATAACATTTATTTATCAATATTTTCACAATAAACATTTAGACTGTGGGGTCTGATATGAGCAAGAGGTTTGTCTCAATTCTGAGGAGCAGTTGCTGGAATGGAAGTTTCCCTATTTCCGAGTAATGAGTTGAAAGTAATCTGTAATTTATTTACCCTTCATTAGACGAGCAATTGCTCTACATCATTAAAAAAAAAAGGACAGGAAAGAGAAGCGGTTGTTTGAAATATTGTTACCAGTTTCATGTCTTAGCCAGAACAATTACTGCTAATTTTATCGTTTCTTGGAATAAGCTTCTTCTAGAAATCATGATTAACCTTTCACATCCAGCCACAGCAAAGGTGTGTTGGTCACTTTTAGTGTCATATTTTCCTGAGAAGTTACATTTTCTAGGTAATAAGATTTTTACTTAATGTATGACACTCAAATATAGTAGTAGATAACATTCTCCTTTAGAGGGTAGATAACCTTTTTCTTGGAGAAAAAGAATTAAGTCAATGTCATTCACTTGTGGGAAATTTATTTATAATAAAAAGGTAAGATTTGGCCGGGTGTGGTGGCTCACGCCTGTAATCCCAGCACTTTGGGAGGCTGAGGCGGGTGGATCACCTGAGGTCAGGAGTTCGAAACCAGCCTGGCCAACATGGTGAAACCTCATCTCTACTAAAAGTACAAAAGTTAGCCAGGCATGGTGGCGTGTGCCTGTAATCCCAGCTACTAGGGGGGCAGAGGCAGGAGAATCACTTGAACCTCGGAGGCGGAGGTTGCAGTGAGTCGAGATTGTGCCACTGCACTCCAGCCTGGGCAACAGAGCGAGACTCAGTCTCAAAAATAAAATAAAATAAAATAAAATAGTAAGATTTTTAAAAATTCAGCCAATCCTTTGGAAAACATTTTAAGGTGAAGAAATTTACCATGCTGATTTTTACTTAAGCCTTATTAGACCAGAATTAGAATGTAGGAGCTATGTTTTAAATGTTTTTCTTTAGAAGTTTAGCTATATGATACCTAAACAAACAAACAAAAAAGCCTAATTACTAGTTTGGTTTTTTTTTTTCCTATTTGGCTTAATTGCTTTGTTATTCTGTGGGCATTATATATATTTTTTAATGGTTTGAAATAGTTAATGACTCCTCCAAAGTCCTAACATAACCTCATCATCATTGGGGCTAGCTAATTCCAATAGGCAAAAAGAACTTTAAATTGCAAAATGGAATTGCTATTAGCCATAGATATAATCTCCAATAATCAAAATGTTGGAAAAATTGTGTGTCTTTTTTTCTGACTGGGAACATTTATTATTCATCTGTCATTGTAAGGAGAGAGGAAACTCTGCTATTCTAGGCCAGGCCCCTAGGTTGAACAGAAGTCTTTGAAAGAAAAGGATATTTTGAATTTTTATCAGGTAGTTTGGAGCTGATTTCCAATAAGTTAGGAGATCACTCTCAATTCTATTTTTAATCCCAGTCTGGCCCTACTACTCTTTAAATTGAGGCAGATTCACTGACATAATCCCATCCTCCTTTTCCCTAAATCTCCCTTTCTAATACCTTTCCCTCCCTCCTGAGAATACTCAGTATTTATCAGAAATGGCAAAAGTAAACTCCAGGTGTGGCCTCAGAGGCATCCCTCCTCCTGGGGCTCAAATGCTTCTCATGTGGGCCTGACTTCTGCCTGGTTAGGACAGGCTGGGGGCTGGAGCATATTTGTGAAAAACTTGGTTGGAGGTGGGGCACGGCTAGGGAGGTAGTTACTTCTTCCAAGCAGTCTCCAGAAATGCTCCCTTCTAGACAAACAAGGAATGACACATATGGAATTGACACGAGGATTGTTAAAGCAATAATAACAGTAGGATAAGCAATCTGAGAGCAAGCCCCGCAAGCTTGAGATCGTAATCAAAGAGTGGCGCTTCCTAGTTGAAATCACTTCCTTGATGTGAGAACCCAGCCATATTTTTGGTCTGGATACTTACTACCAAAACTAGAGAGAGTGCAAACGTATTTTCTTTTTTCTCCTGCCCATTCAGAGTTGCAGAAATCAAATCCTATATTCCAGATCAGTCCTTAAGTTTTAGCCATGCTTTCTGTTCTTAGTTACATCATTTCTATGGTAAGAGAAGTTGAAGGAGTGTAGGGAATGAGGGCTCCCTGCTCTATGCTGTGATTTGGGAAATGACCCTCAACTTCATAGTGGTCAGCTCAGGAAAGTATTCAGGACAAGGACAGTCTCATGGCAGTAAATGGTCCATGTTCCCATGAAGTTTGGGGGGAAAAAATGAAGTACATGAGGAATCATCTGGGGATGGGTAGAGAGTTCTGAGGCTCTGGCTGGCAGGAAGCCAGGCTCCCCACACTGGGCCTCTGCTGCTGAGCCTCCCTCACTGCCCAGACCCCCCCAGGTGATGCAACTCAAGCAGCTGTTAATGGGTGGAGATCACCGCAGCCCTCATGCCCTATGATGTAGGTCAGGAGCCAGCCTTGGGTGGCGGGGGTGGGGATGTTGTCAGCTGTCACCAGCAAGATACAGGGCACATCAGTGTCCCAGGAATGCTGTTTTCAACAAGAAGGTGGACAGTCACTACTGCAGTCCAGGGGATGCATCTGCTACTTCAGCAGTGACAGCTGTGGAAGAAGGGCTCATTTCTGCAGTAGGTATTAGTTGATATGTGGACTTCTACAGAAGAAAAATTCTAGGTGACTTGAATGTCAGCTCATACTCTGTGATATGTGCCATAGGGACAAGAAAGTACATTCAAAACTCTAAATGAACAACTGCATTAGAGTGATTACAGGAGATGGGGTTTTAAAAAGAAAGAAAGACGGCAGCATGTCTGCAGAATAATCAACTTGATTGGAAATTGAAGGCATATATTCTTCCTGATTTCCTCTTGCATGGGAAGAAAGTTCCGCGTATCAATAAAAAGGATATTTAAAGTGAATGCTTCATACCTTTTAAAGGGCTGCTGTGGTAAGGACTAGTAATGATGAAGAAGCTGGCAGAGCTGTTTCATTTCAGGAGCTGAGCTTATTCTGATCAGAGACCATGGGATCAGCTCCTGCCCCATTGCAAACCAGGGCAGGTGCTCTTGAGACCATGCCTCTTGCCAGAGCATTTATGAGCAGGAAACTCAGGAATCCAAAGCACTTCCCGTGAATGTGATACCCCTTGCTTAGGGGCTGATGAGGAATGAACCCTTGATTTTTTTGGTCCTGGAGTTAGCTTCATTTCTCACTGCCAGATCATTCAGATGAACAGCTGCGGATTGTCCCAGTCCTGGGACCTTTGGAGAAGAGCCATACTTTTTTAGTGTAAACAGATCTTCAAGTGGATCAGTCTGTCGCAAAGGAAGAGAGGTGCTCCCTGTGATTCAGACAGCACCTTGGGTCTTGGAGGACATGGGATCAGGTGAGCAAGGTCACCCTTTAGGCAGTGATATGGGGACTATTTTGTCAACTAAGTAAACAGCTGATGGCTTTGGTATAACCAGTTTGTTTCTGTGTAACATTTATTTGGGCAGATATTAACATAATTTTGAGTTTGGTAAACTGGTCTGGGGAGCTCCTGTAAGCAATGGCTTGGTGATGGAGGCATTATTCCTCCAGGGAGGGGGTAGAGGGAACCTACCCCTCCGTGAATGTTACCTGAGCAGTGAGAAGAATGAGGGAAGAATACTTGGATCTGGATAAAGGCTGCAAAAGAGGAAACAATATCAGGGGACCAGAGAGAGGGGATGCAACGTTAGTTACTGATTTTTCTTGAACCTTGGGGATTATGGGAGAGTCCTGGAGTTTGAAGTCTTCTTGAAAGGAAACTGGGGAGGGCTGATGTATTCAGGAGGCAGCATTCCTATGGACGGTGATATGAACAGTGCCCTCTGAGTTTGTATAGTACACAACCTGCACAGTCATTCGTGGCTACCCTGTTAGGGGTCTCAAATTAGCGTACTCAAAATCTCTAGCGTTGTCCCAAATCCATTTCTTTCTGAGCCCTGTGGCTTTGGACTTTGGTTTCCAGGGAAAGGAAGTCTTTCTTCTTCAGAGCTCTTATGAGACTAGTGGGCTCTAGATCACCCTGGAAAATCAGACCCACAAAGTTTGGGTTAGAATAATCAAGCTGATAAACACAGCTTTGGTTTCTTAATCTGAAAAATGGAATAAGTGATGCCTACTTTGCATGTTTGTTGCAAAGCCAAAATGATGTATTCATAGCCCTTAGCACAGAACCTGGAACAATGGTGGGTCTTTCCACTTGCCTCCAAGCCCGTCCTCTTCTGTACTTCCTTGTCTTAGTGAATGGCATTGTGATTCATCCAGTTTCTCCAGCTGAAAACTTCCTTTTCCTTCATCTCTTCCCTAACCCACCCTATCCTTAAGTCACCCAGATGACCACAATGGCTGGCAAACTGCTTTCACCCTGCTTCCAGGGAGATCATTTTGAGAGCATCTTTCACACCTTTCCTACCCCTCCCTTAAAACCTCCTCATCACTTTCCATTGTTCTTAGGAGAATGGACACACTTTTCGTATGACCTGATCTGCTATCCAGCTTCTTTCTGGCTTTTCCTCCAGCTCTCCTTGGCTTAAATAATTCCTGCCTCTTAGGTTAGACAAAGAAAAGACTCTTCTAAGTGAGCCCCCTCACCTGCTTCTTGAGTCTAAGTCAGGTATTTTGGTAATTCTTTAGATCACTTATTTCCGCTTGTCATTATATCTCTATTGGGCATGTTTGTTCGATTAATGCCAGTTTGGTGAGAGTAGGGACCAGGGTCTGTATCATTTTGCTCACCATTGTATCTCCCGGTTCTGGTGCAGTACCTGATGCTCAAAGAGTGGTTTTAGAATTAATAAACCCTAAAGGCAAGAGTCCTGCACAAAGCATGACACTTTGTAGTGGCTCAATAAAAATAAATAAACGGAGGGCCAGGTTTAGATTTTTGGAGGTCTGAATCTGAAGAAAGGCTATTGTCAGGAGGCAGGAAGCCATATTTGTTTGCTAGAAGAAGGTGAAGGACACTAAAGTCAAGGAGCACCATATTGTACTTCATACACAGTAAGTACTTAATACAAAGTGTTAAGACAAAATAAAAATCTAATTTTTATGCATGACTGCTTGGGATCTATAAATATTGGTTGAACTAAAGCATGAATGGAGAGAGGCAGAGGAGAGGAATGGGGCACTAAAAGCCTCTGCAAAACTGCATTGGGTAGATCAGCCAACAGTGGAACCATTGGAACCGTAGGTTCTCCTCCATGTGGCTCAAAGACTAGAAGTTGGGCTCCCCCAAGGCCAACCACTGTACCAAGTCAGCCCAGCCTAGTCTCTTGCTGCCCCTTGACCAGTGCTAATATCATGAGAGAGATTGGCAGGGAAGCTGTTCAGAGTCCTTGAGAGAAAAGATTAGGCATTCCAGACTTCCTGTCCAGCCCTGGCACTGCAGACCTCATGTGTGGGGTAAACCCATGCATGATCCTGAGTCAGACCTCTCGTCCAACTAGTGGGACTGTTTGTGGTGGAGCGTGATCATGGTCTTCCACTTCATCTAACTCTCCTGGATGTGACCAGACCTTCCCAGGTTATTTGTTTTAGCCTGTAATGCCAGAGTCTTTTTGAACTGATGATGTCTAGGAAAATTGCATATCTTTGGCTCCATGCATTTGATATTTCTTGCTTTGGCTTCCCAGAAGCTTAAAGCTATGTTGGTGCTTCATTTTCTTAGCCTAGGATTTCCGAACTAAGGTTTTTTTTGTTTTGTTTTTTTAATTGTTACTACTTAGTTTTAATCTCATTATAGTTGTTTTAATTTTTTTACTTTAATGTATATGCACTTTTATTATAAGTAGGTTATCCTTTTGGTTACTGTCAAGAATAAATAAATACATCTTATAATAATATATATGATCTTGAGTATATATTGGTGACCAGTCTGGCCTAATTCAGGGTTCATCTACTCAAATTTGAGAATTAGCTTTTTGTAGTAATGGAGAATATAGTGTGGGACTTCAGAATAAGTAGCTGAAAGGAAACATCAACACAGTCCAAAGATTGTCTGTGTTCCCATCCTTGATGATTGCTGACCTCCCTGAGAGCAGCAATAGCCACACTTCCTTATATCTGAGCCCATAAATGGGGAACTGTGAGGCAGTCCCTGGCAGAGGCTGCCTGCCCTAAATCAGATCCTGGGAGATTTTCCTAGAGTATGAGTTGTGGATTTAGGAGACCCTTAGAAGGACTTTTGTCCTCCTTCCCACTTCTTGCCCCCTAAAGGCAGTACAGCCGGGCGGCTAATCATGTGGAGCCAGTGCCTGATTTCAAATCCTAACCCCGCCACTTTTACTTGCTAGTCACACAATCTTAGTTTCTTAGCCTCCCCGGGTCTCAGTTTCATCATCTGTAAATGAGAACAGTAGTAGCACTGGCCTCACAGGGCTGCTGCATGTGTGTATGCCCTGAGACGAGGACGTGATCTCCAGGCACAGTAATAAAAACATGAAAAGGCCACTAGCAAACAAGAGCCAGGAAGCCCTATTTACATTTCACAGAAACAGGAACAATTCTTAGCTGTCTTGCAATTCAGTTAGAATTTGTGGAATATCTGTCTTAGCTCTAAGAGATACTTTTAAAATTTGATTTAACTCCCACAATGGTCTTGTAAGGTAGGTACTAATCTCCTTTTGCAGTTGCCAAAACTGAGGCTCAGTGAGGTTAAGAGGTTTGCCCAGGCCAGGTGCAGTGGCTCATGCCTGTAATCCTAGCACTTTGGAAGTCCCAGGCAGGCAGATTGCCTGAGGTCAGGAGTTCCAGACCAGTCCAGCCAACACGGTGAAACCCCATCTCTACTAAAAATACAAAAAAATTAACTGGGCGTGGTGGTGTGCATCTATAATCCCAGCTACTTGGGAGGCTGAGGCAGGGGAATTGCTTGAACCAGGGAGGTGGAGGTTGCAGTGAGCCGAGATCATGCCTCTGCACTCCTTCCAGACTGGATGACAGAGCGAGACTCCATCTCAAAAAAAAAAAAAAAAAAAAAAAAAAAAAAAAAAAAAGAGGTTTGCCTAAGGTTGCATAGCCACAAAGAGTAGAGCTGGAGTTTGCTTCCGGATCACCTGACTTCAATTCTAGGACCTTCTTCCTCATACCATAAGCACCTCTTCCCCCAAGATCTCCTGGAACATTTCATTCTTGTTAAATTAAAAGTGAACAGCTTGACAAGTTTATAGGAGGGCTGAGTGGTAAGTTAGTGAAATTGCACATATATTGTTCACGCTGACCCAAGAGGGGTTCATTCTTCTGTGTTGCTTGTTTTATGTTAAAATCTTTTGGACAACAGAATATCAACCAATGTTACTGAAATCCTGCTATGAGAAAAACATGGTGTTAGGCCATCTGAGATTTGGTTGAATACATTGTGAGATTGTTCTCACTGCATGCCCATTTGAAAGAAAATTAACTGATAAACGATTGGGAGGAGAATGTGTGTGATTAGCTTTTAGAGTAATTAGAAATGTTATGGGCATCATTTGGTGAAATGTTAAGAACAAGAATGCATTTTTAAAAGAGTTTAAATGCCTCTTATTTGCCACCAAGGTTATTTGGTTTTGTAGTTTCTTCACTGTTGCCACTCTCTTATTGGTGGCCTTAAATACCACTTTGATGGATTGACCGATGTCAGGGGGTCTAGGCAGGAGAAGATCCAGGGTTAGAACACAGCTCTCGGTTGTGTCAAGTCCACTTTGGCTCTCCAGTCTGCTGGTTTAGCAGCGCCCCAGAAAACTGTTGATTATGCTCACGATACACACAGAAGTGAAGGAAAGGGGAAGAAAGGAAAGAAGGAAGGTGGAGGCAGAATTGGAGGGGAAATAGGAGAAAAGAAAGCGATGAAAGGATTCAAGAAGGAAGCAAGTATGAACATCCTTCCACAATTCAGGACAGGATGCGTTGTAAGTGCAACAGTTCTTATGTCCACGGTCACTTCCCTGGCACATCAGCCAACCCAAAGTTACCCCAAAACTAGGAATTGGGCAAAGGCAACTAAAGTTGATTATTGAAAACCTATCATCAGTTAGTTCTTTTCTCACAGGAAAATTCCCTAAGTGCAATCTCTGAGGCTATTTGCGAGATGATACTTGTAAATCATTCACAGAAATGCTGGGAGCATAGCAAAACACATGAATGCTAGCTACCATCATTGAGGTTATTATTTAATGTGCACTTTGACACAGTGTTCACCAACCTTGTTTTCTCAGAAGGGGATGATGGAAAGGGAGGTGGCTGCCAGAGGCTGTAATAGATGATGACTTACGATGGGGAAACTACACAAACAAAACCAAAATCAAACAGGACCTATAAGAAGCAGACCTGATGGCAGGCGTGGTGGCTCATGCCAATAATCCCAGCACTTTGGGAGGCAGAGGTGGGCAGATCTTGAGGCCAGGAATTCAAGACCAGCCTGACCAACATGGTGAAACCCCATCTCTACTAAAAATACAAAAATTAGTGGTGGCACACACCTGTAGTCCCAGCTACTCAGGAGGCTGAGGCAGGAGAATCACTTGAACCCGGGAGGCAGAGGTTGCAGTGAGCCAAGATGGTGCCACTGCACTCCAGCCTGGGTGACAGAGCTAGACTCTGTCTCAAAAATAAATAAATAAATAAATAAAATAGAGGCAGATCTGGGCCCCCAGTAAGTGTCATTCCATTTGGTGTCAGGTAAATAATCCCAAATATCTGCACAGCCCTTGGCAGACATAACATCACTGACATAAAGTACATATCTGATGCTCATAGTAATGACCCTAAAGAATCAGGGGGAAAAGATCATTTAAATTTAGTGTCCTGTTTAAGAAGAAAGGTGTGGTGCATAAGCGATTTCAGAAAAATTTCCCACTCAGATAATTAACATAGAAAAAAATAGAAAAGAAGTTGTGGCTTGCAGGGTAGGCTTCGGTTGTCTGACAAAGCCTCTTGCATAGGAGACCTTGTTCTTGAGTGTAGCCAGATATGTGAAACGTCATGGTTTATAACAAGTGATCATGAGTCAGGATGGAAGGTGATGGTGCAAAAATGTGAGTCTGATGTGGGGAGGCATAAATAGGCCTCAGCACGTACAAGATGTGAGCAGCCTGGCGCCCCACTCCCATTCTCAGTGGAGAACTAAATCTGGTTCTTGACTCCAGAGGAGGCACAGCAATGACCACAGAGGTATAAAATAAGGTCCCTGAGAAAAGCCCGTGAGGGACCAGAAGACTGCTGATGGCCTTGCAATTCTTTGAAAGGTTCTTATGGAAGAGTTTCCACCCATGGAAATTATTTCTTCCCCTCAGTTGAAAAAACAGGACTTTTAGGATGAGTGGCTTTTTTTTTCTCCCTCTTAAGGAAGCCCATTCATTAAGGTCCCTTTTTTTTATTTTTTGAGACGGAGTCTTGCTCTGTTGCTAGGCTGGAGTGCAATGGAGCCATCTTGGCTCACTGCAACCTCTACCTCCCTGGTTCAAGAGATTCTCCTGCCTCAACCTCCTGAGTAGCTGGGATTACAGGCAAGCGCCATCACGCCCAGCTAATTTTTGTGTGCGTGTCTTTAGCAGAGACGGGGTTTCATCATGTTGGACAGGCTGATCTCGAACTCCTGACCTCAGGTGATCCACCCACCTCAGCCTCCCAAAGTGCTGGGATTACAGGTGTGAGCCACCGTACCTGGCTGGTCCTTTTTTTTTTTTTTTGCTGCAGAAAATTAATGAAAGGGTGCAAAAAGAGAAAAGTGCATGTTGGCTTCCTCCTCTCCAGCAACAGCAGAGGCAGAAGATCATCCTGGAGGCAGAAGCATTTTGATCCTCTTTACATTCCTCAGACACATTTTCTGTAACAAGTGGTCAGTGGTGCTGGCCAGACCGGCACCTGGCTCTGAGAAGATAGAAATGTCACAGCATGTGGACAGATCAGCTGCTCCCTGCCACGGGTATGTCTGAGAGGACAGGACACGTGCCTGGCTGCTCCCTGAGAAGGCAGTGTCCCTGGTCCTCTCTCCAAGGAGGCAAGAAGGGGCAAATCCCGTTCTGTCCCCCATTCTTGATTCTTTACAGTTAAATATGTCCCTTGGCCCTTAGCAAGCTGGTTTGTTTTTCATGCGACACCTCCTGGTCAAACTATGGGGTATGATTCTCTCATCCTTCATTGGCTACAGTATAAAGAGACTTCTGGAGCTGCTTCCTTTTGGAGGACTGGATTCTTGCAAGGAAGGGTGGGCAGTCTTTTAGCCGATTCTTGTGGATTAATTTACAACTTTGATTCAGGTTTTGTTTTATCTTTTGAGTGTTTACCAAGATCATTGAGAGAACTCGTTTTTTCTCTTTAGATGGTGGGCAAATTGCAAGCATGGTCTTAAGAAATGTATATAGGTCACAGAAAAAGATAAACAAGAGGGAGACATTTTATTCCCTAGGTGAATCTTTCTTCTATTGTTTAATTATGAATCTGCTTTGCAAGACCCTAAAATAAAGCCATCCATGAAGCAAAGCAATTTTCGTGGCCCTGTGACTGATCATGTGCTTGCCACTTGGCTGATACCCCTGGACCGTGGCCTGAAGTGTCATTACTCTTGGCTCCAGTCTCCAGAAAACCCAGACATAAACTCACTGTGGTGGATGCAGATCAAAATGCCATCCCAGAGCTGGCTTTTAAAATGTTTTGAAAAATTCATTATCCCTCTAAGCCATTAGATCACTTTGAGCCTTATGGGGAACAAATGCATTTCTCACTTCTGTGGAATTCTTTCATGCCAAAATAGCCTCCTGACCAAGCGCAACATCTCTGTACAAATCAATTCATACACAAAGGGTTTCATAGGCTGGCATTTACGTAGATGGCTCTGATGAATCTCATAAACACTGAGCCACACTTGTTACAATTGGCCCCTTTGTTGGACTTCTGCTTTCAGCAGGATTTATATTCAGCCACCCTGATCACCATGTCACCCTGGGTACACTCTGACCCATCACTTCAGGGAGGGCTGTGGAAAACAGCCATCAGGGTTCCTTGTGTTTAAGTACAGCATTCTGTGGCCATCATCTTTTATTTACGATTTCTCGTTGTGTAACTGTGAGTTATTTTAACAATTATAGAATCACAGACCTTTACACTGGAAACTACTATAGAATCATAGGGGTTTTTTGTTATTGTTGTTTGTTTTGTTTTTAGAACCAGGGTCTCCTTCTGTTACGCAGGCTGGAGTGCAGTGGCAAGATCATGGCTCACTGAACCCTTGAACTTGTAGGCTCAAGCGATGCTCCCACCTCAGCCTCCCAAGTAGCTACGACTACAGGCATGTGCCACCAAGCCTTGGCTAACGTTTTGTTTTTTATTTTGTAGAGACAAGGTCTCATTATGTTGCCCAGGCTCGTCTCGAACTTTTGTCATGTTCTTTGTCATGAAGGATCTCAAGTGATCCTTCTGCCTAGGCCTCTCAAAATGTTGAAATTAGAGGTGTGAGCCACTGTGCCCAGCCTAATCACAGATTTTTAGCATTGAAACAGATGACTTTAGACATCTATTTCAGTTTCCTCATATTATATTTCAGGCTCAGTTTCTTTGTAAAATAATAAACAAGCAATAAGGTATATTTGGCAAATAGAGGAAAGCTGAAAAATTACCCATAAAAAGAAAAAATTAAAACTAAAAATAAAATCACCCACTTTCATTGAAGCATGACCTTTCGTGATAGTTTGGCAAGTAGTTTTCTCAGTCTTTCTTCCTTGTGCACAGGACTTAAGATATTTGTATATCTTGCAACCCCAATTTTTATTTTACTTAACATTATTTATTATTTTCCTAAGTTATTACATAGTATTCAAAATCAACATCTTAAATAATGGAGCACAGTTTAATAAAGAAGACCTACTGAGGTTAAACCTTTTCATTGTCCCTCCTTTTTGCTATTGTTAATTACTACGACAAACATCTTTGCACATAAAAACATTTTCTCCTGTTTAGAATTATGTCTTTAAACTGGCTTTCCAGTATGCAATGATTAGGGAAAAAGATATTAATATTCTTAAGCTTCTTTATACATCTTTTTAAATTGACTTCTGGGTGAACTCTTCCCAAATTTCAAGACTCAGAGAGGTTAACTAGTCCCACAGTACATTGTGACAGAGTCAGACATAGATTTGAGGTCTCTTGACCCTGAAGTCTACACCCCGACACGTTAGAGAATTTGTGCAGTATGAGGGAGAATGGTGTCCTGATGGTATACATTGTGGATCTGAGCAAATAACCTGAAGTGGCCTGCCTGCTGAGTTGAGACAAGCGTAACAGAAACTGTGCCACACCAGTTACAACTCTGCTAATGAGACCAGTAGGTAGAATCTGGCTGGGGGGGCTACTTTCTCTTTGTCTTTTCACTTCCTCTCTCAATTATTTCAAAAAGATTGAGCCTTATGGAACAGTAAAGCTATTGCTGCTCTGCTCGGTGTGGTCACTCGGAGCACAGTGTTGCCCTTCATAACTGTTGTCACCTACTTGATCTCATTTGATTAACCTTGAGGAGGGTTCATGTTATTATATTTATGTCACAAATGAAAAGAACAAGGCCAGAGAGGTTAAGTCCAGCCTTGCCCAGAGACACACAGCCAGTAAGTGGCAGAGGTGGGCGTAGATTCTCTGTCTTCTAATTCCCAGCATCTGTGCGAAGAAAAATTGATCTGTGTTTTCAAAAGATAGTTTGAAGGTCTCATTGAGAGCATAGTGGTTTGGATTCATCTACATAAAAGAAAATGTCCGAGTGAAAATACAGGGCACTTTTCTGAGAGGAGGCTATTCAACGGTGAAATCTATTCATCCTGATGCCGCTTTTCTTTGACACAGGAAAACATACGCATCAAGCTTTGGAGTTTCGTGTGATGGACTCTGATGTACAGTATGCAACTGTGAGATTAATGAATGTGTCACTGGTGGAAACATGCTGAGCCCAACAGGCTCTGGAGACTAAGTGTCACCTGTAATGGAAAGAAGGCACCTGAGAGGCAGGGTCTCTGGAGGGCCTGTGGGCATCACCTGACATGCCTGTAATGGGACAACAGGTGACTGGATGTCACTTATAGTCATTTCAGCTGAGAGTTCTCTGTAATGTGGGAAAGAAGTTTAATTGCCTATAACATCAACTCTTTCCCTGCTACAGAGCAGGTGTAATTCTGTCAAATTCTCTCTTCCAACCTCCTCATTCTCAGCTGTTTCTTCATTTGGATCATATTCATTAACTGCCCAAAAGCCTAAATGCATCCCACACTGATGCAATGGGGAGTAATTTTCGTTTAGTGCAGTTTGATATCACTGAAGCTAAATTCCGCTCTTTCAAAACTCTAAGAAGCACATAGATCTCCCTACCAATCTTTTGTATCACCATAGCATGACAAAGGCAACATGATTGCTAAAGCCAATATGCGCAAAGATGAAGATGCATCAGATGCATTGGCCTCTGGTGAGTGGTCCTGGGTTGCCTGTGTTTTCCAATCTTTCTTAAGCATTTGATTAATTCACGCTGGTGAATAAAGAAAACCGCAAACATAATTGAAAGAAAATCTAGGCAGCTGGAAGTCAAGGTTAGTTTGGACTTGTAATTCTGTATTGGTGAGAATTTTGGGTTGATACTTGCCCTGAAAACTTAATATGATTTTTTTTTTAGAGAAGTCTGTTGTCTAATTGGATGATTTGTGTACAGTATGATAATTCCTTTACAGACCCCGTGTTGGGAGGCTTCGGTATATGCCGAGGGAAGTAGACTTGGGATGATATTTCCTTGTAAATGTTGGGTGGGAGTGGAATCACTGACTCTGAGAGACTGATGTGATCTGCATAGTTGTTAAATCGTGCACACCTGCTAAATAATTAGCATGCTGTGGGGCAGGGGGTCCTGGAAGTAAATCCTTGCATGCCCCAATTTTTAGTTGTCCAACTCCTTTCTGAATATACTTCTGCTTTATTTTAAAGACAGAGCAGAAAGCATTGAGGGCCAGATAAGAGCAGTCAAATTAAGCTAGTATCTCACCATGACTGGTATCCCATGCTGGGTCTCCTCTCCTGTCCCCATTTCCTCAAAATATCTTTACACCACTTCTTATCCTTATCACTCCCCCTTCAGCATAGCCTGCTCTTGGTCAGCATGCCAGGGAGTTAACATCTATCAGTGTTTTCTGTGCAGCTACATATGTTATTTGACCTTCACCGTCATCCTCTGAGACAGGCATCATTATGCCCAGTTTGCAGAGCTGGAAACTGAGGCTCAAAGAGGTCAAGTAACTTGCTCTAGGGAACACAACTAATGAATGTTGGAGCTAAATTTCTGGTATGCCATTCCTGAGAGTCTTAGCTTATATTTCCACTTCAACAGACTGCAGGGACATAATATACTTACTTCAGGAAGAGTGGTCATTCCGGCAGCGCTCTTTAAACTTTAATGCCTATTGGAGTCACCTGGGAATCTCGCTGAAAGGCGGACTCTGATTCAGTACACTTTGGGGTAGAACCCGGGATTTTGCACTTCTAACAGGCTCTCAGGAGATGGCAATGCTGCTGTCCCCCAGAGCCCACAAATCTGAGTAGTGAGTGTCCAGAGCATTGATGAGCCAGGAGGCAGGAGCGGTGCATTAGAATCTGAGGGGGCTGCACAGCTGGGAGAAGGTGCCCTGCAGTGGAAGTGGCATGCTTCCCCCCGAGGAGGTGTGGCCTTGCTGCAATCACATTGTGGTGAGACGCCTGATGTGCCGCGTCTGTTGCTACTGTATTTCAGGTAAGATCATTGGTTTGGGAGGAAAAAAGAATCTTTTTGGCCAGACGAGGTGGGTCACACCTGTAATCCCAACACTTCGGGAGGCTGAGGCGGGAAGATCACTGGAGCACAGGAGTTTGAGACCAGCCAGGTCAACTTAGCGAGACCTCGTTTCTACTAAAAATCAAAAAGTAGCTGGGCTTAGTGGTGTGCACCTGTAGTCTCAGCTACTTGGGGGGCTGAGGCAAGAGGATTGCTTGAGCCTAGGAGGTCGAGGTTGTAGTGAGCCAAGATCATACCACTGCACTCCAGCCTAAACTCTGTCTCAAAAAAAAAAATCTGCAGTCACGCCACCATGCAGAGAGCCATGGGTTCTAATGACCCATAAAACAGGCCCTGCATGCAATACATATTTCTAATATGTATTAAAATTTCTTCATATCCCTTATGCTTTTCTCATACAAAACACAGGGCCTTGTGACTTCACAGTGCCTGGCAGCAAGGAAGGACCATAAATACGTTAAAACGACCGGGCACGGTGGGGTCATGCCTGAAATCCCAGCACTTTGGGAGGCTGAGGTGGGTGGATCACCTGAGGTCAGGAGTTCAGGAGTTCAAGACCAGCCTGGCCAACATGGTGAAACCCCGTCTCTACTAAAAACACAAAAACTAGCTGGGTGTGGTGACACATGCCTGTAATTCCAGCTACTTGAGAGGCTGAGGCAGGAGAATCGCTTGAACCTGGGAGGCGGAGGTTGAAGTGAGTGGAGATCATGCCACTGCACTTCAGCCTGTGTGACAGAGCGCGACTCCGTCTCAAAAACAACAACAACAACAAAAAACATTAACAGGCTGGAGGGAGAAGTAGAAGAGAACTGAAGGAACTGGCAGTCTTTTAGGGAGTGCAGAGCTTCTGACTGAGCTCTTTGAATGATCTCAGGAGGAGGAAAGCACACCACTCGCCCTACAGAAAACTTAATGTTGGAATGAAACTTTTCTTTCTTTTAAGACAAAACCATTCACAGTTCCCCTCAACACCTTTTGGTCTCTTTCTCTCTTTATCTAAATAATAATAATAATAATAGTTATTATTATTATTATTGAGATGGAGTCTCACTCTGTCACCCAGGCTGAAGTGCAGTGGTGCGACCTCGGCTCACTGCAACCTCCACCTCTCGGGTTCAAGCAATTCTCCTGCCTCAGACTCCTGAGTAGCTGGGATTACAGGCCTGCGCCACCACGCCCAGCTAATTTTTGTATTTTTAGTAAAGACAAGGTTTCACCATGTTGGCCAGGATGGTCTTGATCTCTTGACCCTGTGATCTGCCTGCCTTGGCCTCCCAAGGTGCTGGGATTACAGGCGTGAGCCACCGTGCCCAGCCATATCTAAATTATTTAAAATGTTTCTTCTCTTTATTTGATGCCATCTTCCCAGAAGTCCTTGTGACTGGATGGCCTTCGCGTTTGCTTTCTTGTCCCCACCGGCCCTATTGTTAGTGGTGCGTGGTTCCATGTGGTGCTTAGTTATTTATGGTCCTCCTTTATTATTCATGCCTTTCTTCCTTTGTTCATGGCTGTTGCTTAGTCACTGTGCTTCTCTGATGTGTTTTTGGTTCATGCTTCATTTCCTACTGCCCTTTTGTGCTTTTCTATTCCTTTTCCCTTAACACAGAATTCTGTTTCTCTTAACATAGTGGGGAGCCCGGAGTGGTTTGTGGAACTTTGTTTAGCTTGGGGATGGTCAGCAGGCATCATAGAGGTTTTAGGAATCATTTTAGGTGCGGTTCTTTATCAACTGTCTTTCACTAGGTTATGCCGTGGTAGCAAAAATCCCCAATGTCGGTGGCTTTCAGCATTAAAGGTCTATTTCCTGCTCATGTTACAAGTTGCTGAGGGTTAGCTGTGGCTCCAAGTGCCTTCTGCATTCTGGAATGTAGGCAAAAGGAGCAACAGCTGTCTGGGATATGCTGCTCTCATGGGTAGAAGAAGAGAGTTAGGGAGTTGGTAGGCTCCAGTAATCGTTCTTAAAGCTTCTGCTCAGAAATGGAATGAGCCACTTCCACTTTCTCTTCATCAGCCACAGCAAGCAAGTTACATGGCCAAGCCCAATAGCAGTGGGGTGGGAAGTATACTCTGCCCATGGGCAGGCACTGAAAGTTTTATGGCACCGTGCAGGGACGGATTATTGTCATTTACAGGAAGGAAAGTTAATAATTAGAAGTAATATTGCAATCTGCTACGTGGTGAGAGCTAGCATTCACCATCTGGTGGACACTGAACAGAACCACACTTGTATTCTGTTGATGGCCATATCAATGGGTAGATTGTGACCAATTAAAAACCTTAAAAAATAGGAGATTTGGGGGACAGTTTCAATTAATGAAAATCTCCAGTAGCTATTTAGTCATCTCTTATGCCTTCAGATGAGGGTTGAGCAGGGGTTGTTTTCATTTGGGATGACTTCAGGCTGCATCTATGTCCCAAGTTAGGAGTTTGGGGAAGCTAGGTGAATTCCTTTAGGTCACCAGGGAAGCATTTATGGAATATGACTGCCTGGAAGATCTTTTAAATTCTCTGTGCTTTAGTTTCTTCCCAATATAAGAAATATAAATTGGGACTAACAAAAGACGCTCCTTCATAAGGGATTCTGAAGATAAAGTTAGACAGCATATGTAAAGCTCTTAGACTATGTCTGGCACATAATCAGAATTTTTGAGTGAGTGCTCTAATGATGAGGATGATTTCTACTACTGTGATATCTCAACCCCTGGAAAACATATTGGGAATCCCCAAACCACCAGTTTTAGAGTCAATAGATAATCAGATTTATGTTCCTGAGTTAAAAATGTATTTATTAAGATAAATAAATAAAACCAAAATTAACCCAGAAAGTAGGGGCTTAAATTTCTGGCCTCTTGAAAAAACTAGCCACAATTTCTCTTAAAGACATTAATTTTTAGGTTGTGTGTTCACCCGCTTCAGTCATTGTGTGGAGTGAAAATCCTTTAAAATATGTTACATAAAGTTCTTGGTTTATTAGGTGAACACAGTGCATTTGGGGCTTGTTTGGGTGGGGAAGTTGTGTGGTTTGCTGGGAAATTCCAAGCAAGGGCAGAAAGGAGAGGCCTCCAGGCTTCTGTCCGGAAGTCAGTGGCTTGGCTTCAAGGGACAAGTCCTGGTAGAAATGGGTAAAGCTATGCAGGTTACTGCTGTGTGGGGTGTTTACTAGTGAACATAATGAGGCTTCTGGCCTGACAACTGTTTTTGTTTCACATCCCATCAGCTGAGCCTGAGAGCCTTAAGGTGAAAGGAAAAGAACAAGGGTCGTGGAATTAGAATGTCAAGTTCAGTTACTTCTCAGCTGTGTGAACTTGGGTATGTTCCTTAACCTCTTTGGGTCTTGGTTTATTCATAAATGTAATGCTATGTAATATTTATTCATCATGATCACGTGTAAGAGCATTGCATAAGTTCTTTTTTTTTTTTTTTTAATTTAGACGGAGTCTCGCTCTGTCGCCAGGCTGGAGTGCAGTGGCACGATCTCAGGTCACTGCAACCTCCGCCTCCTGGGTTCAAGCGATTCTCCTGACTCAGCCTCCCAAGTAGCTGGGACTACAGGTGTGTGCCACCATGCCCAGCTAATTTTTTTTTTTTTGTATTTTTAGTAGAGACGGGGTTTCGCCATGTTGGCCAGGATGGTCTTGATCTCTTGACCTCGTGATCTGGCCACCTTGGCCTCCCAAAGTGCTGGGATTATAGGCGTAAACCGCCGCACCCGGCCGCATTGCATAGATTCTTTACCCTAAAACTTAAAGTATAATAAAAAAAAAATTCACTAAATAATTTTATTTTCATAAAAGCCCTATTTGGTAGGTACTGTTATCCCCATTTTGCACATGGGGAAACTGAGGTAGAGAGGGGTGAGTAACTAGCTATACTCACAAAGGCAGGAAGGGGTGGAGTCAGGTTTTGAACCCAAGCAGTCGAACTCCAAAGTCTACATGCATAGCCATCGTACTTTGCTGCCCTTTGACACAGTCAGCCTGTCACCGGGGGTTGCCGCTCTGAAGAGTAAGTCTGTTCATTTCTTCTAAATCCTAGTCCACTGTTTATCATGTAGGAAGTAGATGCTCTGTAGACATTAATGGTTGTTTTCCTTCCCCTTTCCTATTTCCTTTCAGCTGTCCTGGTAGACCCAGGTAATCAGGACTTAGTGGGTGCCTAGGAATGGGGTGAGAGATCTTGAGCCCCAATTTTCCCTGGGCAAGATCTCACCTGACTCTCAAATTCACCTTGTCTCATTTATTGCATGAAACTTTCTTTCACTTTTTCAGCCTTTATAGCACCAAGCTAGAAGGCATTATGTCATCTTATAAAACAAACCCTAAATTGAAAGGAAGAATGGCCTAGTTTGGTGTCCCTCTCAGCACACACCATTATGTCTTCATATGAAGCCGCCTAGTCAAGTAATATGTGAATGAGTTTTACACATATTTTAAATCTGCTTTGGAGTTCATCTATCTTTAAAAATGTATTTGATTTTTTTCCCCCTTTATTCTGCATGGTTTCAAAGTGGGGAGCTCCTTACTCCTTCCCTTTGGGTAAATAACCTCTATGGTGAAAGGTGTGGCACACACAGATTGGCCGCTGTGAAAACCAGACACACCTCTTCAGTGATTCTGTTTCTGTTTCCTCTTACTGGTGGTTAGGTTCCAAATTGTCCCTGTGGCTGGTGCCATGTTCCAGAAGCAGAAATATGTCATGGAAAAAGTAATGGCTCCAGGGAATAATGAGAGGTGGGCTTTAGTGCTTTCCTTTCTAAGTAGGAGCTGTGTTACCTTAGCAAATAACTGGCCTTTTCTGGAATCCTGTTTCTTTAATTGCAAAACAAGGAGGCAGTGTTAGTTCAACTGTTCCAAACTAGGGACTCCAGGATTTTGAGATCTCCCATGCAGGGATCCATTTTAATATTTTAAAACTAGTAATGCCGTTCAATGGGAAATAAAAACTTTTAAGACATGGAGTCCACAGAGAAAGGAGAAAATGAAAGAGATCACTGGCAGTGGAAAGTTGGGGAACAAGAATCAGTTCTTATGTATTTTTCTTGCAGCACTGTGCACATAAAGTCCTTGGTTTATTAGGCCAATAAGGCATATGATTTAATCTCTAAGTCTTAGTCAATCAGACATATTATTTACATCTCCAAGTCTTAGTTTTCTCATCTGTTAAAATACGAGGATAGTATACAATCCATATTTGGGGTTCAGAAGTTTGTTGTGAAGATTAAATGCATTTGAAGCACTTAGCCAATGACGCTCAGTACACTGTGGCTATTTTTCTAGTTCTTCAGTGTGGGTTTAAATTTACCCAGAAGGGATATTTTAGATTAAACGAGCCCCCACCCGATTATGTTGTAAATTTCCTTAGCTCTAGGGTGGGGTTATTTGGGTTGCAGTGAAACCAGGGATGGAACAGTTAATCACCACTTCCTTAGGAACTATAACCCAAGTGTGCTTTGTGCAAGCCTTTCAGCAGGATAAACCATCAACTGGTTACATCTGGGCCCAACCAGAATAGGCAAATGGAGAGAGGAGAGAAGGGAGAGGGAAACAAACATGAGACCAAAGCCCCTGGAACAGACAAGGCATTCCTAGTCTTTGCTGTTTATTGCATACACACTCTCAGTGATAATTGCTACCATTTAACCAGGACTTACTATGTGCCAGGCACTGGGCTAAGCATGTCTCATATACTGTTTTAATTTTCTTAGACACTCTATGAGCCACTCTCCCATCCATTGGCCAAAGCAAGTCACAAGGCAAGTCTAGATTCAAGGGATGGAGAAAGAGACTTCTCTTGATGAGAGGAGCAACAACGTCACATGGAAGGGGCACAGATAAAGGGTGGGGCCACTTTTGTCAGTTTGCAAATCTCCACAGTATAAGTAGTAGAGAAGATGATGCATTTTCCTGGAATAACGTCTGCACCCAAGAAAAAGGGAGTCAGGCGTCAGTCAAGTGCCTCCTTGTGTCTGAAATTCCTCTCATTACAAAGAGTCCAAGAGGCAGTATAATGGAAATGTGGTACCATTGTTTGAACTACTCAGGAGCCATATTGTAACTATTTGGAGAATTTTGTGCTTCCTGAATTTACCCAGTTTCTCCTGTTCAAAACAAGCCCCAGGCTAAATGTCACTTATCTGTTATCCCAAAGCTCTGCTAAGTGCTACATGGTTAGTTTGGTATCCAAAGCTGCAGACATTTCTACCAGCTTTTCCAAGGTAGAGAGAACAAATAATGAATCTTAACTTCTAGAAGTAATCAATCCCTCAGCTTATTAATTCATGAAAGTGGTTGTTCAAGGTTGAACCCGAAAGGTGCGATGTTTTTTTACTGTGGGGAGTAAGATGGATTCTTGGACGACTCGAGGTTTTTTCTATTTGCAACTGACACTGGCTTTCTGTATTTAATAGTGACAATGTAGTTTTTGTGAAACAATTTTGCTATATGTAAAAGTGAGTCAACTAAAATGTGAGCAAATAATACAGGGGATCTATGGCCAGGGCAAAAACCACAAAGATGGTATGTGAATGATTCTTGGTAAATGGAGTCACGTATACAAAAGCTTGGAAAGGCAACCACCTAGTTGAGAAAATTGAGGCCTGAAAGAAAGAAAACTGAGGCCTGAAAGAGGAAGTGAGCTGCTGAAAGTACTATACCTAATAAAGAGCAGCTCTGGGCTTGGTTGCAGCCCTCCTGCCTCTAAATTATTTTTATCTCCCACTGTACCAAACTACTCATTTCCTCTAAACCAAAAACCCCAAGTAAACAAAAATTACCTCCATGCGTGACCTGGTTTGGATATGTGTCCCCACCAATTTCGTGTGGAATTGTAATCCCCATTGTTGGAGGGGGTGCCTGGTGGGAAGTGATTGGATCATGGGGGCAGATTTCTCATGAATGGTTTAGTACCATCCCCTGGTACGGCTCCTGTGATAGTGAGTGTGTTCTCATGAGATTTGGTCCTTTTAAAGTCTGTAGCACCTCCCCTCTCTCTCTCTTGCTCCTGTTCCCACCATGTGAGACGCTTTGCTCCCCGCTTTCTTTCCACCCACCTTGCCTTCCACCTTGATTAGAAATTTCCTGAGGCCTCCCTGGAAGCTGAGCAGATGCCAGCATCATGCTTCCTGTACAGCCTGCAGAAATGTGAGCCAATTAAACTTCTTTACCAGTCTCAAGTGTTTTTTCATAGCAATGCAAGAACGGCCTAATACAGTGTGCAAACACATATTTTATTAGGAAATGTTACAAAATGAATAATATTTCCTACCATTTACAGCTAAGCACTTTACATGCTTGGTGATGAGAATGGTAATTATAATCATCATATATGAGGTGAATGTTTACCTTAGTATTTGGGGGAGTTGCCTCATAATTTTTTCATGGACTTACCCTATAATCAAAAATAAATTTGTACACGAAATCTGTAAATATACTATGTATGCTTTGAGAAAAATATTACCTTATAAACACATACTCATATATCCACATTAGATTAGAGAGATTTTTCTTACCAGAAATCACATTTACCCTTGAAAGAATAGGTGAAGATTAATAAATTAAAAATAAATATATTAAATTAAATACTGATACATGGTACAATGTTGCTGAACCTCAAAAACATTATGCAAAGTGAAAGAAGCCAGTCATGAAAGATTACATATTGTATAATTCCTTTTATATGAAATGCCCAGAAAAGGGCCAGGTGCGGTGGCTCACACCTGTAATCCCAGCACTTTGGGAGGCCGAGGCGGGCAGATCACGAGGTCAGGAGTTCAAGACCAGCCTGGCCGATGTAGTGAAACCTCGTCTCTACTAAAAATACAAAAAAATAGCTGGGGATGGTGGTGCATGCCTGTAGTCCCAGCTACTCGGGAGGCTGAGGCAGGAGAATCACTTGAACCTGGGAGGTGGAGGTTGCAGTGAGCCAAGATCGTGCCACTGCACTCCAGCCTGGGTGACAGAGTGAGACTCCATCTTGGGGAAAAAAAAAAAAAAAGAAATGTCCAGAAAAGGCAAATCTATAGAGACGGATTGTAAATTGGTGGTTGCTGGGGCAATGGAGAATATGTATAGGGTGTCTTTTTGGATGATAAAAATGTTTAAGAAGTAGATAGAGTGGTAGTTGTCCA
This sequence comes from Homo sapiens, assembly GCF_000001405.40. NCBI lineage: Eukaryota > Metazoa > Chordata > Mammalia > Primates > Hominidae > Homo > Homo sapiens. The sequence continues at coordinate 76,881,487 of NC_000009.12, read as the reverse complement.
ATATTGTGAATGGACTAAATTCCATTGAATTGTTCACTTTAAAATGGTTAATTTTATGTTATGTAAATTTCACTTCAATTAAAAATAACATATATATGTGTGTACTTACTCATATATACTCATAAACAACCCCATGCATGGCATTTTTATTATTTTATTAGTATAGTGCTTCTCAAACGTTTTGGTCTTAGATCCCTTTCCACTCTTAAAAATTAATGAGGAAGCCAGGCTCGGTGGCTCACGCCTGTAATCACAGCACTTTGGGAGGCCAAGGCGGGTGGATCACGAGGTCAGGAGTTCGAGACCAGCCTGGCCAATATGGTGAAACCCTGTCTCTACTAAAAATACAAAAATTAGCTGGGTATGGTGGCGCACGCCTGTAGTCCCAGGTACTTGGGAGGCTGAAGAAGAAAAATCGCTTGAACCCAGGGGGAGGGAGGTGGAGGTTGCAGTGAGTCTAGACCACACAACTGCACTCCAGCCTGGGCGATAGAGCGAGACTCCGTCTCAAAAAAAAAAAAAAAAAAATTAACAAGGATGTCCCAGAGCTTCTATTTGTGTGTGTTATATTTATCAATATTTACCATATTAGAAATGAAAAATGGGAAAAAATTATTTATTTTTTAATTTGTTAAAAATAACATAAACATGTTTCATGTTAACAAAATAACATTTTATTTAAAATAACTATATTTTCCAAAACAAATACATCTTAGTGAGCAGCAGCTAGTTCAGCTCACAATTCAAATAATCGCACAATTGCTTTTACTTCTAGATAATGCTTCGTCTTCAAAATGCAAAAGACATGCTTTATGCGTACTTCCCATTTGATCACAGAGTATTAAAAAATATGTGTGTACTCAAGGTTTGGGATTTAATTAAATTAATTTATTTTTTAATGTTTCATTGAGGAAATTCACAAGTGAAACTAGCAATTTTGGTCCTGTGAGGTCACAGCTGTGAAGAGTACAGTGACTACTAGCATAATTTGATAGATTAAGGCTCTGGCAGTTTTACTCACCACTGCTTTTGTGCAGACGTCTACCCAGCAAAAAAGCCATCAGTACAAATGTCTACACAGCAAAAAAGGCAAATAGTGTCTTCTAATTTTCATGAAAATAGATTTGACTTCACAGACCTTCTCAAAGTTACCCAGGGACCCCCCTGCGGTCTGAGGACCACAAATGAAGGACTTTGATTCCTCACAGTGAAGTACAGGAATTGTGAATTATGTGTACTTAAAACATGGATGGCTTTAAAAAATGACAGGCCTCTGGCCAGGCATGGTGGCTCACGCCTGTAATCCCAGCACTTTGGGAGGCCGAGGAGGGCGGATCACAAGGTCAGGAGATCGAGACCATCCTGGCTAACACGGTGAAACTCTGTCTCTATTAAAAATACAAACAATTAGCCGGGCGTGGTGGCGCGTGCCTGTAGTCCCAGCTACTCGGGAGGCTGAGGCAGGAGAATGGCATGAACACCAGAGGCGGAGCTTGCAGTGAGTCGAGATTGCACCACTGCACTCCAGCCTGGGTGGCAGAGTGAGACTCCGTCTCAAAAAAAAAAAAAAAAAAAAAAAAAAAATATATATATATATATATATATATATGACAGGCCTCTTTCTTACAGAACTGAGTAATCTTTACAGTGGAAATAAAAAACGGGGCCTTGTGTTAATCAGATTTCAGATCTTCTTTTTTGATATACCTCCACCTCAGGGTCTTTGCTGTACCCTTTGCTGAGAATGCTTCTCTTCCAAATGTGCAACAAACCCTCCCGCACTTCCTTTGGGGCCTTACTTAACTATCATTCCAAGGAGGCTTCTTTGGTCACCTTATTGAAAATATTGTTCCCTTTCCAAGACACACACACACACAATTACTTTTCCCTGTTATTTTTTTCTTCTTAATATTCATCTCTATTTGATATGTTACACATTTCATTTATTTAGTTTATTTCCTTGTTCCTCATTAGAATATAAGCTACATAAAAGCAGAGGTTTTAATCTATTTTGCTAATATCTCCTGGTTTGCTTTATATCTGCTGTGGTGTTCAGTAAATATTTGTTCACTGATGTTGAGTAAACATTTGTCAAATGTTGTTGAGTATAGCATAGCTAAAAGTTTGCTGTAGACATTCATTGTGTCTTAACAAAATCGGGGTGTGCAGATGGCCCCAACATGTATTACATAAGATATGCAATGGAAAAATGGTTTTATGATCAAATAAGTTTGCAAAACATCTCTTTCTGTCTGTTTTCTTTCTCTGTCTCTCTCATACAGACCACATACACGTGGAGATTTACAGTGAACTAACATGAAGCATCTGAGAGGGCCTGTGATGTGGCCATGTGTTTAAACATTGTTAAACTCAATATCTTTCAAACTGTTTACTAGTGCTCACTGGAACACACTTTGGAAAATGCTTTCCTATGCACAGGCTTCCTGACTCACTTTTCATCATGGTTGTGAGGGTCGACTGGGGTAAAAGCTATGGATTTGGTTAGTATATTCTGTAAAGCTATTCCAATGTAAGATTTTATCATTAGTTCAAGTGGAAAACAAAACAAAAAAATACTTTCTAACTCCTAATTTTGTTTGCTGGTAAAACAGTTTGGTGATGGAAAGGACTAGAAGGGAAGTCTTTGTATAATTATGTATTTAATAATATACACTTTAAAATAAGAGTAATTCCTTGTAATTCAGATTGCTTTTGGGTGAGTAGGTGGGGGTTGTCAGGACAAAGTAGTAGGATTTTTTTAAGTTTTAGAAGACAGCTTAAGAAATGCTCTAATCCTAATGGTACCTGCCACAAAACCAATTAACCCAGGAGAATGAATACCTTGTCCTTGCAGATTTTACAGATCATAAAGGAAGAAAATCTCTAAAGACTACGTAATATTCTTACCCCTCCTCAGAAATCTTTACTGAACTCTAAGTTTTCTGAAGTTGGTGATCTAGCCCACATCTCTTAGTGAATAGTCAACAGAGCTTCTCTCTAAGGATTCAAGAGCTCTCTGGACAGTGGGTCTTCTGTGGTCCTCTCTAAGCAACTTTTCATTGCACAGATAGAAGCGACCTGACTCTAGATGAGAAAAATGAAGCCAAGAGGGCAATCGCTTCTTCATAACAGCACTGTGGTTCACCTTCTTGCTCATGACACCCTCCCTGCCTACAAAGAATTCCCACCTTGGAACATGTCCATGAGCTTTAAGAGTGGACTCTTCCACCTGCTCTTCCCTTTTCCTTCTCTTTGGCCATCTTCAAAGAGAATGCTTGGTTCTCTAACTGGCTGTCCTGTCCTTGGGGTCAGCCTGCATTCTTGTGCCCAGAGTCATCAATACCTTGACTCTGCAGTGGCCTCAAGGACTATCTGATTCACCATAGTGCTGACCTGTCTTCTGCAGAACACAATTTCTGAGAAATCAGCAGGACCTGCAGCATCTTGCTGATGCAGCTATTGATTCCTACCTCTGCCTTGCTTGATCAGCTCTGGAATCTATTGATAACACTACCACTGCTAAATCCCCACTTCCTGCTAAGTCCAGATTCCGCATCTCTACCGCTTAGGGTCATGGTGTATCTTACACTATACCTAAGTAGTTTTTATGTTCTGTCTTGAGCAAATCTGTCCACTAAACAGGTATTCTCTCTAAGCCCTAGTGGCTGGAAGTGATATTATAAAAGGTAGCAGTTGCCTGCCCCTGTAAAAACATTTAACTGTGCATTATTTATAACCCAGAGAAAATTTTCCTTCTTCAAATGGCAGATTATTCATTCACCGATGCTTGATTACTGTACTCTAATGTCTCAGTATTTCTTATGTATTAATCAAACAAACCTCAAGAGATATTCAGCAGCTGGGGGGATCACTTTTGGGTAGTCTGATTGGAGGGGTTCCTAGAAGGACACCTCAGAGTCTTGAGTGCAGCAATTCATGAAATTCTACCATTAGAAAGCTGTTCCTTTGTGTGTGTGTGTGTGTGTGTTTTAATTGAGACAGGGTCTCACTCTGTCACCCAGGCTGGAGTCAAGTGGCACAATTTTGGCTCACTGCAACCTCCGCCTCCTGGGTTCAAGCAAGCCTCCCGATTAGCTGGGACTACAGGTGACTGCCACCACACCCGGCTAATTTTTTGTATTTTTAGTAGAGATGGGGTTTCGCCATGTTGCCCAGGCTGGTCTCGAACTCCTGAGCTTAGACAATCTGTCTGTCTTGGCCTACCAAAGTGCTGGGATTACAGGCATGAGGCACCGCGCCAGGTCTGAATTTTTTTTTTTTAATGAAAAATGTATAGGTCCTCTTTTAAAATGCACATCTTCCTGGGATACCTCTTCTATACCCATGTTCTTTTGTAGACTTGTTCTAGAGCATTAAAGCTTGAAGGGAATCTTAATGATCATTTGGTCCAGTCTCATTATTTTAGAGATGAAGATATGAGGCTGAGAAGACACATATATCTAGATCAAAGACTCACTGCTAGTTAGCAGTAGAGTTGGGCTCAGTATCCTATGTCTCCTGCCTCTTTTCCAGAAAGCTTTATGTGTCTTATGGTATCCTGAGGAGACAACTTTCTTTCAGATGTGTCAACCTGTATTATATTCCATGCTTAAAAATATCTCATGTAATGCAGTTTGATTAGCATTTCTCTAGAGTCACTGTAATTCTAGAGATGGCAGGCACTGGGGTAATTATATATAAAATTTCCTCTTGGGTTTAAGTCACTTCCAAGATCCAATGGTTATTTTAAAACTAGTGTGGGAAGTAGCTTATTTGGCTAGCAGCGGTATTAGAAACAGAAGAGTTAGAATGACTGGCAGGTGCTGATGATCTCTTTGTTGATTCCACTAAAAATGGTGGGACAGTGTTGGGCCTCATTCCCACCCAAAAACGCCACCAAGTGTAATAGGTATGTCTAGGTGGGAGGGAGGAGCCCCGAGTAGCACAGAAAGAGGGAATAGGTCAAGGGAAAGAAAGAGAAAATTTTAAATCTATTTGTTTATGTAGGTGCCTCCATGGAATCAATATCACCCATTGCCTGCCTTGGAAAATTTCTGAAAAGTCCAGGGGAATCTGGCCCCCAAAAAGGGTCAGTATTGTGAGCAGGAGGAACCCTCAGTGCCTCTAGCATTGTGGGTCATGGACATGGAATGCTTTTCCTTGCAGAAAAACAGGAAGTGTTCCAAGCAGAACATGCTATTCCTTGCTTCGACAATTCTCTGTAATTCACTTGAGTCAAATCCAGAGAAATTTTGAGTTCTGCTTATTCATTGTGTATTTTTATTTCCATCTATCTACTTAAATGGTTTTCTTCTAAAATCCAAGACGGTTCCTCTGTGTCTAGTTGCTTCATTTTTCTTGAAACAGATTTTGCAAGCAGATTTGTAGAGATGATTTTCTCTACCTCACAGGAAATAGGAATTTCTACTACTAGTATGCCATAGAGCCATGATTCTTAAATGTTTGTGCGTATTGCATTCACCTGGGGAGCTTGTTCAAAACACAGATAACTGGGCCCCACTCCAGATCTACCTGATAAGAACATAGCAGAATGGGACCAGGGCTATGTGTTTTTAACAGTTATTCTTGGTGCCTTCTGCACCCACCCTATGATTTTGATGTTCTCCCAAGTTTGAGATACGTGTCAAAGGGACATAGATAGGAAGAAAGGATGGATAGCAGTGGTATGACTTGGGTGTTGAGAGAACCTCTGTGCCCACATTCCCTATTCATTCTATTATAAACATTTATTGAGTCACTATTTACTATGTGCAGAGAACATCTTGAGACTTTGGACTCACACAGGTGGCTAAAACACAGAGCCGGCTGGGCATGGTGGCTCACAGTTGTAATCCCAGCACTTTGGGAGGCCAAGGCGGGCAGATCACAAGGTCAGGAGTTTGAGACCAGCCTGGCCAATATGGTGAAACCCCGTCTCTACTAAAAATACAAAAATTGGCCGGGCATGGTGGCACGTGTCTGTAGTCCCAGCTACTCGGGAGGCTGAGGCAGGAGAATCACTTGAACCTGGGAGGCGGAGGTTGCAGTGAGCCGAGATCATGCCGCTGCACTCCAGCCTGGGCGACAGAGCAAGATTGTCTCAAAAAACAAACAAACAAACAAACAAAAAACACAGAGCTAGCCCTCAAGTTGCTCACAGTTTGGGACAAATAGATATGATAACATCTATTTACAACCCAGAAATCTCCAGTACTGAAGAGTATTGAAGGTGGTATGGGTGGGGAGGTCAGTGTAGATTTCACAGAAAAAAGTGATATTTGAGCAGAGTTTTGAAAGAAGAGTCACAGTTCTCTGGGCAGACAATGGGGAAGGGACGTCTAGGTAGAGGGAGGTGCTGGTGCAAAGGCTTGGGGGTTGAAAAGTGTGTGAGATTGGGACCTGGAATACAGGTGCTGTCTGTATGGTTGAAACACACTGGGGTGTGTGTAGCGGGAGAAAAGCTTGGAAAAAAAGGCCTCAGAAGTATAGATTTTTGGAGGCAGATTATAGCAGAAAGATCATTGACAAGAAAATAGGTTGTATGCAAGTAAAATTATTGTTTTATAATTTGTTACTGACATTTTATTGTTGACTCATTATTAATTAATGTAGTCCCCTGCACTACAGCACTACCTCAGCCCACTTTTGATCTCATCTCATGATAATTAATATACTTTGTCTGCTGCAAACTCATTCTACCCTTTTAAGAAATTTCTTCCTTTATTTTTCTCTCATGCTCTGGTTCTGAGGCGATGCTTGAGCCTGTATTTCCTAGCATTATTTCTGTTAGGTTTGTGAACCATCTTATTAAAATTTATGTCTGGTTCCTTTAAATGTTAATTCTAAATTAAGCAGCAATACCAAATGAAGCTCGAGCGATGGGATGGAAAATGTCCACTGTCTTTTTCCTATTAGACTGACCTATGAATATATCTCAGATTTTTTTTTAAGTTTTCATTTCTTTTTAATGTCAAGACAACTTAGTAAAGCTCCATCTAGAGTTTTAACTTAATGGCTGTCAGAATCAGCCTTGATAATTGCTTCTTTTGGGTTATCTGCATGTCTTCTTTCCATCGGTAACAAAATCAATACTGACACCAATTCAGAGCATTAGACTCCCCAACATGCTTTCATGTGCACTTTTTAAATGGTTTGACCAGCAACCCTCTGAATTTCACAGGATATCATTATTATTGTTTTCCAGTGTAACAGGTGAGGAAACAGAGACTTAGCCTCATTAAAAATTTGCTGTACTAATGATATTTTTTGAATATTTAATATGGCTGGTATTTTATGTGACTCTTTGGGAGACAGTCAGTTCTCCTTCCTTTTAAAACCCTCAATAATGGAGCCACCAAAGCCAAAGCTTTAAGTGCTGGTGTGGCCTTTTGGTATTCATGATTAAGATCACATTTATTTGTACTAATGATTCAGTATTACATCTCCCGAAGAGATGTACTGAGCAAGCACTGCAGTGACAAGATAAGTTGCCCTGTTTTGTTCCATATGTCTGTGCTCTAAGTATTCCATAGTTTTAATTGGTTCCCTGCAGAATAACATTTATAAGCATATGGTATGGAAAATGCTGACTGCTTTTGTTATCATGTATTTTAGTACTTGCGGTGGCCCCAGTTCACTTAGCCTTTAAATGTGATTATGAGGTTATTTAATGCACTTTATGGAGTACTTTTCCTTAACCTGCCTACCAAGTGTTAAATGCCATCGATATTGTGTATCGGGTAGCCCGTCCATAGTTGGCCAGAGCACAAATTCACAAAAGCTTTCATCATGGGTTTGTGCTGCAAGGATGTTCTCTCTCTCCTCGCCTCATATGCAGTTTTCAAAGGCACTGTGAGGCTGCCTTCAATTATGCTTGAGAGGAAGACGCGCTGTTGGGAGCCCGAAAGAGCCAAGAGGCACACAATAGAGCTCTCTGGCGCCTCGTTTGGGAGATTTACCAGCGATCCCTTGAAAAGGGAAAAGGGATTACAGATGTGAAATTAGACACAAAGATTGAAGAGGGGACCAGCTGTATTTTTGGATATTAGAGTTACTTTGGCACTTTTGGGTGGTTTCCTCGGGAAGTACAGTGGCAGAGTGTAGCTGAATTATTAATATTTCTGAGACTATATACAAGGCTTCTTTTAAAAAAACTTTTATTATGGAAAATCTAAAACATATACAAAAGTGGAAAAAATTGCGTAATTAATCCTCAGTGGACCTATGACTTAGTGTACTAGTTTTCTAGGGCTGATATAACAAACCACCAAAAATGGAGTGGCTTAAACAACAGAAATTTACTGTCTCACAGCTCTGGAGGCTGGAAGTTCAAGATCAAGATGTTGTCAGGGCCAGGCTTCCTCGGAAGGTACTGAGGAGGGATCTGTTCCAGGCCTCTCTCCCAGCTCTTGGTGGTCTCAGATGATCCTTGGTTTGTGGATGGGCTTCTCCCTGTGTCTTCACATCACCTTCCCTCTGTTCACGTCTCTGTGTTTAAATTTCCCCTTTTCATAATGTCACAGTCATGTTAGATAAGGGTCCATCTAATGACAGCATTTCAGCTTAACTAATTACATCTGCATGACCCCAGGTCCAAATAAGGTTATATTCTGAGGCACTGGGGGATAGGACACCAACATATGTATTTGGGGAAGGACATAATCCATAACACTTACCTTCAATAATTATCAATGTTTTGCTAATCTTGTTTCATCCGTTCCTTAACACACATACACACTTTTGTTTCCTGGGATATTTTAAAACAAACCACAGACATCATGTCATTTTACCTGTAAGTTTTTCAGTATATATCTCTGACCAATAGGGAGTTTTGAGGTGTGAGGGTGTGTGTGTGTGTGTGTGTGTGTGTGTGTGTGTGTGTGTGTGTTTTCCATAATCATCATGTAAAATTGTTTTTTTAACTTAATGAGAATCATGAAAAGAAGAGTAGAGGCTCCTGCTACTTTTCAGCCTGGGAAACTCTTATCTTTCTTCCCTTGAAGAAAGGCAAAAGTCACCTCCTCTGTGAAGCCTTCCCAACACTTAGGGCAATTAATGGCTCCTGTCCACTGCGCCCCCACATTGTTCTTCCATGACTTGTAATGCGTAAGTAATTGTACTGTATTTGTAGCAGGGTGCAGCAGAGGTGAAAAAAGACTGGCTTTTGTGCATCGTTGCTCTGTCTCTCTTCCTCCACTTCTTAGAAGAGACGTTTCTAGAAGCCCATTGAGGGGCAAAGAGCTGAGGAGGAGCTCAGGGAGGGGATGCGGTGGGGAGGGTTTGAATGTGCCTGTGACGATGCTTGGAAGGTGGGGCTTGCAGATGCTGCACCCTCAGTGGAGGTTGCTGGCCATGAGGGCACAGGGTTCCAGGGCCTACCCTTCCAGGTGCCAAGGACTCTTGTGGGTTTGGCATGGTATCTGTTGTTTCTAGGTGGGGCCAAACAATAGAAGCCTTCTATGTATGCAGGTGTTTGTGGTCACCTGTATAAATGTTGACTATTTTCATTTTTTACAATGTCACTATCTACAGCGTAATTTTAAGAAAATTGTCGTAACTAGGCTGGACGTGGTAGCTCACACCTGTAATCCCAGCACTTTGGGAGCCTGAGGCAGGCAGATTGCTTGAGGCCAGGAGTTTGAGACCAGTCTGGGCAACATGGTGAAACCCCATCTCTACTAAAAATACAAAAATTGGCCAGGCGGGGTGGCATGTACCTGTAGTCCCAGCTACTCAGGAGGCTGAGGCAGGAGAATCACTTGAAACCAGGAGGTGGAGGTTGCAGTAGGCTGACGTTGTGCCCCTGCACTCCAGCCTAGGTAACAGAGTGAGACTCTGTCTTAAAAAAATTGTCATAGTAATTTATATTTGCCCCAAGATAATCAAGATTGACCACTGTAAGTTTAAAAACACATATAAAATGGCTAGCAGATAGAGTGAGGAAGGGCTGAGCAGGGCCTTGGAGGCCCAGGATTACCAAAGCACTAGACACAGCTGTTAGCCAACATAGTTCAGTTATCTCTTGGTTTCCACAGGGAACTGGTTCCAGGACCCTCCCTGGATACCAAAATCTGTGGATGCTCAAGTCCTTGATATAAAATGAAATAGTATTTGCATATAACCGACATGCTTCCTCCTGTATACATTAAATCATCTCTAGATTACTGATAATGCCTAATACAATGTAAATGCTATGTAAATTGTTGAAGGAATAATGACAAGAAAAAAGTCCGCATATGTTCAGTACAGATACAACCATCCATTTTTTTGTTTTTCTTTGAGTGTCTTTTATGCCTGGTTGGTTGAATCCATGAATGTGAACCCAGGGATATGGATGACTGGCAGAGAGGGAGGTGGTCCTTAAATGCACAGGCTTTGGTGATCCTCATTCTAGGACAGTTACAGTCTATATGGACCAAATTTATCTGTCACATAGGGATAACGTAGGATTCCCACACAGGGTTCTGAGAATTTTGTGAAATGATGTCAGGCTCAGAAAAACAACATGATCCATAGTAGCTGCCCAGCAGTTGCTTTGTAGGCACCATTCACTTTGGATTTTATGTGAATGGCACTCCCTGGAGTTGTGCAATGGTGAGGTACTCTTTGCTGCCGTATTGTTATTAACTGGTTGTTGCCACTTAGGTTTCTGTCTTCAGTTATGGGGATTTGCTTCAGTTATGGGGATATGATGATGTCAAACCTGCCTGTCTTCTCTTGCCCTCACTCCACATCTTACTGTCAACATCCCCTACCACCACATCTGGAAACCAACCCATTGAGGATTTTTTTTTTTTTTTTTTGAGACAGAATCTCGCTCTGTCACCCAGGCTGGAGTGCAGTGGCGCAATATTGGCTCACTGCAAGCTCCGCCTCCCGGGTTCACGCCATTCTCCTGCCTCAGCCTCCCGAGTAGGTGGGACCACAGGCACCCGCTACCACGCCCAGCTAATTTTTTTGTATTTTTAGTAGAGACGGGGTTTCACCGTGTTAGCCAGGATGGTCTCGATCTCCTGACCTTGTGATCCACCCACCTCGGCCTCCCAAAGTGCTGGGATTACAGGCGGGAGCCACCGCACCCGGCCGGAGGATTTTTTTTTTAGCATGTTCTCTCTCCTTTCCACTCTGAGGCTCTAAAGAGGGAACTAAATTATCAGCGAATTAAATTATGAGTGTATTAAAAAGTTACTCCTTGTTGCAAAAAAAAAAAAAGTTAGGGAGTCTTGCTCTCTTCTTTTGACAAGAATTTATATTTAATAGGACCTATTTTACAGCTATTTATTATGGCAAAAGATTTGGGTGATCCGATGCATTTTTATTATGTATTGTTAAGGTTTTCATAATATTTAAAAATCTTTTTCATGTGTTAATCTCTGGATATGTATTTTTTTATTCAAAGTCCAATAAAAAAGTAAAGCAACAAAATATTCTTCTACTATAACAGCATTCTTTTTAATGTGGCTGACTTATTTAGAACATCAAGATAGAAAACATTTCTGTATTAAAGGTCCCTTCCATAATCTATTTAGTTAATGATCTCCCTTAAAATTACAAAAATAAAATTCAAATTGATAATATCAAAAAATTTTCCAATTGAGGGGCTCTGGAGACCCAAGTCAGTTCTCCTCATAGAAGAGAGAAGACAAAAGGAAAATGTTTGAGCAGCTGAAAAATAGGTTATTTACTACTTAGAATCATAAAACCGTATTTTCCCAAGGTGGGAAGCCTCTGATGCTTAGAATACTTTAAACTTTCCTTTGGGAGAGCTTGTTCTTAATAGAGCATGATACTCAGTTTATATCAACATGTTTATGCTTTTAAAATATCAGTGAAATAATATGGAATTTATATATGCGTGCATTTCTATATCTTGCTGCATCTGCATTTACTTTCTATTGCACTGTTCTCTGCTATAAAATGTGTATTTTAATAAACATTTTTTGAATATCTACTGTGCACCAGATACTGTTTAGTTTTAAAAGGGTTTTCTATTTTGCAAAATATTTTGAAAGAGAGAGAGAGAGAAAGAGAGAACGATCCTGAGAGGTCACCTGGAAGGTGAGAGTTCTTCTGTCACTGAAAAACACACAGTGTAATAAATAATGGCATCATTAAAAACTGTCGTCTTTGCAAAGTACAGTAATTGCTCTGCAGATCCCTCGCACATTTCCCTGTGAACCTGCATACCTGCACCGTACTGGAAACAATCTTCTCCTCCCTCCCACTTCCAGTCGCTTATCTATTCATTACTGCCATGTCTGAGTGGGTTTCAGACATGCCAGGTGTGTGGTGTCACTGGCCTGACGTCCATTCCAAATGCAGACATTTACACTCGTGAGTATTAAAGCAATAGATCTTCCTTATGACAACAAAAAGCTGACTGCAGAAAAGCAAAGCTTCTGGGAAAAGTCTTCGAGCGCGTCTTGGCTTGTTCATAGGGGGAGAAGACCTGACTAATTAGCTCCAGCCCTTCTAATCCGAAGGAGCAGAAATAATTAAAGTATCTGGGGCAAGCTGTGCCGCACAGCAGCAGGCTACAGAAGGGGCGACGCGGTAAGAGGACGTGATCTTAACACAGGCTCACAAAAGAAAGTTCTGGGAACTTAGTGTACAGCGGCAGAAGCCTTTCCTTCCCCCCCGCCCCCCCCCCCACCCCCCAAGGATCTGTTAAAGTAAAATTATTTATGAATCACAATTTTTTTCAATAAAATGAAAATACTTTAATCTAGAATAGAAGGGAAATTCCTACCAAAAATTAGGGCTGCTTAATTATTAAGATACTAGTCTTCAGGGCAAATTTGAGAAGTCGTAACAATTTTTTCTGATTGCTATTGCATATTGACGCTAGGTGAGTTGGCTGTTGCCCTGGGCAGAAGTCCTTTGTCTTAGAGACACTGCTGTGAATGATCATGTACATGTGATTGTGTAAATATTAGGGGAGAGGGGAGGGTTCTATCCTACAGAATTCCCTAATGGCTGTTAACTAACTTCCGTGGTCCTCCCGTATGCACCTTGTCCAGGGGATTGCTAGGGATGGTGGGCACAGTAAACCAGCTCAGGCCTGAGTGTATGTGTGGACACCTGCAAGGCAGCCTCATGGCACATGTCTGTGCAAAGATGAACAGTTTGTTTTTCAGAAGGTTCTGTATTCTAAGTGGAGGGCTTGGAAACGTGTTTGGAAGAGTGGAAAAAGACAGGTGGAAGAGTTTCGAATGGTATCATAGCTTTGTTATTTTGGATGTTTTTCTCCATTTTTGATATAAGTTACTATAAATGTCCTATGCCACCATTTACTGCCTGTCATGTATGTACTGAGTCATATGAGGTTTTTTCTTGATGTATTGTCAGGAAACAGTTAATAAAGAAATCTCGTCTACACCCACCTCGCATATAGAGTGGGTTTCTTTTTCCTGTCTACGGGAAAAAGGAATGACATGAAAAGCAGGAAGCACCCCTGAGTGCTCTAGTGAATTAAGATTGGAACCAGAATTTGGGGCTATTTCTCCACATCTTATTGTTTTTGTCTTAATTTGTAGCCAGGATAAATATTTAGATACATGTACACAAGAGCCTAGGAATAACATTAGGCTGTCAAGATTAAGAGAAAAAAGCAAAACCGGCCGGGCGCAGTGGCTCACACCTGTAATCCCAGCACTTTGGAAGGCCGAGGTGGGCGGATCACAAGGTCAGGAGTTCGAGACCAACCTGACCAACATGGTGAAACCCTGTCTCTACTAAAAATACACAAAAAAATTGGCCGGGCATGGTGGCACGCGCCTGTAATCCCAGCTACTCAGAAGGCTGAGGCAGGAGAATCACTTGAACCCAGGAGGTGGAGGTTGCAGTGAGCCGAGATTGTGCCACCGCGCTCCAGCCTTAGGGACAGAGTGAGACTCCGTCTCAACAACAACAACAACAACAAAAGAGCAAAACTGCAAAAAGCAAAGCAAGGTGAGGGCTCTCAGTCCTTACTTTTCCTCCAGTCATTTTTTCTGATACTGAATCAACCTGACAGCTCTTGGAAGTATTGCTGATGTAGCCTTAAATTCTAGCTCCACTGAGAACAATTTCCTTGTTCAGTTATATCACAGGAGATGGTGTTTGAATCATGTCAGCGTGGTGTGTGATCGTTTTGCGTGGTCTGATGCGGTTCGTTTTTTCTTTGTTGGGTACCCATGGTGTCATAAACACACTGTTGTTCTCCCCTACCCTCTCCGCATAAGATAAAAGATAAAAAAGAAAGCCATGAACAGCATGAAACACCTGCTGGCGGGGGCGGGGGCGGGGGGTTGATGGTGTTGTGGGAGAGGACAGAGCAGTTGGTGGGGGAGGAGAAAGGTGCGTGGGATGGCAGACAACCCATTCCCTTGTTTTTGCTACTCTAATCTCAGCCTAGGCTATAGCTGCCCAGGAACTCAGAATTTGGGCTTCTTATTTATTGCTTTGATTCACTCTTTCAGCAAATATTTGGTTGACTAATACCAGGCACAAGTCTGAGTGCTGATTCACCTCCACAGATTGAAACCGAAGACATGACCCGTTGTCAAGAATGTGCACACAGGGGCCTGGGCTGTTCACAGCACCGGGCGGAAAGGGCATTCCCTCCCTCCTCCCTCCCTTCTGACCATCCGCTCCCTCTCTCCCTCTTAACTTCCTCCCTACTTCCCTCCCTCTCTTCCTCTTCCTTCCATTCTCTCTCGCTCTTTCTCTCGCTCTCTTTTCTTTCCCTTCCTCCTTTCTTACCCACTTCCTTCCTTCCTCTCCTCCCTTCCTCCTTCCTTTCCTTTCTTTCTTCCTTCCTTCCTTCCTTTTTTGTACTTAAGTTTTCAAACATACGTCAGCAGAGAGGCCAAAGAGAACTCCACGTGCCCATCTCCCAGCTTCAAAAATTGCCAGCGTTTTGCAAAAAGGGCTAAAGTTGAATACTTAACAACCCTTGGGGAAGGCAGGCGTATGTCTTGTTGTCATTCTACTTATGAATAGGCAGTAGGAAGTTATTTGAACTTTACAAAATATTTCCCACATTTTGTCAACCGAATGAGACACTATAATAACTACAAAATATCGCAAAAAACACTATATGAAGTTTTGGAATTTGTTAGAAATCACTGTATGTAAAATCAGTGCCTAAGGGCAAAACCCTTGTACCTCTGATTATTAATATAATGGATATAGTTTTTGTCTTGAAATCATTTAAACTTGAATTTCAGAGTGACTTTATGCTAGACATGCATTGATCATGCAAGTGTTGGGGACAGAGCTAAGAAACACCTGGTAGCTAATTAGAATTATGCCCTTCTAATTTGGTGGTTTCTGTATCTATGTTAGGCCCCAGGATTGGGCCTGCTGGATGTGCATGTACTAATAGCAAGTCATGTTTTGGTAGAGTTCAATAGTGTACCTGTACACACTGCTTGAGATATTTAAAAATGAAATTATTGCAACTGCTATATCTTCAGAATAATAGATGAATTAGAATGTGGTAGCAACTCAGAAGTCAAGAATCTTGTCTTGAGAGAAAAGAGGAAAATATGTGATGACTTAATACTCATAAAATCCATTACTTTATAAAATCATTTTAATTCAGTTTTGGAACTTTAGATCATGAAGTGGGCATAATGCACATGTCATAATGCTCTGGTGTGTGTGTGTGTGTGTGTGTGTGTGTGTGTGTGTGTGTGTAGGGAGAGAGAGGGAGAAAGAAGGGAGAGAAATGAGAGCCTGTTAAGGTTGAGACAGGAATGATTATTTGCAGCCTATAGTATAACTTTTGACTTTTGTGCTATTAACAAGGTTTTATCCCATGATACTGTTATTTCATAAGAACATGACAAAGACATTACAAGAAAGTTAAAAATTATCTTCTGCCCAACTATTATATCCGATATTATCATTTTCACTGACAAAAATTGATTGGAGCATCTCCTGTGTGCAGCACGCTGCCTTAGGAAGTCTTGGGGACACAAAGGCCTGAGGATCTCAGTTGGCTGAGCTGTAAAAACCAGTCTCCAACCCTTGTTCATTGTACAGTGAGATTAGTAATAGTCTTTTGAATACTTTATCTTAATGCATACATTTATTTCTGAATTCTACTGTGTATTACTGTACTAGAATATAAGGAACATTGTAATACATTTTTTATTATTTATTTTTACTTTTGTAGCGGCAGGGTCTCACTATGTTGCCCAGGCTGGTCTCGAACTCCTGACCTCAAGCAGTCCTCCTGCCTCAGCCTTTCACAGTGTTGGGATTACTGGCATGAGCCACCATTTCTGGCTGTAAAACATATTTTAAAAAACAGAAAATGTAAAAGGATGACATAAATAGGCATTTGCATTGTTTCTTCTCTAACACTGAGGTGCACTACCTCATTTTGGAAATCACTGAAGGGTTTCAACTGGGTGAATCCTGAGGCCTCTGCTAACACTGAACTTCAGCAAATCTAAATAACATAACAGCAATTCTCTGAAACTGTGCTTGATCTAGAGCAACTCAAGCAGTGCTTCTCAAAAAACAATTGCAGATATATTCTGCAGTTGACAGGGACCACATGGTCCTTGAGAGCTTATCGTGGGTCCTCTTTAAGGCAATTGTTCCCAGACCTGGCTGCTCATGACAATCAGTCATAATATTTCTATCCATCTGATGAGCCAAAATAAAGAAGACATTTTATTGTTGGTCTAATTTGCATTTCCATGACTACTAATGAGACTGAATATCTTTTCATATATTCATTTCTTATTCTCTTAATTGCCCCGATCACATCCACTGCTGATGATTCCATTGGGTTGTTTGTCTTTTTAAAAATCAATATATAGGAACCCTTTGTGTGTCAGAAATATTGCCCTTTTAATGGCAAAATGGTACAACTATTATGCAAATATTATCATCCCCTCTGTTATTTGCCTTTTATCATTCTTTTTGGTGCTATTGTCCTACCAAAATGTTCTTACTTTTAAAGACATTTGATAATGAACTGTTTGACACCTTAGATTTTTATTTATTTGTTTATTTATTTATATTTATTTATTTATGTATTTCTTTAGGATCCAGGGAATACATATGCAGGTTTGTTACATGGGTGTATTAGGTGCTGCTGAGGTTTAGGATACAGATGGTCCTGTCACCCAGGTAGTGAGCATAGTACCCAATAGGTAGTTTTTCAGCCTACACCCTCCTTCCTGCTACCCCCTCTGGTAGGCCCCAGTGTCTGTTGTTCCCACATTTACATCCATGTAGAGTCAATGTTTAGCTCCCACTTATAAGTGAGAACACACAGTACTTGGTTTTCTGTTCCTGTGTTAATTTGCTTAGGATAATGTCCTCCATCCAGCTCCATACATTTTGCTGCAAAGGACTTGATTTTGTTCTGTTTTATGTCTGTGTAGCATTCCATGGTGTGTTTGTACCATATTTTCTTTATCCAATCCACGTTTGATGGGCACCTAGATTGATTCCATGCCTTTGCTGTTGGGAATAGCGCTGTGATTAACATATAAGTGCATGTGTCTTTGTGGTAGAATGATTTCTTTTCTTTTGGGTGTATATCTAGTAATGGGATTGTTGGTTGAATGGTAGTTCTGTTTAAAGTTCTTTGAGAAATCTCCAAGCTGCTTTCCGCAGTGGCTGAACTAATTTACATTCCCACCAACAGTGACAGTTTAGATTTAATTTTAAGTTGCATTATCATTTTGACATGAGGCAAAGCAGAGGAGCAAATGCAGTCCAGTCAAGAGCTAGGGAACCTAGGCTGCTCTTAGCTCAGTCTGAAGTGTATTGTTGCAACATTTTCAGGAAGCAAAGTAGGTAGATTGGGGAAAATATTGTACAGAGTGTGCTGCTGTTGTTTAGTACTCAAATGATAATGTCATATTAAATAATGCATGCTTATTGCATACTTAATGCAACTTTATTGAACAAGTTGTTCCATAATGCCCAAGGCCAGAAAACAAAATAGTTTTTTATTGATGTTACCAGAGTTGAATATGTTAACAATATTTTAGCAGTTTAATCATCAATGAGAATAGGATAAACATCCTGAAAGATACACAGAGAAAAATTCACAAATAATATGTTTATATGAAGACAGTAATGTTTTTGTGTCCATATATAAAAGTGATCTAAAGCACTCATAATCATAATAAACATGCATTATACAACATTACCGATCAACATGATAATGTTCAAATACACAAGGTTTGAAAACTAGGTATTTTTATGGATGGGAAGGTAAATTTCTATAACTTTCTGGTGAACATTAAAATATATTCTTTGACCCAGAAATTTAAGATCCAGGAATTTATCCTGAAGAGATAACTAGGGATAGATACAAAAATTATCTTCTGAAGTATTCACTGCAGTTTTATTTATACCACAAAAAATAAATAATTATAAATTTAATCTCTAACAATAGAGGATTGACTAAAGTATGAAGATCCGTATTAAGAAATACTATATCTGTTAAATGTTATCATCATTCACTCATTCATACATTCACTTTTTCAATAGTTATTGAACACTTACTGTGTGCAAAGCAGTAGGCTGGCAGCTGGAGTTACAAAAGCAAACAGAAGTCATCTATGGCCACAACAAGATTTAATTTTAGAAGTTGAAAAGAATGCTTAGAGGGCTGTTAATTTTGAAAAGAGAAGTTAAAAAATATTATGTGTAATAGGGTCACACTATTGCAAAAGAGAACACTCATAGAAGTACAGAGAGAAGATGAGAAGGAATACATTTAATATAGTAATTAACTGGGAATTAGGTTTTTTTTTGTGAGTTTCTACAAATGTTTTATAATGAACATATTTTATGAAGTCATTAAGATATAAACCTTAGGTGACGTGAGTGTAGGGTGCTATGTGTGTGTAGCGGGGGCATTCTTTCTCATTTGGGCTTTAAAACTCTTGGACTGCCTTTGATGTTTATCATTTAGTAGAAGAAGCTCTTCTAGCTTTTCCTAAGGCTCAGTTGTTTCTTAGATGGTTTTGCATGACTCCAACCTGGAGGCCTGAGCACAGTAAAAGGACACAGGACGCCACAAGGTCAGAGGATACAAGGAAAGGATTTGTGACCTAGACATATGTTCATAGGAGGCTAAATGAAAAAGACTGCAGCTCTCTCTTTTTTCTTTTTTCTGCCTCCTGGGTTCAAGCGATTCTCCTGTCTCAGCCTCCCAAGTAGCTGGGATTACAGGCATGTGCCAACCATGCCTGGCTAATTTTGTATTTTTAGTAGAGATGGGGTTTCACCATGTTGGTCAGGCTGGTCTCGAACTCCTGACCTCAGGTGATCTGCCTGCCTCGGCCTCCCAAAGTGCCGGGATTACAGGCGTGAGCCACCGTGCCTGGCCAAGACTGCAGTTCTTGAGGCTGAAAAAGGAAAGGTGAAGAGATTATAAAGATCTGTGAAACCATGGAGGTCAAACTCCTAGAATAGGGCACCTGTTTCAGCTAGAAGGAACCAGTGGGTAATAAAAGCATGCATCTCCCCACAACAGTGGGATGACTGGAAAATGAAAACATCTCAGGAGGCTATGCAGGACAATTCCCTTAGGAGCCCTTCAGGGAAGTTAAAGATTTGCGGGGCTCATCCCTAACTTTTTGTGATGGAAGAAAAATAATGGTGCTGCTTCCAAAACTGTCCTTTGAAGCCATCGTCAGAGCGAGGATCCTGAACAAAAATACAAAAAAAAAAAAAAAATGCTGTAAATAAAATAATACTTCTTGGCCACATCGTTTTTATGATCCAGAAGATATAAACTATATCCAGAAGTATATAAATGATATTTGAGGTCACTCGATTTGAGAAAACTTTGTTTTCAAGATGGGCAGCAAACAGGCTAAGGAAGAATGGATTAAGCTGAGAAGTTAAAAAAGTGGATTAGTTGATGTCCAGTGCTCCAGGCTTCAAGAAGCCTGACCGGGGGGAACTGAGGCTTTGGGTTTAGGTTTTGCCTCCCCCATCGCCTACCCACAATGGCCTCTTACATATGAGAACACAGAAGAAGGCCCAAATGCACACGGCCTGAACAGTTTATAGCTGAATTTGTTCACACTGATGCCTGTCTCCTCTCTTTCTCGAATAACAGATTTTAAATTTCTCATAATTACATCATTACCTGGAGAACATTTGAGACCCGGAGGGAGAGAATGGTGTTGGAAACAAAGAACAAAGAGAAATTCAGGAGGAGGTCAGGAGTTCTCAAAATCATCTCAAACCCAGGGCCAGTATCAAGAGGCATCTCGTTTATTTACCAAACCAGCAAAGAATGTGACTTTATCCCTGCACAGCAGAGCTGCAGAGGGGGTGTTTGCCTCGCCTCTGGACATCTCCAGGCCTCCCTGTGGCCCCTGCTGCTCACTTGGCCATGGTACCATCTGCTGCCCCTCCCACCTGGCTTCC
Organism: Homo sapiens; assembly: GCF_000001405.40. Taxonomy (NCBI): domain Eukaryota; kingdom Metazoa; phylum Chordata; class Mammalia; order Primates; family Hominidae; genus Homo; species Homo sapiens. Next base: position 76,861,084 of record NC_000009.12, on the reverse strand, counting down.
TTGGAGGCTGTGACTGGGTTTGAGTTAGGGACCTGTAGGGTTGTGAGCAGCACGTTAGGTCTCCTCCTTCCCATCCTTGGAAGTCTTCTTACTTAGAATCGTGGCAGCCACAGGTGTTTGGGGTCTCCTGGGGAGGGGCTGGGCCCTTTCCGCATCACCCTGCAGCCAGTCTTCTGGGAGGAAGACACCCTGGTTGACTTGGAGCTAGTAAGTAGTCAAGGGACTCACTGGTTCAAAGGCCACCTTCTTTCTGGTTTTCTTTGGAGACACCATCCTACAGTTTCAGGAGGTTTATTTCTCTCTTGTTTCTTCATTTTTTTGGTTAGAAATGAGGGACCAAGAAATGTGCCCCCACTTTAGTGTGTGTGGAAAGTGAATCTCCAACTTCTGTGGGTTTTGTCTGAAATATTTTTAAAACAAAATTCGTTTCAATTAATTATTTTTGAAAAAAGTGTTCCAAAAATTTTCAGAAAAAAGATTTGGGGATATTTGAGCATGAGTATTGAAAAGTCATCTTATAACTGTATTGCAAGGGCTCCTTGTGAAACCACCGTTGCAGAAATGATAACAGTAACGGAAATCTGCCAACTGACTCCATCTTGCTTCTACCAGGCTGAACTGCTTTTGCTCATACTTGTTTTAAGGCAGTAAGTCATTTCCTTGAACTAATCCCCTCCTTGTTAAAAAATGGAAACTGTACTTGTAAATACTAACAAAAATTCACAAGGTTAGAGTTACGGGAAGGGCTTGAACTTTGCTAAGGAATAGACATACTGCTGTTGTTTTCGTATTAATTGCTTACTGCCTCAGCAATTAAGGGAGTCACAAGATCGATAACTTCCCCAACTACTCCTACAGATAACATCACTATTGTAAAACCTAAGTAACTGGTCTTTGAGATATGTTTCAGATTTGGCATTTTGGCAGGCTGAGAAACACCCCCTGGTCCTGAGACTCCCTCCCGGAAACTGACTCAGCTATGCAAAGACAGTTTAGACACCCCTGTGAGTTCATCCCCAGCCAATCAATTGTTTCAGCTTTCCAGCCCCTGCCCACTAAAGTACCCTGAAAAACCCTGGCTTCAGGCCGGGCGTGGTGGCTCATGCTTGTAATCCCAGTACTTTGGGAGGCCTAGGCAGGTGGATTGCCTGAGGTAAGGAGTTTGAGACCAGCCTGGCCAACATGGTGAAACCCCATCTCTACTAAAAAGAAAAATTAGCTGGGCATGGTGGCGGGCACTTGTAATCCCAGCTACTTGGGAAACTGAGGCAGGAGAATTGCTTGAACCCGGGAGGTTGCAGTGAGCCGAAATCATGCCATTGCACTCCAGCCTAGGCAACAAGAGTGAAACTCTGTCTCAAAACAAACAAACAAACAAACAAACAAACAAACAAACAAGCACCCTAGCCTCTGAATTCTTGGGGAAGCAGATTTGAGAACTACCTCCTGACCTCCCACTTGGCTGGCCCTGTGATGATTAAACTCTTTCATGGCTGATATATTTGCTATTCTCGGTGCATTGGTTTTTCTGGGCAGTGGGCAAGAAGAATCCATAGGATTGGGACATTTTATTAAAAGGTTTATGGCAGCAGCAACCTTGCTTCTAAGCCTGTGGAGGAAGGAAAGAGCAAATGGAGGGGCCTAGGCTTATAGGAGGGCCCAGGAAGCCCTCTTTCTGGTCAATTCTTCTGGGTGGCTTGAAAGTGCTTTTGCCTAACAAGTGCAGCTTCATTTAATGGGCCATTGAATCTGAATATGTAGGCATTTTGTAGGCTTTTAAAAAGAGATAAGAAGTTAAGAAGTCTCATTTTAGCGGTATATAGGATTACACTTTGAAAGCATATTAAAGTGATTTGGAATCCTGGCATAGTCAATATACTTTCTTTTTTACATTGATTATGAAAAGATTCTGTCCATCTATTTTGGAAGTGTATCTAGATGACAAAGCAGTGTAGTATCTCTTTCAATCCATTATCATATTCCATTTTGTATTGGGTTTGGGGAGCACTGGGTTTAGGCATTCGCAAAGGGTTGCCTGTCTTTTGAGATTCCTTGATGCTTGGTGTGCTTGTGTAGGTTGATATTAGGGAATGGATATTTACTCAGCAGACTGGGTCCCTCCAACCTAGGAGTTTACAGAGTCACATTTGGAAAATGTATACATTAGGCAATAATTATTTGCTGAACATGCTGGGCCTGCTCTCACCTCAGGGCCTTGGTACCTGTTCTTTCCTTAGCCTGAGACACCCTTTAGTCCCACTTACCTAACCTACAGACCTTTACTCAAATGCCACTTTCTTTTTTTTTCTTTCTTTTTTTTTTTTTTAATTATACCTTAAGTTCTGGGATACATGTGCAGAACATGCAGGTTTGTTACATAGGTATACACGTGCCATGGTGGTTTGCTGCATCCATCAACCTGTCATCTACATTAGGTATTTCTCCTAATGCTATCCCTTCCCTTGCTTTCGACCCCTTGACAGGCCCCAGTGTGTGATGTTGCCCTCCCTGTGTCTATGTGTTCTCATTGCTCAACTCCCACTTATGAGTGAGAACATGCAGTGTCTGGTTTTCTGTTCCTGTATTAGTTTGCTGAGAATGATGGTTTCCAGCTTCATCCATGTCCCTGCAAAGAACATGAACTCATCCTTTTTTATGGCTGCATAGTATTCCATGGTGTATATGTGCCACATTTTCTTTACCCAGTTGATCATTGATGGGCATCAAATGCCACTTTCTAATGAACCTCACCTCAGCATATCCCATCCCCGTTTTATGATTTCATCTTCTCCATTTAAATTATCTGATTATTTGGTTCATCAGTTCACCATGCACTAAATTGCAAGTGCAGTGAGGGATGGGATTTTTGTCCATTTGGTTTATTGCTATATCCTTAGAGCCTAGAACAGTGCCTGGCACAAGCAGATTTTTATTGTTGGGGTGACAATAGTAAATCAAATTGATGAAACTGTACATTTATCATTATTATTGTCCCTTTTATTTGGGCATGATTTGTCTGTTTGTGAATCATCCATAGCACAATTTGAACTGTATCAAGGGACATCAGTATTAAGATTGGGCACCTGAGAGTCTCTGAATATGTGGATATGTGAGATAGGAAGGGGCCTACAGACCTTCAGTGAGCAGTGCAGACGATCTTTGGGGTCAGGAGTCTCTTTTGGGTTCCGTGAACTAGTTGCAGCCCCTATAGATGGGCCCATTCCCTCAGGGTGCACCAGAACCGTGGGGACCTCCCATTACCTGCCCCAGACACCTGAAATCAGTCCTCAGAATTTTCTGCCTTGGCTTGACCCCTGTGTTTGCTCTGTTTGCACAACCAAGGTCATTTGTGGGGGGAAGCTCAAGAGTGGGCCCTGTATTCTCTGGTTCTTAATTCCAATTTGAAGAGATTGAGCTCACGTACAGGGTGAGTCTACATGACTAATTTTATGTTTTATTCCTCCAAGCAGGCAGGAGTTTGAGCATGGTTACCCTTTGCTGCCCTGCAATTCTATCTTATCAGTGGTTACTGGTAGGAATTGGGCACTTAGGAACATCTGAGATATTCTGAGGCCAAGCCTATCTCTTTCAGGGCTTACTGGTGGCACAAAAGGTACCTTCTGGTTGGGCTGTCCCTTTCTGTCTGGTCCACCATTCTAAGCTGGGTCATCTTTTTTTTTTCCAGTCATCTTTTTGGATTATGGCATGATTTCTGGAGGGTCTCTTTACAATGAGAGCATATTACATTGGTGACACGTTAACTCAGGAGTACTCATTGGCATATATTCTTCATTGGAGTTGCTGGTGGAGGAGCAGTGGGTCCTTGAGAGCCTGGGCACCAAGATGGTACATTTTGATGGATGGGGGTGGAGGGGGAAAGAGAGTGCTGAAGCCTGGAAACTGTATATGCGCTGGGGATGGCAAATATGGGTAAATGGCATTGGAAGAGGCCATGACCATGAAGGAACTTGATGCATAGGATGAAGGAAAGTGAGGAGAGAAATGAGAGACCATGAAAAAAGAGACATGTTGGCCAGGCGCGGTGGCTCACGCCTGTAATCCCAGTACTTTGGGAGGCAAAGGCGGGTGGATTACCTGAGGTCAGGAGTTTGAGACCAGCCTGGCCAACATGGTGAAACTCCGTCTCTACTAAAAATACAAAAATTAGCTGGATGTGGTAGCGGGCACCTGTAATCCCAGCTACTCAGAAGGCTGAGGAAGGAGAATCGCTTGAACCTGGGAGGCGGAGGTTGCAGTGAGCCAAGATCACGCCATTACACTCCAGCCTGGGTGACAGAGCGAGACTCCATCTTGGAAAAAAAAAAAGAAAAAGAAAAGAGAGGCATATGACACCAAGGAGAACCCTCAAAATTTTGCAGTGGGGTATGCTATGGTCCTTACCCGTTATACCTTTTTCTCTTTAAATGGAAAGAGATATGTCAGCAAGGAAAGATTAATTCATTTACATTCAATCCATGTAAATTAACCTTATAATTATCTTACAGGGTTCCTGAGTTGTGAGAGTTCGTGTAGCATGCTTTGGGGTTGCAGTCTTCATTTAGCACCTTTTCTTCCTTAAGTATAATTGGTTTTGGGCTTGGTAATGAATCGGCACACAAATCTTGCTACACTCCCCATGTCTTCTTTCCTGTAAGTTGAGGGTGGAACACAAAGCTATGTCAGGGAATGATCAAGCCTAGACAAGAAGCAAATAGGTCAGCTTTGGGGGTAATTTTGATCTCACAAATGTCTGAAGTCTTGCTGTATTTCATTCTCTCTTCTCCCTGAATTCCGTGCTCACTTGTGTGGACGCTGAGATCCTCATAGTGTTGAGAAGTCATTATGGCATTAATACAGGGCAGAGGAGATGGGGCTCACTGCACTGTGCTGTGGGATTCTGGGAACCACCCTGGTCCATCACAGACTCCTCTGACCTATAAAAAGTGCTGCTAATCTTCTTACTGTCTGCCTTATAAGATTTGGGAAGAGAAATGAGGTAATGTCTACTTAGATCTTTGAGCTTCTCGGAAGAATAGCATTCTGCAGTAATATGATTTCCTAATGTGTTTGTTTGTGTTGTAATAGACTGTAATTCCATTTACCTACCTTTCTTTAGGAGCTTCTAGAATATTTGACTGTGTTGCACAGGGGAAGCAGTCTGACATTGAGAGTGAGAACTGGACCTAGACTAGAACCCTTAAAGCACATTTAGCCAAGTGAGCCAACTATAAATTTATGAGTGTAGGGGAAGGAAACTGGGAGAGGAAGAAATGGAAGCTAGATTTGGTAGTGACAAGGGAGGGGATTGTAATTATCTTCAGAGAGTTTATATCATACTTTTAAATCATGCTGTTTTGCCAAGGATCAATATCTCAATTTTGAAAAAAAATTTATTTTAATTTAGCAATGTTACATATTGGATTATATCTGCAAAATTGATACTGCTTTCATTGTCTATAATGATAGACTAACCTAGCCCCCTCCAAGATTTGGTTTGTTATATTTATTGAGCCACAACCTATTGCGTTTGACTCTGATACCAGCAGTTCCATATAAACACTGACAAATTTTTAGATTCATTTGTAAAATATGTAGTAGATAACTAAATAATACTTCATCTTTGTTCTGCATATAAACACTTTTTTTTTTAATTAAAATAGTCATGAGCAATCTAACCTTTTATATAGCCTTTGGAACAGTATTACAACTAAGTTGGCTTTCTAGGTAGTTCTAAAATGAGAAGTTAAAACAAGTGATGAAAAGTGGGGAAAGTATGTACATATGTCATCTCTGACATACCGTAAAGTTGTTAATTTATATGACAATTATCTGTATTGGATAGTTTTGCTATGACATTTACTAGAAGCAGTTGGTTCTTTGGAAGTTGCAAAAGAATGTCAGCCTTCCACAAAGGAATTTTCAAATAACTATTTAGTTAACCAGAAAATGAAATAGCAAGTCTTCTCTTCCAGAGGGGTGACTATATATATATATATATATATTTTTTTTTTTTTTTTTTTGAGATGGAGTCTTGCTCTGTGGCCAGGCTGGAGTGCAGTGGTGCAATCTCGGCTCACTGCAACCTCCGCCTCCTGGGTTTAAGTGATTCCTCTACCTCAGCCTCCTGAATAGCTGGAACTACAGGCACGTGCCACCACACCTGGCTAATTTTTTTTTATTTTTTAGTAGACATGGGGTTTCACCATATTGGCCAAGATGATCTCGATCTCCTGACCTCATGATCCACCTGCCTCAGCCTCCTAAAGTGCTGGGATTACAGGCGTGAGCCACCACGCCCGGCTGACTATATACACCTTTTAAGAACAATTAATTTTTATTTTCTGACAGACAAAAGTGTTACAAGTTTCATTTACTAAATTATAGAATAGAATACAGAGAGAACCTATCTTGTTACCCAAAATGTGACATAAAAAAATAAATCCTTACCAAACTCTGTGTCTGTTTGCTTATGTTGCATGCCAGACACATATGAAAAAAGTCATTTTGTTTGTTTCTTAAATTAAGAACATCTTATATAAAGAAATGATATAGAATACTATGCCCCTTAGAACAAAATGATACTTACTAAAAAAATTACGACTCAGAGATACAGTTCATATGAAGTTAAATTATGTGTAATCTTAATAAAACCACATTTTCTCTTCCAGAAAGTTTACTAGAGTTTGAGTGAATATTTCAGAGTGTTAAACACTTTGTACAATTTTTATGTTCTCATGTAAAACTTCATGATAAATTTATGATTCTCTGCCATTGTGTATCAATATGGATAAGGCATACTTTTTTAAAATATTAAAAATATGTTTATATTAATCTGTCACCTGTTAAATTGTGATGTTTCCTTTGAATTTGTTTCAGAATCGAAGCAAACGCTTGGAGAAGGTCCATGTGGTTATTGGGCCTAAATCGTGTGACTTGGATTCTCTCATTTCTACCTTCACATATGCTTACTTTCTAGACAAGGTGAGGGAAAAAAGGGTAATACTCCTTATATTTTGAATTATTATGTAACTTTTAAGAATAAACATTTTCTCTAAACAAAGGAACCTATTAACTTAATTTTTAATGTTCTGATATATTGTTGCAGAGTATAAAGTATTATCATCCATGAATCAACAAATATTTATTGGGCACCTACTATATGTTAGGCATTGTTCTAGCTATTTCTTACCAACTCTCCTTATAAAACATTATTTCAATAAGGTCAATGTTTTCAAATAAAACATTTAAAGTGTTCATAATAGTTGATTAATTTTATGGAAATTCATAGAACTAATAAAAGTAAGAATCAGATTTCTTGTTTTCCTTTGTCATCCTTGCTGATAGTCCTGCCCTTGGGAGCAGAAAAATACGTGCAGAATAACTTGTGTGAACAGTACATAAATGGCAGAGCACATTGGCTAGAGTTTTCAGTGACGAGTATTACATGTCAAATCTACATCCTGTAGGTCCTTGTTTGGTTTTGCCTTGTATCCCTGATTTTGTACAGCGAGATCATCCTTAGTTAGTGATCATCTCCCTTGAGGAAGACTCTTTCTATTCTGTGAAGCATATGATGCCCCTGTGGAAGTGGAAAATACCTTTCAACAAATTGCTTTAAAACTTGAAATCTATAAAATTCATGAGCTCATGATAATGGGCTTTTTATTAACGTAAAGCCTAAAAATGTATGTTATGAGTGTCTAGGTGTTATTTTCAATGTCACACAATTTTTAATTTTTCAGAATCTGATTTGTTTTGTTGCAATTTTGTTTGGATCCTTGGCCCCTGACAGTAGGCAGAGCTGGTCTAAAGTGATTTAAATTCACACGAATGCTAGTCTTCCAGAATGAGCTGTGGGTGGCAAGAACTGCTCTAGGGCAGAAGCTGATAAAAATGCTGGGTAAAATATTCTGATCTCTACATGTGGGCTTTATATCAAATTTATCTTAAAATTTGTTGAACTTTACAAGGGAGATTAATTGGTATGAGGAGATAAATGTGCCTCTGTTAAGACATGCATATTAACACTAATTTTGTTAACTGGTATTTTGACTCCTAGAAGAAAATGTCACTTATCTAGAGAACATAGAGTTGACAAAACCAGACTGATGTTTAGAGTGATAGTGGCGTGGACTTCAAAATGATATAACAATAATACCACCACTACCACCTACAACAATGTCTTGACATCCAATAAAAGGGGTAGAAAAAGTAATTGTGATAGATAAAACACATGGATAGATAGATAGATAGATAGATAGATAGATAGATAGATAGACAGACAGACAGATGGCTAGATAAAAATAAAAAGACATGTGGATTCTCTTCTTCTTCAAAGGTTTGCCAGTAAGCATGGAGATGAATGTGGAATTACTGAAAGGTCTCATACTAAGAATTTGGTTATATTTCTCTGCCTTTCTCGTAGTTTACTGGGCCCCCTGCTAGTGGTCTGTGTCTCCATTTAAATTTTCAAAACCCAACTACTCCCTCTCAGAGTATGAACATGTAGGATAAGCAAAGAGCTTTTCTGCCTCATGCGTGTGACCCCATTTAAATCCTTCTCACTCTGGTAAGTGAGCCGCATTTTCAGATGGGGAACACAGAGTCTCAGAGAGGAAACTGGCTTTCTCAAAGTTACGTGGTAGAGACTGGGGCTGGAACCTAGTTCTTGTGACATCAACTTCAGAACAGGTCCTGCCAGGAGAGGCCCAGGCCACATGCCTGATTTACATATTGATTCTTCCCCACTCAAGTTTCAATATCAGGAGTTAGATAGAACCCTCCATTCATTAGGAAAAATAACTTGCCATACATAAGTTGTTAACACTTATTATGCAATTGTGGTTCGGTATTAGCGTGACAGGAGGGAGAAAACCCACTTTGTTGGAGTGGCTTTGTGCTTTGTATGCTATAGCAGTGGCTGATTCCTTTCTTTCATTCAACAAATATGTACTAAATGTTTACTATGTGCCAGACTGGTTTATACACTGGAAACATAACTGAACAAAACCATCAAAAAGCCCTGCCTTCTTAATGCTAGAAAGGGGAGACAGATGATTAAGGTGTTAAAACTGTGACAAGCTGGTGATGGTGTGAGAGTAAAGGCCATTTATGTTATGCACAAATTCCATGTCACTGAACCCCACATTCTCTCATTGATAGTTAGGATTATTGCTGTACATTCACAGTAATTTTTAAAGCACCTTTATTTTTAACATTCCCGTACAAAAACAAGTTTATTATTGTGACTACAATTCTCTACCTCTCTCCTATCTCCTGTTTTCTCTGGTTGCCACAGATCTGTTTTCTAAGAGACTTGTTAATAAAAAATGTTTTTTATGATTTAAGAAATCAATAGAGATCACGATCTGATAGTCTGTAGGCTGAAGCTGGCTTGTAAATGAATTTCTACTGACTGACGTTCTGAATTTTTAAAAATGAATTGTAATAATTAAATTTCACAAATAATACCCCAAATCTAGATTTATAGCTGCTCTTGGGTAATTAAAAGTGTGTGTGTGTGTTTTTTTTTTTTCCGAGACAGAGTCTTGCTCTGTCCCCCATGCTGCAGTGCAGTGGCACGATCTTGGCTCACTGCAAGCTCCGCCTCCCGGGTTCACACCATTCTCCTGCCTCAGCCTCCCAAGTAGCTGGGACTACAGATACCTGCCACCATGCCCGGCTAATTTTTTTGTATTTTTAGTAGAGATGGGGTTTCACCGTGTTAGCCAGGATGGTCTCGATCTCCTGACCTCGTGATCTGCCCGCCTTGGCCTCCCAAAGTGCTGGGATTACGGGCATGAACCATCGCACCCAGCCCGTTAATTTAAAGTTTTAACTACACTGGGCCTGAATTTTTACATGTGAACCATTGGCTGGAGCTGAGTGACAGGCATCTCATTTAGATGCAATGTATGTGCCTTCCCCTGTCCCCACAGTCCCCACCCACCCTGCCTCAATTGTCCTAATTTTCTGCCAATCTTATAAAGATATGTGAGTTTGTTACTCTTAAAGAAGAGAATGTGTATTATATATAAATGTATTTATTTACATTTTAGCCCCTGCACAATTTATATATATGCATATATTTAAATTTATATACAAATGTTATCTATTTAAATTTTAATCATATGTAGTATATATTTATATATACAAATGGTGCAGGGTCTAAAATGAGACATAAAATAAAGCATGAGATGTTTCAAGTAGGGTAACAAGAGGTTAAAAAATGTTAGGGGCCACTCAGAGGAAAATACTCTATTAATTGGGTTCAGGAAAATTTGATTATGAATGCCAAGTGGTTTAGTGAGGCCAGAAGACTCCTATTCCTTTTACCAGTTACCCCCAGGCTGGAGAAAATGTAATTGTATTCTTTCCTCCTGCTATTTTCAGTAATTCAGTCAACTTTTTTCTTGGTAGGTCAGTCCACCAGGGGTTCTGTGTTTACCAGTGCTGAACATACCAAGAACTGAATTCAACTACTTCACCGAGACGAGGTTTATTTTAGAAGAGCTAAATATTTCCGAATCATTCCACATATTCCGGGATGAAATTAACCTGCATCAGCTAAATGATGAAGGGAAGTTATCGATAACACTTGTTGGCAGCAGTGTGCTGGCGAGGTAAGATCCACTGTGAAGCTCTGAGGTTTAATCCCTCAATGAAGGTTCTACTGGGCAAAGTGTCACTTTACTCAGGACTTTTGTGGTTTAGGCAGATGTATTAAAAGCAGAGGACATGCTGGTCATGGTGGCTCACGCCTATAATCCCAGCACTTTGGGAGGCCAAGGTGGGCGGATCACTTGAGGCCAGGAGTTCGAGACCAGCCTGACCAACATGGTGAAACCTTGTCTCTACTAAAAATACGAAAATGAGCTAGGGTGGTGGTGCATGCCTGTAATCCCAGCTACTTGGAGGCTGAGGCACGAGAATTGCCTGAACCCGGGAGGCAGAGGTTATAGTGAGCCGAGATCGCACCACTGCACTCCAGCCTGGATGAAAGAGTGAGACTGTTTCAAAAAAAACAACAAACAAACCCCAAAATCCCAAAACAACAACAACAACACAACAACGGCAAGGCAGAGGACATGCAGAGAAAAGGGAATATCTTTTTCTTCTCTTATGGCAAAATTTGGGTCATGCTAATCCTTCATTTTTACTTTTGCATTTCAGATATGAAATCTTTAAGTGTAAAGTTCTTATAAAATTGACCAAATTATAGGGGGTTTTTTGTTTTGTTTTGTTTTGTTTTGTTTTTTTGAGACAGAGTCTCGATCTCTCGCCCAGGCTGGCGTGCATTGGCTCCATCTCGGCTCACTGCAGCCTCCACCTCCCAGGTTCAAGCGATTCTCTTGCCTCAGCCTCCTGAGTAGCTAGGATTACAGGCACTCACCACCACGCCTGGCTGATTTTTGTAGTTTTAGTAGAGATGGGGTTTCACCATGTTGGCCAGGCTGGTCTTGAACTCCTGACCTCAAGTGATCCGTCCACCTCAGCCTCCCAAAGTGCTGGGATTACAGGTGTGAGCCATCACACCTGGCCTAAAATTATAGTTTTTGAACCATTTCAAACACTTTCTTATAGCAATACAATAGTCTTATGTATTGATGCCAAACATGTGTATTAAAAATTGAAATTAAACACTGGATAAAACTGAATGGTTCTTAGGAAAGAAATCTCAGTAGTGAAATGGAAAAATACATAGAGATGGGCTATGAAGGTCATTTGATTATTGATTTATTCATTCATAGCATGTTATACTACAAGAGAAGGATTGATTTTTTTTGAATATTCATGTAGCTCAAACTTTTTATTTTACGGACAAGAAACTTGAAACTCAGTGTCACAAACGACTTGTCCAAAGAACCACATGCAGGCTTGACATGGTGGCTCATGCCTGTAATTCCAGCATTTTGGGAGGCCAAGGCAGGAGGTTCACTTGAGCCCAGGAGTTTGAGATCAGCCTGGGAAACATGGTGAGACCCTGTCTCCACAAAAAATACAAAGAAATTAGCTGGCCATAGTGGTATGTACCTGTGGTCCCAGCTACTCAGGAGGCTGAGGTGAAAGGATCAATTGAGCCTGGGAGGTTGAGGCTGCAATGTCATCTCATGGTTGAGCTGTGATTACACCACTGCCCTCCAGCCTAGATGACAGAGCGAGACCCTGCCTCAAAAAACAAAACAGAACAAACAACAACAATAAAAACAAAGAACCATATGTAGTTAGTAGAAGAGTGGGGATTAGAACTTGTATCTTCTGACTCTTTCAATAAATACTTAAGCATTGCTAACTCATGCAAGAATCTACAGGTGCCTAAGGAGGAATAAGACAAATTCTCTGCCATCAAAGACTTTATGAAGATGTCCTTTTGATAAGCTTTCCACTGCTACTGAATGAAGGTTCACCAGCTAAGCACTTCAGTAGTTTAAAATGTTAGTTTTTCACAGTTTGGCAATTTGCAAGTTGTTGATAACCTTAACCAGTGGACACTGACCTTAGCATACATGAAATAAAACCTTTTCTGTTTAATAATTTTGTATTTAACTTTTTAGGAAGCATATTTAGGTATGAATGTATTGTGATATCTATTATGCAATTCATTTACTTATGAGGAGTTTTGAAAATAACCTGCCCATGTGTGGCTGCTTTTATCTTCATGCTGTTTGAAACAAATGAAATTTTTTTGAATAATATTTATCAATCATTGACACGTGGCTAAAAGTTCCGGGTAGTTTATTTGACTGACTTCAATTATTGGTATTCAGGAAATCATATGCTTGACTAAATTTACATGTTAACTATTTCTTTTTTCTTTTTTTGAGATGGATTCTTGCTCTGTCACCCAGGCTGGAGTGCAGTGGCACGATCTCAGCTCACTGCAGCCTCCATCTCCGAGGTTCAGGCGATTCTCTTGCCTCGGCCTCCTGAGTAGCTAGGATTACAGGCATCTGCCACCACACCCAGCTAATTTTTGTATTTTTAGTAGAGACGGGGTTTCACCGTGTTGGCCAGGCTGGTTTCAAACTCCTGACCTCAGGTGACCCGCCTGCCTCAGCCTCCCAAAGTGCTGGGATTACAGGCGTGAGCCACCATGCCCAGCCATATTAACTTTTTGAAACCAGCAAATACAAAGAGACACAGATAAATACAATCAATTGGAATGTGAATTGTGGAACGAGTGTGTGTCAATCAAAATCTGAGGAATAGTTTTGTTACCAATTAAAATGGAAAAATTTAGACTGATTTTGAGGCTGGGATTGTGAACTCTAGCTCTAGAATTGTTTATGAAATAGAATGCTTTTCAAAAATAAATAGAAATCTTTATTTCTTTCATTGCCATTCACTTATTTTTTGACAGGCAGAAAGAATAAAGTTGGATTGATCCAAACTTTTCTTCCTGCCTTTGCTAAAAGCCAGCTCTGTCTCATGTATGAAGAATAATGGTGGAAGGAAAATAGGCCCAGTAGTGTTTTCTCTACACCACGGTGACTGGATTTGCAAGCTTTGGAGCCAGGTTATTGGCTAGTCTACTCACTAGTCTACCAGCTAGTCTACTCACTAAATGTGTGACGTTGCACAAATTTCTTAACCTCTTTGTGCCTCAGTTTTTTTTTTAAATACTTTTTAAAAGTATTATACAATGTATAAATTGTATTAAAAAAAACTTATACAATGGGGATTTTTCTAGTGTCATTTTCTAGTGTCATTTTTAGTGCATTTTATACATTTTATAGAACTCTTTTTTTTTTTTTTCCCTGAGACAGATTCTCGCTCTATTGCCCAGGCTGGAGTGCAGTGGCACGGTCTTGGCTCACTGCAACCTCAGCCTCCATGGTTCAAGTGATTCTCCTGCCTCAGCCTCCCAGGTAGCTGGGATTACAGGCAGCTGCCACCACGTCAGGCTAATTTTTTGTATTTTTAGTAGAGACGAGGTTTCACCATGTTGGCCAGGCTGGTCGTAAACTCCTGACCTCATGATTCGCCTGCTTCGGCCTCCCAAAGTGCTGAGATTACAGTTGTGAGCCACCGCGCCCAGCCTGTAGAATTCATTTTATAGTGTTATTTTCTAGTATAAAATATGATAATACACCTAAAGTATTTATAATAGTATCCGGCCTGTGGTGGAAGCCCAATAGTGTTAGTTACTATTATTTTCCAAGAGCACAGCACAGGATAAAGCTGGGAAGGTATGTACGTATTTTAAGAATTTGGGGAAAGTAAATAGTTTTAATGAAATGTGAAAATACGTAGAATAAGGCTCCCGTCTTCTGAGTCATGTGAGTTCCCTCATATTTTTGGTCATTGAGAGGAAGCCATTTGTGTGAGAGCAGAGATTTAAACATTCCAAAAAGTAATAAGACATGCCATATCCCTTTCTCTTCCTCCCCTCCATTTGCTTTACAGTGAAGACAAAACTTTAGAATCAGCAGTTGTCAAAGTCATTAATCCGGTTGAGCAGAGCGATGCCAACGTTGAGTTCCGAGAGTCTTCCTCTTCTCTCGTGCTAAAGGAGATTCTCCAAGAGGCTCCTGAGCTCATCACCGAGCAACTGGCTCATCGCCTCAGAGGTGAGAGATGGCTCTTCCTATTAAATACTGGAAGGCTTAATGGAGTGTCTCCCAGCCTGCTCATGTAGAAAGAATGCGATCCATTCTTGGGTTAACAATCTCTTTAAAGACCACGGGAAGCTTCATCAGAGAGGCAGGGAGTAAAGAGTTTGTTAAAGAGTAGCATTATACTGAATATTAAAAATGTGCATTTAAAAATAGGCATGAGGGGCCTTTGCTGTTTCACTAGACAAGAATATTAAATGGAACTGCTGCACCTCTGTTAGGGAGCTGGAATAGCACCTCTGGCAATTTTAATCACTACCAGAGGTGATTCTTGCCCCAAGACAGCATGATAGGGACGAGAATGCCAAGTTCCCAGGTTGAAATATCTGCTGATACTCTTCCATGCTTGGTTTATACCATACTGTTTGGATGGCAAAATACGTACCCTTCATTTTGGTGATACTGTGTCAGGGCTTTTATAGTCAGATGTCACCTCCTTTGCTCCCCTGTCTTGTAACATATTCTGTCTTCACTCAAACTGTTTCAAGCCCTGGGGTCCTGAACACACCATCATCAGTTACTCTAGTAATCTCTCTTTCATCTCGATCAGTGGAGCCACCTGCTTCCAAAGAGTGGTTTTCAAGCTAGAAATTGTCAGTCGACTTTGGAACCACAAAATTACCACAGAAATTCCATTATTGACTTACAGAGGACACTGTTCTGGTTTTTGTATAAAGCATTTCCCTCCCCGCACCACCAATCCATTTTGAACACGGTAGACAGAGAATTTTCTCAAAAGTATTTAACACAGGAAAGTGAAAAACAGTGATGAACAGATTGAAATAATTCTAAAAGAAGACCAAAAGTATGTTGACTCAACTCTTTTAAGGACTCTGTCCTTCAATTCCTCTGTCTCTTCCACAGTTTGGAGGGGAAAAGGTCCAAGAAGTGTATAATTCTTGTAAAGGTTTAGAACTGATGGCCTTCGTAAACCTGCCTTAAATATTTTCCTGGCAATGAATGTCGGTAAAAACGCTCTATGGGAAACTGTGCCCTCAACTAAACTAAGTAAGCACAACCATTTATCTTTGTGACAGAGCAGAAGGAAAATGAAGGTAATTGGGGATCTCAGCCAAGAGGAAAGTTGTTCAACAGCACAAATGTGTGGTGCAGCCAAGCACTAGAGAATATTTTGTTTAAATATCTTGTAAACTAAGAAGTTTGGTTAATTGTTGTGAAAATACATGCGTTATTTAGTAGAAAAGAAATGTAGTCAGTAAGCAGCTCATTATCATAATTTTCTACAAATAGTAAAATAATATGAAACAAATACATTGGCACAAAGATATGACTGTTATTGGTAGTGATAACAATGATATTCAGATTTAGGGAATTAGAAGGAATGCAGACCCTTTTGTTAATTATCTTGGTTTTAGTTTGCAGAGCTACCAAAAAATGAACAATGGTAAAAGATTTTGCTTCTTTCTCTTTAAATTTTTTTGCTTTTTTTTTTTTTTTTTTTTTTTTTTAAGAGAGGGGGGTCTCACCATATTGCCCAGGCTAGTCTTGAACTCCTGGGCTCAAGCCATCCACCGGCTTCAGTCTCCCAAAGTGCTGTAATTAAAGGTGCGAGCTACTGCACCTGGCTGGATTTTGCTTTTCTTAACATCAGATGTTTTTCTTGAGGTTAGGCTTGAAGTGGCATTGGGAAGCTGGCAGAATGTGGGCATCACTTCCTTATCTCTTGGAAACTGGAATGTGAGAGGATGAAGAGCTTCTACCTGTGAAGCCTGCCAATACTGTTACTGTCATAAAAGAGCCAGAGTCATTAAACCCTGGGAGGTAGAAGACATAGGGGGCTTCTTATGGTGGAAAGAGGGCTCTGGAGACCTTTTGCCAATGCATATGTGTGTGTATGTATGTGGAGGGGAGATGGAACACTCTCTAAATAGCTTTGGCAAGAAGGACTATATTAGTCTGTTTTGTGTTGCTGTAAAGGAATATCTGAGATCGGGTAATTTAGAAAGAGGTTTATTTCACTCATGCTTCTGTAGGCTGTAGGAAAAGCATAGTGCTGGCATCTGCTTCTAGTGAGGACCTCAGGAAACTTCCATGCATGGCAGGAAGCAAAGGAGGAGCTGGCATATGACATGGGAAGGGAGGGAGCAAGAGACTGGGGAGGTCCCAGACCTTTTTTAACAACCAGATCTCAGGTGAACTCATTACTACAGGGAGGGTACCAAGCCATTCATGAGGGATTGGCCCCCCTGACTCAAACACCTCTCACCAGGCCCCACCTCCAACATTGGAGATCACATTTCAACATGAGATTTGGAGGGGACACACATCCAAACCATATCACGGAACTAAAGGATGGTTAAATAGGGAATCTGCCTTTTAAAGAGGTACCTCAAATGTTCAGAGGTAAAAACTATGTTGGAGTAATAGGTCAATTTTTAAAAGCTCCTGAATTGTTAGTAAATACAAAAAAGAAATCAAGTAGGCTGGGCGTGGTGGCTCACGCCTGTAATCCTAGCACTTTGGGAGGCTGAGGAGGGCAGATCACTTAAGGTCAGGAGTTTGAGACCAGCCTGGCCAACATGGTGAAACCTCGTCTCTACTAAAAATACAAAAATTAGCCGGTGTGGTGGCGGACGCCTGTAATCCCAGCTACTTGGGAGGCTGAGGCGGGAGAATTGCTTGAACCCAGGAAGCGAAGGTTGCAGTGAGCCGAGATCTCACCATTGCACTCCAGCCTGAGGCACAAGGGTGAAACTCCATCTCAAAAAAAAAAAAAAAAAAAAGAGGAATCAAGTCAAATTTTGCTGTCATCACTGAATTCAAACTTAGAATTTATGGTTTTCCAGTTATGTAGTAACATCAAACCTAAAAGGACTTGTTTTCTCTGTTCCTATAAAATAACTTTAGCATTATTTTCATAATATGGGCAGTTCTCTTTAGAAAGGGTTCTCTTTATAAGCAGCTACCATGTTACTTTGGATTTTTGGGTGCTGTAAATAATCATCACTTTGATGCACATTTTTAGAACTTTTTTAAAATTATACCTTAAGTTCTGGGATACATGTGCAGAACATGCAGGTTTGTTACATAGGTATACACGTGCCATGGTGGTTTGCTGCACCCATCAATCCATCACCTACATTAGGTATTTCTCCTAATGCTCTCCCTCCCCTAGCCCCCATCCCCAACAGGCCCCGGTGTGTGATATTCCCCACCCTGTGTCCATGTGTTCTCATTGTTCAGCTCCCACTTATGAGTGAGAACATGTGGTGTTTGGTTTTCTGTTCCCGTGTTAGTTTGCTGAGAAATGGTGGTTTCCAGCCTCATCAGTGTCCCTGCAAAGGACATGAGCTCATCCTTTATTTTTTTGGCTGCATAGTATTCCATGGTGTATATGTGCCACATTTTCTTTATCCAGTCTATCATTGATGGGCATTTGGGTTGGTTCCAAGTCTTTGTGAATAGTGCGGCAATAAGTGTATGTGTGCATGTGTCTTTATGATAGAATGATTTATAATCCTTTGGGTATATATCCAGTAATGGGATTGCTGGATCAAATGGTATTTCTTGTTCTAGATCCCTGAGGAATCGCCACACTGTCTTCCACAATGCTGGAACTAATTTACACTCCCACCAACAGTGTAAAAGTGTTCCTATTTCTCCACATCCCCTCCAGCATCTGTTGTTACCTGGCTTTTTAATGATTGCCATTCTAACTGGCATGAGATGATATCTCATTGTGGTTTTGATTTGCATTTCTCTAATGATGAGTGATGATGAGCTTTTTTTCCATATGTTTGTTGGCCACTTCTTTTGAGAAGTGTCTCTTCATATCCTTTGCCTAGTTTTTGTTGGGGTTGTTTGTTTTATTCTTGTAAATTTGTTTAAGTTCCTTGTAGATTCTGGATATTAGCCCTTTGTCAGGTGGATAGATTGCAAAATTTTTCTCCCACTCTGTAGGTTGCCTGTTCATTCTGATGATAGTTTCTTTTGCTGTGCAGAAGCTCTTTAATTAGATCTTATTTGTCAATTTTGGCTTTTGTTGCCATTGCTTTTGGTTTTTTAGTCATAAAGTCTTTGCCCATGCCTGTGTCCTGAATGATATTGCCTAGGTTTTCTTCTAGGGTTATTATGGTTTTAGGTCTTATGTTTAAGTCTTTAATCCATCTTGAGTTAATTTTTGTAAGGTGTAAGGAAAGGGTCCAGTTTCAGTTTTCTGCATATGGCTAGCCAGTTTTCCCAACACCATTTATTAAATAGGGAATCCTTTCCCCATTGCTTGTTTTTGTCAGGTTTGTCAAAAATCAGATGGTTGTAGATGTGTGGCATTATTTCTGAGGGCTCTGTTCTGTTCCATTGGTCTATGTCTGTTTTGGTACCAGTACCAGGCTGTTTGGTTACTGTAGCCTTGTAGTATAGTTTGAAGTCAGGTAGCGTGATACCTCCATTTTGTTCTTTTTGCTTAGGATTGTCTTGGCTATACGGGTTCTTTTTTGGTTCCATATGAAATTTAAAGTAGTTTTTTTGAATTTTGTGAAGAAAGTCAGTGGTAGCTTTCTTCTCAGGTGGGGATTCAATAGGGATAGCAGATTCAATGGGGATAGAGCCAGCAGGCAGGAACGTTTAAATCTGCTGAAGCTGCTCCCACAGCCGCCCCTTCCCCCAAGTGCTCTGTCCCAGGGAGATGGGAATTTTATCTATAAGCCCCTGACTGGGGTTGCTGCCTTTCTTTGAGAGATGCCCTGTGCAGAGAGGAGGAATCTAGAGAGGTAGTCTGGCTACAGCGGCTTTGCAGTGCTGTGGTGGGCTCTGCCCAGTCTGAACTTCCCTGCAGCTTTGTTTACACTATGAGGGGAAAACCACCTACTCAAGCCTCAGTAATGGCGGACTCAAGCATCCCAGGTTGACTTCAGACTGCTGTGCTGGCAGCGAGAATTTCAAGCCAGTGGATCTTAGCTTGCTGGGCTCCATGGGGTGGGATCCACTGAGCTAGACCACTTGGCTTCTTGGCTTCAGCCCCCTTTCCAGGGGAGTGAACAGTTCTGTCTCACTGGCGTTCCAGGCGCCACTGGGGTATGAAAACAAAACTCCTTCAGCTAGCTCAGTGTCTGCCCAAATGGCCACTCAGTTTTGCACTTGAAACCCAGGGCCTTGGTGGTGTAGGCATCCAAGGGAATCTCCTGGTCTGTGAGTTGCAAAGAACATGGCAAAAGCATAGTATTTGGGCTGGAATGCCCCGTTCCTCATGGCATGGTCCCTCATGGCTTCCCTTGGCTAGGGGAGGGAGTTCCCCGACCCCTTGTGCTTCCTGGGTGAGGCGATACCCCACCCTGCTTTGGCTCACCCTCCATGGCTGGGCTGACCAGTCCCAATGTCTAACCAGTCCCAATGAGATGAGCCAGGTACCTCAGTTGGAAATGCAGACATCACCCCCCTTCTGCATTGATCTTGTTGGGAGCTGCAGACCGGAGCTGTTCCTATTTGATCATCTTGCCAGCCACCTAGGGACAATCTTTTTTTTTTTTTTGAGAGGAAGTCTCGCGCTTGTTGCCCAGGTTGGAGTGCAGTGGCGCAATCTTGGCTCACTGCAACCTCCGCCTCTCGGGTTCAAGCGATTCTCCTGCGTCAGCCTCTCAAGTAGCTGGGATTACAGGTGCCTGCCACAAAGCCCGGCTAATTTTTGTGTTTTTAGCAGAGACTGGGTTTCGCCATGTTGGCCAGGCTGGTCTTGAACTCCTGACCTCAGGTGATCTGCCCGCCTCAGCCTCCCAAAGTGCTGGGATTACAGGCCTGAGCCACCACTCCCAGCCTAGAACAAATTTTTATGTATTCTTCTAGGTCTTGAAAGAATGCCGATATTTTATGCACATCTTTGCCATAAGAAATGTTAGCAAATGTCTGTTTCCAGATGTCATGAGACTAGATATTTATGGCTGAGACTTGAAAGAGTCTTTAAAAGCATCATAATTAGACCTCAGTGGACAATATATTAGTATAAACATTGTACCAAAAAACTCTACATTTTCTATGAGCTAAGTACTTCATCAATTTGATTGTACTTTGCTTTTCATCCCCGTGGCTGTATCCTAGAATGCATCATGCTTGGGCATGCTGGTGTGCTGTAAATGGATTTCAGGTGGGCCAAGATATTGATTCCTTTGGTTCTTGGAGAAGGCCCTGTGTATGGCTCTGAGCCCACTGTGCTCAAAAGTAAAAAAAGGTCACTTTCAATGTGTTCCTTGATATGCAAAAAGTTGGGCCTACTCTTCCTTCATCTTACTTGTTAGCTCCTTTTCCTCTGCTCAGTTGCTAAGTGTTGGGTGCCTAAAACTTGTCCTTTTTCTCTTTTTTTGCTATCTTTAAGTGACTTTGTTTAGTTCCAAGACTTTAAATATTATACACAGGCTGATGACTGCCTGTATCTCCAACTGTGACCTCTTTTTAGAATTCCAGATTTATATCCAAGCCCACGTTACATCTTCACATGCTTGTCTAATTAGTACCACATCCTTAACACGGCTGCAGTAGAACCTTTTAGTTTCTTGTACCTCCAAACCTGCTTTTATTCCAATTTCTTCATTTCAGTAAACCACCCAATTGCTTAAAAGCCATCATCTAGGAGTTATACATGATTCTTTCCTTTGCCTTCTGCAAATCCATCAGCAGTCCTGCTGACCCTCCATCTAGAACATAACATGACTCCCTCTACATTTTCCATGATCACTGCTAGTGACTCAGTTCAAGCCTCCATTCTGCCTCTCTTTGACTACTGTCTTAGCTGCCTGACTGTTGCCCTATCTCCTCCATAAAACCTATTGCCATGAAGTCTTCAGAATGACCTTGTAAATTGTAAGTCAGGCCATTTCAACCTCCGGCTTCAAACCTGTCTCACTCAAAATCCAAGCATCCTACCTCTACCCCTAGAGACCACCACGTCATCTCTCCTCTGCCTATTCTCACATCCCTTGGTAAGATTTCCCCCTTTTCCCACTGTGTTGCAGACACAAGAGCCTTTCAGCTTTTCAAATATGCCAAACTCTTTCCACTCTTGATGATTTACATAAGCCGTTCCCTCCTTCTGGAATGCTTGTTTCATCTATAGTATCTCGTCATCTCTCTTTCTGCCTATCAGGAGCCTCCTCTTCCCTCTTGCTTCCTCACTCCAGGATGTAACTTCATGAGAAAAGAGACTTTCTGTGTTGTGTGCACTGCTTCACTGTTGTGTCTCTGGTACCTAGAACAGTACCTGGCACAGAGTAGGCCCTCGATAAACACTGTCATAAAAGGAATTTTGCAACATTGTTTATGTGCTCTCTATTTTTATGACTGTATTGATTCAGTTAATGCTATAATACTTTAATTTCCGTCCCCTTCAGTCCATCCTTCTAACATTCTTAATGTGTAAAATTTGGACGTTGTTCCTTCTAGTTTAAAAAAAAACAAACAAACTCCTATTTTTAGCTTTAAGAAATCCTAGTGTTTTGCAAGCATTTCTTTTTATTTTCACCATTTGGTTATATAAATAAATAAGTAAATAAATAAATGTATTTTAGCCCTCTTGTGGAGTATAATACTTTGCACCAAAAAGAATGCAAAACATGTGTATAAAAGGACATGTAAACAGTTCAAGGAATTATCACAAAGCGAGCACCCTTTTAACAATTATCCAGGTAAAGAGAAAGACCTTTTGGTGCTCCTTCCCACCACTGCTCACTCCCTCCCTAACTAGCGTTAACTGGTATTCCCATTTTTGTGGTATACTCTTCTTTGCTTTTCTTTATAGTTTTAACATCACTGTGTGTACCCCATAGCAGTACAGATGGGTTCTGGCTGTATTTGTTTTTTTTTTTTTTTTTTTTTTTTGAGACAGAGTTTCGCTCTTGTTGCCCAGGCTGGAGTGCAATGGCGCAATCTCAGCTCACTGCAACCTCCGCCTTCTAGGTTCAAGCAATTCTCCTGCCTCAGCCTCCCAAGTGGCTGGGATTACAGGCATCTGCCACCATGCCCCACTAATTTTTGTGTTTTTAGTAGAGATGGGGTTTTGCCATATTGGTCAGGCTGGTCTTGAACTCCTGGCCTCAAGTGATCCACCTGCCTCGGCCCCCCAAAGTGTTGGGATTACAGACATGAGCCACCATGCCCAGCCTCTGCCTGCATTTGTATGATATATAAATGGCATCATACAGTATATATTACTCATTGTTTTTAGATCTCTACCTTTGTATTAAATGGAGAATCTACTTGTCTAGGTTTATCTATCTATTTTATTATGTTTGCCCTTCCTTCTTCCATAAAATATTTGAGGAGGCTTACAAAAATGCATGCAGTATAATAAAAGAGAAAAAAAAAGGTCAAGATCAGGAAAAATAAAAACTAGTACAGAAAGGAATAGGATCAGATACAATTATAAATTTGGAGGAATAAAAATAGTATTTGGTGGCTGGGCACAGTGGCTCACACCTGTAATCCCAGCATTTTGGGAGGCTGAGGCGGGCAGATCACGAGGTCAGGAGATCGAGACCATCCTGGCTAACACGGTGAAACCCCGTCTCTACTAAAAATACAAAAAATTAGCTGGGCGTGGTGGCAGGCGCCTGTAGTCCCAGCTACTCAGGAGGCTGAGGCAGGAGAATGGCGTGAACCCAGGAGGCAGAGCTTGCAGTGAGCCGAGATTGCGCCACTGCACTCCAGCCTGGGCGACAGAGCAAGACTCCGTCTCAAAAAAAAAAAAAAAATAGTATTTGGTTTGAAACTTTGGATACGAGCTTCCTGGAGCCAATGAAAAAATTAAAATATGATTAATTATAATCATTTTTACTGAAATAAACACATATACTAGTTTCTCATTTTAAAAAGATACAACTAAGTCTAAATTTTTTTTTGTATCAGTCTTGAAAAGACACCTGATAATGCCATAGAAATACCCCTGCTCTATCCTTTTCCACATGCAGTGGGGGCATATACAGGAATTGTGCACAGCATGTCAGATACTTCCTGCTCCTCAATCAGTGTATGGGATTGCTTTAATAGCATTATTATTATTATTATTATTATTATTATTATTATTTGAGACAGAGTCTCACTGTGTCGCCAGGCCGGAGTGCAATGGCACAATCTTGGCTCACTGCAATCTCTGCCTCCCGGGTTCAAGCAATTCTCCTGCCTCAGCCTCCCGAGTAGTTGGGACTGCAGGTGCCCGCCACCACGCCTGGCTAATTTTTGTATTTTTAGTAGAGACGGGGTTTCACCATGTTGGCCAGGATGGTCTCAATCGCTTCACCTTGTGATCCGCCCGCCTTGGCCTCCCAAAGTTCTGGGATTACAGCAGAGAGCCACTGTGCCCGGCCAATAACTTCATTTTTTTAATCAGCTTTACCTTTAGTCTAGCAACCTCATTTTCTGCTCCAAATTTCTTTTCTATGCATGCTGATGTTTTTCTCTAAATCTAAAAAATACATATTTAAATTCAATCATATTTGAATCTTTTTAGTCTTATACACAGCTGTAGCTACATATCAATGTTTGCATTATGGTATATTATTTTATTCAAACATTGAGGTAGAACTTGATTATTACGGATGTCGTTAAAAAGATCATTTGTATACTAATTAGAGGTATGTGTCATGTTGCCAGCATAGAAATAACGTGCTTGTGTTTTTCTAATAATGTCCCCCGTCACTCTGCTTTGGGCCCTAGCAGGACAGTCATGGATAAATGTCAACAGGTGACTCATCTATGACCAAAATGTGTTCAGGCTTTGTGGGGGATTTAACAAAATAGAAATAATTTGCACTTTTCAAAATTAATACTTCTTACAATAGCTAGGTCTTGCTGTTGCCTTTTAGTAGGATATACCCCCAAACTTAGAAATTTCAGGAAACAAATCATTAGTATCCACTTTCATTTGGAAAGGCACGTACTTATGTAGCATTACTTTCTAATTATTTGTGTAAGAAGGGAACGTGCTCATAAAGATGAGATCATAAATGGCCCTGAGTTTTGGAAAGAAAATCTTTTAGCTTCTCCCCTTCCTTGCCCACCTATTTTTGCTGAGGTTCTTCTTTGTTTCTTTGCTTTCTTTCTCTTCTCTCTTTTCTCCTTC
Source organism: Homo sapiens (assembly GCF_000001405.40). Taxonomy (NCBI): domain Eukaryota; kingdom Metazoa; phylum Chordata; class Mammalia; order Primates; family Hominidae; genus Homo; species Homo sapiens. Next base: position 76,836,406 of record NC_000009.12, on the reverse strand, counting down.
TCCTGTTCTTGGGCTTCTCCCTCCCCCTATCTGATTCTAAGATTTTTTTGTGTTCATTTTCCAAGGCATGAATGTTCCATAAAGTCACATCATACAGTCATGGTGGCTAAAGTTGGTGCTTAGTTATGCCCTGGGTTTGTGCCAAAAGTGAACAGTTACAGACCCGCCAGAGTCCTCACCTGTATTCGTTTATTTCTCCAGAGATGTGTGCTAGAGGACTACTGCCAAATTTAAGATCCATTAAATTGCTGAATCATCACATTGGGGATTGTATGCGTGCACATTTGTATTTGTGTGCGTGTGTGTTTCTGGGAACCAGCTGGCAATGAGGTTTCAGCCACTGATTACCAGGCATGCTTAGATCAAGACCACACTTTACCCAAATGGCCTTTCACTTTTATTTGTGTAAGGCCTTGACAGGAGCCACAAGACAAAGAGAGAAAGAAAAGCGACTGTTCTTAGCCTAGGACTAAGTGAAAAACTAATATCCCAGGTTTTTAAAATTTAAACAAACTCTCTCCTTCCTATTGGTAGTTTCATTTGACCTTTAATAAAGAATAGTTGCTTGCTATTTTAGTAGCCTGGATTAACAGCTTCAAAAAGATCCTTTTAAGGAGGTCAAATAGGAAAGGAACAGAGCCAGATATTTTTTTTCTCTCTCTCTCTCTTGCCCAAAGAGTGAATCATCTCTCTCCTGAAATGGTTACAAAATCCAGAGGGAATTACATTGCCTGTTTTGCTTACGAAGACGGAGGGCTGTTTCACTTAGGAAGAAGATACTAGGGGTAGGGGGAAGAAGTGATTGTTTCTGCTAGTTATAAAACCAAAATGATTCCTCAACCTCAGAGTGTTCACTATTTCTTCTGTCACACAAAGATAATCTTTATTCTTAAATTCAGACATTTTAAAGTTATGAAAATAGTAGGCAGTTAATAAAATAGTAGGCAGTATAAAAAGAGGCTTCTTTTTATACCTCTTCAGACAAAAACGTAAACTAAGTTGTATTTCTTTTTCCTCCTTCCATTTTCCTCCTCCCTCTTTCTCTCTGTTATTCATTCCTTACTTTTTTTTCAATATGAAAAAAATCAATCCTATGTAAAAGAAAAAAAGATTTAAGACCCTTCTTTTCTGTTAAGAATTTGTCATGCAGAATACGCCTTTACTGTGTTGAATGTTTTCCCCAAACAATTTCTGACTTCATTAGATCATATTTAATATTAATGCACTGCAATTGCTTTTGGCAAGAGGTCCTTCACTTCTCCATTCTTTTGAGCAAAGAATATTGTGTTTGCTTTCTTTTCTAATGGAATGAAGTGTTTGTTACTATTTCCTCATAATTGCTTTCTTTGTTGCTTGCTGTTAATCGCTCCTTCCCTCTACCCTGCCTATGAATAGCTAAGATACTTTGGGGTACGTCCTTATGGATTTCAGTATTTCTTTCATTCTGCAAAATTTGCTGTAAGTTAGGTCAGTGCTTGCTACAAAAATAGGTTTCAATTTGCTGAGAGGTGTCTCTGGCTGCTGTAAGTCATGATACAGAAAAATAAGTTTGTAACTAAATGGGTTTCTAATGTAAGGTAGAAAAATTTGCCAAAGATGAGTTCCTGGGATAAAGTTGGGCTGTAGCTGTTTTTGTGCAGTCAAAATAGCTCAGAGTATCATGAGCATTTTTCTGAGTTAGTTTTCATACTTTTATCAGTATATCATCTCCTTTGTAATAGTCATATCAAACTTAACTATAAGCCAATATCAGATGTCTGTTTTCACTAAATTATTCCATAGGTCTCTGTTTAATGTAATATCTGTTAGGTTAATTTCTTAATACTGCCTTTCCATTTTATGTCTTTAAAAAATAAGATCCCCAAATCAAAGAAACTGGATTCTTGGTTTGACTGTAAGCCAGGGCACATTAAGTATTTAATATTTTGATTCTATTGCATTTCTAAATTTTTGATTTTTAATTGTGATTATTTATGGAAATACAGGTAATTTTGTATTATTGACCTTAATGCAGCAAACTTGCTAAATTTACTGACTATCCTGAGTTCATTTGTAGATTCTTTGAGCTTTTTTTGCACACATAATTGTGTCATCTATGAGGAAAGACAGTGTTTATTCTTTATTTTCCTTTATTTATACTTTCTACTTCTTTTGCTTGCCTTATTGCACTCTGGTTAGGATTCAGTGTGGTGTTGAGTAAGAATAAGAATAATAGGCATCTTGGGGCCGGGCACGGTGGCTCACACCTGTTATCCCAGCACCTTGGGAGGCTGAGGTGGGCGGATCACCTGAGGTCAGGGGTTTGAGACCAGACTGGCCAACATGGTGAAACCCCGTCTCTCCTAAAAATACAAAAATTAGCCAGGTGTGGTGGCACATGCCTGTAATCCTAGCTACTCGGGAGGCTGAGGCAGGAGAATCGCTTGAACTTGGGAGGCGGAAGTTGCAGTGAGCCAAGATTGCAGCCACTGCACTCCGGCCTGGGCGACCAAGCAAGACTCCATCTTAAAAAAAAAAAAACAAAAAAACCCGGCATCTTGGTCTCATTCCTGATTTGAAGTGGAAGTCTTTCAGTATTCCACAATTAACTGTGACGTCTGCTTTCTGTATTTTTTTTTAAATTTTTTATTTATTTATTTTTTTTTATGGAGTCTTGCTCTGTCGCCCAGGCTGGAGTGCAGTGGCGCAATCTCGGCTCACTGCAAGCTCCGCCTCCCGGGTTCACCCCATTCTCCTGCCTCAGCCTCCCAAGTAGCTGGGACTAGAGGCGCCTGCCACCAGGCCCGGCTAACTTTTTGTATTTTAAGTAGAGACGGGGTTTCACCGTGTTAGCCAGGATGGTCTCGATCTCCTGACTTCGTGATCCGCCCACCTCAGCCTCCCAAAGTGCGGGGATTACAGGCATGAGCCACCACGCCCGGCCTGTATTTGGTTTTTATAAATGCCATTCATCAAATAAGGAAGTTGTCTTCTATTTCTACTTGACTAAGATTTCACATAATGATTAACTTTGGGATTTTCTGAAGTAGTTTTACTACTTGATATCTGTCTATCTAGGTGATCATAGGATTTTTCCTCTTTATTAATATGATCAATTATAACTGATTGCTTTTTGAATGTTAATTTGTACTTTGATTCTTGGGGGAGCCCTACTTGGTGGCTATGCAATATCCTATTATAAATTGTTGAATTTGACTTGGGACTAGTTTTAAAAACTAGTATTAGTTTAATTGGTATTAAGGTTTTGCTAGATTCATAAAATTCATAAAATGAAGATATAATTCCATTGTCTTTAGACTTTTGGGAAATCTCTCATTTTCTATTCTTTGGGATAATTTGTGTAAAATTAACATTTCTTAAATATTTGGAATTATGGACTTAACTATGGATTCATTTTTAAATAGATACAAAACTAGTCTAGTTTTTTATTTCTTTTTCTGCCAATTTTGGCAAGTTGAATTTTCCTAGTGGTGTCCATGTCTTCTAAAATTTAAAACTTATTAAAACCAAGTTGTTAGTATCTTTTAATGTCCGTAGAATCTAGTTATGTCACGATTTCATTATTAATATTGGTAAACTATGTCTTCTTTCTCTCCTGTCTCTTTTTTTCTTGAATTGTTTTCAAAACTCCTTATATTAGTTTTTTCCAGAAATCCAAGTTTTGTTTTATTGATTTCTTCCATATGTGTTTGTTTCCTTCATCTTTAACTTTGGCCTTGTGTTTATTATATTTGTCCTTCTACCTTTTTTTTAGGTGAATTTAATGTGTGTGTATTTTTTTTAACACTTAACGCTTTTAAGGGTATAAAATTTCCTTAGAGCACAACTTGAGTTGAATCTCACAATTTAAAGTGTCATATTTTCATTCTCATTTAGTTAAAAGTATTATATATTCTGATTTACATTGTGATTTCTTCTTTTACCATGAGTTATATAGAAGTGCATTGTTTTTACTTTGTTATTGTTTTTAGACTATTTTTCAAGTAACCACAGACTATAACTCTATAGTGGCCACCTTTTGAAATTTATTAGAACTTAAACTCTGCTTCAACAGATGGTCAATTTTGGTAAATGTTTCATTTGTACTAGAAAAGAAAGTATAGTCCACCACTGTTGGTAACAATTTAATATATGTTAATTAGGTCAAGTTTGTTACTCATGGTGGTCAAACGTTCTATATTTTTGCATACTTTTTCCTGCTGGTTCTTAGAGTTGCTGCGAGAGATGTGTTAAAATTTTCCACTGTGACTGTGTATTTATCTCATTTTTCATCTAGTCTTTTCAGTTTTTGCTTTATATATTTAGAAGCTATGCTATTAGTGCATACAAATTTAGAATTGATGTATCTTCCAGAGGATTGACCCCTTATTAATATAGAAATATTTATCTTAATCTCATGTAATTCTTCTTGTTTTGTAGTCCGTTTTGTTTGATATTAGCATATTACACCAACTTTCTTGTGATTGGTGTTCGCATGTTTATGTTTTTCTATCCTTTTACCTTCAACCTTCCGATGATTATATTTAAGGTGTGCTCTGGTAAGCAGTATATTGTCATTTTGGTTTCTAAAATTCAGTTTGATGATATTTGTCTTTGAATCGAAGTGCTTTGTCTCTGTGTTTAATGTAATTGCTGTTACATCTGGTTTAAATTTATTATTTTGATGTTTGTTTCCTACTTGTCACACATTTTCTTCTTTTCCTCTCATTTCTTTACTGCTGTATACTAAATAAGTGTTTTTGATATTCTTTTAGTGGTTATGATAGCAATTACAACATACAGTTAAAATATCATATAAATTGATAATTTTATCATTTCCCTGACAATCTTAGAACCTAAAACAGCTTCTCTCTACTTAGCCTCTCCTCAGTTTGTTACTATTAAAATGTATTTTAATTATCCATATATAATATTTTAAACTTTAAAATATTACTATAATTCTAAACTCTTTAAAATATTACTATAATTGTTTTATACAGTGAATATTGAATTTATTCTTACCCACATATTTACATTGTCCAATGTTTTTCTTTTCTTCCTGCATTTCTTTGCTTCCTTATGAGATAATTTTTTTCTGCCTTTACTGTTTCTTTTGGTGTAGATCTTGTGACGCATACTTTCAGACTTCTTTCATTTTTTTCTGAAATGCCTTTATTTTGCCTTCTTTTAGAATTTGTTGGCTGGGTGCGGTGGCTCAAGCCTGTAATCCCAGCACTTTGGGAGGCCGAGGTGGGCGGATCACAAGGTCAGGAGATCGAGACCATGCTGGCTAACATGGTGAAACCCCATCTCTACTAAAAATACAAAAAATTAGCTGGGCGTGGTGGCGGGTGCCTGTAGTCCCAGCTACTTGGGAGACTGAGGCAGGAGAATGGTGTGAACCCGGGAGGTGGAGCTTGCAGAGAGCCGAGATCACGCAACTGCACTCCAGCCTGGGCAACAGAGCAGGACTCCGTCTCAAAAAAAAAAAAAAAAATTGTTTTCACTCAGTATGGAATTCTAGATGGGCAATTGTTTTATATTAGCCCTTTGAAGATGTAATTCCATTGTCTTTAGACTTTCATCATTTTAGTTGAGAAGTCAGTCATACTTTTAATGCCCTTTTTACTCTGATTGGTTTAATTTTTATTTTTTCTCTCCATAATTTTTTTAGCAGTTTTACTATCAGGCACCTAGAGGTGTTTGTCTTTGTCTTTATCCTGATTTGGGCTCATAGTTTTTCTTTTTCTTTTTTTTTTTTTCTTTTTTTGTTTTTGAGACTGAGTCTTGCTGTATCGCTCAGGCTGGAGTGCAGTGGCATGATCTCAGCTCACTGCAACTTCTGCCTCCCAGGTTCAAGTGATTCTTGTGTGTCAGCCTCCAGAGTAGCTGGGATTGCAGGCACCCACCATCATGCCCAGCTAGTTTTTATATTTTTAGTAGAGATGGAGTTTCACCATGTTGGCCAGGCTGGTCTCAAACTCCTGATGTCAAATGATCTACCCACCTCCACCTCCAAAGTGCTGGGATTACAGGTGTGAGCCACCGTGCCCAACCCACAGTTTTTCTTTAACGTTTGAATAATGTCTTTCTTTCATTAATTTTGAAAAATTAGTATACCAATTGCCTTTTCAAATATTGCTACAGCTCCATTCTCTCCTTTCCAAGGGGAACTACTGCCTATCTGTTAGACTTTGCTCCATTTCTCCATCTCTCTTAAGCTCATCTCTGTATTTTTCATCGCTTTTTCTCTCCATGCTTCAGTATGGTTGTTTTCTTCTGACCTATTTTCTAATTCACTAATCTTTTCCCCCATGCATCTAATCTGCTGTAAAAACATTTGAGTTCGAAATTAAGTTATTAAATTGACAGTTTTAAAATTTCATTTGATTATTTTACTTACAGATTCTAATTCTCTATTGTAATTCTTCAGCTATTTTTAAAATCCCCTCTGATTCTGTTTCTATTCTTTTCCTCATGAGTTTATTCTTCTAGAGTTTCCAGTCATTTCTTCTATTTCCTTTGTGATTGGCAATTTGTTATGGATGGCTGAATAGTGTATATGAAAAATGTGGAGATGATGAGACTAAAGATGACAAAATTATTTTGCTCTCAAGAGGATTTACTTTTGAACCCCAAAGGCAGTTTGAAGAGTGGCAGATTAAAAAAAAAAAAACAAAACAAAACTATTCTCTGCTTAAGCCAATTCAAATCAGGATTTCGGTCCTCAGGAAGACTGATCCATTTTTGCTTCACCCTTCTCCCTAGGCAGGGGTTGGTATAGGTCCAGATAGTAAATATCTTAGGGTTTGTGTGTCTGCAGTCTCTGTTGAAACTACTCAACTCTGTCAATATAGTACAAAAGCATCTATAAACAATATGCGAATTAATGAACATGGCTGTGTTCCAATAAAACTTCATTTATAGAAACAGACAATTAGCCAGATTTTATCTCCAGACTGTAGTTTTCCAACCCTTGTCCTAGGATATAACTCTCTAGGGGTCCTGTTTCAAAACCGGGTTACTTAACTAAAACTCCTTTTCTGTAGAGGGCCCTAAACTTTAGTTTTTGTCTCCATAGGCTGTTAAACTTCTGTTAGATTTGCTAATTTTTTCAGCCTATTGGCTTATTTTATCACTTATGAATTAGCAAATATCCTAAGAGGAAAAGCAACACCAAATGTTGGGCTCACTTCTGTGCACTTACCCTCTCTCCAGGACCTTAGCTTCCAAGACAGTTACTTGGGTAACTCTGTGATACTTTCACAGATTTTTAAAAACTTGATTTAGCTTTTATCCTTGTTCTTAGTACAAGCAGTCTATCAGAGCGAGAGGCAGATGAAGATCTTTTCTGAAATTCATATTTACCATTGCCTTAATAAAGAGGGGAATTTTTTTTTTTTTTTTTTTTGAGACAGAGTGAGACTCTGTCTCCTAGGCTGGAGTGAAGTGGCGTGATCTTAGCTCACTGCAACCTCCGCCTCCCAGATTCAAGCAATTCTCCCGCCTCAGCCTCCCGAGTAGCTGGGATTACAGGCACCCGCCACCGCTCCTGGCTCATTTTTTGTATTTTTAGTAGAGATGGGGTTTTGTCATGTTGGGCAGGCTGGTCTTAAACTCCTGACCTCAGGTGATCCACCAGCCTTGGCCTCCCAAAGTGCTGGGATTACAGGCATGAGCCGCTGCGCCCGGCTGGAAAAATAATCTTTATAGTATGAGTTTTATGTCAGAGATTGACAGACCACAGGGTATACACAAAATCCAGCTGGCTGCCCTCCACCTTCAAATGACTGTTGAAATGGAATCTGTTTAGTTCTGTGTGCTGACTGTTCTTTCCTTTTTTCTTATCCAAAACAGCCTCCTTACTGATTCTCCCCATATTCCTTATCTAAATTTTTCTCTGCATGATAGCCAGAGTGATTCTTATAAAACATAAATGTGAGCATGTTACTTTCCCTACTTAAAACTCTTGAAAGATTCCTCATCCCTCTTAAAATATAAAAGACAAACTTTAAGGCGGCTTGTAAGGCCCTTCATGGTCCCGCTATCTATCTCTATCTCTCCAACCTAATTTTTCAACATTTCCCTTGCTAAAATCATACCATCTACCTGTAATTAATTGCTTTCTGTTCCTTGAACTGGCCCAATTCCCTCCCACCTCAGTGCCTTTGCACAGGCTCTTTCTGGATCATGACCTCCCTCTTGTCTTTGCCTTAAGTCCCTAGTTATCCTTCAAGCTCAGCTTAGGTTAACTTTCTCTAGGAAGACTCCTCTGAACCCTAGATTTTGGCCTAGATTCAGAGTACTATGTATTTCACCCATAATATTTCTTATTCTCTGCTATTGAAAATGTCTGTGCTTACTTATTTGTAACCTCTAATCTCCCGTGAGCTTCAAGAGGCAAGGTTATCTCTAGCCTAATCTTGAATCGTTAGCATAGAGCCCTGCCTGGCCGATAAAAGGCACTCAGTAATTGTTTGTGAGGGAATGAATGGATGAAATGCTTTAAATATATTTAGCAATATTTACTTTTCTTTATGATGTTTACATTCATTTGATGCTTAGTATAACACTGTGAGCTGGGAAAGCAGTATTATTCCTGTTTTAAAAATGGGAAACTGGAAACGGAGGCCAGACGACTTGCTTGGGACTTTCCAGCATGTTTGATGGTAAATGTAGACCTCATCTCTAGGTTCTGTAGGTCTCAGGCCATGTGTTTGGATTGGGTACCATAGTTTTCCCTCACTGGATGCTTTATTTCCCCTTTTACCTTCTTTCCTCTTTTATTTATTTTCCATTTTCCCTCCCCCATGACTGGCGTTAAGGCTACACTGAAACAGAGACGGTAGTACTTTGATTAGTCAACAGATTTGGGGATTTTTAGAGAGCTTAATCATTTGTCATTAAGCGAAACTTCTCTCTCCCATGGTGACTCTGTGTTAATCTGGGCTTGGAATGCAGGGAAGAGTAAGAGTACGTATGGGGTGCTAACTCCTCCCTTTCAAGATGAGATTATCCACAGAAGTCACAGGAGTTTGTGCAAGGTCCTTCACACTGGAAAATTACTTTGTAATTTAAACCTGTGATTTAGACCCAGCTTGTGAGTCCTTATAATTAGATAATTGTAAATGACTTTAAAACTGTGTATGATGCTTGGGAGATCAGAAATGGACGTCAGGTTAGCCACCTTGTCAGATTCCTCAGCTGTTGACCGTGGGATTATACATTCATTTAGTGTGAAAAGGAAGAAGTTTGTATGTAAAATTAATAATATAATGAGTGGAAACAGTATTCTTTCTGGTCCTTTAAAGGAAATAAGGCTGATTAGACTTTTAAATAGTTTACCACTAACTTCCTTTTTGAAATCATTTAAGACCAATGCATATCTTTTTGTGTGTTTGTGTGGGGTTGGGGGAATATACACATTTTTTTCCTTTATCTGTGAATTCTGTACCATAGAGTATGCTAGGGTCAGTTAAGTTGTAGAGAGCAGTACTTGGAGAATAATGAAGCTGGATGATGGTTCAATTGTTTTCTAAAAATTGGCTCTTGAATGTTACGTGTGGAGGACTCTGGTCCAGGTGAGAGACAGAAATGGAAAGCTTAGATTGAGAGGCCAGGAAACACTGATTTTCTTGGCCCCTGTTCTGGCTTGGCTGGAAAGCTTTAAGAGCATTTTTATTCATACCTTTCAGGTAGCATTCTTTTCAAGTGGATGACCATGGAATCAGAGAAGATCTCAGAGAAGCAGGAGGAAATTCTTTCTATCCTGGAAGAAAAATTTCCTAACTTGCCTCCAAGAGAGGACATCATCAACGTCCTACAGGAGACCCAGTTCAGTGCTCAGGGTGAGTGACTCTGTCCCCAGCTCTCTTGTCCCTCCCGAGTAGGGATGGTTTGTGGCATGGAGCATCATCAGACCTGAGAAGGTATATTTGTTTCTTTGTTTGTTTTTTATACAGAGTCTCACTCTATCCCCCAGGCTGGAGTGCAGTAACATGATCTCAGCTCACTGCAACCTCGACCTCCCGGGTTCAGGTGATTCTCATGCCTGTCTCCCAAGTAGCTGGGATTACAGGCATGCACCATGACAGTCAGCTAATTTTTGGCATTTTTAGTAGAGGCAGGGCTTGACCATGTTGGCCAGGCTGGTCTCGAACTCCTGGCCTCAAGTCATCCACCTGCATCGGCCTCCCAAAGTGCTGGGATTACAGGTGTGAGCCACCATGCCCAGCTGAGAAGGTACATTTGAATGTGTTTCACCTTCTTCCTATTGCTTGTGCTGGTGGAAGGTTTTCAGGCACATAATGTTGACTCCCCTGCAAATAGACAGCTTGTACTGTGGCCTCTCCTCCGAGGCCTTTGTGTCTGGATGTGTGGTTAATTCATGTCTCTAGTGCATATCTCAGGTGCATTATTACATGCAATCCTTATGCTGATAGGATTCTATTTTGAGAAGATGGAAGGAGCAATATCAAGCACAATGGGATTTCATAAATCAGTTAATTTGAGAAGGAAATGAGTGAGAAGATGGCTATGTTGAAGAAACTGTTGTCAGAGTCTAGGCTTTGTCAGGACAGTGAATTTCCTGGATCAACTGTTTTACAATAACAAAAGGCTATAATTCACTGGATACCTACTGTATACAGGTTTTGATGGCATAGCTTGGCAAGGATGTTCTTGCTGAATCCTCCTCATGACAACCCCAAGAGTCAGTGCTTTGACGTCCCAGTCTGCAGGTGAGGGAGGACACTGAAGTGCAGAAAGCCTTCATTGCTTTCCCAACATCAAACACACATAGCAGGCAGGTGGCCAGGCAAGGCCTAAACCCAGCCTATATGTCTTTAAGATGTAAACACTAAATTACATAACTTTCTCTCTTAGTTCAGGAACCCCATCCCCAGGGGCAGGAGGGGGCAGAGCCTGAGGCAAAGTGGTTTATGTGGGAGGTGGTTCCAGTCAACACTGATAGGGGAATGGAATGCTTCAGCAAGCAAGTTGGCTCCATGGGAAACCAGAGCTTAATCCCACCAGAGACCATGAGAAAGAGTGTAAACTCTGTCCCACCTGAGGGATGCAGTGGTGTGCTCATCTCGGCTCCAGGAGCTGATGGTTAAATGTTCAGGAATTTTGTGAGTTGAGTGATGATTGGTAGCTTGAGATCAGCCATGGTAGGAGTATTTAGATCCCTGAAATTGACAAACACTACAAATCAGGATTTGTTACTGGCCGTTAAACATTTACCAGCAGACCACTGGAAGAGTGTGGGCTACTCAGACCCAGGGGGCCTTAATTCTCCAGTGTAGGCTCTGGTGGCCAAGGAAAGCCCTCAGGAAAAGAGAGGCAGGTGCTGGTGGTGGAGCATCATGCTGGGTGCACTGGGATGGGAAAGTTTGAGGAAATGGGGTGGGGCCTTTGCAGCGTCCATTGCACCTTCTGTTACCTATGCATAGATGTGCATGTCCTTGTGTGTATGCTGCACAAGGGAATGTGTTTTGTCATTCATTTTCACAATGACACCAAACTTTTAATGTCACAATGTCTTCAATGAATCATTTTACGCTGCATTGTGAAAGATTGTGGCTTTTCAATTTTTGAGTCAAAGAAAAATATTTAGTGCCTGTCTGTTTCCTCATGTGATTGACAGAGCATTGTAAGTAGGTAGTGCAAGCAGTGGTCTCTGAAGCCTTAACATACGTCTGGGAAGGGTGCAGTGCTTTACCAGGCTTTATTATAGATCTTCCTCCCAAGAGAGTAGGCCTAATCAGACGTAATAATGTAGCGCGAGAATTAAATGTCGAGCCAGATCCTTTGCTGCTTTACTGTGATAGATTTCATTGAGTTCCATTGGTCAACTGACTACAACTATGCAGTTCTGGATAATTTAGCCATTCTGGATTATTACTCCCATTAATTAGGGAATTTAATAACTCTTATTGTCAGAGCCTATTACGAGGGTAAGCAACTTAATTAAGATAGTCTTACGAGTCACATTTGTAAAGTGCATTTTGAATGAAATTATACTAGAAAACATGGGGGCTTACCTAAATGCAGCCTGAAAGCCAGTTTTGGCTTTCTTTGGTGTTACTTAACTAGTTTGCATGGTGATGTTAATTTTTCTTCATTTGTCCACCGCCACCCTTTTATTCCCTGCCTTTGTCTGCTCTGGGGCTCCAGAGGTGGACCCCTAAGTATTTAATCTTATGGGCTCCCACAACACTGGCTTCTGGTTGGGTTTGACCAATAGGAAGAGTTAGGAACAGGTAGGGATGGAGGCGAGGAGAAGAATGAGACTGTAGTGGATCTTCCTTGCCTTCTTCCTGCTTAGGTGGAAGTTTCTGCAGCCAGTCTTCTCAAGTTACAGATCTCTGTTTTCTTTCTGGGTCCCTTTGCTAGTCTCTGGATGCCTCATCATCTTTTATTCACTTTCTCACCCAGCCCACATCTCTGTAAGTGTCCTGCCATTAACACATCTTCTTTTGCAGCAAAAGAGGTGCATTTTTCCTATTGGGATCCTAACTGATGCAGACGTGATGTGATTATTGCCTTAGTGTGTGTGTGTGTGTTTATTGTGGATAAAAGTGACATTTGAGGGGCAAAGAATGAAATTTACAGAGTAAATTCTTCAAAACATCGCTTGATATTACAAAAAAAAAATCCCTCAAGTATAACATAATGTTTTTTTTTCCTGTCATCCACAGGTTTAAGTATTGAACAGACAATGTTGAAAGATCTAAAGGAGCTGTCAGATGGAGAAATAAAAGTGGCCATTAGTACTGTGAGCATGAACCTTGAGGTAAGGGTGGGAATGCTTTTTTAGCATTGATTGATTTCCCACAATTGCAGTCTGAGCAACTGGAATGTAACTCTCTCCATTGGATAAGTCCATGATAGTCCTTTGCTTCTTTGTGATACATTTGACTTGGAATATAGTGGCAGGTTATTATTTGGGTGAAAACACTATGCTAAGTCAATGAAAAATGCCAAACCTGGATTCTCAAGATGAATGCTCTTTCATTCATCTCAGTAAAACAAAGCCTAAAACAAACACTCAGATGTGGGTGTATATTTAACCTGTTTAATAGCAATTATGATATGTGTGATTAGGTTCACTTCCATATTTTCTGTGTACCACCCTGTATTGTTCATAGAACTTTTCTTAAAAAAAAAAAAGAAAAAAGAAAAAAAAGCAAGTTGTCTTTTGATCTTCAAAACTATTTGAATGCATGCCATTTTGGTAATCAGTGGTGACAACTCAAGTATTACTTAACAAGGAACCTCCTTCCAAACTGTTAACTGAATGGCTCAGAGCGAATGCTACTTTTGTCTTTGTGTGTTTCCTTGGTGAGTTATCTTTTGTCTACTTTGGGAGTTTTCAATGACTTATATGTTAATCTTAATTAACCTAACTAATGGGAACTATATTTTACAGAGGCACATTTGTGCATTTGTAGAAGTCTGTGTATTTCTTTACTGTTGTATTGTCTTTACCAGGTTATCTACATTTGGTTGGGCACTTAGCTCTTAGGTCGAGTTTATGGAGATGAAATATGCTCTATAGGAATTTGTGTTTTGGTTTTTAGAATTGTGTGTTGCCATTCTTTTTTTTTTCTTTTTCTTTGAGGTGGAGTCTTGCTCTGTCACCCAGGCTGGAGTGCAGTGGCACCATCTCAGCTCACTGCAACCTCCACCTCCTGGGTTCAAGTGATTCTCCTGCCTCAGCCTCCTGAGTAGCTGGGATTAAAGGCGCCCGCCACCACTCCTGGCTAATTTTTGTATTTTAGTAGAGACAGGGTTTCACCATATTGGTGAGGCTGGTCTTGAACTCCTGACCTCAAATGATCTGCCTGCCTTGGCCTCCCAAAGTGCTGGGATTACTGGCGTGAGCCACCACACCCGACCTATTCTTCTTTTTCTCATGGTGATGTTGACTATATCAATGTGTATATTTCTCTGGAATAGCAGGCACTCATATTGGTGTCTACATCCTCAGAAAACCCAAGAGCAAGCCAGGTGCTTTCTTTTCGTGATCTTTTTGTCAAATTTATTTCCAGTTCATACGCATTATAATTCAGCTTATAAATCTGTATGAAAACTAGGAGGCAAACTGTGATGTTTGGTGGCACCTCACAGTTTACAGAGCATGTTCTCATTGTATGCACTTGATAAATTGACTCAACTGTTTCTATGGACTTTCAGATTGATAAGTGCTCCATATGACTAGTTATTGATGTGAATCAATTCAACAAATATATTCAATTTGTGAGGTAGTAACTATATAATCACCATCAATTAGAACTCTGCTTTGTGCCTAAGAACCCAAGGAAAACATGGATCTTGCAAGGGTCAGTAGCTCTAAGAATCATTTCTACTAGTTCAAGCCTTAGGGTTTTCTTTCTCTGTTCCCCTCTCCTCTGTCTTCCTTCATTTAATGGCATCTTATTAGGTTTTAAATGCCTTGTTTGGAATTCCTTCCTAAATTAACATAGAATGTCTTGTAATTGCTTAGGGAACTGTCTGTAATTAGCAAATTATTTTAAGGCTATTCATATTACAGACTTACTGTAGCTTTAATGTACCTCAATTTATATTATAGGGGTATGCAAATGGCTTTGTCAGATGTGTTAAACTGTAAATGTCTATCAAGCAGAATAAGTGATAAAATAATCATCTTAATCTTGAAAGTAATTTACAGAGGTCCAGTAATTAATCAGGTGGTTAAGCACATCTCTGAAAGTGTTATATGATCTTGGAGGAAAGGAGGACATTTGTGTATAATAAAGAAGGGTACACAGTTTAAACTCTTATAGGCTGAATGAGAACTTTTCACTTTTGCATAATGGGGATATTAAAGATGACTGAGAAGTGGAAAAAAAAAACCTCCTTAGTAACATCCTGTATCTTCCTTGAAAGAAAAAATGCAAATCAGTTATCCAATCTGTCTGCTGGAAAAATTCCCAAGTTAATGTCAGAGTTTAATTTTCTCTGTAGATTGTCCTGTGATGCAGTGGTATTTTCCCAATCCCTACTCATATTTGATTATATTTCAGCATTCCTTTCTCATTCCCATTAACCTCACTTTAAAAAATATTGACAGAATCCTCACAATCTTATTTTGTGGATTTTGGAACAGTTATATAATTGCTCTTTGAATCTAGGTGTATTCTCAAAGAAACCTTCTTAGTTCCTATGACTTTCCGAATCTTGCTCATCCTCCAAAGCATGGTCAACCAAGGTGCATCATGATAACTCTTACAGATTCACTATTTTTTATTACCACCCTCTGAACTCTAGCTAAATGTAGTCTAGGTGACCAACTTAGGACTTCACTCTTTACATTAGATCTTCCGTTGCTTTTGAATTTGTTTAATATTTCTAATCATGGTCTGATAGTATTTTAAATTAATTGAGGGTACTGATGGTATCTGACTTCTCTCTCTCTTCAGTTTTCTGTAACAGTGATGGCACATAGTAGATGCTTAGTAAATGCAAATATTTAGTTAATACTTATGGGTGTTTGCAGTTCGCCCCTTTGCTATCTGATTTATATTTCCTTTTGGATTTAAATAAATCAGCTAGGAAAGCAAAGCCACTTAGCTAGGCATCCAAAGCAGCCTACTTTTTCCTCTCCCAACCAGTTTCTTCCAGACAACTATGGTTGAAGGATAACATCAAGCAGATGAAAAATGGCCCACATATTTATAGAAAGTATGCTTATCCCGCTCTCCAAAAACGGAGTGGGAGGCTTTGCAAAGTCGTTAGCTGTTGTCACTGGCAGAAATCAACTATAGGTTCTGCAGCATGTCGGGGATATGGGAATGAAGATTCCTTGCATTTTCAATGGTTCTTTGCAATGCTGTAATTCTACCGTTGTGTAAGTCATGGCCTTTATACGGCTGATGACCCAGTTAATTTTCTTGGGTAGAAGTATTCAGAAAATTAGAAAGATTTATCTCCCTGTAACTTACACAGCATGCTCTTCAGAGGGAACCATTGAGTTTGGGAGGTAGAAACCACTGCCTTCAATAGTTATAGGTTATCTGGCACTCTGATAAGAAGAAAGCTTCTAAACCCCTTGTCTCTCATTTTTATTGTAGTTATCTCACAAATATTCATTGTTATATAAGTTACTGAATGAAATACATAAAAAGCAAGTAATTACAATAATAGAGTTTCAATGCTTTGCTCAGTACAGGAAGTCAGAATGGATGAGATTTTGAGGGGCGGTGTGTAGAAATGGCCTTATCAGAGGCATGGCCAGAGGGGCAGCTCTTCTTAATAAGGGGACTGTGGGAAAAGATAACTGCAGTCTCATTTCGCTCAGCCTCCAAGCCATTCCAAGTGTGAAAGTAGCATGCGTCTTGTGGGGGAATGCACATGACATATTGGAATCCCCTTTGTTGATTATTGTTACACCTGATCCTTTGTGGCCTTTTTGTTGCTTGTTGATTTGATCATCAGAAGAGAATTTATGGATATCAAAGAGCAAACGTTGCCTTTATTCCCTTGCCAGCAGAACTGGTAATGATTATACTTCTTGGGCCTAGTTTACTCCCTAGTAAAGCAGTATATTAAAACGTTAAGGGGAAGAAACATCTTTTCATTCTAATGAAGTGCCACTGAAGCAAGGTTGCTCACGGCAGTACATTAATGGTTCCCTTGCTGACACCAAATGTTATTACATCTTCTTTAAGCATCTCCCAAAAGACTGTTAGTCATTATTAGCGTCTTTACTCAGGAAGGACAATAGCCATGCACTGACTTGATCACTTTTTATTATGATCAATTGCAGTATGATTTATTCTTGTGTATGTGCTGTATCAGTGTGCTAGAGCTGGCATAACAAAGAACCACAAACTAGACGTCTTAAACAATAGAAATTTATTGTCTCACAGCTCTAGAGGCTAGAAGTCCATGATCAAGGCGTTGGTAGGATAAGTTCCTTCCAAGAGCTGTGGGAGAGAATCTGCTCCATGCCTGTCCCCTAGCTTCTGATGGTTTGCTGGTAATCTGTAGTGTTCTTGGTGCATAGAAGCATCACCTGGATCTCTGCCTTCATCTTCACATCACCTTCCCTCTATGCATGTCTCTGTGTTCAAATTTCCCCTTTTCATAAGGATACATAATAGATTAGGACCCATCTAGTAATCTTATCTTAGTTTATTTATTTATTTTTTTGAGACAGCGTCTTGCCCTGTTGCCCAGGCTGTAGTGCGGTGGCATAGTCAAGGCTCACTGCAACTTCCACCTCCCGGGCTCAAGGGATCCTCCCACCTCATCCTCCTGAGTAGCTGGGACTACAGGTGTGCACACCACACCTAGCTAATTTTTGCATTTTTTGTAAAGATGGGGTTTGCCATGTTGCCCAAGGCTGGTCTCAAACTCTTGGGCTCAAACGATCAACTCGCCTCAGCCTCTCAAAGTGCTGGGATTACAGGCATGAGCCATGGCGCCTGGCCTCATCTTAGTTTACTATGTCTACAACAACCCTATTTCCAAATAAGGTCACATTTTGAGGTGCTGAGAGTTAGGACTTCAACATAAAAGTTTTTGTGGGACAAAATTCAACCCCTAATGTATACTACTGTGACAGTAGTCATTTTTCAGACAACTTAAAAGAATAAAACTTAAAATTTTAAGATTGCCTGTATGAACCTGCTGCCTGGTAAGCATATTTCATCTGTTGCTCCCACATTTTTATTTCATATCAATTTCCTTTAAATGAGGAACGGTGAGGACTTTCAGCTGTTGGCATTTTATCTCCTTTCTTCAGAACTGGAGTCTGAGGGAATTGTTCAGGGCCGTTTTCTCTCTTTCTTTCTGGGCTGTTCTGCTGTGCTCTGGGCCTCAGACCTCCTCATGACCAGCCACTCTGCTGTGTGAAGCCTGGGATGCATCCTGGTAAAGTGACTCAGAGGCCGCTGACTCATTCTGCCCTGCACAGAGATTACCAGCCATACTGCACCTTGGAGTACTGCCCAGGGGAAAATACTAATGTTTTCCATTAGCATTCAAAGCACAGACCAGAATGAATTCCCAAGATCACTGCTAAACTCCTTCCTGACAAAAGGGAACGTTTACTCAGGCCTCAGTGAAGCATAAGTGAGCCACTGTAACCAAGGATTTGAGACTCAGCGCACCAGTCTGAAATCTGGTTTACCAATTTTATGCACACAATATGATTTCTCATTGAGCTTGGAGTTTGTTGGTGGCCAAGATGAAAGTACCTGTAGAGTATTTAACTCTCTTATTTTGTGAAAGAGTGCATAGCGTTTCTTGGGGGAGCATATGTTAGTTTTGAACTGGTCTTGAACCAGTTCACCTTTTCAAAATATGTGAATGATTTGATTTTGGTCAGCAAATCACTAGTAAATCTTTAGCATATTGCTTAGCATATTGGTGAGCATATGATTTGCATATTGAAATATTTTGAAAAGATGACTTTTCAAAGCCATTTTGCCCAACTAATAGAAATATGTGAAAACTCTCCTCTAGGTTCTAAATCCTGAGTGCATCCATTTCTTTCTGGGTTCAGGTCTGTAAACTCTTCCTTGCTACAGTAAAAGTTGATGATGGTGAGTGCTTACCGTGTACCTGGCAGTTGAGTAAGCATTATCTCACTTAATCCTCCCAGTAAAAGGTACTATGATTACCCCTGTATTGGTGAAGGTAGCTCCAGCAGCTGGAACAGATAAACAAGTCTCAGTGACTCAGCCCAGAAATTGTTTATTTTTCACTCATGTAGCAATCCTATTTGGTGTTCCCAGTCAGGTGGCCAGGGGTGATTCAGAGACCATCTTCAATATGTGGTTTCCAAGGTTGCTCAGGAGGACATCTCCAGTTTATCTGTCAACAGGGAGAAGAGCTTGGAGGGCCAAGGGTGGAGTTTTTTATGGATCTGGTCTGGTTGTGACACTCATCACTTCTGCTCATATTTCATTGGCTCAGTCACATGGTCACATGTAACTGGAGGGAGGCTGAAAAATGTCATCAAATAGATGTGCCCATGAAAAGGAACCAATTTGGAAAATAATTAGCCAGTGTCTGCCATAATCTCTATCTTAGAGGTAAGGACATTGGAATCTAAAGAGGTTAAATCATTTTTCTAATCTGTAGAGCCAGGACCCAAATCCCAGGCCAGTCCTATTCTAGCCCTGTGTATACTGCTTGGGTCATGGTGCCAGCATGCAAGACTAATTAGAATTTGAGCCCACTCAGGGGTTCACTAGTAAGTCATCAGCTATCAGTCATTGCCCCAAACTCAGGGTGTCAGACAGCCTAGACATCCTTAAGCAATCCTTGGTTAGCATTCTTCTTTCCCTACTCTTTGTACCAAACTTTCTTCCTCTTAGTCTTCACACCTTTGCTTCCTGAAAAAATCATTTTAATTTTTGAACTATAAACATAATCCAAGTTCTAGGTGCTCATTGTGAAGCTAATTATTGGTGCCTGATACAGAGAAGATTTGGCAAGATAAGTCAAGTAGATAAAAGTAATAGGAAAAAGGATTATGGAAAGAAGGATTGGATAGGACAGATCGTGTAGGAAGGAAAAAGTCTGTTTTTTTCTCAGACTGTCTCTAGAATTCAAGGATGTGGGTGTTCTGGTTTTTCTTGCTGTGATTTAGCCTTTTCAAATTTGTGTTCAAAATATAGAGCATCCCAGTCAGTTAGTGAAAAATTTTAATGGTAGAGATTTTTTACTGAAATGAAAACAGCATTACTTTTGAGCACTATAGTAACTCCAAATAACCAAACTCCGAGTAGCTGGGGAATTAGGAGTTCTTAGTTCATATTTTGTCGAAAATTCCAAAAGCACTTAAAGCAAATGACAAATACAGTTAGGTAACTTTGATTGTGTGGATTTAACAGTCAGTCGGTGTGAGGCATTTGAAGTGTGAATTACAATTTTAAACTAATTTAGAACGGATAATTCCTAGCTTCTTGAGGACATTAGCAGGATAAAAGAGTGAAACATGGACCCAGAAAAGTGGACTTTCGTTCCTATTGAGCTATGAGTGGTTCTTGGTAATGAGATGTAACCGAGATGAAAGAATAAAAAATCCCTGTGTAAAGAATGGTTTATCATATCAGCAGCAACAGCACTTTGTCTTTGGAAAATTGTACTAAGTGGCTGAAGCTGATAATATTTAGAATATTTACAATTTGTATGTAGGTAGTGCCTTCTACAGATGTCCAAAAATAGTCTGTAAAATCTCTTTACCTAGAAATGCTTATAATATAATTCTTTTTTTTTTTTTTTTTGGAGATGGAGTTTTGCTCTTGTTGCCCAGGCTGGAGTACAGTGGCACAATCTCGGCTCACTGCAACCTCTGCCTCCCAGGTTTAAGTGATTCTCCTGCCTCAGCCTCCTGAGTAGCTGGGATTACAGGTGCCCGCCACCACGACCAGCTAATTTTTTGTATTTTTAGTAGAGATGGGGTTTCATCATGTTGGCCAGGCTGGTCTCAAACTCCTGAACTCAGGTGATCCACCCGCCTCAACCTCTTAAAACGTTGGGATTACAGGCGTGAGCCACCGCACCTGGCAGAATTCTTATTTTGTATCTCCAGCTAAACTCAAGTTGGAGACAACTTGATGTTTCTGTTGACAACTTTTCTCTGCTTTACCTATTGGTCAGTTTCAAATGGACTTAAATGAATCACAAAACTTGGTCTATCTAGTTATGATTCTCTGTAAATAAACAGTATTTCCCTAAGTGGTGCAAAATACCTGAGTACTTTTTCTAGCTATGATTTTGCAACAGGGATTATATAAACACTGCTGTAGTGTGAATGTTTGTGCCCCTCCAAAATGTATATGTTGAAATTTAATCCCCAATGAAGTAGTACTAAGAGGTAGGGGACTAGGGAGGTGATTGGATCATGAGCATTCTGCTCTCATGAATGCATGAGTGCCTTTATAAAACGGCTTGCGGGGACATGTTTGTCCCTTTTGCCATGTGAATATGCGGTGAGAAGGTGCCATTTATGAGGAACAGGCTCTCACCAGACACCAGTTCCACCGGCTCCTTGATCTTGGATTTCTCCCAGCCTCTAGAACTATAAGAAATAAATGTCTATTACTTATACATTACCCAGTCTAAGGTGTTTTGTTATTGCAGCCTGTATGGACTCAGACAAGCAGGGATCCAAGGTTTAGCCATCATGAAGTTACACATTCTGCATTCATGCTTTCTTTGGCATAGGGTGGTGCTCTGGATCTTCCTCCTCTCCTGAAACACTCTGATAAAAATGTATTCACACAGAGCAGGTAGAGAAGATTGGGGCGGGGGTATATGAAACATAGATCCTCCCCAGATATAAACCCTCTTCAGGTCCCAGAAATCTCCACTGACTCTCCTTGGCAACTGTGAAATGGGAATGAAACAGTGAAATAAGGTATGATGAGGATACGACTTCATCAACAGGCTGCAGGGAACTTTAGTGACTCTAGCCACAAATACAGTTATTTGGCTTGATCTAGAAAGGAGGAAAACTATGGGAGGAGATGCATGCCATTTTAGGAAGCCCAAATACGGTTGACTCGTAGTGAGTGAAATAGGTACAGTTAGTGTTTCATTAGGTGGTATTTTATTTGATACATGTAAAGAAAAGTGTTAGGTGATGCAGATTTATATGCAAATGTGGACATATATTATTCATAACCATTTCCCTTTTCATTAAGTCCCCCACCCCCAACATGCCTGCATGTGTGTTTTTGCACTAAAGGCATGGAATAAACCAGGACTGCAATACCCCAACCTTGGATTCCTGGGATCTTGATGCAATGGGCCCAATTAGCTACCCCTTCACTGTCTCCTCCCCAGAATAAAATGGTGTTTCAGTTATCTATTGCTGTGTAGCAGGTCACCCCCAAAACCTAGAGGCTTAAAACCACATATCATTATCTCTCATAGTTTTATGGGTTTTTAGGGGGCTTGGCTGAGGGGTTCTTGCTCAGAGTGTCTCCTGCAGTTGTGTTCAGATGGTTGTCAACTGGGAACTCAATTGGTACTTGTCACCTGGCTTGGGCTCCTCAGAGCATAACACTTAGGTTCTAAAAGAGTGCCACAAGAGAGTGCCACATGTTTTCTAAGAGACTCAGATGGAAGCTGCAATTCTTCTTGTGACCTAACCTCAGGTGTCTCAGAATATCACTACCAGCATATTCTGTTATTCATGTGAGTCCCGAAGACCAGCCCAGATTGATTATAAGGGGAATCAGCAGTGGTATGCTAGTAAATGTTTAACAACAGGTTCTCAAAAAAACCCACTCTTACATATTACTGATATGAAGGATATATATGATACATGGCCGGGAGCAGTGGCTCACGCCTGTAATCCCTTCACTTTGGGAGGCCGAGGCGGGTGGATCACCTGAGGCTGGGAGTTAGAGACCAGCCTGGCCAACATGGTGAAACCCCGTCTCTACTAAAAATACAATTAGCCAGGTGTGGTGGTGGGTGCCTGTAATCCCAGCTACTTGGGGGGCTGAGGCAGGAGAATTGCTTGAACCCAGGAGACGGAGGTTGCTGTGAGCCAAGATTGTGCCATTGCACTCCAGCCTGGGTGACAGAGAGAGACTCTGTCTCATATAAATACATAAAGGATATATATGATATACACAATATATCATATATAGTATACAATGTATACTCTTTATTCTTTTATTGTAAATTTCGTAAGACCAATTAATTCTCATAGAATGAACTAGTTAATTTTTGTGTAACTCTTGCATTGCAATCGATGAATGAGTGTAATTGCAACAAAAATGTAGTTGATGTTTTTGATTCTCCCTTTACAAGAAACTGAAACAATGAAGAAATATGCTTGAACTTCATTTGTTTGTCAACAATATAAGTGACTTCTTTGCTGAATTAAAGAATAGTTTTCAAATACTGGAAGAATATTTCCTTATTTGTGTGTGTGTGTATGCTAGTCACAATGTGATGACTAGAGACACAACACACTTTTATGTTTTATCTTTAGTATAGTTTTTCTCCATGACTTTCTCGAGTCTAGACAAGGGGTCAGCAATTCTTTTCTGAAAAGGGCCAGATAGTAGATATTTTAGGCTTTGCATTCCAGGAGCCCAAACTGAGGATATTATGGAGGAACTTAACAACTATTTGAATGTGTTTAGTGCATGGGCTGTTCATAAATAGGCAGTGAGCTGAACTGGTCTGTGGGCCAGAGCTTGCCAACACCTGGTCATGACAATCAATAAACCAATAAAACAAGCTCTGATTTGTAGTATTTTCCAATTTCCATAGCGTAAATGCTCTTACCATGGCCAATTTCAAAATACCAACAAGACATCATCAAAACAGATTTGGGAAGAGATGTGCAGAAGTATATCATTATATAGCCTTTCTACTGTACAGATGTAAATGACCCCAAGAACATTGATAACAGTAGATATAATGGCACGATTAAGAAGGGGTGAGTTTTGAGAATGTATTACTTTTGCTTTTAACATAATTTACTTAACACAAATTATGTAATTTAATTTTTATAATGACTGTGTTTAACTTGCAAATAACGGGTTTGCAAATTGCCTGAAAATTTAACAGTCAGCTCTTGCCAACAGTTACACGTCAGCTCCGGCACAGCACTGCGAAATTAGACTCCAGTTCTTGCTGTGCAGAGACACATGTGCATCTGGGGAGGGATGGAGCTGAAGGTGGCCATCAAGAGAAAATTGCTTCCGGTCACATTCTCTTCTATAAATCCTTCTGTTATTTGCCTACCACAGTCTGGCATATACAGGGGCTGTTAGTGTACAATTTATGTGGTGTTGGGCATAAGCATAAGGTCGCTAGAATTTTAGCATGCCAATCATTTGTGTGTAGTCGAAGTATATCTCTTTGTGAGATATCGTAGTAGAAGTGCTCATAGTTTTTTTTAAAATGCAAAACAAAGGAATTGTGATTTATTTAACAATCAAGAAGAAAGTAGAACCTTGATTTCTGATTCATAATTTACTTAGTTGGTTTCATGTACTTTGGCCAATGGTATTGTATTCCAATAGTTAACCATTTTAATTCAGATTAAGAGAAAGTAGGGCCACCCTGCAGCTAAGATAACAGGTTGTGTTTAAAGGACAAATAAAATTAAATAATTAGTCTTTAGATTCTTTTCTTTTTGGACACAAAACATCACAGCCACCATAGCCTCCCTTTGTTGGTCATCATGCATGCTGGGGACTTAGGCTCATGCCTTGGAAGCCCTGTCTTCCCAGCTCTCTGCTCTCTTCTATTCGGCTAGAGACACAGAGCTTGCTCTCTGCAATGATGCATCCTGGATTATCATTTTCCTCCCGAGCTTTCACCATCCTGGACTATACCCGTGAGTTCTGATAATACCATCTGGACAACATCATGGATTTTCCATGTCAGTTTGATCACTTCCCCTCTTTCCTTTTCTTAGTACACTTTGCACAGCTTTTTCCTCTTCCGTATGTCCACATGCTCCTTTTCAGCAACTACAGCGCCATTCTTCACGGCTACTTCTTCTGCCTAGGTAGTACTGTACTGCCTTCTAGTAACTTCGTAATGCAGGTTAAAAAGCTATGAAAAAGTCTTTCCATATGTCACCAAAATGCCTAAGGCTTTCCCTTTAAATTGGGTATTTCTGGCACCTCTGGCTCCTTATTTAAGACTTCTCTTTTAAGTTCACAGTCACCTTTGAGGGCATGGGCGTATTGTCAGAAAGCATTTTTGAATAAATTTATGCATCACTGCACCTTATATAAATAAAATTTGTATGTTTCTAGACCTTCAGAAAGTCTAGAAATTGAAATCCTTGAGCAGGAGGAGATAAGTTGGCCTTTTACTCATGAAGGAAATGAGGTCTCAATGTCTGGCTTTCTGAGAAACAAGCTCCACGACACTGGCAGAGTTCAGCACCTCTATCTTCATTCATTGCCTTTGATACCAGATACCAATAACTGTTGGTATCTGGAAAAGTCATTGGTAGACTTTTGTTCTAGTCATTTTAGTCATCCCATAATTGGGCAAAGAAACCAGAAACCAGCCTATTGATTTAATTCATTCTCAACTTTAGCACTGCTGAGGGAATTAAGACGTAGCTTTTTACAAAATATATGTGACACTTGGAACTTTCTTCATAGCACAATATCTAATTCTGTCTACATTTTTCTTTATGAGAAGGGAAACCCTCAGGACATAGTGATATGCTAGGATGACTGCTCTTTCACTCTGTAAATACATTTTTAAAGTGTACTATAATGTCATTTTGATGGTTTAATTTCTGGAAGGATTTGGCTAATTACATTTTTAGGAATGTGCTCAGACCAGTTTTAGCTGCCTAGTGTTACTTTTAATAGCAGCTGTTGCTTACTTCTTCTCATTTATATTCTCTCTCCCCTCCCTTCAGAGTTATTTTGCTGATTTGGGGACCTGACCTTGGTTTAAATTAGTTTGTCTGTAACGCTCCTGAGAATCATATGCAATATTTTAATGGTTAATTACTACATTGTATCAACCTGTCATAGAAAAGCAGGCTGTGAAACTAGAGGAAAATTGTTCCCTTTTCTTGTGACAGAGAAATCTATATAAAAGTGAAACAGTGGACTACATTTGTGTTAGAGTGCCTGTTTCCCATCCATGGTCAATACTGAATTGGTTCCCTAAGTAACAAAGACTTTTTTTTTAGTACACGCTAAAATGAAAAAACAAATTTATACCACATAGCCAGTGGCAACTCAGAGAAATAAGGAGAGTCAAACAAAGGAATAATTTAGGATAGTTACTGTGTAGGATAGACATCTCTTTTACTGTTGCTTAATTGACATGATTGCTAAGGATGGCTGTGCTGAGCCTGTTGGAGAAGAGTGGATTATTACAGGTCAGTGGTGTCGCCTAGTGGTGGAAACAGGAAAACAGGTAAGATGCTACAACTAAGCTTTGGTTGTTTATTATTGTCTTCTTGTATTCCTTCAAAAGGATAACTTGATGCTTATTGTATTCATAGCATGGTGCTAGTCAATACCTTGAATAATTTGAATTTTAGCAAATGAACATAATAGTAGCCAACACTCATTGAATGTCTATCATACCTTTTTTGAGTGTATATACCTTACATTTGATTTTTATTTTCTCATTGAACCTCCATGACTACCCTTTGAAATAGGTCTGTTATTATTTTCATGTTATAAATGAACTTTAGAAGACTCTTCTAGAAAAGGTGGTTCATGACAGTGAAGATTTGTGTCTATGTTTTGCCCCTCAACATTTTAGATTAACATTCTTTTCATGATACCATGATGTAATCTAGTTTTCAGTTTCTCTGCAAATGCGTATGCCAGGCGCACCTGTGGATGATGCTCCATTGTTCTGGCACTTAACAGTGCTTGCTTTTTATCCCAAACCAAAAGGGAAACAGTCATGTTGAACCTTCCTGCCCGTGAAGCCCAAACAATGAAGCTCTCAACCTACACTATAGTCATTGACACCACCAGCTCAGTCTACAGCCAATCTGACCAGTTGATGTGTCCTTGGGACACCAGGGTTGACAAGGAGGGCTTGAATGCATGTACTCACTTTATCCATCCACTTAATCACCCATTAACGTGGTCATTTGTCATCAAACATTTATTTTATTTTTAAATCCTTTTTTATATGTATGAATTTATGGGTTACAAGTGCAATTTTGTTACATTCATAGATTGCATAGTGGTCATATCAGGATTTTTTGTTTGTTTGTTTGTTTTGATGGAGTCTCACTCTGTCACCAGGCTGGAGTGCAGTGGCACGATCTCAGCTCACTGCAACCTCTGCCTCCCTGGTTCAAGTGATTCTCCTGCCTTAGCCTCCAGAGTAGCTGGGACTATAGGTGCGCGCGACCACGTCCAGCTAATTTTTGAATTTTTAGTAAAGACGGGGTTTCACCATGTTGGCCAGGATGGTCTCG
This sequence comes from Homo sapiens, assembly GCF_000001405.40. NCBI lineage: Eukaryota > Metazoa > Chordata > Mammalia > Primates > Hominidae > Homo > Homo sapiens. The sequence goes on along the minus strand of NC_000009.12, from coordinate 76,809,492 downwards.
ATTTCTTGACCTCATGATCCACCCACCTCAGCCTCTGAAAGTGCTAGGATTACAGGCGTGAGCCACTGCGCCCAACCCTGGGCTTTTAATTCATCACCCAAATGACATACATTGTACCAATTAAGTAATTTCTCATCATGCAGCTCCCCCTCCCAATCCCTTCAATAAAAAAATTATTGAGTAGCTATTATGTCCCTGAAATAGAGGTTAAATATTGCAGTGCAATGGTTTCTGTCTTCCCTAAGCTTACGGATGATTGGCAATTATAATTGGCTCTAATGGGCCACTACCTATACGAAAGAAGCACATAGCCTAATTTGGGAAGGGGAGGTAGATCAGAAAGTGCTCCCTTGAGAAGATGATGTTGAAACTAAATGTAAAGGACATGCAGAAGTTGGCCACGTAAATGAGGTTTGTTGTGAAGGAGGGGGTGGTAGAAGGTGGGTGGCAAAGGAAAAACATTCCAGGCACAGAGAAGAATATGAACTAGGAGGGAGGAGAGAGAGCATGGTTATTGATGTTGAGTTAAAAGCAGCAGTGAAATGGACTTACCCCTAGTGTTTGGGTCCCTTCTGGATTAAGCTCTGGGAAACCTGGTGGGTTGACTCATGCTGTACAAAGACAGGAAAGAATGCAAATGGGAGAATAATGAGCAATGTACGACAGGCTGTGGCAGGCGTGCATTGAGGACTGTGAGGGTGACAACAGAGACTGGGATGCCTGCCTTTGGCTGATGGGTGGTGGGGGGACCGTGTAATCCAGTTAATTAGTGAAGCACTTGCCTGATTCTTCCTACTCGGTCCATCAGAGATAGAGCTGGAGTCTTTGTCTCTTGATCCAGAGTAAGCCAGCACGGCAGGATGAGGATCTTCTGACAGATTATTTCAGAGTGTGTAGGAGATGGAGAAGGCTGGGTGATGAGAGGGGAGCAAGAATAATGTTTGAGTATCAGAGGATCTGGAAAATAGGCTGAGAGCTTCAAATGTAGATCAAGTTTAAAATCCCTTGAACCATTGGGAGGAGCCCCAGAGGCACAACCGGACTCAGATTGGGCAAAAGAGATGGGAAGGACATGTGCAAACCCAAAAGGCACTTGTTGGGATATCCCCACACAATATCCTAACGTGATACAATGTGAAATATGAGGTTACAGAAAATGAGCCTCTTAACTTTTGAAACTTTGAAACCAAGTCAACAGTCCTTTTTGTTTGGTGACAGAGACAACACAAGCATCACATACCTTTCATCAAGTTAGAAATTTAAAACAAAGCAAAGCAAAAAAGCTGGAAGGTGTTTTTGTTTTTGTTTTTTGACACAGAGTTTCGCTTACTCTGTTGCCCAGGCTGGAGTGCAGTGGCATGATCTCGGCTCACTGCAACCTCTGCCTCCCAGGTTCAAGTGATTCTCCTGCCTCAGCCTCCCGAGTAGCTGGGATTACAGGCACCTGCCGCCACACCAAGCTCATTTTTGTATTTTTAGTAGAGACGGGGTTTCACCATATTGGCCAGGCTGGTCTCGAACTCCTGACCTCAGGTGATCCACCCGCCTCAGCCTCCCAAAGTGAAGGGATTACAGGCGTGAGCCACCACACCTGGCCTGTAAGTTCTTTCTAATGGAGAAAATGACAGACAGACATCAGTATGTGCTCGATTGTTTTATAATTTTGTTCTGCTACCCAGCTTCCAGTGGGACGAGAGCTTTAGTTAATTCTCCCTAATTGTAAAGGGAATCTCCCTCTAGCTGCAAAACAAGAATTCCTAAGGCCCTTTCCTGGTCCCAGCTCTGGGTTTTCTCAGTCTGTGAAAATGCCATGAACATCACACTGGTCCCTCCTCTCTCCCTGTGTCTATCTTGGGTGTTTCTCAGGATTAAACATGAAATGGATGCTCAAGAGAGAGCATTAATCCATTTTTACCACTCTGCTGTTTGAATCTTCAAGTAAAAGATAAATTCTAGTTCCCCATATATGATATTATTGTGTATAATTTGTATAATTACCTCTTTATTATATCATGGTGTGAAATACTGAGTAGCTGCTGACCACCAGGGAATTTGTGAAGTGTTGCAAATTGCTGACCCTTCCTTGACAGAAAGCAAAGATCATAGTACAGGGAGGTCGAGGCCAGGCATTGTGGCTCATGCCTATAATCCCAGAACTTTGGGAGTCCGAGGTGGAAGGATCACTTGAGACCAGGAGTTCGAGACCATCCTGGGAACATAGGGAGATTCTTATCTCTACCAAAAGAAATTTTTTTTTTTTTTAAATTAGCCAGACATGGTGGTGCTAGCTACTTTGGAGGCTGGCTGAGGTGGGAGGATGGCTTGAGCCCAGGAGTTTAAGGCTGCAGGAGCTGTGGTATGCCATTGCACTCCAGCACTCCACCCTGGGCAACAAAGCAAGACCCTGTCTAAGAGAGAGAGACAGACACACGCGCGCGCGCACACACACACACACACACACACACACACACATTGTATGAGGTAGTGGTTAAAGGTATGGAATCTACTTGGGTTGGAGTCTTCGCTCTGACACATACCGGCTTCTGATCCTCCACCAGTTACTTAACCTCAGTGTGTTCCGTCTTTGAAATGGCATCATACTAGTAACTACTTCCAAGGATTACCCTGAGGATTAAATGGGTTAATATTTGCAAAAAGCTTAGAGTGGTGCCTGAGGCCGGGTGCGGTGGCTCACGCCTGTAATCCCAGCACTTTGGGAGGCTAAGGCAGGCAGATCACGAGGTCAGGAGATTGAGACCATCCTGGCTAACACGGTGAAACCCTGTCTCTACTAAAAATACAAAAAAAAAAAAAAAAATTAGCCGGGCGTGTTGGTGGGCACCTGTAGTCCCAGCTACTCAGGAGGCTGAGGCAGGAGAATGGCGTGAACCCGGGAGGCGGAGCTTGCAGTGAGCAGAGATGGCACCCCTGCACTCCAGCCTGGGCGACAGGGCGAAACTCCGTCTCAAAAAAAAAAAAAAAAAGAATGGTGCCTGACACATGGTAAGCCCCTCATAAGTGTTAAATTAAATAAAGCAATTATTTGAAACTGCCTATCCCCAAAATGTTTACAGACAGAAAACCTTAGAGTCTTTCTGCACGGAGTCCAGTAACACCATAACAGTGTATCCGAAAGCATTTTTCAAGTGCAAACTGAAGAAACATCCAAATTGTTACTTGCTTTTATCCTGATTTCTCTTAGCCTAGAGTAGTGGTTTTTAAAGTCTAGTTTGCATAGGAGTCATCTGGAGGGCTTGGTAGAACACAAATTTCCCAGGCCCCACTCTCCCACTCTTACAGTTTCTGACTCAGTAGGTCTGGGTTGGGGCCTGAGAATTTATATTTCTAGTAAGTTCTCTGGTGATGCTGATGCCGCTGGTTCAGAGACCGCACTTTGAACCACTGGTTTAGAGAGAGTTGATTCAGGTTTCAACTTTTGGATGCATGCATATACACAGATACTGAGGAAGGGAGCTCCCCTTCATTGAGTACCTACTATGTTCCCAGTACAGTGGTAGGTGCTTTACATGAATTATCTTCTAAAATTCTGACACCCTTCTAATGACATAGGTGATTATATCTATTTTATAGGTGATGAAGACTCAGAGAGAGAAAATACTCTACCTGAAACCAGAAAGTGGCATTCCAGTCCAGGGACATCTGATTCAAAAGTCCTGTTCTTACTTCATTATTCTATGTTAGGTCACAGAAGAATCAATTAATTGTTACCATTGATGATTACCTAGTCCATAGTAGTCTGGAACTGCCTGGACAAATTAGCCAGCTGTGGACACAATTTAGTAGTTCTGGTGTCAGAAACAGGAAAGCCCGTGTTTCTTTAGCTACTGCTGTACAATAGCACACCAGAATTTTTATGTTTTATTTTTTATTTTGTTTTGAGACGGAGTCTTTCGCTGTCACACAGGCTCCAGTGCAGTGATACTATCATGGCGCACTGCAGCCTTGACCTCCCAGGCTCAGACGATCTTCCCACCTCAACCTTCTGAGTAGCAGCTAATTAAAAAAAAATTATTTGTAGGGATGAGGTCTCCCTATGTTGCCCACGCTGCTGTTGAACTCCTGACCTCAAGTGATCCTCCCACTTCAGCCTCTCAAACTGCTGGGATTACGAGTGTGAGCCACCGTGCGCAGCCACACCACAACTTACTAAAACAATGTAGTATTCTCATGATTCTGCTGGTCTTGCCTGAGCTGACTCGTGGTAGGAGTCGGGCTAGGACAGGCTAGGACTGGCTGATGCAGGGTGGCCTCACTTGCATGCGGTGGGGGGCCTCAGCTGGGAAGGCTGGAACAAATGCGGGGGCAGCTGGGCCTCTCTCCCCATGTGGTCTTTCATCCCAGGCTTCTTATGTGGGAACAGAAACCTTCGAAGATGTCAGAAGTGAGAACTTTGGGGGCTGAGACTCAGATGTCCCACAAGATCATGCCACATTCTATCTGTTAAAGGAAGTCATGGAGCCAGTCAAAGAGTGAGGAAGGAGACTGGCCTCCCAAAGTGCTGGAATTACAGGCGTGAGCCACTGTATCCAGCCCATTTTATTAAATGAAGACAGTGTGAGGAATACTGCAAGGAACAGGGTGGCATCCTGGAAGTTACCACCTTAAGCCTGAAAGGAAGAGGAAGAGAGAAGTTTTCAAAAAACTTGGAGGAAATGGTTGAAAAGAAAGGATCACCTCTAGAGGGCCTTTTGGTCAAGGAATGGCCAAGTTCATGCTGACCCCAACCAAAAGGAAATGTAGGAACAAGCACGCTGCCCCCACTCTCTTTCTCCTTCCCAGCACCCACTGGGGCTTTCTGTTGGCTGAAACTAACAGGAAGTCAGCAGCCAGAAGAAACTCAATGCTGTCCATAAAGTCGCTGTGCTGTCACAGAGAACAGGGTGGAGGAAGGTAAAGCCTGGCTCTGGAGGGCACATGGAAGACACCTTGCAGAGAAACATTCTGTTAGAAGGTTATGTTGAAGCACCAAGATGATAGCTCACTCTTCCCAAAGTGATATGGGACCATGACACATTTTGAAAGAAGTAGATGAAATCTCAGTACACTGCTTTTAAACCTCTCACCCTCTTAGAGGGAATGAAAGGACTGGAATTTGGAAATAGAAAAGAGAAGAAATTTTGAAACACATGGGTTCCCTGTGAGGAAGGGGGCGGGGGCATCAATCGGTCAACCGAAGCCTGGGCAATAGTTTGGAAAGCCCGCCAAAGAGAGGCCCGTGTGCCCCGTGCAGTTTGGGGGACACAGTGGGCATGTACCTCACTTGTGGAAATCTAAAGTGAAAAAAATGTGCTGACTAGCTGGCGTCACAGTGGGGTGTAGAATAGGTGGCTGTCCTGAGCAGCCTGCACCCTGGAAAAATTGTCAGACTAGTAGACAGGCTGATCTGGGCCATGTGTGAGAGAGGCAGTGTGCATTTTTCTTAGATCTCATCCAAGAGGCCTGACTTAGAGTGAACACAATGCAGTTCTCGGCGGAGAGATGTGAGAGGCAGAGCCAGCTTCCCAAGCGCTAGGAAATGAGGAATAGAAATGCATTCCAGTTGTCTAGGGCCCCAGGGGAGACGGAAGATAGGAGCTCTGACAGATCCACAGGTGACCCATGAGACAAAGTGTCAGTATAAACACCTGCGAAGAACAGACAGTCTAATATTTACAGACTCCGGAAAGTAACAGCGAAGTGCTAAGTTTTCTACCCCTCTTACCTCATCTTGCTTCCTTGTGCACCAACCCAAGTGGGTCAGGAATCTACAGCTAGGAAGATAAATGAGGGATAGAAGGAACAGGTGGGGAAAGAAGGAAAGGGAGAGAGACCACATCCCCTTCCACCAGCAGCCAGCCTAGCTGGGGCAGGGGAGAGGCTGAACCCTCTCTGAGATTGCAGTTTTGACTACGACACGGGGTTGAACATTTTGATTATGAAATTGAGACTCCTATTGTGAACTGAAATGCCTGGGGAGTTATGTTAACTAAGAGTTTCTAGAAAAAATCATGGGGATTGGCTGAGTTTTTACCTAGGATCAGGGCAAGAATTAGCCCCAAGCAGGACCCTGCAAATGCAACTTACAAGTACTGCTTGTTCTGCTTATCTGTATATGTCCTATAGAGAAAAATAGGTTACTGCTTCCTCCAAGATAAGGAAGGTGGTCTTGTCCCTTTTCACATTCCACACATTCTTCCATGCTAGGTATTTGCGTCTTTGTAAATGCTTCTGTTAGAAGGTTTAGTTGAAGCACCAAGGCAATGTATCACCACCCTTCCCAAAGTGGTGTGTGAGACCATGATATCACAACATTTTCAAAGAAGTAGATGAAATCTCATTACGCTGCTTTTACATCTCTCACCATCTTAGAAGGCATTTCTCCTTGAAAACCTTCTTGATTTTGACTATCTGAGGCTGTCAGAAGTTAGATGGAGAGGCATTGAGGGAAAGAGCGAACAATGTGGGTTTGCTTATGTTCCTATCACCTACAGATATTGGATATCTCTGGAACTGAAACATTTTGGTTGTGTGAACCAAAATCAAGTGATTTAATAGAAAATCACTTGACAACAAAGTGTGTCGATGTCAGCATGAATATTAAAAACCAATATGTCCAGGGCTGAGTTTTGTGGCATATTTTAAGCATGTTATACAAAGGGGGAAAACAACCTTTACTCTTTGAAAGAGCAAGAACACACTCTTAGAACTTTCCAATTATTAGTACTTTTTTTTTGTAGACAAATTTAAAGTGCATGAAGCTTTCTCTCTGGTATTTAATTGAGATTAATTTGTAAGTTCGAACTTTTGATACTCATCCATTGTTTGATTTTAGTTTTGGATATTTGCAAACTTTCTCCCATTTTATATTCATGTATGTGTCAGGCACCAAGATGGTACATGAATTTGTTTTTGTTGCTAAAGAAGCAAGTAAACATGTTAACATTTAATCTTCCAGTAATGGAATTGGAAACAAAAATCTCAGCAACTTACAATGCTGTTCAGAGATATTTTTCCGCTGCCTGTTGTGAGAAGTTAGGGTATGTAAAATAAATGATGTATGGAGCTGTAGGAATGCGACTTTTCCAGACTACCTTATGTCTAAGGAACATTAAACATAGGGTTCTCGTTTAGCAAATAAATAACCATTCATTTCAATGGCTGCATAGTCTGGACTTTCGTGCATATTTTTGCAAAGATAAGGAGAGGCCATTAGGGATTTAATATAAAATAAATCGCCAAGGGGTCTTCTTGTAGTCCTAGTCTTTCTGCCACATGGTGTGTTACTAATGTGCATAAATGGGCTTAAATGAATTTGTTATCTGTATTACATTTGCAGTATGTATATATTTATATATTATTTTTTAATTGTGTTTAAAAATAAAACATTAAATACATCATTTTGGAGAGTTGAGAACGTAAAATACGTAAATCAATCAGCTTCAATTAGTATTAAAAATGTCAGTATGTTAGATTTGCCTGTGGGTGTATTTACCCCACAGAGTTTAATATATTTTAGTTTTGTTGTCTACGAGGTAGCCATATGGTTAATTTGTCACCTTATAAGAATACATTGCTACAATCCAAGCTCCATTAATGACATAACGCTTTTGTGTCATTGAAAGAGTCCCTGTCTTAGTTGTTTTATTGATGCCCTAGGTCAGATTCTGAACATTGTCTGTACGCAGCACTGATGGCTTTGACTAACCAAGGAGCTTTGCTGCTTTACTTCCTTCTCAAGTTACTCTTACCACATTTACCATTATAGAAAATAGCAGAGAATGCTCTGTATTATATGAAACTATTTAATATTACTTATTATTATATCCACAAGGTAGTCGCTACCAGAGTTTACCTTTAAACTTTTTTTTAACAATAAGTGGAAATTAATAAATTATAACCTGGTAAGATTTAAGAGATAGGTATGTTCGTTTTTAGATTAGATTCCAGAATGATTCCAAATGGTTTTGATAATATATTTGAAAAAGAGTTGCTCATTTCAAAAAAAAGGCCCAGTAGAAATAGCTCTTATTAAAGAAATCATTTTTAAAAATTAGAGATGCCAATTAATTTTCTATTACTTTTCATTAATAATCTGCTAAGGGATGTTGAATTGTTGTATCCATGCCAAATTTTCTAGATCTATTTTGCATTCCAAACATAGACTATGGTATAAATATATTCTTCTAATATTCTTTACTGCTAATCAGTTTCACTTGAGGCTATCCTTTTCAAAGAGAGAAAAAAGTTTTTAAATTGCATGCAGTGAATATTTTCTTTTCAAGCAGTCCTAATGCAATACTGTCATGTGTAGAAACATCATTCAATTAAAATATTTGTTAGATAACTACTAGACCTTGGTTAATAGCTTTTATTCATATTTAGTTCCTACACAAATGAAGTCATTGTTTTATAATCAAAAAACAAGGAGAGGGCAGTTGGTGAGCATGTGTGTGTAACCTTTGCGTTTGACTGGTAAGGAAAACACTGCTTAGTTAGGCTTCTCTAAATTTGACCAATTTATCATTTGGAGGTTGTTATTCTTGCTTTTATCACTGCTTTACTGAAGATGTTTATGGGACATGGGCTTTAACAGCAGGAGGTGTTTTTTGAAAAATGTTAAGTATAAAATATATCTTGTAATTTATTCAGATGTTATTCAGTGTTTGTTTCCACTCTATGACAGCGTATGCACACAATTCAACATTTTATGTGTAATCTTCAATAGATGAAAATTGCCCTTGCTTCTCTATCCATCCAGGTGAACAGGGGTGTGAGGCTCGCTGTAGAGGTGAATTCTATATCCAGAGGAGTAGGGCGCAATGTCTTCCTTTTCTGAAGGAAATTACAAAATCAAAAAATCCAAAAGTTATTTAACCTCACAGAGATTAGCAATCCATTGTCAAAACACCAAACAGCACTTTGGGCTGACAATTAAAGGTGAAAAAGAAGAGTTGGAAAATTAATCTGGATCTTTTAAATTTCAAATTGTTATTATTTTATTGCACATAAATAACAATTTTAAAAACCTCATTTACATTTTGCTTTGCTGTTTCCAAATAAATTCTCAATCATGTCTCTAATAGAAAGCTAGAGGGCTGATTAAAAAAGGATGAATTCATGTCCTTTGTAGGGATGTGGATGAAGCTGGAAACCATCATTCTGAGCAAAGTATCGCAAGGACAAAAAACCAAACACCGCATGTTCTCACTCATAGGTGGGAATTGAACAATGAGAACACTTGGACACAGGAAGGGGAACATCACACACGGGGGCCTGTCGCGGGGTGGGGGTATGGGGGAGGGATAGCATTAGGAGAAATACCTAATGTAAATGACGAGTTAATGGGTGCAGCACACCAACATGGCACATGTATACATGTGTAACAAACCTGCACGTTGTGCACATGTACCCTAGAACTTAAAGTATAATTAAAAAAAAAGAAAGAGAGAGGGCTGAGATTTTCATCTGGGGTCTTTGGTCTCTTGGCCACTGCTGCTGCCCATTCCAGATAGGTATTTGCCACTAGGGGACATTTCTAGAAAACAGGCATTTGAGCAGCGGGTCTCACAGCCTCTTTTTCTATCACCTATGGGTAGGTGGTCTAAGCCTCTTCTGTGGTCACTAAACTCTTCCTAATAAAAAATATTTTGTTCCTGTCATATTTGAGTGTCAATAAACTATAAACCATACCAAACAAGTCAGTATTAACTGCAATACAATTGCTACTAAACAAAACAGAGTTTTATGGTATCTATAAAGATATCTACAGTGATCACGCAGTTCTTTTGTTTGCCTTCTTGTTGGAGCAGAAATTTTATTGCCCTGACAACCCAGGCTTAATATACTCATGGATCAAAGTTGTTTCATGTTCTGATAACCACATGCTCTTTCTCTGGACCCAACATGATGTAACAGGGCACTTTTTATGTTTAACTTAGGACAAATGATCCTGCCTCTTTCCCCCACCATGCACACATCCTGAACATCATATTCTTCCTTGTTCAATATTAAATTAAGGCTCTGTAGTAATAATGTGTATGCTCAGTGTGGCAAAAATAAATTTTACATATTGATCAAGATTTGGCAGTACACCTATGGATTGCACATGGTACACTCATTGGAAAATCACTGATTTTTTTTTTTTTTTTTTTGAGACAGAGTTTCACTCTTGTTTTCCAGGCTGGAGTACAGTGGTGCCATTTTGGCCCACTGCAACCTCCACCTCCTGGGTTCAAGCAATTCTCCTGCCTCAGCCTTTGGAGTAGCTGGGATTACAGGCATGTGCCACCACACCCGACTAATTTTTGTATTTTTAGTAGAGATGGGATTTCACCATGTTGGCCAGGCTGGTCTCAAACTCCTGACCTCAGGCGATTCACCCACCTCGGCCTCCCAAAGTGCTGGGATTACAGGCGTGAGCCACCGCGTTTGGCCAAAAATCACTGATCTTAAATTCTGATCACATTGTCCCACATAAGAAGCCTGCCAGGGTGATCTGGACTGGCTTAAGTGTAATTCTCCAAAAAGTTCTTTTCCAAAGTTATCAGTAGGCAGGGCAGTAACTTGTGTCCCTTTTCCTCAAAGCCTCCTCTCCTGATCTTGGTCCTTGGTATCTTACTATTTCCAGGATGCAGAAGAGTCATGGGAAGTCAAATCCAATAAGAGATTCTGGACCAACTCACACCGTTTAGTATAGGACCCTTCTCCTCTTAGATCTGCAGCCTGGTTGTGTGCTTAAGGACGCTCTAATAATAGAGAAGATGGGGGAGGCTTGTGGTTTATGTGGTCATGTAAGGTGCTCTGGTGTAGGCCTCTGAGAATATGCCACTGTTTAATTTTTAGCATTTTTTTTTCATGGCAATCACTTCAAAAATGACTTTAGAAATATTTGATTGTTCATCCATGTTCATAGCAGCACTATACACAGTAGCCAAGGAAGCAACTCAAGTGTCCATTCACAGATGAACGGTTAAACAAAATGTTGTATAACATACCATGGGAGAGTACTGAGCCTTAAATAGGAAGGAAATTCTGACACGCGCTAGAACATGGATGAACCTTGAGGACTTGAGGCTAAGTGAAGTAAGCCAGATACAGAAAGGCAAATACAGTATGATTTCACTTATTGAGGTACCTAAAGTAGTCAAATTCATAAAGACAGGAACCAGTATGGTAGTTGCCAGGTGCTGGGTGAAGAAAGAAATGGACAGATGTTATTTAATGGATATTGAGTTTCATTTTACAAGATGAAAACATTCTAAACATTGGTGGCCCAGCAATGTGAATATACTTAATACTTCTGAACTAGATACCTACAAATGGTTAAGATGGTAAATTTTATGTTTTATGTTTTTTTAACTACAATTAAGAATAAGAAATTTAAAAAATAGGGTTGTTATATTGAAACTCATGAAATTCAGTTCCATGTTGCTTTAATCATGGGAGAGGGGAGAAAAGGAATTCCCTTCTGATGGTGCTTCTCATCCTATGTGTTTATCACATGGGTAAAATCTGTAAAGACAAACAGGGCAAGATTTGAACTAAAAAGTGAGCTCCAACAAAAAGCGCAGCTAAAGAGTGTCTGCTCTTAGGAAGGAGGAGGGTGGTTGCCAGGCAGCACCCATTCCTACTCCCCTTCAGACCCTGCCTGTATGTTTATGAATATATCAGGACTTCTGTTTAAAACACCGGATGGATACATCAACCCCTTCCCCTCTCTACCATTCCAGAAACATAGCACCAGAACTGCTGCTGCTTTTTAGCGGGCAATGGCTAGGCCCCTTGTGATCCTGTGTACTTGGTTGCGGGGGGCAGGGTGGGGGGCGGTTCAAGATCTATGAAAAAGACAAGTTAAAAAACCCTTGACATTTGCAAAGGAAACCACATTTCACCTATATAAACTGTATGGTAGAACTATTAAACAAAGGAAAAAGACGGCTTGGTGAATGTAACTTCTAAATTTTCAGACTTTTGGGAAACAATTTTTAAAATAATAACTATCTAGTTTTCTTTCTCTTGAATAACAATAAATAAGCATATAATTATATTATCTGGTAAAATATGCATATGTTACCAAGAAAAGAAAACTAACCAAACAAACAAACAAACAAAAACAGCTGAACTCACCCTTGACTATCATCACCTCAATCTCAAACCAGAAGTAATTGCCAATTTGGTATATCCCTTTTCAGTTCTTTTTCTGTGCATTTTTATATATTTATACCTATAGAAATATTTTTTTTCAATTATATAGAACGTAAAAGAGAAACTATAACTAATGAAATACATTCTTTCTGACCTGATAATTCCTATTACTATTTTTAAACTAAAAATAATACATATATAAAGTTAGAAAATTTTAACAGTACACAGTGATCAAAATGTAAAGTAAACCCTTTTTTCTCCCCAATTCCTCTCCCAGTAGTAACACTGTTAAATGCTTGTGTGTGTGTGTATGTGTGAGTGTGTGATTTCATTTTGGAAACAATCTCAGTAAATGGGTGTATTGGTCAGGGTTCTTCAGAGAGACAGAGCCAACAGCGTCTAGATTAATTTTGATCTGAAAGCTGGCAGGATCAAGATCCAAGAAGAATGAATGTTTCAGTTTGCATCCTAAGGCCAGAAAAGACTGAAGTTCTGCAGGAGAGGCTCCCTCTTCCTCAGCCTTCTTGTTCTATTTGAGTCTTCAGTTGATTGGATGGGGTCTACCCACACGGGGGAAAGTGGTCAGCTTTACCCGGTCTGCTAATTCCAGTGTTAATCTCATGCAGAAACACCATCAGAGACATACCTAGAATGTAATGTTTGGCCAAATGTCCGGACATCCCATGTGGCAGTCAAGTTGACACATACAAAATTAACTATGACAATTAGGAAATGCATAAATGCCAGCTGTAAGGAGGCATTCTTTCAGTCTACCCATTTTATAGTAAAACAGGTTGTGTGAGTAGCATAAAGTGCATGCCAGACACTTGTGACACCAATCAGGGGAAGAAGTGGTGGGGGCCGTGCCAAAATGAGGATCTTGATGATTCAAGTTCTTTTACAGAATCCTCTCAGATTTCTGCTTTCTCACCACGCATGTTTCTTTGCCTATCCTTCCTGGGGCATGAGGGCCTCAGGAGGAGAAGCATGTGTGCTTCTCCTGTGCCCTGGGGTAATGATCGTAGCGAGGCTTTATTTTATCAGCCCTTGTCATTTAATGATATTGTCATTGAACCAGTCCATTGCGTGGTCCCTTCTACAGTTCCTCTTCTTGCTTATTTAAAAAATTCCTTTGGAGCTAGCAAGATTTGGATCTTAGGTTGCTAATAGAAGAGTGCTGTGCGTTCTTAAGCAATTTACCTGGCAAAATTTTATGAGTGATCATATATCTTTTGTAAAGAAAAGCATTTTATTTACCCAAATTATACACAAACTTGATTTAAACATTAGAGCCTGGGTTAAACTTTGAAATGAGGCACCTGTGAAGTGAGTGATTGGAACAGTAAATTAGTTCCCTTGATTTATCAGATTCTGCAGTTGTTTTACGGTAGTCTTATAGTCCCAATACCAATATCTATCTGTTTGAGTCTTATTCTCTCAGAAATTTTCTCAATATGAAAAGTCAATGTCCAGGCAGAAGTACTTCAATATTAAATGGTTTCTGGCCATTTGTTAAAAAAGTTATGTGTGATTTTTATGTACACCTGGGGCTTTGAATTAATGGGATGTACTAACCACCAGGTATAGAAGGTGGACTACATGATTCATTAAAAGTACCGTATTTGGATCCTGTCAATAAAATTCTGTATTTTTACGGTGAACAAAATATTTGCATTTATCTCCCCTTCCTTCCTCTGCCCCTTTCTGTGCCCCCTCTTTCCCCTTTTAGGCTCGTGTACAAGAAACCATAAGGCAGAGATAACATGATCACATCACTTTTGGGAGAACATGCTCCCCCCCAGGGGCTATTAGTAACTCAAAATCAGGTTGAATCACAAACCAAGACAAGTTGAATTGTGAACTGTCTCTGGGCTGGGGCTGTTTCAAGATCCAATGGGGTCTGCTAAGATGGGATTCACAGAATGACATTGGAGGGATCAGAAATAAGACCCCTCTCAAAGGCAGGGGTCTGGGTCTAGTGCCTGACTTCTCTCAATGTTTGTCTGGGTCTCCGCAGTTTGGTGACCATAGTTATGGTGTTTTGACGGTGTGATGTCTTTGAAGCCCAGTGTTACTGATGGTAGCATTATCTAGAAGGCAGATCTGCTCTTTGGACACATGTGTGCCCGAGATACTGATAGGGTATGATACTGAGACCTAGCTAGAGTAATAGTTCATGCATATTCATTCTGGAGATTGGCCAAAGCTTCCTCTCAGCATCCGACAGCTGGAACCCAGTCACCCTGGCCAGCGTCATTCAATTAGGCCCCCATTCCCAGGTAAGGCTTCTCTGTTGTCTCTGACCATATGTTAGAGCAGTGGGAGTCCAGTAACTTCTCTTGCCTTCCTTCGTGGCAGGCAGAAGAGCATTGGAGGGTATTTTTTCCTTCTAGTAGGTCTACATCAACAGACTGATAATTCAAGTAATAATAATTATAATAATTGGTAATACATATCAAATTCTGAGTATGTTCTGGACACTTTGCTTAAAACTTAATGTGATTTGTCCTATTTAATTCTTAGGGCCACTCCATGAGGTAGTTACTTGGTATTTGCATTCCCATTATACATATATAGCAGATGACTGAGGCCTGGAGAAGGTATGTAACTTTGCTCGAGGTCGGACAGCTACTAAATGGTGAAGAAACTAAGCTTTCTTTCCAGGGATTCCCCTTCCAGGTGCTGCACTCTTTCTTTTTCTTTCTTTCTTTTCTTTTCTTTTTTTTTTTTTTTTTGAGACAGAGTCTCTCTTTGTCGCCAGGCTGGAGTGCAGTGGTGCGATCTGGGCTCACTGCAACCTCTGCCTCCGAGATTCAAGCGATTCTCTTGCCTCAGCCTCCCGAGTAGCTGGGACTACAGGCGCCGGCCACTACGCCCAGCTAATTTTTGTATTTTTAGTAGAGACAGGGTTTCACTGTGTTGGCCAGGATGACCTCGATCTCTTAACCTCGTGATCCCCCTGCCTCAGACTCCCAAAGTGCTGGGATTAGAGGCGTGAGCGACCGCGCTCGCTCGGAGGCCGCGCTCTTTGCCACCACCTTACTGCCTCCAGATACCTCCTGAGGCTGAGCCCCAGGGCCTGAGTCTGAAATCCTGGTTCCGCCATTTGCCATATCAGCATATTTATTTATTTTCTCTGAAGCACCGTATCTCGTTGGTGAAAAAGATACTTAAAAACCTAGTTCATAGGATTGTTTTTAAGATTTAGTGTAGGTAAAATTCTCAGTAGTTCCTGATATATATTAAGTGCTCAATAAATAGTAACTAGGCTTATTAAAGTAGGCCTTATTAAAACAATAAAAAAAACCTGCTTGGCTTCAGACAAAGCAAAGCATTGTTAAGAAACAAAGGGATATCTGTGGTTGCCCAAGCCCTTACTGGGTAAGTTCATAATGTCTTTATAGCCCACGCCTTTTTGAAAAGCAGGCCGGAAGAAATATCAGATTTGCTGAAATGCTATAGACCATGTTGTATGGAACAAAGAACTATGAAATGGGAATTAAAAGACTGGGATTCTAGACCTAGATTTGTAATGAACTAGCTGGGTGAACATAAGATAATTGTGTAACCTCTCTGAGCCTTTTTTTTTTCTTTTTCCTTTTTTCAAGAACAATAATGGGCAGGGTGTAGGAACAGGGCTGAAAATTAGATGTGTGTGACCTCTTGAGTAAAAACTTCTATGATTCTAAGTCTAAGCCAATTCAAACTGGTGATATGTAGTTGAGCAAATGATGCCCAGAGTTCCTGCTCCCTTCACAGTTATTTCTGGTTTGAATGGAACCTGGTGGAAGGTAAGAGAGTCACCCTTCTAAGCCAGCTGCAGGGTCTCTCAGTACAGTATCTGTTGCCATCAGTGGCTCTAATGAGATGGCCCCTAGATAGCCATAATGGACCTTAGCTTAGCTTCATTCATTAACTTCATTCACTAACATCGATTTCATTCTGTTAATCATTGAGGCAAATGTTCGTCAATCCTCCACCCCTTTACAGAACACATTTACAACTTTTGCTTGTAAACCTCCTCTTGGGTTAATAACGATCATGTTTATTGTTCATTATTATTTATTGTTCATTGTTTGCTATGTGCAGAATTATTTACATTATTTACTTAACTCTTTGTATACATATCTCTCAGTGTTTGAAACGGTGTCCCTTTATTCTACTAATTTGCCACTTCCTCCAGTATAAGAAGCCACAGTCAGGAAGCTCCTTCTGCACTCTGCTTTGCCTGTATATTATAATTGCAGAAGATGTACCAAACCCCACATGGCATAATAGACTTGGATTTGGATTCCTTATACTGGCACTTTAACTTTGGACAAATTCTTTAGCCCTAAGCATCAGTTTTGTTGCCAGTAAAATGGACTAGTAAGCCCCCCCTTTCAGGGACACCAAGGACATTAGAGAAAATGTAATTAAAATGAAGTACCTTGCTAGCATATCATGAATACTGTACTAGCATTTGCTAGATAGCTAGCATAATATTGCCTGAATCTAGAGAAACAAATATGTTTACATTAAAAGACCAAAATAAAAATAAAGTTGAGAAAATATTTGCTATTATTGGCAAATAGTAACATCTTTATGAAGAATCTTTACAAATTAATAAGAACATAGCTAAATCTTTCATTTAAAAAAGAACAAAAGACTTAAATAGCTAATAAATCTGTGAAAAAATATTTATCTTTAAGTAGTGGACAAAATGTACATTAAAACCATAATATGTTAGTTTTGCTGATAGAATTATTTATTTTTTGAATAATGCAGATGAGAATGTTGCATCCTGATGACCCGGCCTATTTCTCTCTGCCTAACAATATCACCTGGGGGGCATGTGGAGAAGCATCCTGCAGCCCTCTCATTCCTCTCGTTCTGTCCTCTGTGAGACTTTAGTCCTGACCTGCCTCAGTACCTGTATTAGTCCATTCTCACGCTGCTAATAAGGACATACCCGAGATTGGGTAGTTTATAAAAGAAAGAGGTTTAATGGACTCACAGTTCCACATGGCTGGGGAGGCCTCACAATCATGGTGGAAGGTGAAGGAGGAGCATAGTCACATCTTACATGGTGACAGGCAAGAGGGCATGTGCAGGGAACTCCCCTTTATAAAACCATCAGAGACTTATTTACTATCACGAGAACAGCATGGGAAAGAGCCACCCCCATGATTCAATTACCTCCCACCAGGCCCCTCCCACCACACATGGGAAATATAGCAGCTATAATTCAAAATGAGATTTGGGTGGGGATACAGCCAAACCATATCAGTACCCCACTTATACACTGCTCCCACCCTGGCCTCGCACAAAGGCACAGGAAACACTGATGTTGTCTACTTTCTCAGACCCTCCTTGGGAGCATGCCCCTGCATGCTCAAATCTGTCTGAAGTGTTCCCTTCCCTCCCTCCTTCTCCCCAGCCCCTGCCCTTTCTCAGGTCCTACCAGCATCTCTCCCAAGGCCTCACCAGCCTCTCAGCTTTCTTGCTTTCCTTTCGGATTCTTTCCCCCTCCCTTAGTCAGGTGCTTCTGAATCTAGTCGGGGGACAGGGTAGTCTGGCTCTTTATCTATTCTTCCAAATCCATTGTACTCCTTGAGTCCTTTCTCTGCTATGCAGTTGTATCACCTCAGCCATGATCAGTGGATGCCCCGTGGTCTTCCTTTGATGAGATAAAACTCAGGAAGTCAGTATTATTGGTACAGTATTATTGTACCAATAATAATTGGTGCAGTATTATTGTACCAATGATAATTGGTGCAGTATTATTGTACCAATGATAATTGGTGCAGTATTATTGTACCAATGATAATTGGTGCAGTATTATTGTACCAATGATAATTGGTGCAGTATTATTGTACCAATGATAATTGGTGCAGTATTATTGTACCAATGATAATTGGTGCAGTATTATTGTACCAATGATAATTGGTGCAGTATTATTGTACCAATGATAATTGGTGCAGTATTATTGTACCAATGATAATTGGTGCAGTATTATTGTACCAATGATAATTGGTGCAGTATTATTGTACCAATGATAATTGGTGCAGTATTATTGTACCAATGATAATTGGTGCAGTATTATTGTACCAATGATAATTGGTGCAGTATTATTGTACCAATGATAATTGGTGCAGTATATGGTACAGTAGTATTAATACAGTATATTACAGTATGTAGTCACCATTCTGTGCATTAGGTCCACAGAACTTACTCATCACATAGCTGAAAGTTTGTGCCCTTTGACCAACATCTCCCCATTAACTGCAATCCCTCAACCTCTGGCAGTCACTGTTCTGCTCTCTGCTGTTACGAGTTTGACTATTTTAGATTTCACGTATAAGTGAGATCATGCAGTATTTATCTAAAAGAATCAGTTTTAAACTTGAATTCCAAATAGTAGTAAAATGTGCTTTTCTTGACTTCAAAAAGTTTGGTCATTAACTGTCTTCCATTGTATTTGGAAGCCTCATTGGATTTCCAATCATGTTGTTTCTTGAGTGCTTATTGAATATGATGACACTCCAAATAAACTGAATGGAATTAATTCAAGAATAAAACATCATTTCTTGTTGTGTGTCTCAATCTGATATTTGCCAGATGGGAAACCCAGCATCATTCTCACAGCAGGTCTCATTTATGGCAAACACACATCCACATCCAGTGAATATGAGAAAGCACAACCTTTCTCCTTCTTATTTTTATAAGATCTATTGTGGACTTTTTTCCTTTGCTTTTCCTGCACCGATCCTAATTTAATTAAATGCAGCTTTCCTGGGAGTCAGGGTGGGAAGTGGGTTACTGCTGGTGGGTACAAAACAAATGGCAACTACATCAAATGGTACCTAGAGAGAGGGAGAGTAGCAGTTTTATTGTGGCCTGCTTCTTAGATTTGAGAATACAGATGTCAGAAGTGACTGATTATATGTTCTTATGTTTTACTGGCATGAAAATTCCCCATTAACTAGTTAACTAGAGGTCACTGTGGCTAGAAGTGCTGTAGTTTTCTATAATTGACATATCACTAAATAATCTATTGATTAATTCATTATTGCAACAAACTGGGCCATGTGCTAGCATGGGAATTGTTGGGACACAAAGACATGGCCTCTTTCCTCAAGCTGCTCTCAGAAGGTAGCCTAGCTTTTAGAAAACCGCCTTCTAGTAAACCTGCATGCTTACTTGGAGTATGAACAAAGTCAGCCTGGAGGGTTCAGAGGAAGCTTCATGGAGAAAAAGAGCATTCAAACCCTTGGAACAAGGACTCTTTATCAGTTCCTGCATTTTATTGGCCCATCTGGAAATTCATGTTGCAACTTCCCAAGGCTTAATTAACTTAGAAGTGGCCCCACCCCTACTACCTTTGCTTTTTGACCCTTGTTCATGATAAAGAGGGGGTTGCACATTTATCTGAGGATCTTCTTGCATCATTCTTAGAACCAGGGCCATGAGCTCCTCTAAGAAGAATCCCCTGCCCAGCCCCTCCATATCTGATGCATCATTAGGGACCACCAAGATGTTAATGAAGATTCGTAGACAATAATTCCTGGTTGTCAATCACCCAGGACTTTCAGGATGTGAGAGGAGAGAGGAGAGGCCCAGGCAGGAGAATGTTAATCAATGGTGAAGCAGAAAACTCTCCTCACTGACCATAGCCCTGTCTCCCAGCCATAAGTGTGTGGGGAAACCTTGCGGGGATGCTTGGTGGTATCTAATTGAAGAGTTCCTACCTTGCTCCTTGGTCGACTCCTAATGGAGGGCCTTCTAGGGAAGCTGCATGTGCCAGTAGTCGTCTCTGTTTTGAATATTGCTGCTGATCCACCAAGTGCTATTTGCAGAGGAGAGGCCTCCACATTGGAGCCCCCTAGAGTAACAGCTTTTATTTGGAAAGAAGGTGTGATTCCTGGATACAGTGAGAAGACCACTGGATGAGAGATTTACAGTCTGGGAGTCGAGTCTTGGCTCCATGATCTACTAGTGCCATAAACTTCAGCAAGTCAAAACCTCTTCAAGCCCCATTTCTTCTTTTGTAAAATGGGAATAATAGTGATTGCTATGGTTACATCAAAGAGTCATGATGTTTGAAAGGTCAGTGGATATGAAGCCCATCGTCACAGGTAAAACACTATCAAAGCAGGAGGAATTATCTGGAAGGTGAAGTTTCTTGATTTTTATATTGGCTCAAGATGGCAATATAAATACTTGAAGGGGCTTGTCTTGAAGCTGTGCATGCAAAGTACTTTTCACAAAAATGTAAACATATCTATTGTCCATCTGAAAATATGAGGGTGGAGGCTGAAGAAAATTATGAGGAAATACCTCAAGCTCCTACTAGGCCCTCCCTCCCACGAGTCTTCCCTGGGAGAGAAGGATCCTTGAGAGTTTGTATGATACTTGCTCTTCCTAACAAGGCACAGCCAGGATAGAGCTACCTTAACTCCATCTTGAAGCTTATATACATACCCTTTCCTGAGATTCACATTAATAAAACAGAGACACAGATTGGGACCTGACTCATTTAATTCCATGAACCAGACCTGTTTTGAGTGCTAACCAGGTGTCAAGAATTAATTAGTTTCTCTCTACTTGCAAATATGAGTCTCTCTCTCTTCTTATAAGATTTGTGATCTCTGCCATCTCCAGTCACCAGATGTGGCCCCACTCAGGTTGTCTTCATTGTCAAATTGGAATAGTGATGATAATGAACAAATTTCAAATGTTTAAGTTGTGTCAAGCACTGCTTTAAGTGCTCTTTGTGCATTTATTCAATACTTGCCACACACTGTCATTGTTGTCAACACCCCCATTTTACAGATGAGCAGGATTGAGCTTTTCCCCAAGGGCACATGGCTGGTGAATAGAGACGCCTTTCAATCCAGGAACTCTGGCTCCAAATGCATGCCTGGGACCACTGTGCTACAGTGCACCTTAAGAAGTTTACAAAGAGGAAAGTAGTGGTTTGTGAGTTTAATGTCCAGTATATATAATAACTATCAACTGAATTCACAATCATTTACTTGTGGTAACTCTAGCCACGGTAAGAGATGTTTCTTTCGACTAGAATATATCTGTTTGGTGAGTTAACATCTGATGGTTGCTTGATGGTGTTTTGACTCTTATGTCTTCAGTAAAACTAGGGAAATTATTACCTAGGAAATGCCATGTCTTTAGGAGACACAAATCTTTCAAAGAAATAGGTCCTGTGAGTTATAAGGCTCTCATAGTCTATTGACAAATATTAGAAAACCAGGTGAGGGCACAAAGAACTTTAGTTGCTGGTAATGGCTTCAGAAGTCAGGGACTCTTGAGCCGAATCTTAAAGGATGGAGAAGCTAGGTGGAAGAAAGGGGGAAAAGGCATCCTAGACAGGGAATGTTCCGAGGCCATGTGTGGGAAGGAACGCTTGGTGACCATGGAGATGTGGGAAGCTGCGGCAGCACAGACAGGGCCGGAAGCTGCGGTCACAGGAGAGGAAGTCGGGAGGAGCTGGGCTCTAAGGCCTTCGGCACTGTGCAACTAGACGGGGCTTTCTCCTGTGGGCAGTGGGAGGCGGGATTGGAGAGGACTGTCTAGTGACCATGAAAGCATCGTGGAGGCCATTGCTATTAACAGGCCAGGTTGAAGCTGCTGCAGGACTGGAGCAAAGCAGTGTCTTTGGCTATGGAGACAAAGGGATGAGCATGTGCGATGTGTGCAATTTTCTACCTTAAAAAAATAAATTTATAAGTGGAAAAGTGAACTACTGTATGTAGAAAAAGGCTAACAAACATGGCAAAGGATCACTTTTTTTTAAATTTTACTTTACGTTCTGGGATACATGTGCAGAATGTGTAGGTTTGTTACACAGGTATACGTGTGCCATAGTGGTTTGCTGCACCTATCAACCCATCATCTAGGTTTTAAGTCCCACATGCATTAGGTATTTGTCCTAATGCTCTCCCTCCCCTGTTCTCCCACCCCCCGAATCACTTATTTTAAAAGTCAGCAATAAAAATAAATTGAAACTAAATCAAATAAATTGATACTATAGAGAACAAAATAATAACAACGTAATATAGTAGTAAAAGAAAATAATAATAATAAAGAGAATAAAAGCCACTTTGGTGATAAAAGAGTAAGAAAAGTTGTAACAAAGAATCAAAGTTGATATAGTATGCCAAGACACTGTAAGAAAAAGTAATTTACAAGGACAGATTTTGAAAAAACTTAATTTTCAGCAAGTTTAAAAAATTGATAGGGCAGATAAAACATGTGAGTTCCTAATTGGAATTCTCAAATGTAGCAAATTCTATGGATCTTCATTAGAAAGGGGAGATGCAGAGGACACTGAAGGCAGGGAGCATCTCAGGTCTTGCTCCTGACAATCACGAAGGCCCAGGAGTGGTCCCCTCCACCCATGAGGCGTAATCAGTCATCCTTCTGGCTTCAGCAGTCTTGCATGCATGTACCACAAGGAGCCACTGGGTTTCTCATTTGCATGGCTACATTGGGGACCATGCTGTTCAGTGCAATCAGTAATATAGGGAGAGGAGCAGGGAGGTGAAAGAAAGAGAAGATAATGAGTTGGATTTTGAACCTCTTGAGCTTTAAATATCTAATGTTCATCTAAAGCAATATAGCCCATAGGCAGCATCTATTGGAAATTAATAAAAATAAGGGTCTAGGCATTCAGGTTAGTGGTGGGGATGGAAGAAAAGACTTGAGAGTCGTTGAAATTCTTGTGGGGAAGTCCAAAGCAACAGAGCAGAGAGAGGATTGGTAAGCGATGTGTTGGAGAAAAGATAAAAGTCGTGGAAGCAAAGGCTAGAAGCTAATATGTGTCAAGAGGAGAGCCAGAGATGGCCAGAAGCTAGCATCCATAATAGGAGAATTCAACTCATGACACTGGTTTCCTTGATTTAAGGATCTCAGACATGCGTTGGGTCCTGCTGTTGGTTGTGGCTCACAGAGATGGGGACGATGACAGCTCAGAGTTCTTTGTATCTTGGTTCCTTTTGACCAGTGTGAGCTTAAATCTAATATTTCTTTGAATCCCTAATGTTGATATCACTCAGAGTTCTTATATTCTCTCCTATGAGCATCAGTTCAAAGATAACATTATTTATTGGACTATCCATGAACACAAAGAGGGACAGAAGTTCAGAGACATTAGTGAAAGCACCTGAGCTGTCTGAATCCTCTCCAAACCTGGTAAATGATTCCTAAAAGATGAGGGAATTCAAATTCTGGCTTCTGCTGAGAATTGAATATTTCTCAAACCGCCTGATGCACAGCCCCAGCTGAGACCTAATGCAAGTATTTTGCTTAAGAGAACCCACAAATGCGAGGTGCTTCTAACAATATATGTCAAGCAGTGTGTAGCTGATGGTAGGAGTTAGATTTATGCATATTGTGGTTGTCCATTTCCAGCTGCTTTTGTGAAGTCAAACTTTTTTTATGTTAACAGATGACATTATTATCACATTTACTGGAGAATAATGAGATATGGTGGTGATACATCATTGGCAGCTCATAGTGCCATTTGAAAACATGCTTGTTTTTAAGTCTGAAATAATGGGTCAAAGAGAGAGAGGCACACTTTGGCATGTACACTCACACACACACACACACACACAGAGCTCTTAACAACTGGTCCTGAGTAGCTCTTTGTAAATTCTTTATTGCCAGGAGTGAACCCTAAAGTGGCTCACAAGAGTGCCCTATTTCTTTCAATTAACTACAAGGACAAACACATCTCAAAGTTGAGATAAGTGACCAGTATGATTTGCCAAAATTCTAAAGCGCACTCACCATGAAATGGATAAAGGTTACCTTTGGGGATTTGCACTGCATGAATTCTGTGAAAAGCTTGTTGGATATTGTGATAGAGATAGAGAAATGAAGTATATTATATAAGATACTATGAGGTTCCCTGCCTTTGCTTCACATCCCAGGCTTACAAACGTGCCCCATAAACATTCCCTCTGTGGCTCTTGCATTTCATATATTTATCTAAACTCTTATAATCAAATTACACTTTTAGTATTTGCTGTCTCATGTGATGATGAATCTCATATGTGTCCCTTCTTTGCATGAAGTAAGATAGTCAACTTATTCAAAACTTTACATCATTCTAGATTTAAGAGACAAGGAAGAGCTTCTCAGGCAGAAGGAATAATGTATGCCTGACATGTTCAAGGAATTACAAGTTAGATTTTGTTTAGGTGCATGGGAGGGGTTGATGGTGATGACAGATAAGGCTGGAGGGATGGGGAGAGGCTGTGGCTGTATACAGCCTCAGTACAAGGCTAAGCATTTTAACTTTATACTGGAAAAAAAATCAAACAAAGGGGAGGGATAAAGGACTTAGTCATCTTTGCACTGGAAAACAAAATATGTAATTAAATTCCCATAGCTGCATGTAACATTGAATTCTTCCAGGTTAAAAAAAAAAGTTAATCCTGTGATATTAATGGAATGACATTTTGAGGTCTTGAGAATGGGCACAAAAGTGGGAAATGAATTTCAGTATGGGCAAAGACACTGAGGATGATGTTGATTAGATAATTCACTCCGTAATGATCATGCTGTGTGCTAGTAAGTATAACCCTGGAAAGATCTTGAGATGCTTCCCAGCCTGTTCACAGATCCCCTGGGCCAGAACACTCCTTAGGAAAAACAGTCAGCTACATATTAGGCAGCAACACGAAGGGTCTTTGAACAAAATGAGTAATGTTATTCTACAGTGTAGAAAGGTCACAGTACAGATCTGGGAACTAAATATTAAAAATGAGTGTGGCTGGATATATGGAGAATGTTGGGCCCAGAAGGAACCGTAGAGATCAGATATTACAACAGCTTTGTTTTGAGGGTTAGAAATATGAAATGATTTGGTTATGAACGCACAGTTTAGGCAGCAGGGCCAGAATCCTGACCCTCTGCCCCGTGGTTATCTCCTCCCCAGCTTGGCTGCCTCATGTCATCACAGTATTCCATTTTGTTTGTTGCATGTCTTGTGAAGCCATCAAGATTTTCTCGTCTGTTTTCCTCTCATTGGTAATGCTCACTTTGTGACTTCATTTCAAATCTGTAATCCCGTTCAAATAAATATCCACAACAGGATCTGTTTTCCTGCCCATCCTTTAAGGAACACATCAATTCATTTTCTAATGTCCTTCCCTCACAAGCGGGACCAGGCACAGGGCGAGGCTCATCGATGACCCAAGATGGCGGCCGGGCATTTCTCCCAGGGATCTGTGAAAGTGGAGGACAAATATGGAGGGACGGAGGTGAGCCCGGGTAGAAAATCCAGACTCCGTGAGGATAAATCCAAGTGAGCCAGTCAGACAATACGAGGCAAGAAATAGAAAATCGGTAGTGGATTCCGGGAGGACAGTGAGTAGGAAGGATAGAAACGAGTAGAGGAACTTAAGGCCATCAAAAATTTCTGAGTAGAAATTGAGTGCTTTATAAAGCACTTACCTCTGTGCTTCCTTTTGTGCTTCCTGTGTGTGTGGATATTTAAAGGGGCTGGAAATGTGCAAAAACATGTCACTACTTAGACATTATATTGTCATCTTGCTGTTTCTAGTGATGTTAATTATCTCCATTTCAGCAGATGTGTGGCCTCAGATGGTAAAGTCAGCAGCCTTTCTTATTTCTCACCTGGAAATACATACGACCATTTGAGGAGACAAATGGCAAGGTGTCAGCATACCCTGAACTTGAGTTGAGAGCTACACACAATATTATTGGTTTCCGAGCATCACAAACACCCTCTCTGTTTCTTCACTGGGCACAGAATTTTAATACTTATTTCAGTGGGCTGTTGGCAGGAACAAATGAAGCAATCTACATAAAGTCACTAGTGCAGTGCCTGACACACACCATTCTCTTGAGGTCCCCTCTAGAGATCCCACAGGTCATATGACTTCTTGGGGAGCAGTGGCTCACACCTGTAATCCCAGCACTTTGGGAGGCTGAGGCAGGTGGGTCACCTGAGGTCAGGAGTTCAAGACCAGCCTGGCCAATATGGTGAAACCCCATCTCTACTAAAAATACAAAAATTAGCTGGGCGTGCTGGTGCATGCCTGTAATCCCAGCTACTTGGGAGGCTGAGGCAGGAGAATTGCTGGAACATGGGAGGCGGAGGTTGCAGTGAGCTGTAATTGTGCCATTGCACTCGAACCTGGGCGACAGAGTGGAACTCTGTTTCCAAAAAACAAACAAACAAAAAAAGGCATAGTCAGATACAACTGATGTTAATCAAGTGTCTGCTTTGTGGTTCAGTGCCTTTCTGTTTAATCACCACAATACCTACTATGTGGACTGTTTTGGGCACTTTAAAAGAAACCTAAGGAAAATGACACGTAACATGGGGGAGGCTAGAAGAGATCTTAAAGATTGTCTAATTCATAGACACCAATCTAAGACCCAGGACATTTGCAGAGGGTACACAGCTAGCGAATAGCAGGTATATGGTTAAAGGCCAGCACTTCTGGCTTCTGGTCTATTCTTCGTTCTACCATGTAACTCACCCCTGCCATTGAGATGTCTGTAGTCTTTCTTTGCTGCACTGAGTACTCAGAAAGTGCCGTCGATGGTGATCCAGCCCTGTGTCACTGAGGAGACTCACAGCGGACTAGCTCTTCACTTATTTATCTTGGTGTTCATTGAAACACTAAGTATATGTGTTGTAATTCCTTAGGACATAGAACAGTATTATCCAAGAAACTCTGCGCTTATAACTCCAAAATTTTATTTTTATTAGCAAAGTATTTACATGGAACTTAACATATGGCTGGGACTCTTTGAAGGATTTTACAAAAATTAACTCATTTAATTTTTAGAAGAACTCTGTAAAGAAGATGCTGTAGTTGTCTTCATGTTTCAGATAAACAAAGTGTGGCACAGAGAGAATAACTTTCCCAAGGCTGTAAAAATATGAAGAAGCAGAATCTGGCCCTAGCGTTCATGGTCTTAACTACTCCACTGACCTGCCTCTCAGAAATTATCAAAAATGCTGACTGTTCCTCCCCAGAAAGCACATTCTTTCATTCATTCATTCTTTCCCTTTCTGAGAGTTGTGTCACTTCTCTTCCAAGTGGCCTGTAGACCATTTAGGCTTTCCCAATGCTTTCTTTTTTTTCTTTTTTTGAGATGGAGTCTCGCTTTGTCACCCAGGCTGGAGTGCAGTGGCACCATCTTGGCTCACTGCAAGCTCCACCTCCCGGGTTCATGCCATTCTCCTGCCTCAGCCTCCCCAGTAGCTGGGACTACAGGTGCCCACCACCACGCTGGGCTAATTTTTTGTATTTTTAGTAGAGATGGGGTTTCACCGTGTTAGCCAGGATGGTCTCAATCTCCTGACCTCATGATCCACCTGCTTCGGCCTCCCAAAGTGCTGGGATTACAGGCGTGAGCCACCGCGCCCGGCCAGGCTTTCCCAATGCTTTCTATGTCTCTGATTACCTTGCCTACCTGTATTCTGACTCCAACATCTCCATTCATTTTGCTGTACACGTTGGTTATAGGAAATTAGAGTCCAGCAGGATGAAAGGTGAAATACCAAGACATTCACCGTTAACTCATTCACCAACACTATATGCTATGTGCTAGGTACGAGGAACATAAGGAACTAAAATACACATAATTCTTATCCTCTTGGAGCTTTCAGTTTAGTCAGGAAGCAAGACATTAAACAAGTAATCATGCATATAAATGTAGATTTCAAACTAATTTAAGTGCTATGAAGAAAATGATTGGATGCTGTTATAAGAAAATGTATATAACCTATTTTACATTAGATAGGGAGGTGTGTAAGTTCTCCAAAGAAAGTAATTTTTAAGTTTATAAACCAAGCATATACAATATAGGCCAGGAAAGGACTAGGGGTAAGAGCATTCCAGGCAAAGGGAACAGCAGTGCAAAGGCTCTGAAGTGGGAAATAGGTCGGCACATTCAGGAAACTGAAAGAAAATTCATTAGAAACTGCATGTGTCATAGTGAGTGTAGGGGAGGGAGTGGCATGGCTGGAGAGGTGGTGGGATCAGATCCTTCAAGCCCTCCCAGGCCAGAGTGAACACTTCAGACTTTATTTTAAGTTCAAGGGAAGCCACTGGAGGATTATAAAAAGGATAGGGATGTGGCAAAGAGTTAATGGAAAGCAGGTAACAATGCAAATAAAGAGATGGGTTAGCGGCTGCCTTCATAGACCATGGGAGAGGTGACCATGGTTTGAAGTAGGATGGGGGCAGTCAAAATGTAGTAGAAAAATTCAAGATACATTTTTATAGATATTTAATATATCTAATTTATTTAAGTAATAACCAATAGGATGTGTTGATGGACTGGCTATGGGGACTAGGGAGGAAAAAATGTCATGGATTATTCTCAGGTACGTAGCATAAAAACTTGGTGGATGTCCTAGACCACTTTCTCAGATGGGAAACACACGGGGATGAGGGTTGCAGGCACACCCTAGGTTGCAGCGTAGCCTGCGTGGTCCTGGGCAGATCCCCACCTGGGCATCTCCCGATACGATGGAGGAGCTGGCTCCTCATTGGTTCTCAGTAGCTGTCTTTGTGGGAAACACCTACCACATCTGAAAACAAAAACAAAAACAAAAACAAAACCCTCTTGCTGCTTGTTTTTGTTTGTTTGTTTGTTTGTTTGTTTTTGAGACGGAGTCTTGCTCTGTCGCCCAGGCTGGAGTGCAGTGGGGCGATCTCAGCTCACTGCAAGCTCTGCCTCCTGGGTTCACGCCATTCTCCTGCCTCAGCCTCCCGAGTAGCTGGGACTACAGGCACCCGCCACCATGCCTGGCTAATTTTTTGTATTTTTTTTTATTAGAAACAGGGTTTCACTGTGTTAGCCAGGATGGTCTTGATCTCCTGGCCTCGTGATCCGCCCGCCTCGGCCTCCCAAAGTGCTGGGATTACAGGCGTGAGCCATCGTGCCTGGCCGCTGCTTGGTTTTAAATGAATCTTGGATACAGGTGGCCAGACTAAATGGTCTCTCAACTTGTCTTCAAGTTTAGGATTTTAATTTTTGATATTTTTCACTTCTCTCTGGAAATTTGTTCAATTCTCAATTGTTGGGGGAGTGCGCAGCTGCTTCATTATGAGTTTACTGGCTGATAATCAAATAAATATAGAAAATATAATTGGGTCATGTAGCTATCGCTAACCAGTTTTAAAAAATATGTACTTCTTGGATCTTACATAGGCCTGAAAGTTTAGTTGCACTACTTTAGGAATCTCTTTTTATGCATTTGTTCAATTAAAAGGCAACAAAGACAAATCCTTAAGAAAATACCAGTATTTTTCCTACATATGAAATCAAGGGTCCTTGTCTGACGATGGATTTTACTAGTTACGAGAATCTTCCTATATTTCTAGTTGAATCCCTGTCATTTCCTGTAATAGACTTATATTTTACCAGCAGCCCTTATGCGATTTCTTTGTGAAAAATATTTCTCTGTATAGAGGAAAGTTTATCATTTGGAATGTTAAATGCAATTATATTGACATATGGTGATAATGGGACAAAGCATACGGGTTAAAGGTTGCAGGAACCATGGCTTGGCAATTAGCGATGTAAATGAAACATTCATTATCCATCATGCTGAGAAGTTGATGAACTGTACAGTAAATCTGAGCCCACAGTCAGGACTGAGATAAGTCATTTCAGACAATACAGTGGAGAATTTATGAGCACCAGGGACAATGTTTCAGATTCCTGTCATGGAGGTTTCTTTACCTATTTAGTTGAATAAAGACCTTATAAAGTCCAAGCCACAATGCTGTCCTTCCACAGGAATAAATATGAGATTCTAAAACTTTCTCTTAAAATGAACCATTTTGAGAGCTAAAGTGACTAGATGTTGACAGCCACCATTTTTCATAAGTGCATCCCATAAGAAAGATGTACTATAGATTATTTGTCTTGAAGAAGAGCTTTGATATGTTTCAAAATTCGACGTTGGCTTTGGAAGGAAACTGTAAATTTACAGATCTTTGTCCTTCCCCACAAAGAGCCTTAATCTCACAGGTTGGATTATGTGGAACTCACTGCTATTTTTCAGTTCTCCTTTAAGTGACTAAGGAACATCCAGATACTTCCAAAAAAAAAAAAAAGTCTAAGTTTTTCACTTTGTCCATTGCCATTTAATTATCTTCTGCATATTTTAAAGCATTTCCTGTGAACATAAGTATTGCCCATCCAGAAAATTTGCGTCTACATTGATTTTATGTTTAATGAAACCTGTTCTTCTCAAGTTCTTTATTTAATCACATAACATAGTATCTTCAAAGGTGAGATAAAAAAATCACTGGAGAAATGTTAAAACTTCATTTATTTAAGATGACTAGTGATGCAGCTAGCAAACCCAAGAAGCCAACTGGAATGGAAATGCTCAGTGGTGCTCAGCCATTACCCAGGACCAGAGATTCCTTTGTTAACAGTTCAATTTGTTGAGGCACAAGTGAGGATAAATTGGGCCATGACAAAACTATGAGATTGAATGATAATCATAGTAACATCTGACATATATTAAATTTGGTGTTATGCCATTTCTCAGTTCCACCAAATGTACTAATCTGGGCATTGTTCTAGGCACCTGAAATAAATTATCTCAATTCATCCTTCAAATAACCCAGTGAAGTAGATCATACTATATCCCACTTTATAGATCATACTGTGTATCCCATTTTATGGATGGGGAACCTGAGGCTCAGAGATGAGAAATGATCATCCAATCATCCACATTCACTCAACTAGTAAACAATTGGGCTAAACTTCAGCTCCAGCTCCATGCAATTCCAAGTCCTCGTTGAACCACTTTGTTATTGAGCTTGCTCCAACTGATCTCCTGTGTCTCTGGCCATCCCATCGTTTCAGTAGTGCCCCAGTTTGAAAGTCCACTTCATCATCAGGCATCCAGTGCCTTCCAGCCTTTAATTGTCTCCTATCAAACTGGAAACAATTAGTCTGAGAAAATCATCCATGCCAGTGAATTAATTTATTGAATTTGTTGTCCTGTGTCTTTCTGTGAGGGTGAAAGGCTGTATTTGTGCCATAAGAGAATGCTGGCTGTCTCTAGAAGAGCTGAGGGAAAGGTTGAATGAGATCAACGCCTGGCTCTTACAATGGCCTGCAGCAGTCTTCCTCAGCCTTGACTTGCCTAGGAAACTTGCAAACATCAGATTCTCAAGTCTACCTCCAGAGATTCTGATTTAATCACTCTAGGCTGGGACCCAGTCATTGGTATTTTTTAAAAGCTCCTTAGAATAAATCTAATGTGCAGCCAAGGTTGGGAACCTCTGGATGGAAAATACATGATTTGGTCCCCTCTAACCTCACCTACTGTTTATTATCCTTCCACCTCCCACTGCTATAGACATGCTGTCTTCCTTGCTTTTCCTAGAACACAGCAAGCATGCTTTTGCCTCAGGGACTTTGTACCTGCTGTCCCCTCTCTGACTAGAAAACAGTTTCCCTAGATACCTGCATAGTTAGCCCCCTGAACTTATTTCAATTCTCTGCTCAAATGTCATGTAAATGGTGACATCTTCCCTGACCATCTTATATAAAATAATACTTCCCTTTCCCCTGATATTCTCTATCCACCTTATCCTGTTTGATTTTTCTGCACTGCCCCATCAACCATTGACATATAACATGTCTACTTGTTTATATATGTATTGTGTTTCACCAGCATTGAAATGTGACTTTCACGAGGGTAGGGATTTTTGTCTGTTTTA
Organism: Homo sapiens; assembly: GCF_000001405.40. NCBI lineage: Eukaryota > Metazoa > Chordata > Mammalia > Primates > Hominidae > Homo > Homo sapiens. Next base: position 76,777,606 of record NC_000009.12, on the reverse strand, counting down.
TTTAATACTGTATCCCCAAGAATGCCTTGCATAAATTGGGACTAACAAATATTTATTGAATTGAATAAATGAATACATTTGGGAAGGCGCAAAGGAGTCCTTGCCCCTGAAATTCATTTCTTCAGTCAGCCAGCAAACTGTATGGAGTGACATCTGTGTGCTGAGCTCAGAGCTCTGTGCCTGGGATAGCATTTTACAGAGCATGGTGGGCATGGCTGGCCAGTGCTCCTGCTTACTTCGATTTTCTGCCTTCCCACCATTCCTGTGCTTATTATATTCTTTCTCAGAAGACTTTTTCCCCACTGTTGAGAACAGGGCAGTCTGAGAAGCCTCCCTACTAAAACTGAGGTTGGCACCCCTCTCCTACTTCATTGTGGAATCCTGGAATGGTCTTTCTTACCCTTTGTCCCTAGCAGTTTCACATGCTTTGGGTCATTGCATTTCTTCCCTTCTCTGCCCTCCCCCACTTCTCTCCTTCAAACAACATCATCTCTCAGCAATATACAACCTCAAGGGCTATGGGGCAGGGGAGAAAGAAGGGCCCAAGAGGAAGCTACCCTGATGGCATTGGTGCAGTGGCAGATGTGGGAACCCAACCCAAGAGGAACAGTTTAGGAGTGCCGAGAATCTCCGCTGAGTGGAAGAAAGGTCCAGGCCCTTTGTGTGTGTGTGTGTGTGTGTGTGTGTGTGTGTGTGTGTGTGTGTGTGTGTGTATGTGTTTTGGTAATGAGAAAGAAACTCAAGAGAAAGCTTCATGTATCTTCAAACATACAAAAAAAAAAAAAACTGCTGGCTGGACACAGTGGCTCATAACTTTTAATCCCAGCACTTTGGGAGGCTGAGGTGGGTGGATCATTTGAGGTTAGGAGTTCGAGATCAGCCTGGCCAACATGGTGAAACCCCATCTCTACTAAAACTAGAAATACTAGCTAGGCATAGTGGCGGGCACCTGTAATCCTAGCTACTTAGGAGGCTGAGGCAGGAGAATTGCTTGAACTCGGGAGGCGGATGTTGCAGTGAGCCGAGATTGTGCACTGCACTCCAATTTGGGCAACAGAGCGAGACTCATCTCAAAAAAAAAAAAAAAAGAAAAAAGAAAAAAAAAAAGAAAATGTGGTGTAAATGTATACCGTGATATACTACTCAGCTTTTGCAGCAATATGGATGGAACTGGAGATCATTATCCTATGTGAAATAATTCAAAAATGGAAAATCAGATACCACATGGTCTCACTTGTAAGTGGGGGCTAAACAGTGTGTACACATGGACACAGAGAGTGAAATAATAACATCGGAGAGTCCAAAAGGTGGGAAGGCGGGAGGGTGGTAAGGAATGAAAAATTACCCATTGGGTACAATGTCTGCTATTCAGGTGATGGCTACACTAAAAGCTCAGACTTCACCACTACTCAATATCCATGTAACAAAACTGCACTTGTACCCCCTAAAATTTACAAAAATTTAAAAAATTTCATTTGTGCTTACTGTCTTTACTGAAATGTTAAATATTTACTCATGAGTTGATTACTCTGTGCACGTGAGATTGTCTTTTGTAGTTATAAAGAAGGGATGCTTAGAAGTAGTATCAGTGTTCTTTCTTATTCCTATCCCTCCCAAATCTCACACCAGAAAATGCTGGAATTTTTTGGAAGGAAATAGAGAAGAGTGGAATTAGGTTTAGGGATGTGTAGTCATAGGAGGAGGGGAGTAATGGAAGTTATAGAAATGGTGGTACTTGGTGTTGGTCCGAGCTAAAGGCTAGAGAAGGATGTGTTAGAAATGGGCCTGCATAGCCGGCATGAAGGCCGGGTGAGCAATCCTTGTGCTTTTTCTGGGAGAGGTAAGGCCCAAGAGAATTTGCCTGAAATGGGATGATGTACAACTATTTTCACATCCAAGAAAATTTGAGGAGTTCTAGGGCAAATGTAAAGAGATAACATTCCTTGCATACCTGAAGAGAAGAAATATGGACAGACTGAGAAAATGATTTTTAAAATGACAAAATAGGCTGGGCAGAGTAGCTCACACCTGTAATCCCAACACTTTGGGAGGCTGAGGCAGGCAGATTGCTTAAGCTGAGAAGTTTGTGACTAGCCTGGGCAGCATAGCGAGATCCCATCTCTACAAAAAAAAACCACAAAAATTAGCTGGGCATGGTAGTGCATGCCTGTAGTCCCAGCTACTCTGGAGGCTAAGGTGAGAGGATCGCTTGAGCCTGGAAGGTCAAGGCTGCAGTGAACTGTGATCGTGCAACTGCACTCCAGGCTGGGAGACAGAGTGAGACCTTGTCTCAAAAAAAAAAGACAAAGTACAAAATGGTCCTCTGAGAATATTGTTCCTCTTTGTCATTGCAAAGAGATGCATTCTAGCTGGATGTTTTCATTTATACTCCCAAATTCTAAGACTCTTGTTTCTCCTCCAGTGTTTCACACAGATGGTTAGTGAAAAAGTCCTTTCTTTCCCCCCGACCAAATAAACTTGATTTTCTGTCTGGTCCTATTCGGTTCAGCTTAGCAAGTAACAGGGCAAATTTTTTTTCTTCTTTGGGACTTGAAGTATGGTGTTTTATAATTCACTGAGTGATTACAGAGTGCCCAGAACTTTATGTAAATTATTTTTGTTTCTCATAACTCATCTGTGTAGTAGATATTAGTGTTCCCATTACATAGATGAGGAAATAGAAGCTCAGCAACAAAAAGTAATTCATAGCTGGTAACAGAATTTGAACTCATGTTTTTCTGTCTCTAAAATCTACAATCTTTTCACTACTCAAAGGTGCTAAAGCTCCCCTGTTTCCTCCATATTTAACTTTCTTTAAATCATTATTTTATTCTGGTTTAAAGAATTGGGTCGGGCCTAGTGGCTCACACTTGTAATCCCAGCACTTTGGGAGGCCGAGGTGGGTGGATCACCTGAGGTCGGGAATTCGAGACCAGCCTGACCAATATGGTGAAACCCCATCTCTACTAAAAGCACAAAAATTAGCTGGGCATGATGACATACACCTGTAATCCCAGCTACCTGGGAGGCTGAGACAGGAGAATTGCTTGAATCTGGGAGGTGGAGGTTGCAGTGAGCCGAGATCGTGCCACTGCACTCTAGCCTGGGCAAGAAGTGAGACTCCATCTCAAAAAAAAAAAAAAAAAAAAAAAAAAAGGGTTGAACTGGAGGCCAGGAACGATGGCTCATGCCTCTAATCCCAACACTTTGAGAGGCCAAAGCAGGTGGATTGCTTGAGCTCAGGAGTTCAAGACCAGCCTGGGCAACATGGTGAAACCCCATCTTTACAAAAAAATACAAAAAATTAACTGGGCATGGTGGTGCACACCTGTAGTCCCACTTACTCAGGGGGGTCAGGTGGGAGGATCGCTTGAGCCTAGGAGGTTGAGGCTGCAGTGAGCTATGATTGTGCCACTGCACTCCAGCCTGGGGGATAAAGTGAGACCCTGTGTCAAAAAAATATTTTTTTAAAATTAAAAAATAAAAAAGAATCAAACCTATTCTTTTCCCTCTACTCTGCCCAAGTTTTCAAGTAAATAATCTAATTATTATTTGAAATGACCCAATTAAGTTTAAAAATACCTGTCCTTTCCTAGCCCTGAAGACTTAAAATAGATCTACTGTCTTCTAAGAGTCATTTCGTTTAGTTTTCACTTGCTCCTTCTCTTTATAAAGGAGTCTCATTTCTCTACCTGCTTTATTCCATCAATTACTTTCCACCTTTTTTCTGTGGGGTTATTTTTACCAAAATTAACACATGGGGTCTCCTAAGTAAGTTTCCTTGTTGAATTCCCTTTACCAGTTGAAACATAGAACAGGGAAAAAAACATTCTTACATTACTGCACCTACATAAGATGTACTTGGCCGGGTGCGGTGGCTCACGCCTGTAATCCCAGCACTTTGGGAGGCCGAGTCAGGTGGATCACCTGAGGTCAGGAGTTCGAGACCAGCCTGGCCAACATGGCAAAACCCCTCCTGTACTAAAAGTACAAAAATTAGCCTGGCTTGCTGGCAGGTGCCTGTAATCCCAGCTACTCAGGAGGCTAAGGCAGGAGAATCCCTTGAACCCGGGAGGTGGAGGTTACAGTGAGCCAAGATTGCACCACTGCACTCCAGCCTGGGCGACAAGAGCGAGACTCTGTCTCAAAAAAAAAAAAAAAAAAAAAAGATGTACTAGTGTGTATGTGATGTGACTGCGGGATGAATGTATTACAGGAAGCCAGATAACATGAATAAAGAAAAGATTGTCCGCTATAAATCAACCTTTCTTCCCATTCTTCATTCTGGTATTCTCCCAGGGTTTACAGAAATTTCTATTTCTTCAATGAAAAGGATTTGGAAGTAACATGGCCTGTTTATTGCATTCCTTCTCAGTCAGTGCACACAGTAATTCAAAGTTTTTCCTTAAGCTGGATGAATCCCAACAACAACAAAAGACCGCTTTGGTGAAGTAAATTTAACTTGGGAAATAAGCATGAACTTAAAGTAATATAAAGTAGGGGAAGCTGGTAGGATCTCAGGTTATAAATTTCAATGTAAGAAATTATATTGTTGATTTGATTTTTGTTTCTAAATACAAATTGTTCCTTTTCCCAGGTGGCAAGGTTTTGGAGGAAACATACATTTTTCCTGTTGAAGGAAAGGAGCAAAAAGTGACTTGGTTGGGCTTCCCAACTTCTGTTAAAGCCACTTAATTTTTTGAAATCCATGTGTGACTGTCTGTCAATAATTTACATAGTCAGGCTGGGTACAGTGGCTCATGCCTGTTAATCGCAGCACTGTGGGAGGCCAAGATGGGAGGATTGCTTGAAGCCAGGAGTTTGAGACCAGCCTGGGCAACATAGTGAGGCTCTGTCTCTACAAAAAATTAAACAATTAGCTGGATACAGCCGTGTGTGCCTATAGTCCCAGCTACTGGGGAGGCTGAGGTGGGTGGATTGCTTGAGTCTGGGAGGCCAAGGCTACAGTGAACTGTGATTGCACCACTACGTTCCAGCCTGGGGGACAAGCAAGACCCTGTCTCTAAAAAAAAGAAAGAAAATAATTTACCATGTTCACAAGTTGCAGTTAACCTTGTCCATGGGAGGAGACTTTTGCAAAACTACAGAAGGTTATTTTTGGTTTCCTTTAAGAGTTTGCTTAGAGCTTGGAGACAGACAGTTCCCAGAGTTTCAAGACTACGTAGCAAGTGATTGGTTATGCCCCAACCTATGTATTGCTGTGGTTGCATAGCCCCCAAAATGACTATTGCCATTTAAAAAAAAAATTAAAATAAATATTTTTGACAAAATAATTGTAACTATTGAAGAGTCCATCCCTGAGAAAGCCACACCATACCAGTAGCTAAGAAGCTATGATCATTCTGTTATTTCCCTCTGTAGTGGGCACTGGTGTCTTCTCAAAAAGTGGTTCATTTTGGTGCCAGGATAGGATAAAAACAACGAGCAACACACAAAAAGCCCTTTTCCTTCAGCTTACAAGGGCGGAAGGGTGGCTTTCCCAGCTGACACCTTGGTTTAAAGCCAGGAGTGGAATTCCAGGATTCTTGGGTTAAAAGGTAGTTTGTGTGGAGCCACATACTCTGCTCTCGGACTTCGTATAGGCAAATTTGCTGTAGTGCAGATTTGTGTTTGGCATCTTCATGAACCCACTGAGTCCCACGCCATTAGTGTCCTCCTTGTCACAAGGTGAGCATTTCTGCTTTTTGTCAAATAAGCCAGAGTGGCTTTTCCTTTCTCACTTAGGGTGTGGTCTGCAAACCACACCTGAGTGGTTGGTGGCTTTTGTGGGCAGTACACGGAGTATAGTGGCCTCTCCCTCTGGGAAATAATTGGAAATAAAAACAGAAAGCAGTAGCAGATTCTTGGCTCTGCTCTTCAGTCAGAATGACATTTAGGTTTGGTTTTTCCTGTTTTCTGTCTTTTGCTGAATTTTTTGAAAATTCATTTACTCAATGTGTACAACTGCTTTGATGTGTACAATTTGCAGCCATTCAATACTCTGCTTAGTGTTACCCAAACACCTTGATAAAGTAGCCATTATTACCCTACCACTCCAGCAATCCCTGACCCCCGACTCACCGTAGTCTTCCTCATTGTACCTGCCTTCATGTCACATTGCTGCAGTTTGTGTCTGTCTCCTTGAGCAGGGACTCTGCTTCATAGCTCTTTCTTCTAGAAGAGTGCCCAGCATATAGTAGGACTTATTAAGTGCATGAAGAAATAATTCATATTTGACAGCTTTTGAGGACTCTGTAACTCTGAGTTTATTCGTTTTCATTTTGTTATTGTATCAGCATTAAAGAAATGCCTAAGTTGATGACCATTGAGGGATATAGTTTGGCCATTTTCTTATAAATATATTTAAGATGCAAAAACATATATTTGATCACCAGTTATCAAAATTGCAACCTTTCACATGGGAATATAATTTATATGATATTTAAATCATGTCTAGTTTCTATGATCATAATTTATATAATATTTCTTTAGAATCATTTCTGTGGCGTTTTCTGTTTTGCTAATCTTTTAGTATCTTTAGATAATTTTTTGTCGATTTCTCAAGAAGCATATCTACTTTAGCTTGCTATTTATGGTAATTTGTAGCAAAAATTTAGTAAGTGTTACAGTGTCTCTAGTTAGTTATTAGTTTATCAATTACTAATTCTTCTTTTTCAGATTTTTTGAAATTTAATTTTTGGTATCTTCCTTCACAAATTTACTTTCGCATTGATAGTTGAGATATTATCAAAGTTGAGGTACTAATCATACTGACCATTATGAGCAGTCATTTCTGGATTTCTCCACTGTCCCTTTGCTATTTGGAATGATTTTGGGCTTCACTTTCTTTATTAGGTTGACTGAGCTGCTCTTGGTTAAAAAACAAAATTTAAACTTTAAAGAAAATATCATATCAGCATTTAATTAAGTTTATTGCAAATTGTTGCAATAAACCTAGAATGCTTTCAACAGTTTTGCAGGATTTTGTTGTGGTTGAAATGTTAGTTTCATTTGGTTTACTTTTAGCTTTAATTTTAATTTTACCATAATATTTCACCAGATATTTCATAATCCATTTTAGATGAATGTCAATTTCATGAAAGGATAACATTTCAGATCCTGAGTCCTTTTCAATTTTTGAATCATATATTCATTTGAAAAAGCCATTAACATATTTTAAAAATAAGGCAATAGATTGGATTGAAAATGTGTTTTCAAAAAGAAACTTTATCACTTTAAAAAAATCCTTGATATTTTAATGCCCAAGGAATTCTCATTCCCAAAAGTATTTGGTTCAAAGTCCAGAGAAACTTAGAATAAACTTAGGTAAAATGCCTGTGTTGAAACTAAAATAAACACACTCTAATTAAATGAAAACAAGTGTAAGGGTAAAAATAATCTTCAAAGAATGTTGCCTCAAATGAAGTCAAAAAGTTTTACTATAAATGTTATAGTAAAATTAACAAAAATGAGTTTTTAGTGACTGAAGAATTGTGGTGAATACATTTTTGGTGCATTAACAATAATAAATTGGCAAGGTCCTGATATTCTGGGAGGATATCTGCATTAGGTTATGATGCTAATAAATTTTATGTTTTTAATCCTAAGAAATGGACTTCACTGCTCTTGTCTAGTTAATCTTTATAATACATTTTCAGGATTGTTTTCAATTTAATTATTTGAAACATAAACATTTACTTTTTTATTTTAAAGTATTTTTGAGAAACTATGACAGAATGTTCAGGGTAATTTTAATTGCTACCGCTTTTTTGAAAGTAATCCAGAAATGTTGATTTAAGTTTTTAGTTCACGTTCCCTTTTATCCAGCAAGCCTACTTTGATAAGCTCTCCTACAGAAATACAAGCATCAGAATATAACGACATATATTGAAAGTGTTTCACGCCTGTAATCTCAGCACTTTGGGAGCCTGAGGCGGGCGGATCACCTGATGTCGGGAGTTCGAGTCCAGCCTGACCAACATGGAGAAACCCCATCTCTACTAAAAATAGAAAATTAGCCGGACATGGTGGCACGTGCCTGTAATCCCAGCTACTTGGGAGGCTGAGGCAGGAGAATCACTTGAACCCGGGGGGCGGAGGTTGCGACGACGAGCCGAGATTGTGCCATTGCACTCCAGCCTGGGCAAGAAGAGCGAAACTCTTAACAACATTTTTCACTTGGAAGAAATGGAAAGCAACCTTAATGTCCATCAATAGAGGAAGGATTGAATCAATTATGATACAGCCATGCAAAGAAGTGCTACGGAGCTACTGGAAAACAGTTCAGTTATTCTGTATGTATTGACCCTGAGGGATGTCCCCAGTGTATTGAAGTAAAAAATTGTTTTAAGCTGCAGAATAGTGTGTATAATTTAATCTCATATTTTAAAGGGCAAGAGATTTATACGATCTGAAGAGAAACCAGAGTATAATAATCTCTTATTTTAAAAGCAAAGCAATAAGATCCAACCCATATATGAGTACCATAATGAAAGATTCTAAGAATATCTCTCAAACTGTCAATATTGGTTGATAAAGTCTGCATATGAGTACCATAATGAAAGATTCTAAGAATATCTCTTAAACTGTCAATATTGGTTGAGAAGGTCTGCTGAGAGGACTGGAAAGGGTCGAGTTATATATCTTTGTTTGACTTGTTAAAACAAGGCATCTATTACTACTGTAATTTAAATTTTTTATAAAGTACAGCGTTTTTGGTGGTAGGAATTATGCAAAGTAAAGACTTACAATTTCTTTTTTATTTTAATGTAGCATAGAATCCATACAGAGTCTCATACCATGCAAATGTCCAGTGATTTGTGATTAAATCATAGAAGATTCCAATTACTTGGGTGGTAAGAAATTCAAAAGAAAGTGGTCAGATTAAGGTGAGGTAAACCATAAATTATTTTCTGAAGTGAATTTTTTATGAGATGACTTCAACTTTGACAAAATTGTTGATGATCTAGTCAGCAGGGATATACACACACACACACACACACACACACACACACACACACACATACATATACATATATATATCAACCCAAAGATAAGAGACCCAGAGAACGTTCTAGGTGCGGCTGCAGACAGACTTGATAGTTGTTGAAATGGGGCCAGGAGTAGTAGCCCATGCCTGTAATCCCAGCACTTTAGCAGGCCAAGGCAGGAGGATCACTTGAGGTCAGGAGTTTGAGACCAGCTTGGCCAACATGGTGAACCCCCGTCACTACTAAAAATACAAAAATTAACTGGGCACAGTGGCGCAGGCCTGTAATCCCAGCTACTTGGGAGGCTGAGGTAGGAGAATTGTTTGAACCCAGGAGGCGGAGGTTGCAGTGAGCTGAGATCGCACCACTGCACTCCAGCCTGGGCGACAGAGCGAGAATCCATCTCAAAAAAAAAAGGAAAATCATTGACATGGAAGTACTAGTTCAAGGGCAAGGTATAGCCAAGCTTTCTGGGGAGGGGAATTAGACTTATGTGATCCTCCTCACCAGGCAGCCGTGCTGGGATGGCCAGGGAGGGATTGGTGGGGCTGGGAGGTGACAGGACTCCCTCTGACCTGCCGCTGTGATGCACGTATAGCTGGAGGGCAGTTTCCAAATCATCGAAGAAAGAACAGGGAAGATCAGAGAGATGTGAATGTACAATTATTAATACTTCCAGTCCTTGCTCTTTTACACCCAAAGTGAGGAACCAAGAGGGTTAGGAAGCCAGGGAAGATGAGAATAGCCATAGTGGGCATGGAAGGGTAATGCTGAAAACACCGAAAAGGACAGTGTTCGGATAGAAGATAGGAGCCAGTGTGCACTCCCTCCAGCTGGGTTTTTACACCCCTGGATAGACTTGTGCTGGGCAGGCTGGATTCATTTAAAGATTCACGAGAGATGCACGATATGTATTAAAACAAAATAGGGTCAAGAGATGAGGCTTTAAGGTGCCTCCTGTTAGGGGAGGAGGAAGATGAGAAGTCAACAAAGAAGGTAGGGAAACAACCATGAGAGTAGTGTCATGCAGTCACAGAAGCGAAGGTTCTGGAAAATAGTTCTTTTTCTTTTTAAAGAGGTGATCAATGGAGTCAAGGGCAAGGAAGAAGTGGAAAGCAAGGAAAATAAAGAATCTGTGCTTTTTTCTTTCTTTCTTTTTTTTTTTGAGACAGAGTTTTGCTCTTTTTGCCCAGGCTGGAGCGCAGTGGCACAATCTTGTCTCACTGCAACCTCTGCCTCCCGAGTTCAAGCTATTCTCCTGCCTCGGCCTCTCGAGTAGCTGGGATTACAGGCGTGTGCCACCATGCCCAGATAATTTTGTATTTTTAGTAGAGACGAGGTTTCACCATGTTGGTCAGGCCGGTCTTGAACTCCCGACCTCAAGTGATCTGCCCACCTCGGCCTCCCAAAGTGCTGGGATTACAGGCGTGACCCACAGTGCCTGGCCAAAGATTCTGTTTTGAATAGGTCCTTGGTGACTGCCAACAATAGTTTCAGTAGAGGAGAGAGAGTTTATTTGTTAAACAGATATTTATTCATCAGTAAGTATGTTGGAGACGCTATACCAGAATACAGCAGTGAATAAGACAGGCAAGGTTAAGATTTCACGAAGCCTACCTTCGCCTTGGGGGGAAGGTGTGGCGAGGTGGGAGAGGTAGATGATAAACAATAAATAAGGAAAATGGTCATTTTGAATAGTGATCATGTGTATGCGTTGTGTATGTGTATGCCTGTGTATGAGTTGACAGTGACAGTGGTAGGGTTGGACCGCAGAACAGTGCTTTGGAGAGAAAGCCCTCACAGAGAAAGTGATGTTTGGACTCCCTATGTGATAAGAAGCTACACATGAAAAAATCTGGGGATTGTACATTTCAGGCTGAAGAAATGGCAAATCCTAAGGCCCTAAAGCAGGAGCAAAATTGACATGTTTGAAGAAGACGAGTGTGACTGGACCTCTGTGATTGGGGGGAAGTGGCGCAGGATGAAACGAGGGAGGTATGTAAGGACCAAAACATGGAAGGAAAGCAAGATTCCCAGAAAAAGTGGATGGGAGAGGCACTATCCATGAACATGATCCAGTTGTCCAAGAAAGTTAATTTAGCAGAAAGAAATGGAATGTTAATGTTGGTTCAGATGCAGAATCTAATATGTGTTTTATTTTAAATAAGGGAGAGTTAAGCATCGTTAAAGACATAAGAAAAGAGAAAGCTGACTCCTTTTCTTCCAGTGACCATTAGTAACGTATTCTCCCACAAGGCACACAGCCACCCACTCAATGCTGTCATTAATCCCACACAGATAGGCTTTGCCTGGGGAGTGAACATATGGTATCCCCTGAAGCTTTTGTCTTTTCTGCTTGAAGCTAGTTTGTAAAAATCAAAAATGATATTGCATTTACTTTGGTATATTTCTAAAGAGTTTTTTTTTTTTTTTTGAGGCAGAGTCTTGCTCTGTCACCCAGGCTAGAGTGCAGTGGCGCAATCTTGGCTCACTGCAACCTCCGCCTCCAGGGTTCAAGCGATTCTCCTGCCTCAGCCTCCCAAGTAGCTGGGACTACAGGTGCCTGCCACCACGCGCGGCTATTTTTTTTGTATTTTTAGTAGAGACGGGGTTTCATCATGTTGGCCAGGATGGTCTCAATCTCTTGACCTCGTGATCAGCCTGCCTTGGCCTCCCAAAGTACTGGGATTATAGGCGTGAGCCACCGCGTCTGGCCTCTAACGAGATATTTCTAAAGGTTAGGCCTTCAGTCAAGAATTTTAAAGCTGGATCTTAGAGGTTATCTAAACTAACCTCTCCATTTCATAGATAAGGAAAGTGAGTCCCAGAAAAGCACTGGTTTGGACAAGTTCAGAAAGCTAAACAGTGACTGTGGATGTATGATTCTGTCTCTTAACTCCTAATCCAAATGTCTTCTCACTAGATAAGGCTGTGCCTTCTACATTTGAAGGCTCAAACCCCATGGATGGATGGAGGGAAGGATGGGTGGAGGGATGGATGGATAGATGGATGGATAGATAGTTTACTCATTCATTCAGTTATGCAAGAAAGATTGAGCCACCTCCCCATCAGACAGTGTGCTAATTGCTAGAATGCAATTATGAGAGCTGTTTATAGTGCCTGTCTCTATTCTGTATGCCTTCCTTACCTCAGTTGAATCCAGGGAGGTATATAATCCCACCATTCTATTGAAACCCCTCATCAAGATCACTAGTGACCTCTGTTATCAAATATAAGGACTATTTACCTATTCTTATCTTTCTTCATAGCATTCAAAACAATTGACTACTTCCTTCTCCTTGATGTCTATTTCATCTTGGCTTCTATGGCATCGTTTTCTTCCAAATGCCCCCCACCTGCTGGAAGCTCTGTTTCTGTTTCCTTTGCTGGCTCCTCCTCTTGTGTTTAACTTCTACATGTTGGAATTCCCAGCTTGGTTCCAGCTCATTGACTTTTCTCTAACTGCATGTCCACTCTAAGTGGTTATATGTTAATGTCACGCCCCCAACAAATGTACATCTGCTACTGAACTCAAAACGTATATCTCTAACTTGCCTGCTTGATATCTCCATTTAAATATCTAATGGGTATCTCAAATTTAACATGTGCTAAACAGAACCTTTGACTTTTTCTCTAAATCTGCTCTGCATCATTCTTCTCTCTCAGTATAGTTAGTCAGCAACATTAAACAAGTGTCTTCTATGTGCCAGAGTCTGTTGTAGACATTGGGGTTACAGTAGTGATGAAACAGACAAAAATCTCTAATATCAAGTACCTTCCATTCCAGTGGAGGGAGAAGGATCATGGAAGCCAAGCAAATAGCTTGTTCACTCCAAAAAGGCCTAGGCCCAGCCACCACCTCTCACCTTAACCATTGCAATAACTTAACTGGTGTCCCTGCTCCTACCCTTCTGCTGTCCTATCAACACAGCAACCAGAGTAATTTGTATAAAACACAAATATAACAGAAACACAAAACCTCTTCCCCAACTTTAAACCTTCTAGTCACTTCCCATAGCTCTTTGAATAAAATTCCAAACCCATTCCCATGGCCTACAGACCTCTGTATCATCAGGTCCTTCCCACCATGCAGATCTTCCTGGTCTCCCTCGGCTGCAGCCACACAAATCTCCCCTCTGTTTTTCTGATGCCAGCTTCTCGGCACTTGCTATTTCTTCTGTCTGGAACACTCTGACTTCAGAATATGAAAGCAGGTGGCCACTCCCATCATGCAAGAATGCCAACCCACATACAACCATACCATTTCTCAGATTTCCCAGTTTAAACCTTCCTTCTGTCTCATCATGCTCCTTCCCGTCACACTATGTTGACACGTTGCTATTAAAAATTATCTTATTTATTTATTTATTTATTTATTTGTTTGTTTGTTTTCTGCCTCCATGCACTGAAATGCAGCTCCATGAGAGCAGTGACATGTCTGTCTTGTTGGCTCCTATATCACTGGTGCCTAGAACAGTGCCAGAAACACAGGAGTTGTTCAGAAGTATTTGCTCTGTGAATCAACGAATCAATGAATGCATTGTGAATGAGGTTATTGGTCCTACCCTTGCCCAACAAATAATCTTTTAACCCTAACGAAGTTGAGATCCACAGGTCAATTCCTAAGGTGCTCCTCTAGTGAAGTCTTGTCCAAATGTGAGTTCCCATCTTTACTAATATCTTTCAAACAGTGTAACTCAATCGAAGTGCTTAGTCCATGGCAACTCATTAAATTTCCTTTCCTCTTTTATTTATTGACTCATGGGCACCTCTCACTGTCTAAACACAGAAGAAAGCTCCCTCTTCCCCATGCTTCCCCATGCCCTTTATCCCACTCCCTCTTCCCCACTACCCCTCTCCTTCTCCATATTGGGCCTCCCAGCACTTCCTGTCACTGCCATACCATTCTCCTCCCCACCTGCTCTTCTGCAGTATCCACCAACGTGGCTTTTAATCTCTCAGTCCTCAGAGAGCACAGGAGAGGCAAGGAAGCTAAATAGACGACACCAGATCCTCTCTTGGGGACGGGGGATATGAAACTTCATCTGTTCATTACTTTTGTGTCATCCCAGTTCATTGGTAGAACTGGGCAAGTACACCACCAGCTTGTGTTTGAAGTGGTATTACGAGTATGTTTTCTCCAGGAGAGTAGAGAGTAGTTGCGTCTAATTCAGACTTGGGGTGAGCACTCCCAGAAGCACGCCTATGCTTGTTATGGCTCACTTAGATGACTACACTTACTGCAAAGCCTATTAATACTTAAGCCACATAGTATACCAGGTACTGTACTAAGTCCTTTAAGGTAACTTATTTAAACCTCACGTAACTCTGTGACACCAGTAGTCCTGCTATGATCCCATTTTATGGATGTGGCAACTGAAATTAAGTAACTTGCTCAAGATCTCATGACCAGTAATTGACTTGACTTCCAGTGCAGGCAGCACCTGGGCTTTTTGTCATGATGCTATAATGCTGCCCCGACCAGAAGAAGACCTCAGTCTTCACATCGTTTGACACAGGACTTGAGGAAAAGTACACATTGCCAGATGGAGCTAGAAGGGGAGATGGTGCACGAGGTGGGAGGAGTGCAGGTTTGCGGTAGAGGATGTGTCTCAGAAATGGCAACCATTCAATGAGGTTGGAGCCAAAGACACAGTGGGGAGTGAAGGAAGCTATTTTGTCTGTTTTAAAAAAATTGTAAATCAGAAACCAAATATCCAGTTTGCTGGTTTCTTTTGAGGATTGCTCTGCCTGGGATTTATCTTGAGTCCAACTAAAAACGTTTTACCTGGTTTGTTTGGATTAAGATTGCCAAGTTGTGGAGCCACTGAGGCTCCTTACGTGTCCACAGCCATGCTCATGGCGAAGGGCCTGACTCTGGAGCTCAATCTCATGTGGTCGTGTATGTAGGGACCTCCGCCTCCATACAAGAGCTAGGACTGGAGGAGCCACAGACAGTCATTCTACACTGCCTGCATTTTGAACATGTAAAAAGAAACGTGGAGAGTTTGGAGAGTTTGAAAAGGATGGTCCAGGGGGCTGGGGGTAAAATTACTGCAAGAGTATCTCACCACCTCTCTCAGAGTTTGTTAAGAAATGAACATGTGTGGAATCTATAGTAAAAAGTGGTATTAAGCATTTTAAAGATGGGCCTCTTCCAGAAAGTTCGAGCCAAGCAGACCGCCATCTGGATTATTCCCATGGTAGTTGCTCTCTCTGCGCACATTTCTGCAACCGCCATTCCTGCCTCCCTTATTAATAGGTTATCCGGAAATGACTTTGGATCACTGCTTCCTATGTTAACACACTTTTTGATGAAATAACAGAGAGTATTGTCATTAAAGATTTGGAAAAAAGTTAAATCTTTACAGGAGTCAAATGCAGCACATTTAATGGTTGTTGTAGAACTCAGGGCAAAGAAATCACTTTTTCCAACAACAGAAGGAAACTGTTGGTGACTTCCAAACTGGCTAAAGGTCCTTGTTCTAACCATTCTTTTTGTTTAAAATTGCTAACCTTAAAAATGATTTCAGAGTTGGCACCAGATGCATTGGAGGCTGCTAAAGTACACTTAGGAAAGACTTTAAAGCCATTAAAGTTATATGACAGTATTTTGAAGTTGTCTTTTAAATATGACGGACCCAGTTGTTTGACCATACATGATACATAATATGATATAGCTCCAGAGTGGCATTATTTGGAACAGAGTTTATGAATCATTTAAAAATTGTACCTATAACCAATGCAAAAGCTATAATTCATGTAAAGCTATAAATAATCTATCTCAAAATCTACATAAGATAGATTGACAGAGTGCTATTTGGAGTTTATGGGTCTTTTGATAAACTTTGATTAATATTCTCAAGTCAATCATTGTTGAATGAAGTATTTTAAAATTATTTGGTGAAAATTATGTATGTTTTCCAGTGTTTTCTAAAGACTTTCACTTTCTAATGGAAATTCAGAGCCACCTAGTGACCAAAAGTAAAATGTCTAAAGTATAAAACATGACAACAAAAACTCCCAGCAAAAGAGAAAAGCAATCATTTGACCCCGGGCTTTGATGTCCAGAGATAAAATTGTATCCAGTTCAGGTCTACAAAAGTAGAATTCTTACAAATTAAATTGACTAAGTCTTTTGTTATTTGGGGATTAAAGGCCCCTAAACATAGACTTGAGGTATATAGATGATTAATTTTTGTCGACACCATTTTATCAAATGAGAATTGTCTGACTTACACAAATATAGGTGACTGTTCCTCACAGATGCATCACCCCTTCCTTGATGGTGTGTTCCACTTCTGACCAGTTTGTGTATTATGACTCAAGAAAAAAAAAGATGGGGCAGCAATCTCACAGAAGACAGGACCAATGGTGGAGGAGGAAGAAAGGCATGAGGTAGATTTAAACTCCCCAAATGAGGCTTCTAATTCAGATTCATTTTTCAGCATAAAGATTCAGGCAATTCTATTAAATTTGGTTGGATTAAATTCAGCAAACCTCTGTTGAGTATTTTTTTTTTTTTTTTTTTGAGACAGAGTCTCAGTCTGTCACCCAGGCCGGAGTGCAGTGGTGTGATCTCGGCTCACCGCAACCTCTGCCTCCTGGGTTCAAGCAATTCTCGTGCCTCAGCCTCCCAAGTAGCTGGGACTACAGGCATGGGCCACCGCACCCGGCTAATTTTTGTATTTTTAATAGAGATGGAGTTTCGCAGTGTTGGCCAGGCTGGTCTCGAACTTCTGGCCTCAAGTGATCCACCCACCTCCACCTCCCAAAGTGCTGGGATTACAGGTCACCGCGCCCGGCCCGAGTCTGGACATGTACAGGTTTCTTGCTAGGCATGAATGCAGTAAATCTAAGATGCATGTAGAGAGCCAGGGTTTTCGGCTTGGTTGAAGTAGAGTGAGTCTAGAAGGACACATAGAAGATGAGGGTGGAGAGGTAGGACGTGGCTGTGATGTGGAATACTGTGATACCTGTTCCTTTTGGGGGGCTTTTGGCTAAAATCATGGTCATAGTTAGGATGATTAATCTGGATGCAGCATGTAGTGTGGACTAATGCAGGGTAAACAGATGTCAGGAAGAGCAGTGAGGTTATTCTAATGGTTTTGGATACAAGTCATAAGCATGTGACCTGGAATTATTAAAGTAAGAAGGGAAAAAGTAGATTAGAGAAAAAGAGAAGAATCTTTGGTACTGATATGGGGGAGCAGTGATATCAAGGGTGACTCCAAAATATCTGCCCTAGGTGATGAGGAAAAGAAAATGATAGAAATAATATCCTATAGCATCAGTAATGGACAAAAGGGTACCAGGGAAGTAGCTGGTGTGTGATGGAGAAAATGTGAGTATGGTTTTGATATCCATCCATTCATTCAGAAACATATACGGAGTGCCTGCTGTGTGCCGGGTGCTCAGGTTGCAGTACCATCAACAGACCCCAACTGCCAGGTACCCAGGGAAGAGGAAGGCAGCCCTGTTTCTACACCAAGGAGCCAGATTAGAGCCAATGGACAAGCTCTTTGCCAAGTGCACCAGCTTTTTAAACTAATTTATTTAAATTGTAGGGGATAACTATTATTATGTTAGTGTACAAAGGAAGTGAAACTGGAGAATTCCCTGACTGCCCTCGCAGGACGTGTGACAGGGGTGTGGCTCATCTGTTTGGCAGCTGTGTGCTCAAACCCCTTATGGGAGGAGGAGCACGCAGATGGGCAGGTGCAGGAGCCAGGGCGAGTGCTTCTGGGCTCCGGCCCCGTGGTAGCATCTAGGGCTGGGTGCCTGTGACTCCCAAAGCCCCAGTGGGCATGCTACAGTGCTCTTTTAACTCTGCAGTCCACAGATGGCTTAAGTGTTAACCAGCTCAGTGCCCTCTTGGTACCTGGGTTCTTGTCCAGCATCCAGGAAGAATCAGGCCACATGGATAAATTGAAAGATGGTAAATGTGGGGGATTTTATTGCCAGACGAAGATGGCTTTCAGCAGGATGGATGGGGAGCTGGAAAGGGAATGGAGTGGGAAGATGATCTTCCCCTGGAGTTCAGCCACTCTCCTCTCCAAATGACCCCAGCCAAAGTCCTCTCGATGTTCAGACACTCCTTTTCTTCTCTCCTTCTCTGCCACGCTGCTCTTCTGCTGTCCCTCTGCTCTTCTGCTCATCTGCTCATGGAGCCTGGGGTTTGGGGTCTGTGTGGGCACAGGATAGCAGGGCGTGGTGGGCCAAAAGGCAACATTTGGGTGTGAAAACAGGAATGCTTATTCCCATTTAGGGATACGGGTTTCCAGGATTGAGGGTGGGGTAAGGGAACTGCCCTCTTCTACCCAGTATCTCCCTGCTTCCTGTTTGTATCAGAGGTAAGTATGAGTTCACAGTCACACAAAAACTCTGTGACAGAGGCAGGCATCAAATGCACTATTTCCATTACACCTCAAATGGTGGTCTCCAGGGAGGGAGACCCAGACGGGGAGGTGAGCAGGCAAGGCTTCTGTGGCTGAACACTCTACCTCGAGGGGACTGTAACTCAGTCAGCTCAGTGGCCACCAGCTAAAAGGGGCTTGTTTCTTCCAGTATGAAGTCTGCTTCTCCAGCAAACACCTGCTTTGCACTGGAGCAGAGCAGACCTTAGGTTCTTGTCCCTATTTGCCACCTTCTGATCTGCTCCTGTCTGAACCCCCTGAGCCCCTCCTAGACTACGTTGCCTGGACCAGTTCCCCTGGTCAAGGGTGATCATGGAATAGAAAAGGATCAGAAGCTTTGACTTTAAATTCACAGCCATTTGCTACCCGTAATTTTTTTTTTCCTGGACCCATCACAAAAATTTCCTGTGGTTTCAGCCTTCTTATCCACCTATCCAGATTGTGTTGAGGGTTAAATGTGATAATGTAGAGAGAAATGCTTGTATGGATTGTAAAGTTCTGTGGGGTAGAAAATGCCTGCATCCTTTCCAAACACCGTGATTCATCTGGGCATTGTGATGCTTGCCTGTAGTCCCAGCTACTCAGGAGGCTGAGGCGGGAGCAGCCCTTGAGGCTTGAGACTGCAGTGAGCTAGTATCACGGTGCTGCACTCCATCCTAACTGACAGTGAGACTCTGTCTAAAAAAAAAAAAAAAAAATTTTTTTAAAGATATAACAACCAGACACCCTGATTCAACAGAGCAATTATTTCCTATCATTGTTATTCCCACTTGATTCTTCTGCAACTCTCTGCAGCACTAAGCAAGGAAACCCCTCAGCACCTCCTGGACTGAAAATACTAGGAGTTATGCATGCAGATTCCTTTAAGAACCATACCACCCATGGCTGGACAGGAGGGTGACTTCAGCATTACTTCTTAGTTTCACCAAGTTTGCATTTATTTAAGTTCTACACAGTTGGTCCCAAAAGCCTCAGTGCAGTTTTATGCGTTAATACTGTCAGATATAGAAATACTATAAGCTTACAAAACGCTGCTTTTGGAAGTTTAGTTATTTTCATCTCTTTTACTCTATTAGTTTTATAAGTTTTGAATAATGTATTTTGAACTTTCTATTTTGTTATAGTCTCCTGATTGAAGATAGCAAAGGTTAACCAGAAGAAAAAATTATTATTTAAAAAATTTTTTAATTCACAGAACTAAATCAGTATAAAAGGAATGAAAACAAACTTTCAAATGATGTTTTATGTAAGTTTTTAGTATGCATGTTTCTGAAGTCATTAAAGCTTAAAACTGCACTAAGACTTTCGGGATCTATTCTAATCTCTCTTTTTTTGGGTGGGGCCCAGGGATCCTCCTGCCTCAGCTTCCTGAGTCACTGGAACTATAGATGCATGCCACCATGTACAGCTAATTTTTGTAGAGATGGGATTTCTCCATGTTACCCAGGCTGGTCTCGAGTGATTCCCTGCCTCTGCTTCCCAAAATGCTGGAGTTACAGGTATGAGCCACCATGCCTGGCCTGTTGTAATCTCTTGACCATTCCACAAGAAACAAAGCTTTGAGCTTCATTAATAAATTCTTCCTCACTTCAGTTATTATCGCAATTATTACCAGTTGAGCCCTTCACTCTGGCAGTGATTTATTGGCATTCTCTAATATTAGTCATCTCAAGCAGAAAAACTTAGAATGGTTTATAGATGCTTTAGTTTCTGAAATTTCAGTCTGAATCCTAGTTTAGGCCCTTTACTCATTTACATACGAGTAAAAAGCAGTTTTCAAAACTAACATGACTCAGAATGCAGCCAAGCAATCAAAAAAAGCTTCTCTTTGAGTTTGCCAGTTGACAGTATTTTTCTGGCAGTAGTTAGTACATCTAAATATTAACTAATTAATCTAGCTTGTAATATTCGCTGCTGGTTTCATTGAATGAGGTGGGAGTAGGTCAGATCTGCAGACCATTCACAATCTCCAAATGCAAATAAAGTAGCATTTGTTTGTAGGTGGAACCAAATGATTATAAATGAATGGTGAGCCATCTCCTGGGATTGGATATAAAGGTCCTGTAAATGCAGAATTGTATCAACAAACAGCTGTTGGGAAAATACTATTATGCTGTAATAGCTGCTATTAAAATCCATTAGCAGTCTTGATGGCCTGTTTGAATTTGATGCATCATTTGCTCTGAATAGCATTTCTTCCTAAAGTTTTGCAGTAGAATTTATGCAGATTGATAGCTGGTAACAGTGACATTCTGGGAGATTAATACTGATTAAACACTTTGCTTGCATTGGCTATTCCAGCCCCCCAAAAATGCTGCAAATACTGCAGTTTAAGTATCACGGGGGGGCAGGGCACGGGCAGGGTGGGTGGGGAACAGCATCAAGCATCAAGGCACCCCCCTGTCCCTGGTGATGGAGGCTTTCTCACACTTGGCGTGAAACATCCATTTTGCTTCCATGACAAAGGTTTGCAGACTTGAAGCAGGTCCTCTGTTTCCCACTTTTTAATAACCTGCCTTTTCCTCATCCTAGTACCTTTTCCAGACTCAGGGAATCCTCCTGGGAGGCCACAGTGCCTTCAGGACACAATCTGGCTGAAAATGTTAGATGTCTAATGAGATTTTGAAAAACACATGTGTTGGCAAAGAGAATGCAGCTGTTCTGATGGAGGAAGCATTCAAATGTTAGGATGGAAAGCCAGCGCCTGGTTCCTAGTTGCGACAGCCATGCAACTCTGGAAAGAATGGGGAAGCAGCGCCATCTGGCCAGTGAGCCATACAGGCAGCTCCCAGGGGTTTACCAATTCAAAGAGGAGAGCTGCCAGGGACTGGTTTAGGCCAGCTTCACAGTTCCTGGGTGCCGTAAGTGATCCAGGATATACAGAGACGTTTTCATGCAGATTAGAAGAGACGTTAGGGTAAGTCACTGATAAATGTGGAATACATTAAATCAAGAGTAATTTTTTATCTTAAAAAAGCAGTTCCTTTTGACATATGCACTTACATGACCTCTCATTAGTTGGGGGATTTTCAGATATTCATCAAAATGGCTCTGTGAAGAGCTGAGGTTTGTTAATTTTAAATATTTTTCATCTACTTTCACTTTCTTAGTAGCCAAAGCTGGTGGTTGGTAGGAGGTGAAAGGGAAGGACCACCAGGAAATTATTTGAAAGTTTCGCTCCTCAAAGTATGATCCCCTGGCCAGGCGCGGTGGCTCACGCCTATAGTCCCAGCACTTTGGGAGGCCGAGGCAGGTGGATCACTTAAGCTCAGGAGTTCAAGATCAGCCTGGACAACATGGCAAAACCTTGTCTCTACTAAAAATGCAAAAATTTACCGGGGCGTGGTGGCGTGCACCTGTGGTCTCAGCTACTTGGCGGGCTGAAGCGAGACAATCGTTTGAACTAGGGAAGTCGACCTGCAGTGAGCCGAGATTGCGTCACTGCACTCCAGCCTGGGGTGACAAAGTGAGACCCTGACTCAAAACAGAAACAAAAACAAAGTATGGTCAGCAGCAGATTGAGCGTTACCTGGAAGCTTGTGAGAAATCCAGATTCTCCCCGAGGTATCTGAATCAGAATCTGCATTTTAATAAGACCCCTTCTTGCCCCTTGAATGCCTTCCCTGACTCCTCAAGGCAGGCTTCTAGATTCCTGCCCTCTCCTCCCAGCGTTCTTTGTCCACACCCCCACTAGACAGTGTAGCTTCTTGAATGCTTAGCCACAAATTCTTTAGGGCAGGAAGCTGAGTATTTTTTTTTATATCCCCAGAGTGGCACATGGTGTTCACTTAACCACCCATCCAGCCATCCATTCCTCCCTCCCTCATTCTCTCTCTCCATCGGTTTATCTTTTTTTCATTCGTTTACTCATTTGTTTATTTCTTCACTCATTCAGTAAGTATCCATCTACCGTGAATGAGCCAGTGCTTTAGGTATCAAAGATATGGTGTGAACGTGATAAAGTCCCTGTTGCTGTGCTGGGGGCAGGGGAGACGAATAGCAAACACATAAACAATTAAATATACAGTGTGATTTCATGTTTTGAGAAAGCACCTTAAAGAAAAATAAATCAGGGTTTGGGAATACAGAAGTCCTCCAATAAGTATCTGTTTAATCGTCGAATGAATAAAAAAGATAAATTAGTAATGATATTAAAAAGAGCGATAAGGAACCATAAAAAGTTTTTTTTGTTTTTGCTTTTGTTTTTTTGGGTTTTTTTTTTTTTTTTTTTTTTTTGAGACCGAGTCTCACTCTGTCACCAGGCTGGAGTGCAGTGCCACAATCTCGGCTCACTGCAACCTCCGCCTCCCGGGTTCAAGCGATTCTCCTGCCTCAGCCTCCCAAGTAGCTGGGACTACAGCAGTGTGCCAACATGCCCAGCTAATTTTTGTATTTTTTAGTAGAGACAGGGTTTCACCATATTGGCCAGGATGGTCTCCATCTCTTGATCTCGTGATCTACCCGCCTTGGCCTCCCAAAGTGCTGGGTTTACAGACGTGAGCCACCATGCCTGGCCGGAAGGATATAAAGTTTTAATGAAATTTTAAGAGCTAAGGTGATGGACTTAGGAAACGTCCTACCTAACTGGTCAAATGCAAAGCAAGTGTACAAACTGCCACCATAGCTCCACAAGCATTCAAAAGAAAGACAGGAAGTGTTTGGCCGGTAAAACTCAGCAAGGAGTTGAATTAAGGTAAGAACCACCCGAAGGCACTCCTTAGAAAATGATGTTCATGCGTGCCCATATAAAAAGGGACGTTCATGGATAGATGATTCATTAGGACCTAAGACATGATAGAATGTTTCTGTGAAGTTAGTGAAGTTGGGCTGTCCTGGGACATACTAATTTATGTGTCAGACGGCAAAATCAAGGAGGGGAAGTCCTAACACAGCAGAGATAGATCTGTTATTCTGCTTCCCCACCCCACCCCCACTCCCACAAATTAGCAGGTTCTGAGTAGTTCAAACCTGAAGCAGCCTTAAAACTAGCTTTTCTCTATGTTCACTCACATGTGCATCCTTTTCACTGCAAAGGGCTATTTTTTTTATTTTTAAGGGACTAGGTGTAAAGAAGAGATGCTGACAATAACACGCATTGGAAAAAATTCCAGATTATTAAGTCATAAAACTTGAGTTCCAGTCTCAGTCTCATCTTTTGCCTCCTACTAGCCATGTGGCCTTTTACAGGTTTGCAATCTGAACCATGTCTAGTCACTAGATCCATGGTTCTCAGCCCTGCCTGTATGGTGGAATCACTTAGGCAACTTTTTTTTTTTTTTTTCTGAGACAGAGTCTTGCTCAGTCACCCAGGCTGGAGTGCAGTGGCTCAATCTCAGCTCACTGCAAGCTCCGTCTCCTGGGTTCACGCCATTCTCCTGCCTCAGCCTCCCGAGTAGCTGGGACTACAGGTGCCCGCCACCACGCCCAGCTAATTTTTTTGTATTTCTTTTAGTATAGACGGGGTTTCACCATGTTAGCCAGGATGGTCACGATCTCCTGACCTCGTGATCTGCCCGCCTCGGCCTCCCAAAGTGCTGGCACTTAGGCAACTTTGAAAAACTACTGAAGCGTGGCCCTATTCCTGATTATCTGGACCAGAATCTCAGGGGAGAGGTGAGCACTGGCAGGCCTGGGGGTCATTTTTCAAAATGCACCCTCAGGTGTTGTAACATTCATCCAGAATGGAGAACCCACAGGTCATCTGTTTCACAAGGTTCCTTATTACTCCTGACAGAGAACAAGAGCTTTTTAAAAATTTTGTTGCAGTAGAAAACACAGGCCTACATAAGCAGATGGCTCTCAGTTCTAATGTCATATTGTAAGTTTCATATAAATTGCATCCTTTAGTAATAAATATGCTTAAAACATATTTTTGGAGGGCACAGTGGCTCACACTTGTAATCCCAGTACTTTGGGAGGTTGAGGCAGGACTCACTTGAATCTAGAAGTTTGAGACCAACCTGGGCAACATAATGAGACTCCATTTCCACAAAAAATACAAAAATTAGCCAGGCATGGTAGCTCTTGCCTGTGGTCCTAGCTACTCAAGGGGCTGAGGCAGAAGGATCCATTGAGCCCAGGAGGTGGAGACTCTAGTAAGTTGTGATCACACCACTGCACTCTAGCCTAGGTGACAGAGCAAGACCCTGTCTCCAAACAAAAACAAAACAGTGTATCTTTGAAAAAGTAATACTTTCTTTAGAGTTAATACATAGTTTAAATATCTCATTAATAGATGAGGTTAAAAGCAATAGTTTTCTTTTTCTATTAGAATTATCAGAGGGCAGCCCAATGACTCTTTTCAAATGCTCTCAAGGATTGGACTACCCAATCTTTGGGTTATTCAAGGGTAGAACTTGGGCTCTGGAGTCAGTATCCCTAACCAACTGCTGGATCAAATATTTTTAAAGCACGTAGTCTTGCTTAACTTCTCTGCACCCCAGTCTTCTATATGTAGATTGGGGAATGATATTAATACCATTATTAACCTGTCCAAAATGATTATTTTGAGGAATTGATAAATTAATCCCTGTGATATGCTCAGAGCGTTGCCTGCTGTATTATAAGTGCTGAAATATTTGCTGTTATTATTAACCTTCTATTCAGGAGACTGAAAGCTTATAGAAAAAAGGTTAAGGAGAAAATTTTACTTCCATATAAGGAAAAAAACTTTCTAATATCCTATCCAAAGATGGAATGAACATCTCATGTGGTCATGAGCTTCCCGTCTGTAGAAGTGTTCAATCCCCGGCTTTGTAACTGCCTGCAAGAGTGAGGTATAAGGCATTTAAGAATTGAGTGAGTTGCCGGGCGCGGTGGCTCACGCCTGTAATCCCAGCACTTTGGGAGGCCGAGGCAGGTGGATCACGAGGTCAGGAGATCGCGACCATCCTGGCTAACACGGTGAAACCCCGTCTCTACTAAAAATACAAAAAATTAGCCAGGTGTGGTGGCGGGCACCTGTAGTCCCAGCTACTTGGGAGGCTGAGGCAGGAGAATGGCGTGAACCCAGGAGGCGGAGTTTGCAGTGAGCCGAGATTGCACCATTGCACTCCAGCCTGGGCGACAGAGTGAGACTCCGTCTCAAAAAAAAAAAAAAAAAACCAAAAAAAAAACAGGAATTGAGTCAGTCGTTGATCTAAATAGCTTTTAAGGCCCATCTAATCCTGATATTTGATTTTTCTTTCATTTTAATTTTAGAGTTATATGAGTCTATGAAGAGCCTAACTAATCTATCTGTCTTGGGGAGAAGAAATTTCAGTGGATGCTCCTAAATGATGTCATGGCTTTTCATGAGATCCAAATTTGATAGTTCTCCACACTTAAATTTGATAGGAACAAAATCCACTGCTTCCAAACCACCACTAGTTTTCTGACTTAGACTTTGGTAAAGAATGTAATCTAAATAGCCCTATCCTTTCTTTTCTATCACAATAACTGTCTAACCAAATCTATTTAGTTATTCATTTTGACTGGAGGTTGGAGGGATCAGTAAGAGTTTCTAGTAGTATTTTCGGTGAGAGGTTTTTTTCCAAATATATTGATTTAAACAAACCAAACAGAGCTATTCTGCCATATTTCAGTATGGATTTGCCTGGTACATTTCCCACGAAGATACAAATTTAAAGGCCTTCTATTTCCTGTGACAAGGGCAGAAGGAAATCAGAGGTATATAGGACAAGCATTTAAGGATTTAACTGTTGCAAATGATCTCTGACTCTTAAAAGTGAAATATAAAATGGAAAGTGTTTTTGTTCATAGCAAGTATGCAAAATAATAATATCTGTGCTGGCATTAAGCCTAGAAGACACACTAACTTAAGTATGCTTTTAATTCCAGGCCTTTCACTGACTCTAAATTTCAGTAACTTCATTGATGAATATCAATGTTATTGACCCTACTAAGATTTCTGTGTGTGTGTGTGTGTCTGTGTGTGTGTGTGTGTGTGTCTGTGTCCCCTAGGGAACTTCTGCCATCTGTCAGTGAAGAGCATCTAGCATTCTTGCAAAGAACAGCTGTTTACATCCAGACTGCTTAGCAGAGTGCATTAGATGAGGCTATTTGTGAGGCAAAAAGGAAGTTCAACTTCTTGTGCGTTATGCGTATGTTACGGGTCTAGATTTAGGTGGGCTAATATGTTGAGCCAAAAAGCTTGGCAAATTGATACAGCAGGAGCCTTCTGTTGAACATTAATCATTTCTTTCCTTAATCTTTATACTTGTCTCCTAGTCTGGTTCAATAAATAACAGTGAATTCCCATGCCTTTTGCTACAGAGTCTCAATCCCAGTCCACATTCCCACAAACGATCCTTTAGGTTTGCATTAGCAACTTCCCAATTATATTTGTAAGCCTGACCTTTCATTGATTTCTAGACACATAAGGATACCTTTCAAGGAATGGCATACAGCTCTCTTGGTTTTCATACAAGCGCCTCAAACTCAACAAGGCAAATGTGAGCATGTCACCTTCTCTCTGCTCCCACTGCGACTGCCTTAGTTCAGTACCTCCTTTTGTCTTACCCAGAGCATAGCAATCAAGACTAGCCCATGGACTCTTGTGCAAATGAGGGACTCTTTCCTTCAGTTCACAGTGCCCCACCGCAAAAACTGACTTTGTAAATGCATCTTGGCTGGGATTGTGAACTGGATTTCAGGCCCTGCAAGCTGTGGCCCTGACAGGGAGATATTGACTATGCATAGGAAAACTAATTTTCTCCTCTCCTCTGTACTTCTGGCCACCAAATGTGTGGGGTGTTTTTTTCCCACACCAAGCAATTCTCTGCTACAACAATTGGGTGTTCTGTAATTCAATTAAATTCAGACACTGTTTACCTGGAATGAGTGCAAGCCTCATTGGCTTGGTCTCACAAGACTGCCCCAACTTCCATGCCAATCACAAGTCTGGGTTGTCACCTGTGCTTCTGATAAACTGGCTATAAATCAGAGGTTCCCAAGACCCTCTCTTCTGGTTCAATAATTTGCTAGAACAGCTCACAGAACTCAGGGAAACATTTACACTTATTGGTTTATTACTAATATATAATAGAAGATATGACAAAGAATACAGATGAAGAGGTACCTAGGGGTCGAGAAGGGTCCTGAGCATAGGAGCTTCTGTGTCTTTGGTGTTGGAATGCACCACCCTCCTGACACATGGATGTGTTCTTCAACACGGAAGCCCACCCAGAAGCCCACCAAGTGTCATCTCATTAGAACAAAAAGACGCTCCTATCACCCGGGAAATTCTAAGGGATGTAGGAATACTGTGTCAGGAACCAGGGTCAGAGCAAATACTATTTCAAGATCAGAAAGCGATTCTGATCTTGAATCTAAATCATTTCCAGTCTGCCCTTTCACACTGAAACGCAAATCTGTCATGCCCTGTTCCCTTCTTAAAATCCTTCTGTGGCTCTCCATACATTTCCAGTTAAAGTGGTACTTTCCTGCTTGGCAAATGAGGGTACTGACTTCTGATCCTTGTGTTACAAACCAAACTGGGGTCTGCTCACCTGACGCAGTAAAGTCAAACATCTACATTGAGGTTTTGCAGCAAGAGAAAGGAGGGCATTTATTTGCAGGGTGCCAAGCAAGGACAGCTGGGAAGCTCACACTTAAGACCTCACCTCTCTAACGGTTACACGCAAGGGTTTTTAAAGGAAGGAGTAAATTTCAGAAAATCAGAAGTTACAGGCAAAACTACAAATCAGTACATGGAGGTTATACACTGGTTTGGCTGAAAAAGACAGAATACCTTGAAGTGAGGGGCTTACAGGTCATAGATGGATTCAAAGATTCTCTGATTTGCAGTTGGTTAAGGAAGCAGGGCTTTGTCTGAAAACTTGGGGGTGAGAAGAAAGGAATGTTAACGTCTGCACTTTGGGACTGACTTTCTCCAGGACCCTTAGGAAGAAATTTAGAACAAAGAACTGCAGTCAGAGTTCAGCCCTCAGTTTTGCCCTTATCTGAGGTCTTTGTACCAGCTGATGGCATTTTCCACTTGGTGGGAGGCCAGATTTCTGAAAAACAACTCAGTGGTATATGTTACAGTGTAATCTTTAGTTTCTACATGGAACCGACGTCTTGTAATCCTAACTTCTTTGGCTGTTGTTTTAAGCCATTATTACCTTCTGACTATTAGGTTGCTCATTTTCTTCTCAGGGCTACCTAGGTGCCTAGAATGTCCCTTGAAGGAACTCAAGATTTTCCTTTATTTCCTTGCTTACGGAGGTCGGGAGTGGGTGGCAAGCCCTTAAGAGGGGTCCCTGCTCCGCCTCACTCGTATTAATTCTAGGTTCACCTCCCTCCACTCAGCACATACCCCTGCACCCACTGTACTGAACCGTGGGCAGCTCCTACGATGTATGGTGTTTCATTCTGCAGCTCTTTCCCATGTCTGTGCCTTGTTGCATGCCACTATTCCATCCACCTGAAATGCCTTTCCCTACTTCTTCACCAAGCTGGACCCACTCACCTCTTCTAATGCAGTTCAGTCATCCAGATTTAAGACGCCTCCACTGACGCTCCAAGTCAAATTGCTTCTGCAAGTTTTATGGAGATATCATTTATGTGCCATAAAGTTCACCTTTTAAAATTATACAGTCCAATGGTTTTTAGTGTATTTATAGACCTGTGCCACCATCTCCATAATCTAATTTTAAAACATTTTATTACCCCCAAAACCCATTAACAGTCACTCCCCAATCTTTCCTCCACCCTCAGCCATAGCAGTTACTAATCCACATTTTCTCTAAAGATGTCCCGTTCAGAATTTGGTGCCTCTCCTCTGGTCATAACTGCATCCCATTAGCTGGCCTGGTTGTCTTTCCGGCCAGTCTCCTCCAGACAATCTGAGGGTCTTAGCAGGCAGGGACCTTGTCTTCAGCTTTGTATTCTGAGAACCTGGCTTGATTTGCAAACATGATAGAACCTCAACATTTGGTTGAAAAAATAAAGGATTTTGCATTTGAACTATCTTTTCTCCCCAAAGCTTATTTATCTACTGCCTCAAATATCAGTATTCATTCTTACTCTGTTAGGGAAAGCAGGCCTTCTTGGTGACAGAAAATGTCTGACCTTTGACCAGAATTCCTAGTATAAGAGAAGTGGGCCGGGCACGTTGGCTCACGCCTGTAATCTCAGCACTTTGGGAGGCCGAGATGGGTGGATCATGAGGTCGGGAGTTTGAAACCAGCCTGGCCAAGATGGTGAAACCCCGTCTCTACTAAAAAAAATACAAAAATTAGCCATCATGGTGGCCTGCACCTGTAATCCCAGCTACTCAGGAGGCTGAGGCGGGAGAATTGCTTGAACCCGGGAGACGGAGGTTGCAGTGAGCCAAGATTGCTCCAATGCACTCCAGCCTGGGCGACAGAGCAAGACTTCTTCTCCAAAAAAAAAAAAAAAGAAGTGGAGAATGGAGGAGGAGTGAGCGTGTTAAGGAAGACAGAGTTGTACTCAGAAGAACTGCCACAGTGGGATTTGTTGTCATCCTTAAGCAGTACTGCTTAAAGAACTTCTTCAAGTATCCATTTCTTAAGAGGACCAGTTGATTTTCTTCCCTAAAAGAAGTTGTCCTAGCACATACAGGAACCAACTCAGTTACAGAAGTAGTGGCTGGAGGCTTTGGGGTCCACCAGAACCGAGTTTGAATTGAGGCTCTTACTCTGACCTCGTGTGACCTTAGGCACATTGTCCCCTCTGAGGCTCAGTCTCCTCACTTACAAAATTAAGGAAAGAATAGGATTATCATGGAACATAAAATCAAAATGAGACCATGTGTTTAAAGAATATAGTACAATTCCTGGCACATTGAAGGCTCAACAAACAGTAACTTTTGCAGTAGTTAAATGCAAAAGTTAAAGTTAAAACTCTGGTTTTAAAGACAGAAAACCCACTGATTCTCGTTAAAAGAATTTTCTTTTAATGGGAGGGTTTCACTAGCTCATATTACAAAACTGTGAACTCTCTTCTACCTCTTAGACACCACAACACCTCTGACACACCAGATGCGTGGCGGTATTTCCCTGCACACCAATCAAACCCTTCTCCAGCAGACACCAGCTGGGAGTTGCACAAGCCTATTCATCTAGCCTGAGTTAGCAGCAGATCCCTCAAGTTAAGGACACAGTCCTACAAGACCACCTCCTACTTCAGGTTCCAGTCAAAAGTCTGGGCTTCTGGAACTTCTGACCCACTGGGCATAAATTGGGGTTCCCATGACCGCTTCCTTGGGTTCAATTAATTTGCTACAATGGCTCGTAGAACTGAAACACTTACATTTACCCATTTATTATAAAGGACGCTACAAAGGATGTGGATGAACAGCCACATGGAAGAGATGCACAGGGCAAGGCATGTGAGAAGGGGTGTGAGCTCCTATGAGCCTCCACCCATGCAACGTCACCAGGAGCCTCTGTGTGTTCGGCTATCCCGAAGCTCCCCAAATCCTGCTCTTTGGGGTTTTTTTTTTTTTTTTTTTTTTTT
Organism: Homo sapiens; assembly: GCF_000001405.40. Lineage (NCBI taxonomy): Eukaryota > Metazoa > Chordata > Mammalia > Primates > Hominidae > Homo > Homo sapiens. Next base: position 76,746,717 of record NC_000009.12, on the reverse strand, counting down.
TTTTTTGAGACGGAGTCTCGCTCTGTTGCCCAGGCCGGACTGCGGACTGCAGTGGCGCAATCTCGGCTCACTGCAAGCTCCGCTTCCCGGGTTCACGCCATTCTCCTGCCTCAGCCTCCCCAGTAGCTGGGACTACAGGCGCCCGCCACCGCGCCCGGCTAATTTTTTGTATTTTTAGTAGAGACGGGGTTTCACCTTGTTAGCCAGGATGGTCTCGATCTCCTGACCTCATGATCCACCCGCCTCGGCCTCCCAAAGTGCTGGGATTACAGGCGTGAGCCACCGCGCCCGGCCGCTCTTTGGGGTTTTTATGGAGGCTTCATTACATAGGCATGACTGATTACATCTTTGGCAATTGATGATTAATTCAAGCTTCAGCCTGCCTGCCTTCTCCCGAGGTTGGGGGGTGAGGCTGAAAGTCCCAAGCCTCTAATAATGCCCTGATCTTTCCAGTGACCAGTTCCAATCCTGAAGCTATTTAGGGGCCCCCAGCCAACAGTCATCAGTCATCTTATCTTCAGAGAGATAAGACAGTCTTATCCCTCTGGAGAGTCCACGGGTTTTAGGAGCTTTTGCCAGAAGATGGGACAAAGACCACACATACTTCACAATATCACATCCTGCTGCCCTCTGGGTTGGCCTTATTCTCCCCTTCTGAGCACAGGGACTGTCAGCAGCTCTAGATGCACATAGCAAAGTCTCATCATCAGAGAAAAGGGCTTCTCTCTTCAAGCTCAGGACACTGACTGATGCCTGTAGGGACACAGGCTATTCCCTTTACCTGTCACCAGGGGAAGTGAGGGTGAAATACTATGGTTAGTGCAGCTTGAATCACATGCCCATCCTTGTGGTCGGAGAGAGGGATGAGTTAACAAAAGAGAAAAGGTCCTGGGCAGACAGAAGCAATAGTGTGACTGTCCAGTGGGTTCTTCTTTGCCCACTGCCCAGATAGAGCCAATTTATCAAAGCAGGGGAACTACAATAGAGAAAGAGTTTTATTTACACATGTAGAGCTGGCTAAACGGGAGATCAGAGTTTTACTGTTACTCAAATCAGCCTTTACCAAAATCAGAAGCTAGGGTTTCTCAAGGATAGTTTGGGGGAAGGGGGAGGTACTAGGCAATGGGTGCTTGCTACTGATTGGTTGGGGGTGCAATCATAGAGGTGTGGGACATCAAACATGCTGAGTCACTTATGAGTGGGGCCACAGGAGTGGTTGGCAGGTCCAGGTGGAGTCATCAGTCATCAGACTTGCAGAAAACCTGAAAAGACATCCTAAAAGGCCAATCTTAGATTCTGCAATAGTGATGTTATCTGTAGGATTGATGGGGGAAGTTGTACGTCTTGTGATCTCTGGCATGAGGGTTGGCAATTGTTTATGTCTACACCTCAGCAGAATTCAAATTCCTCTCATCCTAGCCTGGTAGCCTTTCATTAGCTTTACAACGGCAGCTGAATTTTAGGGAAGGGCTGTTATTATTTAAACTATAAACTTAATGTCCCCCAAAGTTAGCTTGGCCTAAACCGAGGAATAATTAAGGGCAGTTTGAAGGCCAAAGGCAGTGGAGGTTGGTTAAATCAGACCTCTTTCACTGTCATAATTTTCTGTGATAATTTTGCAAAGGTGGTTTCATTGGGTGCCTACTCCTGTTTTCTCCCCTCTTTGCTGGAAAGTGTAACTTTCCAGGGCTTGTTAAAGCAATAAATGTATGGTCATGGTAAGGCTTGGTGGGGAAAGTCTAGGGCTTGACCTTGGGCCTTCTCCTAGAGAACAACCTTGTCTAGGAGAAGCTGTCCCAGCTTTAATAAGCCAAATAAAGATGTTCATCGAGGCATAGAGTGGTGTTCAGCATCCTTTGGTCTGCTACCTGCAGAGAAGGCACCACATAGACTGGTATGGAGTCCAGCAGCTGGGTGAGGCACAGCCCTGGTGAGAGCTGCAAGCTCCCCTGGGATGAGACTTAAGGGCCGGGGCTTCTTTCTCAAGGACGATTAAACAAACAGGGGCTCAGAGTAGGGGTAGGAGTCGGATAGGGAAGGGAAAAGAGAGATTACCCATTGTGTGGGGAACATGTGGGAACTCAGCAAGTGATAGAAGGGTATGCCTTTGTAAACTAACAGTCTCAGCAAGTTCATATTCTGCCCCACCTCCAAGGTTTAGAGTAGGAAGGGTGTGTGGGTTGCTTTGATGTAAGGCTGTGTATACTAGAGGGATGGTAGGAGGCAGCTGTGGAGAGGTGTAGAAATGAGTCAGAAGTAGACAGCCCCGCCCTTGGGGTAGAAAAACCTGTATCTATTTAATCCCCAAGTCCCTGGGACCCTTTGCTCTCCAGCCTATCACCAGTGAGGCCTCTCTCTACTGTGGAAGGCTTCTGTGTCCACTCTCTCTTCTGGAAGGAGTTCTCCCTAGTCACTCATCTAGTGCTTTAATTCCCTTTATCACTTTGAACTTGGAAAGTTTGGTTTGTCTAATTTAAATCTTACAAGAGTATTTGCCAACAGAATAAATGATTATAATAACACAGCCTCTGAACTTGACATAGGAGACGCATCTGCAGAGTTTTTTCTTGTGTGGGTAGATAATGACTTGCATTTCGTTCAGAAGGAACTGACTGTTTAACAAATGAGTTGCTGAAGGCGCCTCAGTTAACTCTCAACCACTAGTGTTTATTAGTGCACTTAGACAAACTTGAGCATATTATCCAGATTCTTTACAATATAAAACAAAGACAACCTCATAGTTTGTTTTACTATTCTCTCATTTCCCTTTATCTGTTTTTAAATTGCAAAAAGAATGCTAGCTTGTTTTATTAAGAAAAATGATGCAAAATATATGAAGAAATATTTAGTAAATTGACCTGCACTCTTACACCCTCAACTACCTTCCCCCAAGGTAACTAAAGTTAACAAATTCTGTGTTTACACAACTGCATACAGACATATATACATACTTATGGAAATAAATATATGGAAGTATGGAATATGTAATTATATCAATGTTAGCAATAGAATCATAGTATACACATTATTCTGGAATTTTCTTTTTCCTATTAACAGTATGTCAAATAAGATCAATATTTATATCAATCTTTTAATATTAACATGATATTCTTTGCTATGATTGGTTGGGACATGACTGTCCCTCTATGGGACTGTTCCCCCAAGAGGGACGGTCATTTAATATTAGCATGATATTCTTTGCTATGATTGGTTGGGACATGACTGTCCCTCTATGGGACTGTTCCCCATAGAGGGACGGTCAGACTATTTCCAATTTTTGCTACCATGAACAATGCTACATTAACTATTCTCACGTGTATATCTCTACATAGTATTCTCTTTATTTCATGGACTAGCTTCTCAAAACTATAGAATTGTTGATCCTTATGCTATGCTTATTTTTAATATTAATAGTGTCAGATTATTTTCCAAAATTTTGTTGTAGCTCTCTGTATTAGTCCATTCTCATGCTGCTATAGAGAAATGCCCAAGGCTGGGTAATTTATAAAGGAAAGAGGTTTAATTGACTTACAGTTCCACATGGCTGGGAAGTCCTCAAGAAACTTATAATCATAGCAGAAGGGAAGGCAAACACGTCCTTCTTCACATGGCAGCAGGAAGGAGAAAAATAAGAGCCAAGCAAAGGGGGAAGCCCCTTATAAAACCATCAGATCTCATGAGAACTCACTATCACAAGAACAGCATGGAGGTAACCGACCTCGTGATTCAATTAAACTGCCACTGGGTCCCTCCCACGACATGTGGGGATTATGGGAACTACAATTCAAGATGAGATTTGGGTGGGGACACAGCCAAACCATATGACTCTCACTATTATCAACTTGAGAGGTTTTCCTGTATCCTTAGCAGCTCTAGACCTTTTTCTCCCTTTAAAATCTTAGATGTATAATAGTAAAAATGGTATCTCATTTGTGTTTAATTGGTTTTTTCTTGATTTACTCATGAGATTGAACCTTTTTTCATATGTTCATTGACTATTTGCTTTTACTTCTCTCAGTTGCATGTTTATGTCTTTTGCATATTTTTCAATTGGATTGCTTGCCTTTTGTTCTTTTTCTTTTCTTTCTTTCTTTTTTTTTTGAGATAGGTTTCACCTTATCACCCAGGCTGGAGTGCTATGGCACAATCTTGGCTTGCTATAGCCTTGACCTCCTGGGCTCAAGTAATGCTCCTACCTCAGCCTCCCAAGTAGCTTGGACAACAGGCACATGCCACCACACCTAGCTAATTTTCTTGATCTTTTTTGTCTAGACAAGGTCTCACTATGTTGCCCAGGCTGGGTCTGGAACTCCTGGGTTCAGGTAATCCTCCCTTCTCAACATCTCAAAGTGTTGGGATAACAGACACGAGCCACCATGCCCAGCCTCACTTTCTTCTAATTGATTTTTTTTAAAGTTATGTATGTTAAGGATTAATATTTGTTTATCATAAGTACTGCAGATAATTTTCCTAGTCCATCATTTATCTTTTGGCTTTATGATATGTTAACATATAGTTTAAAAATGTATTAATTTCTTAAAGTCAAGTATGTCTCTTTTCTTTCACAGTCTTTGAATTTTTTGGTGTTTTTAATAAGCTCTGCCAGGTACAGGATTATGTAATCCTCCTGATTCCCTTAAAATAGTTTATTATTTAACATTTTTACGTTTAGATCTCTAATTCATCTGAAATTTAATTCTAGCATTCTTTCTTCAGATGTATACCAATTATGTTGTTAACATTTTATTAGTCAAAACAGCCAGATTGGTGAATTTGAAACACCAACCTGTCATATATGTTGTGGGTGAGCCACGACTATCTGGGCCAGTGGCATGGGAGTACAAGAATTTACCAAGACAGCTGTAGGTAGAGAAAGGCAGATTTAGTAGAGAACGTAGGAAAATGTGTTGCAAGGAGGCAACAGGCAAATAAGCTTGCGGGAAGCTGACTGCAAGGAGACAAAGGCTTGCTGGAGATTTTATAGGATTGTTCTCAGCCTGATGGATAACACCAAGGTAGGGGGAGCTAACTTGCATTCTTCTGTCAGCTGAGGTGTTTTGATAAATGGAGGCGTTTGATGGTAAGCAGGAAGTTTGTGAGGTATGTGAGTTACCTTCGCAGGAGGGCCATATGTCCTGGCCCATAAAGAAAAGCAGACCTATAGCTTTTCTGCTTCTTCTTTTTGTTTGTATGTTCTGGACCATGAAGAAAGGCTGATTCCTAGCTTATTTGCTTTATCTCTTTGCTTTCCCCTGGTCCCACCAGCCTGACTCCTTTTCCCTAATTAGGACTCCACAGTATATTAAATTCCTAGATATGCTTTCTGGGCTCTGTATTCTGTTTCATGAATCTATCAGTTGATACTGTTAGTTGCCATCTATTCCATGACACATGTCTTTGGGTTATGGCAAATATATCTTGATAACTTCAAGAGGGATGCCAACTACAATAATTTGGTTAGAGAAAAATCACATAAAGAAAAACAGTTGTCTTGAGATAGTTGAGAACTAATTCTGTCAGTGTATTTAAATTAAAAACTCAGCTGATGGGGAAATGAGTACTACTTACACCACAGTGCATTTATAGGCCATATTTGTATATGATTAGCAAATGTATTATACTTAATGGAATTTTTGGGTTCCTACACATAGATTATTTTAAAATTTTTGTGAGTGTATTCTTCACCCTTAAATCTTGACAAGAAATCAGCTTTGAAATCTTAATGTGGCCCTATCTCTAGGAAAGAGTTCATTTGATGTGGGGTTCAAGCATCACTAATTTAAATAAGTGTAGGAGAAATCAATATGTAAGAGTGTCTAGGAGAAACCATCTCAATAGTGAGATGTGAATTTGTGATTATTTAAAAAACAAAATTAGTTTTCTAACTTTTAGAAACATATAACTTCAATCAGCCAACAGATGCCTGATAACTAGAGGAATTTTGGTTATCTACCTCGATCACTAGCTAAGAGGGAATTCTAATTAAATATTAAAATTTATGTTTTAATTATAAAAATGTTTAATTAAATATAAAGGGTTCTTATTCTTAAGCAAGGAAAACATTTGTCTTGCATTATTTGAGAACCAATAGATGTTTTTTCATTGAGAAAGCAAATGCAAATTTCAAACAATCCACCATTTGTATTAATTAGTAGAGTTCATATTAATACAATTTTATTTTAATGCCTTTTGGCTCTCTTTGAATTGACTCGTGTTGGGGCTCAGCCAGATGACCCTTCAATGCCTAAATCTTTTTTTTTTTTTTTTTTGAAACGGAGTTTTGCTCTGTCACCCAGGCTGGAGTGCAGAGGCACGATCTCAGCTCACTGCAAGCTCCACCTCCCGGGTTCACGCCATTCTCCTGCCTCAGCCTCCCAAGTAGCTGGGACTACAGGCACCCACCACCATGCCTGGCCAATTTATTGTATTTTTAGTAGAGATGGGGTTTCACCATGCTATCCAGGATGGTCTCGATCTCCTGACCTCGTGATCCGCCTGCCTCGGCCTCCCAAAGTGCTGGGATTACAGGCGTGAGCCACCGTGCCCGGTCTTCAATGCCTAATTCTAAATTAACCTCCACATATAATTAGAAATGATCCCTGCTCTTTTTCACTGAGCACTGGATATTTGATAGTTAACTTTGTTTTTTTTTTTGAAACAGAGTATCATACTGTCGCCCAGGTCAGCTCGCTGCAACCTCCACCTCCCAGGTTCACCCAATTCTCCTGCCTCACCCTCCCGAGTAGCTGGGATTACAGGTGTACACCACCACATCCGGCTAATTTTTTGTATTTTTATTAGAGACGGGGTTTCACTATGTTGGCCAGACTGGTCTCAAACTCCTGACCTCGTGATCTGCCTGCCTTGGCCTCCCAAAGAGCTGGGATTACAGGCATGAGCCACCGCGCCTGGTGGATAGTTAACATTTTATTGAGAATTAATCCAGGTCTGTAGTCCCCCATCTACAATTTTGAAATCTAAAGAGTTCCGAAAACTCTAGGGCTTTTGAAACTCTGACAGCAAACTCTGATGTGATATTTATGGCCTTTATCCCTCTTTATATATTTTGATGCATATATATTTGTGTGCTTTAGGGGAGCTGCCCTAGGCTTCACTTGGGTTGATTCATAGTATACATTATAAGCACCATTTTACCTTTCTCAAATTAAAAAAAAAAAAATTCAGTAACAAACTATATCCCTGGTTCCAGGGATTTCTGGTAAGCGATTATATAGACTTATATTTGGGAAAGGCTCAGTGGTGCTTGCCAACCCCATTCTTTTTGTTATCATCATTCATGATAGCATTAAAGACTATTAATAGTGTCATTTATTGAGTACTTCCTGTGTTTATAGGCATGGCTCTAAACCGAGAGCTTGAGGCTGTCACTTTTCACATCGAGCCACATCACTACTTAATGACAGAGCTGCATGGGCTACAGCTGGTATCCAAACCAGGAATTCTACTCCTGCACTCTAGCATTTATTTTTACATCTACTATATATTTGTCCATGAGATTTTTCTCTTCCTCCTTAGTATCCTGTTTTACTTCTGCAGTTTGGTGTTCTTTGTGGAAAATGGGATAAGAATAGTGGAATATACGAGGTAATCCATGCGTAATGTAGTTTGGTTGAGGCCCTTAAGCTCTTAGCTCCCTCCCCGTGTCAGTTTTCTTATAAAATTGGATTCCAACACCAGCTCTGCCCACTTCACAGGGTGATTATGAGGCTGTGATAAGATAATAATATATTTCAAAGTCTTTCAAAGGGCTTTGAAAGGTTAATGTGCTCTATGACACATGCTACCTTTGACTTCATCCCTCTAAAAATCTTCCTAAAGCAAAGTAATTTCAATTCTAAAACATGAGAAGTATCAAATAATTCTTTTGTGCTTAATGTTCAGACTTCTAAACAGAGGTTACCTAGAGTTGGTTACTCAGAAGAAGAAGGAAGATGATGAAAGCCATGATGTCTCTGAGCATACACTGAAATGCATCCCTCAACTCTCATGACTTTTTAGGAACCCGCCATCTTCAGAGAGTGTCAGTGAGCCTGCAGACCTGCAGTGGTTAAATCAATAGTTAATGATGTTCATCATGTAATTTGAGCCTCTAGTTTGTTTATGCTAGACCAACTTTATCCATACTCCAAACAAATTATCTCTTATAATTACCAGCCCGAAGATAAATCTCTAAATGTTTTTCTGATGATAGTGCTATGGTTGGCAGGTGTTAAAAGTGCCTCCCAGGGACAAAGATTGAAGACGAGCTTGTTCCCACAAATCCTCGAGGCGAGGATGTTGAGCTTTCTATCCTGCCATGTGCAAAGGAGCCTTGTATGGTGCCCTGCTAATGAAATCTAATAGGCAAAGGTCGTACATCTTTACAAAGAAAAATGCAAAGTTGGTTGTGTGATAAATGGGCTCCATGGGGCTCAGTGGACGCGATTTAGTGAAAAAACCCGTGTTTAAACAGTCAGCTCGGTTGCTCGCTAATGTTTACGCCTTAAATATCCCCTCACAGTGATTCTCCTTACCTGGTAGAATGATTAAATACAAAAATAAGCATTTTGTATGTTTTTAGTGCTCTAAACCAAAGTGATTGGTCATCTAATGTTAATATTAACATTAACCACCAGAAAAAAAACACTTTGAAACATTTAAAACACAGCTGTAGGTATTTAAATAAGTCGTTGTTTAAAAAACTACCTAATTTAAATGTGCTATTAAAGTCTCTTAAAAGAAGAAGTCTTAGGCTCTGTATGTTTTAATCACTGCTTTCAGAATACTAAATAATGCATGCAAATATGCAAGGTTTTATCCAAAAAATTGTTCTGCTTAGAAATGCAAAAATAAGTTAAATCTGGAATTATAAAGAGTTAAATAAATCAGATATTGTTGAATTGAATCACTGCTGGTTTTAGGAGAAGTTACCAGTTCATTTGCTGTAGTTGTACTGCTGAGCCAAGAGACAGTTCAATAAATCAACTCAAGCTTGATGGATTCTTCAATTCATTGAAATGAGTGCATGGAAGAGAAAAGAAATCTCTTAGTATTCCCTCTTTGACAAAAGGGTATGCAAAGAGCCTGAATGGATGAATGGTTGATTAATTTTGCCAGAAATTTTCTTGACAGCAGGAAATATGTTTTTGCATTACTCTGTTTGCCTGGGATTTATTTGGTAGAATATGAATTCTTGCATGTAAATTTGTACCTGAGGCTATGTTGCTAAAGTAGATAGCTCCTGGTACAGTTTCTGAATACGGGACCTGTAATATTTTTGTATGGTCATGCACTCCACACCTATATGTGCTGCCCTGCAGCGGTGTCTATAAATTTCTGCTGTCACTGATGTTAGCAGAACAGTCGAGCACTGCCAGTGATTCAATATTGAGCTTGGTTTGAATGCTCATCTGTGCTTGTCTCAAGAAAGGATGGGGCTGGAGGCAAGCAACTGCCAGAGCTTCATAATTCCTTGACTCATCAACCTGGCAGCTTACTAATAAATAGACTCTAACCTGTAAATAAGGAAGAGAAGGTACAAGGTAGCCTCTTGTGCTTTCTATACAGCAAGGCTACAATTGAGCACATTTCTTAGTTTTATCTCATCAAGAAGGAATACAGCTACACACGAAAAGAACTTGGCTGCTGTTGATGACAGCAGAACTGTGTGCGAACAGAAATGGGGTAGCCTCTCCATTTACCATCTTATACTGTCCCATAAAGAAGGATGCTGCACCACATAGAGTGGCCCCACCTTTCCCGGGTCAGTGTGGAGGGTAGGAAGGCTTGTGGTTCTCAAAACCTGTATGAGGCAATAGATAATACAATAATTGCTTCCATTTAGACCTCTTCTGCTGCCATGTTCAGGTACTGGAATACTAGGAAGCCCAAGAATGAAGTCATGTACAAAGAAGTGCTTTATTTTCTCCCTACTCGCCGGTCTGAATGTTTGTGTTGCCCCAAACTTCATATGTTAAAATCCAAATCCCCAAAATGATAGTATTAGGAAGTGGAGCCTTTGGGAGGTGATCATGTCATGGGGCCAGAGCCCCCATGAGTGGGATTATTGCCCTTATAAAAGAGACCTCAGAGAGAACCTCACCTTTTCTGTCACGTGAGGACACAGCAAAAAGATGGCAGCCTATGAATCAGGAGGCAGGTGCTCATCAGACAGCGAGTATGTCAGGATCTTGATCTTGGACTTTCCGTCTTCCAGAACTGTGAAAGATAAATTTCTGTTGTTTATAAGCTACTCAGTTTGTGTTATTTGCTTACTGCAACCTGAATGGACTAACACACCATTCTTAAATTATTTACCTTCTGTTCATTTTGTTTTCCTTCTAGAGGTTTACACTGGAACTTCCTCTTTCTTTTAGATACCAGACCAGAAATTATCCATAGCATAAAGTATGTCATATGACATTGTGCCTGATTTTACTTTATGTGGTTTTTTTTCACACACCCACATTGAGTCTCTTGAAAGCATACCACCAGAGTGCTTATACTATTTCTGAAAATAAGTATATAGAAAAAGTATCCCTTTACAAATTTTGAATACACACACACACACACACACACACACTCACACAAACCCTACTAATCTCTAAGGCTGAAAAATATTTTCATCAGCTATGCAAATTTGGTATTTCATATTTTCTCCTTAGATTACAGTAAGGGAATGAAAAATGATTAAAAGATAATGTTATGTGAAATAAGAAATTTCCTTGTATGTTCTTATCAGATATGATGCCCAACCTCAAATGAGAACAAATGACGCATGTAAATGTACTAGAATAAAGCTTAGAAAACTTGGGTTCCAGTTCCTGCTCCAGCATCAAATAACTATGTATGATATTGGGAATATTTTTGAAGCTTTTTGAGCTTCAGCTTTCTCATCTGTTAAATGGGTATCACCAATTCTTATCTTACTACCAGCTAAAGAATTGGTGAACATCAATTAAGATTATTTTGATCATATGTAGAAAAGCCAATATTGTTCTATAGACATAAAATTTTACTTTCTCTTTAAGTATTGTTACACTTTTAAGTTTTGATTCTTTGCATATGATAATATCAACCTTTGTTTGATGGAAGCTTCTTAGGCTGGTGCAGCCTAATGAGTGATCCTAAAGTCTTCCATGGTCAGCCTTCCAGTTACTCCTGCTATTCCCTTGTTCTGGGCTCGTAGGAGTCCAGCTGGTAGGAGCCCCAGTTCTTTTGGTATCTCGGTAACTTAATTGTCAGCCACTACGGGGCTAGCTGCTAGTCATAACTGGCATAAAAAAAAAAAAAAAAAAAGAAGAAAGAAAACTATCTTCCTCAATAAAATGTGGGGGACTCTGCTTCTAAAACGTAAACAAGTAATAATTTGGAAGAAAAGCTTTTCTCTTTGTGTGGCCTCTGCTCCTGCAAATGTTCATTTCTCTGATTATAATCAGTAGGTTTTCATAAGTTGTGGCCTCATCTCTCTATTCTTCAGTTGTAAGTGACAGAAATTCAACTCAATTTTGCTTAAGGAAAACAACAAACTGCTCTGTTGATAATCCAGGATAGATCTAGCTTCTGATACTCTTGGACTCAAACTCCAAGTGTGCCATCAGGGCTTGCCTTTTTTCCACCCCTTCCCTCTGTTTCTCAGTGTTGTCCTTGTCCTCAGGGATATTCCTCTCTCCATGACTCCCCAGGATGGCTCTGGGTAGCTCCAGGGCTTGCCTTTTTTCTCCACCCCTTGCCTCTGTTTGTCAGTGTTGTCCTCATCCTCAGGGACACTCCTCTCTCCATGACTCTCCAGGATGGCTCTGGGCAGCTCTAGACTCATGTGATCCTAGATCTCCGTGTCTCAGAGGAACAGGGAGCTTCAAAAACCCCTATGGAGTCTTTGAGTAGCCTCGCTCAGGTCACATGTTATTCCTGAAACCATCACCGTGGCCAAGTGGATGGAACAGAGTATGGCTAGGCCTGGGTCACCTGCCACACCTAGAGCTCAGGTTAGGGGTAAAGACAGCCCCATGTCAGCCATATGAAGTTAGGAGGATTCCTCCCCAAAAGAAGGGATGACAGACAAAAATGCTTATGTCTGTGACAATCTGAACTCATTTTTATTTTAAACTGTTATTTCTAATATTCCAAGGACTTTGCTAGCATTTTATATGAACTATCTCATTTAATCCTGTTGATAAACTATGTAGTAGGTATTATTATTCTCATTTTCAGATACAGAAACCAAGGCTTCGAGGTTAAGTAACTCACCCAAAGTTGTGTAATGAGAAGTGGCATAGCTGAGATTCAAATAGAAGTCTGTCTCATTTGAGAGCTAGAGGGTCTTCCTGACTTCACTATCTCACCATCTTTTTTCCTGTAGGTTCGATGATCTTAAAATTTAAACTTTTTTTGTGCTTGTACCACCTTCTCCTCTGTCCCTGATTCGACCCCTACCTCCTGAACGTCTTTCCATTTTAGGATTATTAAATCATTGAATATCAGAACTGGAAGGCACCTTACAAACATCTACCCAGCCCCTCCTTTCCACAGAAGGAGGGGAGATCTTCTGTGGAACCTCCAGGGAGGTCCTTTTTGTGGACTTCTGAGTGTTTGAATGCTGCCAAATCTGGAAACAGACAAATCAACTCATTTTCATGATGCCCAGACTTGAGTAGCCCTTCCATTGAATAACCTGAATCCCCTACATAGAAGGCATTCAGTAAACACTGTTCTTTGATAATCAAACTAGTTTTTGGCTACAGGATTACTGAAATCATTAACGTTATCCATCTTTCAAAGAAAAAAAAAAAACAACTAAAACTTTTAAGGAACAGACTGCTTTAAAAAAAAATCTTTTTGGATCACAAAGTCAGTAGCAGGAAAAACCCTAAGAGTAAAATGACAGTTATTATATTTTCCTGTTCTGTGAATTGTGTGAAGATTAGGGCAAATTAATTAATTATCTTACCTCTTGATATTGTACAGGCAAATTAATTAATTGTCTTACCTCTGATATTGTACAAAGTTCATAGGGCCAAGTGCTATGGCTCATGCCTGTAGTCCTAGCACTCTGGGAGGCCGAAGCAGGCAGATCATTTGAACTCAGGAGTTCAAGTCCAGCCTGGGCAACATAATGAAACCCTGTCTCTACAAAAAATAAAAAAAAAAAAATTAGCCAGGCGTGCCTGTAGTCCCAGCTTCGTGGGAGGCAGAGGTGGGAGGACCACTGGGGCCCAGAGGGTCAAGGCTGCAGTGAGCTGTGACTGTGCAACTGCACTTCAGCCTGGGTAACAGAGTGAGACCCTGTCTCAAATAGATGAATGAATGAATGAATGAATGAATGAATGAATGAATGAATCTGTGGTTTATGAGTATTGCAAAGACACTAGAGAGCCAAGGAATGAAGTCAGATATTTGTGGTCTGGAACAAGCTGTGTTGATGTGCAATATAGCACTTCAGTCCATGAAGCTGTGTTGATGTGCAGTAGCACTTCAGTCCATGAAGATGTTGCCATCTGTTTTCTTGATGTTGGGGCAGTGCTGTATTGTGTGTGTTGGGTGGTACTGGGGGAGGCTGAGTACTGTGATGCAGGAGCAAGCACCCATACCTGTGGCTACTCAGGCAGAAGACCGATCTCTCTCAGCAGGTAGAAAAATGACTCTACCGTTATTTCCCCAAGTAACCAGGTACCTAACTACTTTCAGAAATTTAAAAAAATCTATATAAATGGCAGCAATGGAGACGAGAAGCAGATGTCCAGTTCTGTCTTCTGAGGTATTTTTGTAAACTCCTCTTTCCCTCTTGCCAAGAGAAATCGGTGGTCTGTTGGTGGCCTTTTAGAATGAGAGTGAGAACAGAGTTGAGAATAATGGAGGAAAATCAGAGAGATAGATACAGACATACAGACATGAAATCTTCTAATCATGAGCCAGGCCCAGGGTCCAGTGGCTGCTGGAGGTCTACTTCTGTCTCTCATTCAGTCCAGCTCAGACAGAGCTGTCAGCAAGAGACGTGCTAGAAGCTGGGAACAGCAAAGATAAATGCTCTTTGAGTCTTACTAATGTGATGTCTCAAGCCCCAGGAAAAATCAGACACAGACAAACTATACAACCTAGACACTACACATTCTTAAGTTAATCAGGCCTGCTAACCAGACACTGTGGAGAACTGGGCTGCTCATCTTTGCCCCTGTATAAGAAATAAGGAATCCTTAGCAGTTGCTTGATTCTAAAGTTAGAGTAAATGAAAGGCAACAGAAGGATGATTCAAAACACATGTCAAAAACCAAGCCAAATGTGCGTGGGTGGTAAGGGCAGATTTCTCAGAGGTTCTAGACCATGATAGACAAAGAGAAGATTGCCTTTCCCCAAAGAATGTATCTTAAGTGTAATTTTCTTTTTTCTTCTTTTATTTTTATTTTTACTTTTTTGAGACGGAGTCTCGCTCTGCCCCCCAGGCTGGAGTGCAGTGGCACTATCTCGGCTCACTGCAAGCTCTGCCTCCTGGAGCCATTCTCCTGCCTCAGCCCCCAGTAGCTGGGACTACAGGCACCCACCACCATGCCCGGCTAATTTTTTGTATTTTTAGTAGAGACAGGGTTTCACCATGTTAGCCAGGATGGTCTTGATCTCCTGACCTCGTGATCCACCCGCCTCGGCCTTCCAAAGTGCTGGGATTACAGGCGTGAGCCACCGCGCCCGGCCAAGTGTAATTTTCTATGACATAAATGCACGTATCAGGGTCCCTTAGAGGACCTGATGCTTGCTAGTGGTGGGAGCAGCGGGGGTGTCTGAGTAAAAAGGTTTGACTCCTTTACTATAAGCAAAGGAGGTTTGCTTTGATCACTAACAAAATGTAATTGCAAGCTACTCTTTCTTTTGTTTAGTTTATTACATAAATAATACATGAGTTTGTTCACACTGTAAAGGAATCTAAATAATGCAGACAAAGCTCAAGGCCTTTTTATACCCTCATTCAAATACCAGTCCTTTTTCTAAATAATAAGTGTACCAATGAGGTGTACATTTTTCTGGAATTTTCTCCTTGCTCTTTTTGGTACGTACTAGAAAGATACAATTTTGTTTTGTAAGTTTAAAAAATATATTTATTGTTCCTGCCGGGCATGGTGGTCTGCAATCCCAGCACTTTGGTAGGCCAAGATGGGGGGATCACTTGAGTCCAGGAGTTCAAGACCAGCCTGGGCAACATAATGAGACCCTGTCTATACAAAAAAATAAAAAAACAAAATTAGCTGGGTATAGTGGTGTGTGCCTGCAGTCCAGCTACTCAGGAGGCTGAGGCAGAAGGATCGCTGGAGCCTGGGAGGTCAAGACTGCAGTGAGCTGACATCTTACCACTGCACTCCAGCCTGGGTGACAGAGCAATACCCTGTCTCAAAAAAAAAAAAAAAATATATATATATATAGATAGATAGATAGATAGATAGATAGATAGAGAGAGGGAATATATGTTTATAGTGTGTGTGTGTGTATGTGTGTGTTAAACTTGATTTTCCCCCATATAATAATATGTCTTGGAATATTTCCACAGCAGCAAGTATATATATCTTTTTCATTTTTCATAGCATAAAGAAATATGAAATATGAAAGCCCCATTGCTCATTAAGCTATCTTCTGAGAGAGGTTGACCAGCAAGCCACTCTTCTGTTGCCATATTCTCAGTGTGAAATCATTTCCTCTATCATATTGAGATCCTGCATTCTACTTAGATAAATTCCACACTCTCTGGGTTCCGCATTTTGCAAAAGAGAGATGTTAAGAATGTTTGGTGTTTCCTTTCAGATTGCCTCATCTCTTTCGTCTCTTTATTTTTTTGAGACGGAGTCTAGCTCTGTCGCCAGGCTGGAGTGCAGTGGTGCGATCACAGCTCACTGCAACATCTGCCTCCCAAGTTCAAGCGATTCTCCTGCCTCAGCCTCCCGAATAGCTGGGATTACAGGCGTGTGCCACCACCACACTCGGCTAATTTTTGTACTTTTAATAGAGATGGGGTTTCACCATATTGGTCAGGCTGGTCTTGAACTCCTGACCTCGTGATCTGCCCGCCTTGGCCTCCCAAAATGCCAGGATTACAGGCGTGAGCCACCGTACCCGGCCCTCTTTCATCTTTTATTTCAGGGGTAGAACCTCTCCTTTTTTTATGGCTTCTGGTAGCATTGGTTAATATCTTACTACTCAACATGTGGTGCACAGACCAGCAGCACAGCCATCACCTGGGAGCATGTAGAAATGCAGAATCTCAGGCCCCCTGAGTCAGAATCTGTGGTTTAGCAAGAATCCCAGGTGATTTGTGTTTAAGTTACAGATGCGTGGGTTAATATATGTTGTGACTCAAAATCACAAGATTATATGTATCTTTTTTCTACAGGTGAGGAGGTAGGGCTGCACAGTTACCTCTGACAGTAGAAGCTCTCTTTATTGATCTTCCCTTAACTAATGTACTGAACTAAATGACATTGTCCACTCTACCCTGTAACGTATACTCATCGATAACCTTAGCTGAATGCTGACAGCCAGCCAAAAACTCTCTAGACTGAACAGGTGTGTACATATGGATTAGCTGCATTTAATGTTTGCCAAGTATCAGCTGTGTTTGCTCCAAACCTATTTAAATCAATTGTACATGTTAATATAATTACACAATCTTGAATAAACTGATGAAATAGGACTAAGGTAGTTATTTCTAAGATTAATGCTTTGGAAAGACAAGAAAATGAAATGAAACATGCTCTCAAGAAAAATATGGTCTCAAATTAGGATAATACAGCTATAAAAAATTGGCAGACTTGTAAAAATGTAGGAGTCTGTGTTCAGATTTTTTTACATATGTCTAAGTTTTTATTCCACATTAAGGAAATTGAAATTAGAAATGGAAAATTAAATTTTATATGTATGGCTGCAACAAAGAAGTTGGAAAGCTCCTATAAACCCATGCTTTTAAATATTTTAAAAGAAAAAAATACTTTAAAAGACCTTGGTTCTACATGAAAAGATTATAAATGGATGCATTATTTTATGTTTGAATTCAAATAAGATCGTTTTATTTTATTTTATAATAAAACATTTCTTTTTAACAGTTTACCTCTTTAGCCAAATTTTTAATTAACCAACTCCTTGTCCTAATCATATCAGCTAATATAAAAAATATACAGTAGAAGAATGCTACTGTATACTTTCATTTCTAAAGAGCCAAGCAAAGTAGAAGCAAGAATTTTATACCTTAATGGACTCTGGCTTTTTTTGTTGCTGTTGTTGTTGTTTGTTTTTGACAGATAGGAACCTGAGGCTCAGAAAAATGAAATGTCTTGCTTTAGATAAAAATGTGGTTCTCAAATTGTGGTTCCCAGACCAGCCACATCAGCATCACCTGAGAGCTCGCTAGAACTAACAGCCCCAGACCTACTGAATCAGAAACGCTAGAAGTGGGGCCCAGGTGTCCGTATTTTTAGAAGCCCTGTAGGTGATTCATGAGTTCAGCTAAAGTTTGAGGATCATTGACTTAGATCACATCCTAAAGACAGCACCTGGAGAACCCATTGCTCCATTACACTCTCTGGTTCATTTGTCCCACACTTTCTCCAAACCTGAGAGTTCTTTTAATCAGAAATTCTGTAGCTCCGTAATTTAAACAATGGCTGCAACAAAAGAATCTTAGGGCAAAAAGGACTATTTCTAACATACATAAGGTAGAAAGACAATCTCCAAACTGTCCCTGAAAATGGATTATTCTAATGCCCTAATTGACAAATAAACTTACTGTTAATGGAGTTGTAGCTGTTGGGTCTTGGCTGCTGCTGACTACCATCTATGTATTGAGGGCTGATTGTGTGAGAGATCCTAAGCTAAGTGTTTTATACATTTTCTCATTTTATAAGTAGGTTATTATACTCATTTTCCAGAGGAAAGAACTGAAGCTTAGCCTAATAAGTAACTTGCCTAAAGGTGCAGAGATAACAGGCTGTGGAGCTAGGATGTGAGTCCTGGGCTGCTGTATTCCAAAGCCTATTCTTTTAAGCACTACATTTTATTATTTGCTCATTTGGAGAAGTTAGGGCTGCTTATTTAAAAACACACATACGCAAATATGAACCAAGTTTTTGGAATTTATATTTTTCCCCAGTGACTATCAAAGTTCAGTCAATGACTAGAGAATAGAAACTAGAATCACTGATGTAGAAACTATGTGTAGACAATACAAATTGAAAATATTTCTTTATGTCAATACAGACTCCTGTTCTCCACCCTACCTGCACATTAATCAATGTACCTCCTTGAAAAATATACTGATACCCAGGCCTCACCCTTAAGCCAATTAAATTTAAATCTCATGGGGTGGGCTGTGAGTACTTGTATTTTTTTTTTTAACAGCTCCCTGGGCTATTCTTAGGTATAGCCGGGGTTGAGAATGGATTGAGATGTGAACATACAGGTTTAGATAATTCAGGCCCAGAAATGGGTTTTAATGGGTTTTGATGAGTTTTTCCACATAGCCTAAGTTATTGGGCAAAGATGCTGGTAGCCTGTTATCAGGCAAGAATGCTAGCCATTCATTGAACAGTTGTAATGCCCCATGAGTGTGGCATAACATAGCTATACCCTCAAATATCTGCCATATTTTAGGTTACCATTATGGAGATAAAAGATAGATTTTTCAGGAATCCTAAATATAAGATTTGGCATTTAAAAATGCCCTGTTTAAGGCCAGGCGTCGGGGGGCTCACACCTGTAATCCCAGTACCTTGGTAGGCTGAGGCAGGCAGATCACCTGAGGTCAGGAGTTCAAGACCAGCCTGGACAACATGGTGAAACCCCATCTCTACCAAAAAATACAAAAATTAGCCAAGCATGGTGGCTTGCACCTGTAGTCCCAGTTACTCGGGGAGGCTGAGGTGGAAGGATCACTTGAACCTGGGGGCAGAGGTTACAGTGAACCGAAATCACCCCACTGCACTCCAGCCTGGGTGACAAAGTGAGACCCTGTTTCAAAAAAAAAAAAAAAAAAAAAAGCCCTGTTTACCCATAACTAAGTTGGAATAATAGTACAACTTTGCTTGACAAAAAAAAAAAAAAAGAAGAAGAAGAAGAAAGAAACAACTCTGGAAAATACCTGGGTAAACTTCATTTTCCTGGAATAGGAAGTAGATGTTTTATAAAATCTTGGCTCTTTTAAACCATCCTGCTGTTTTCTTTGTTTAAGAGAATCGAAGCTTGGTTTCATTTATAAGCACAGCAATCTAAACTAAAAGACAATTGATGGAAAGATGTTATTTTTACTGGCTTCGAAAAAGGAAATATTTGGCCAATTAATAAAAAGTATTCATGTAGATGCTCCCCATCCCTGATTTACTTTTCTAGTTCTCCTGCCTGTTAAACCAGGCAGAATTAACCATGTGTCTTGCTTTATGTAGTAAGATTTCTGAAACAGTTGAGTGTGACTTGAATTATTTTGTAAGCTCCTAAGAGTCTCCTGCTGTTTTTCTCTAAAGCAGTGGTTCTTAACTGGGGTGATTTTGCCCCACAGGGGACATATTTAGTTGTCATAACTAGGGCAGGGAGCTTGCTACTGGCATCTAGTGGGTCAAGGCCAGATATGCTATAAACACCCTATAAGGTACAAGACAGCCCCCACAGCAAAGAACTGTCCAGCCCCAAATGTCAGTAGTGCCAAGGTTGAGAAACCCTGGTCTAAAGTTATTACTTTTTATCTGTTACGAATTTAGGTTTTTTTCTGTATTTGGCTTGCTTAGAGCCCTTCTATAAATCACTCTTGTATAAAATAATGACAATTAAATTACTACTCTTGTTCCACCAGAGTGAGCCCAGGTATTCTCTGCCTGGAAGGCTGGGCCTGTAGAACATTTCAAATTTGTATTTAAAGCATTTTAATGCCTCATAGATGGTACTAATAGCAATGGAAGTTTGACAGTTATAGTGGAGATTTGAGCTTCTGAAGACTTCAAGGGCCAAAAAGAGAAACACCCTCATGTTGACCTGAAAGAATAAAGATTAAGGAGGCTTGACTGCTTTTTCCTGGATTGTTTAAATAGTACAATGTATTTTCAATTGATTCAGCATAATTTTCATTCTCTAAGCTTAACGCTTTTATAGATTTATCACTCCTCTTTTTAATACCCTCCTTAATTGGAGCGTAAAATAAAAATTAACATGAAAATAAAAGTTAACTAAATTGTCTCACTAAACTTATCTTTCCAAGCATCATGATTCTCCCTACAACTAGGCTTGGTTGGTTGGAACTAAAATGGGGCTTTGGGAAAGTATCTGATGAGTGTGCATGTGTGTGTTAGAATGTATGTGCGTGTGCCTGTGTATGCGTGTTACACCTTCGTGCTTGATGTCTAAAGTGCCCACCTATGGGCTTATCTGCTCAGCATCCCTCTTCTAGGAAGTGACTCTTACCCACCAACTTTGTTATAACTGGTGTGGTGTCTGTGATTTGTGGTCTTTCCAATCTACCTCAATTGTTTTGCCCAGAGATAGGCACCGAACCCAAGTGGGAACAACCAGAGTTCTTTCTCCAGGGTTTTCAAACTCATGACCAAAAGGGAGTCGTGACTCATTTGGCAAGGTCTACACAGAGATGCTGCAGCCACCTGTGGTTCCCACCGTGTAGAGGATGCCAGTTGGCTGCAGGACAGCAGAATGCAGCCAGAAGAGGATGGAGAGGCAGGACGACCTGCATATCCCTGGCAACCCCTGCCCTTCTCCCAGCGCGTGCTCAGGCTCTTCTTGGCTTCTGTGGGAACACTCCCCAGATCCTGCTGACTTCTTTCTCTACTTAAATCAGTTACAGTTAAGTTTCTGTGACTTGTGACTGAGACAGTCATGACAGCAGCATCCTTACCTGAAGAGGGATTCCTCCAGCTTCTCAAACACAGCCATCTCCAAACAAAAGTAAAACCACAAACCCCAGAGTGTATCTGTTTTCAGGAGGGGGTTTCTGGTAATTAGCTTAGACTGCAACAAATGGTACACACAGACTGCTGGCTCTGCATGTGTGCTCCAAGATTGGTGTTTACCCTATATATGCCAATTTAAGAATGTCATAAAGTTTATCAGTGAGCAAATGGAAATGAGCAAGAACACATAGATGGGTGGTGAAAGGTGTGTGCCTTGATAGATAGATTTTTTTTTTAGACTTCAAAAAAAACTAATTACTTTCATTGGGTTGATAGCAAAGGGGGCACAACCATATTCCCCACTTAAGCTTGGCGATGGTTGGGTATTTTTAGCAAATGAGTTGTCAGCAGAGAGGCTTCATTAGACCCATCAGGATATCTGCCCATGAAGAACGAATCCCAAACTGTACTGACACTTTCATTGAGCCAAAATGATGAAGCACCTCTGACAAGAGCCATATTGTGCTCCCCATGCAAGGAGCGTGAGGAACAAAAGAGACAGTTTGATCTTCATTTGGTCAGGTTAATATTGACACAGCTTAGAAAAATCAGAAGTGTGTGCAATGCACACGTGCAGAAAGTGCTCTGGAGACTTGCCTTGTGGTTTCCATAAATCAGAAAGGGGAACCCAGAGAGGAAAAAAGGTTTTCCTGCTTTCTTGAAATTGGGTTCAAACTAGATGATTTATTTTTACAAAGGAAAATAAAGCTGTCAGTGTTCAGGCTCATGGCTCAAAACAAGCCAACAGGGACTTTTTTTTTAATCTATACATAATTATAGAAATCATTCATTATTATTATTTTTATCTGGGAGCTAGAGTGTAGCCCAGGTTCTACCATTTCAAAAATAGAGCATGGCTAATGAGCGGGGTTTCATTACATGTGTGTCCTGAATTATTCGTTCCCGTATAGAAATCCTTATAAACATACAGAAACAAAAAGGGGCCCTTAAAGGAAACAGCAGTCTAGCCCTTTCCTTGCCAAGCACTTAAGTCCATCCAATAGAGGAAAGTTTTCCTGATTATGGGTCTGTCCTTAAAGAAAATGTAAATTAGGCTGTTAGTTAATGAGGTGATGACTTATTTGTCTTTGATTGGTTGTGAAACTCCCCCATTCAAGTATTCAATCTATTATTAACTGCTTGTAAGAGTGCCTGGGACTACTTTTATTCCAGGCCCAACTCTCTGTCTGTGTAACAACAGTGCTTCTTTATGGAAGATAGGATGGGATGGAAAAAGATGGGAAAGAATTTTAACTCCCTTATTTGAGGTGTGCCTGAAATCAGCCCACTTCATTTCAAGAAGTTCTTTTTGTGTGTGTCTGTGTGACAGGGTCTTGCTCTGTCACCCAGGTTGGAGTGCAGTGATGGGATCTCCGCTCACTGCAACCTCCACCCCCACCCAGGCTCAACCAATCCTCCCATCCCAGCCTCCCCAGTAGCTGGGACCACAGGCATGCACCACCATGCCTGGCTATTTTTTTTTTTTTTTTTTTTTTGTATTTCTATCAGAGACAGGTCTCACCATGTTGCCCAAGCTGGTCTCGACCTTCTGAGCTCAAGTGATCTGCCCGCCTCAGCCTCCCAAAGTGCTGCGATTATAAGCATGAGCCACCGCACCCAGCCTGATTTCAAGGAGTTCTTAACCTGTGCTTTCAGATGAATTATCTCCCAAACATTTTCTCTCTCCCTTCATTAATGATATGCTGGCCGGGTGCGGTGGCTCACGCCTGTAATCCCAGCACTTTGGGAGGCTGAGGCGGGCAGATCACAAGGTCAGGAGATCGAGACCATGGTGAAACCTCATCTCTACTAAAAATACAAAAAGTTAGCCGAGCGTGGTAGCAGGCGCCTGTAGTCCCAGCTACTCGGGAGGCTGAGGCAGGAGAAGGGCGTGAACCCAGAAGGCGGAGCTTGCAGTGAGCCGAGATCGCACCACTGCACCCCAGCCTGGGCGACAGAGCGATACTCCATCTCAAAAAAAAAAAAAAAGAAAGATATGCTTATAGGAGGTAATAAATATTTGCTCCATGACAAGAAAGCAGTGATTTTCAGTTTTCAATAAACATGTTATCTCCCCCTCTATTCTTGAATTCTTCAACTCAAAAGAGGGCATCACAAGAGCTTTTGCTTGAAGAACTCTTGGTTTTTCTTTTCATACTTACGACATGCTTAACCTAAATCAAGCATTTGCAGATGGATGACATTATTATGATTGCCTTTCATAGTTGTACCTTAGTGAGAGGACTTCGCTTTTATGGTCTTCTGTTAAGAAACCTGCTAAGTCAGGAAAAAAACCAAACCAAACCAAAACTAAGCCCCTTTAGCCTCTCTACTCCCCTCTGGCAATTCTAATTTCTAGTTTCTCTGAGTTTTTGAACGTAAGTCAGCTTATATTGGGAGCATCTTTAGATAATAAGATTTGTACATACTGAATGGTAAAGCAGGCTTCTTCCGTTGCTTGTGTGTCTAAGCTACCAGAGCAAGAAAGTCTACGTGAGGATACTTCTGGATAACCAGTGATTATGCCACATCTCCTGTTTTCCCACCCATTGCCTGTGTACACTTGCATGCCCAACTTTTCAAAAGTACATACTACTGCAAGAATATCACAACATTCTTCTTTATAGAAGTTTTGGGTTTTTTCAATTTTAGGATCTTACATATAGTTAACAGTCACCCTACAGTTCTATTTTATAGAGCAGATGAATAACTGGAAATTGCTCACAAAGCATGGTAATGTTCGATCTTCAAAAGACGTAAGCAGCGCATTATTGTTAGCAATTGTCAAAATCAAGGATGTTGCTTGCTTGTGTGTAGTGACAAGAGAGAACCAACACCAAATTGAAATAAATGGAGTAGTTAAAAACTATTTTTATTAAAAACTGAATTAATCAATAATATCTTTGGTGAGGAGGGATGTTCTCATTTAAGGATAAAACAGGAGTGAAAACATGGGCTCTGAAGTTAAACTAACCTGGGTTTAAGTCCCATTTGTCCCACATACGAGCTGTGAGCTGGGTGGCATCAGTTACTTAACCTTCCAAAGCCTCCATTTTCTCAATGCAAAACAGAGACCATGTTACCTATCTCACAGGGGCATCTTAAAGTTTAGATGAGATGATGCAAAGTACTTAACAGAGCACTTAATGCAGAGGCAATACTTAATTATGTCAGGCAATATACTATTGACGTAAATGAAGATTATATTGGCATTTATATGTGTTACATATTCATGTACATATTGTAGTAGTTTTAATTTTCACAAAATATTTTCACAAAAGGGCTCTCTTTTTAGCTATAAAGAATGATAATATGTACTGTCTAACTTTCTTTTCAAAATGTGATGTCTAATATAGTTTTAATAGACCCAGTGAATTTTTACTACTATGATGCTTTGGCTGCCTCATAAAAACAAGAACAATAGAGTGTAGGCTGGGCGCGGTGGCTCACACCTGTAATTCTAGCACTTTGGGAGGCTGAGACAGGAGGATCACTTGAGGTCAGGAGTTCAAGACCAGCCTGGCCAACATGGTGAAACACTGTCTCTACTAAAAATACAAAAAAAAAAAAAAAAATAGCAGGGTGTGGTGGCACACGCCTGTAATCCCAGCTACTCAGGAGACTGAGGCATGAGAATTGTTTGAACCTGGGAGGTAGTGGTTGCAGTGAGCCGAGATCACACCACTGCACTCCAGCCTGGGCAATGAAGAGAGACTCTGTCTCAAAAATAAAAAAGAACAATAGAGTATAAATAAATGACATCTGGAAAAAACATGGAAAATATCTTTGCTTACCAATTAAAGAGTGTACAAAAAACAAAATAAATAAAATCTCTTAATTTATGCATGTGGTGTTCTCATAAATCATTTTCCTGTCAAAATTATCAGACTTTATTATTGCTGAATGTTTTAAATATTACAATGGAATTTTGGTTGCATAAATCATAATCCCTTCAAGTTAGAACATTTGTGTACATACCTCAGCATTTTTCTTATATCTCGATTTTAAAAAATAGCCCTCATTCTAGAAATAAATCCATGCAGACTGTAAATGTCAAACTGTACTCTTAAATTTCAGTAACTCAGCAGTCCAGGCTGGCCACTGTGCTTGCAAGGTAGTTAGGAATTGTCACACTGTGTTTGTAAGACTCACTGTTCCCAAAAATGCAGCCGTACACACTGGTGTTTTAATCTTGGTAATTATTTTTATCTGCAAGCATTTTACTACAAGTGACATATACTCACTTGATTTTTCCATTTCCTGCAAAAACAAACAAACAAACAAAAAAACCCAGAAATAACAAATCTGGGAATTGCTTGTTCCTGACATTAGAAAGTAATTTATTCTTAATAAAAGTCTTACTCAATATATTTCATCTGTAATTTGTGAGGAAGACAACACTATAATAGGTATAGTCCAGAATGCTTGACCTATGTGGGAAGTATTAGCACCAGGAGTAAAATTCACTGAAGGTCATTTGGCCCTTGGAGGTGAAACGGTGGAAATGATGAAAAAGACTATTCATTGTGATTTAGCTGAAGGAAAAATCACTATACATTTTTTTAATGCTTTAAAAGCTGTTGTTTGCATAGTGGCAGACAGAAGCTCATTCACTGAGTCTAACTTGGAATTAAGGATAGAAAATTTGATAATGAGATAAACACTGACCTATCAGTAGGTTTTATACCTTACATCTTTTAGACGGAGTCTCGCTCTGTTGCCCAGGCTGGAGTGCAGTGGTGCGATCTCGGCTCACTGCAAGCTCCGCCTCCTGGGTTTATGCCCTTCTCCTGCCTCAGCCTCTCCGAGTAGCTGGGACTACACGCGCCGGTCACCACGCCTGGCTAATTTTTTGTATTTTTAGTGGAGATGGGGTTTCACCGTGGTCTCGATCTCCTGATCTTGTGATCCGCCCGCCTCAGCCTCCCAAACCTTACATCATTTTTATATGAGTTTACTTCATATTTAACTTTGTGCAACTTCCTCCATCATCTCACATCTAAGAATTTTACATGTAAATCACTTAAATGACTTAAAGATGTGTGTGATTATTATTTGAAAGTTCACATATATTATGGAGAACATAAGGCAAAAATTGTCATAACCAGTCCCCACAGACAGAATCTTGCAAAAGTACTTTCTATGAATCAGATTTAATCCCATAAATCCTGAGAATAACCTAAAAAATAATAATAAAAAAACAGGAAAGGAAAGAGGCTTAATATTTATTGTCTACTATATGTCAGGCACTTGACCAGTCTTTTATATATGCTTTTAGTTCTCACAACAGTCCTATGAGGTGAGGGTTTACAGATGAGGAAACTAAGGCTCATGAAAATGAAGTAACTGATTTGAGTCACCCAGCTAGTGAGTGTCACAGCGAGGGTTAACCTCATGTTTGGCTGACTCGTAGGTCTTTACTACCTTGGCATGAGCTCCCTAAAATAATGGAGAGACACAATAAGGTTTCAGAATAGCAATTTGGCTAAATTATGACAACTTTAATAAATATCAGTGAATCTTAATGTCCATTGTATATTAGAATTCAATACGTATTATTTGAATACGTCTAGAAATGACATTCTACTTTTATGTGGTTATAAAAATTATCTTCCAGTTAACACTGTATCATGAGTGTTTTCCTGTGTCATTAAGTATTCTTTGATAGCATAACTTTTAATAGCAGTTTAACAATCCTTTGTGTGACCATTCTATGATTTACTTAACCATTGCTCTAGTGTTGGACATTTAGATTGTTTGTAAGTTTTAGTTATTAAAGTAATAATCCAGTTAACAGCTTTGTCCACAAATCTTTGTGTACATATATGATTATTTCGTTAGGATATATTTCTAGGCTGGACATGGTGGCTTATGCCTCTAATCCCAGCACTTTGAGAGGCCAAGGTGGGAGGATCATTTGAAGTCAGGAGTTCAGGACCAGCCTGGGCAACATAGTGAGACCCTGTCTCTACAAAAAATAAAAAAATTAGCTGGGCATGGTGGTGCACGCCTGTATTCCCGGCTACTAGGGAGGCTGAGTGGGAGAACAGCTTGAGCCTAGGAGGTTGAGTCTGCAGTGACTCATGATCATACCATTGCACTCCAGCCTGGGTGACAGAGTAAGACCCCAACTCTGAAAAAAAAAAGGAACATATATTTTTTTAATCTTTTTTTTCTTTTAGAGAGGAGCTCTCACTATGTTGCCCAGGCTGGTCTCAAACTCCTAAGTTAAGTGATTCTTCTGCCCTGGCCTCCCAAAGTGCTAGGATTACAGATGTGAGCCACCATGCTCGGCCTAAAAAAAAGAATATATTTCTAAAAAAAAGTTTGATAGTGCCCATTTGGAAATATTTACCAATAATAAGAAAAGAAGAAAATTTGTGTTATTAAAGGATTTCTTTGATTAATGAGTTCAGATCTATTTATTATCCATTTGAATTCCAGTTGTGAATTGTCTTTTATGTTTTGTAACAGTTTTTCCATTGGTA
This sequence comes from Homo sapiens, assembly GCF_000001405.40. Lineage (NCBI taxonomy): Eukaryota > Metazoa > Chordata > Mammalia > Primates > Hominidae > Homo > Homo sapiens. The sequence continues at coordinate 76,719,311 of NC_000009.12, read as the reverse complement.
TATATCCTTTTTTCATTGATTTATATTAACTCTTATTCTTGAGGACATTAAACCTTTTCCTCCTAGCTAAAAAAAAAAGTAATAATAATAATTGCATTGGGAAACTTTCAGTAGGCTTTAAGCAGGAGAGTGTCATTATTCAATTTATATTTTTAAAAGCTGCCTCTTGGGGAAGGGGTGGAAAAAAAATAAAATAAAGCTGCCCCTTGATGCTATGTGGAGACTACATTACTGAGAGACCAGCTGTGATGCTGCTGCTAAAGTTCTGGCAAGAGATGATGGTGGCTGTGGCTAGGACAGCAATGGAGATGAAGAGATATTAGAGACGTGTTTAGACTACAGATATATTTTAAAGGCAATGTTAATAGGATTTGCTGGTGAATTACGTGAGAGATGAGGAAAAAAACAATCAAGGATAATTCCTAGATGTTGGGTTCGAATAACTGGGTAGACGGTGGTGCCATTTAATAGGACAGACACAACTGAGGAGGCGGTGGGCCATATTTTACTTGAGATACTTATTAAACAGCTACATGCAGATCTCATGTGCATGTAGATTCTGTCATCAGTGGCAGACAAATGGTTTTAAAGCCATGTGGCTGGGTAAGATCATCAAGGAGAAAGTGGAAAGAGAGAAGAGAAAGGGGACAGGAAACAAAGTTGGGTGTGAATATTTGGAGGCTTAATAAGGAAGAGCAACCAGCAAAGGCAACTGAAGGGCAGTCGGTGAATCCGGAGAAAAACAAGGTGTGTGGTGTCAGGAAGGTGAAGGAATTAAGTGTTTCAAAACAGAGGGAGGGTCAATCTCATGGAATACTGTAGAGAATCAAGTAGGGTAAGAAATGGAATGTTATCTTTGGATTTGGCAACCTCGGAGTGCTTGGTACTTTTGAGAAGAGAGTTTCAGTGAAATGACGGAGCCAGATCCCCCACCAGGGGGACTGAGAAGACAACAGAAGGTGAGCATGTGTGAGTGATGCAAGAAGAGGGTTTCTGTCTCTCAAGGATATCTACTGAAATGTTTACAAGACATTCTTTACATCACTTTTGTTTCACACGATGCACTGAAGCTACCAGCAGACAGCATAAAGACTGCCTTTTTCTGAGCAATGAAAAACGTAAAATAGGATATTGTGAGAATGAAAGGTTTCACTGCATCTGCACTTTCAGCTGTGAATGGAGTAATCTATGGGGCACCATCACTATCACTATCTTGGTTTTGATATTAGTTCAGGTACAGCTGTATTATTTCTGTTTTCCTCCTCTGGGTTATAATGAGCATCAACTTCTTTTAGGATTCTTGGGACCTACACCTTAGCTTTTTTGACCAGGAAATAACAAAGGCTTTTTCTCCCCACGTTTCCAGGCTTTCCCACTCATTCCCAAACTAGAAATTACTCAGACAACAAGACACGTGACCTCTAAAAATGTTTAGTCATCGACCCTTCGGAATCACGAGTGACAAAGGGCTGTGACAGGGAGCAATTGCCATTCTCCCTAACTGCTGGCATTAGTATGAGATTTTGCCAGCCAATTCCCAGTTGCAATGATTCATAAAGTAACTTCCTAAATTCCATGCAGCAGTTATAGGCTGGGGTCACAAATGCAGAAGGTGTGTGTGGCTGGTGGGGGGGGTGGTAAGTTCAACAGGAAGTGCTTTTATTGTCTAAATCCTTAGTAAATTGAATGGGAGATATATATGTATGCACGTATATAATTTTAATTTAAGTGGGGGGAACATTTTGGAGACATTTGAGCAGATTAACAAATAGTATTTGTATACATGTAACTAAAACAGTAATTTATCAGGTAGAAGGCAGATGGGGGGAATAAAATGCCAACCTGTATCTACAGTTGGGTTGTGTTGATGATGAAGTGCTGTTTATTCAGGGCCAGCCTAGCTTGTCAGCAACATAAGAGCCACCGCAGCACATGACTCCCTGCGTAGCTAGAAGACAATAATAAATTATCCCCTATGCAAACAGCACCGGCATAAAAGCAGAACAAACACGCTCTGCCTCCTGGAATCCTGAAGATTCTCACTCATTCCCTTGTTTAATTCTGTTTTAAACATGAAACTCTTGACATTATCCCAAGGCCAGTAAGATCGAATCTGGCTTGGAGAGCTGATGAGAATCTGTTTTAGGGTTATTGTAAAATGTATTTTGTTTCTCTAACTTGCCTAGGTGATTCAAATAGTTTTTTGATTTATCAGTGCTTCATTTGGTCCTGTGGAATTTGGGGTCACCCAGGGGAAAACTGAGCTAGAGCACTTGAGGGACATGATGAAAATACAGTCTCTGCAGCCATAAAAAAGGATGAGGTCATGTCCTTTGCAGGGACATGGATGAAGCTGGAAGCCACCATCCTCAACAAACTAACATGGGAACAGAAAACCAAACACTGCATATTCTCACTCATAAGTGGGAGTTGAACAATGAGAACACATGGACACAGGGAGGGGAACAGCACACACTGGGGCCTGTTGGGGGGTTGGGGGGCGAGGGGAGGGAATCTAGATGATGGGTCAATAGGTGCAGCAAACCACCATGGCACACATATACCTATGTAACAAACCTGCGCATTCTGCACATGTATCCCAGGACTTAAAACAAAATTTTAAAAATTAAATTAAATTAAAAATAAACATACCTATACCATTCTGAAAAAAAAATAAAGAAAAAGAAAATATAGTCTTGATCCAGTGCCCAACCTGCTAAATGAGAACCTGTAGCAAATCGGCCCAGAAACGCACACCCTAAGGGGACTTTTATGATGAGGTTGCCATAGGAACAAAGAGCTGGCAGTGTGAGTCAGTACAAGTCCTGTGACAGTGCTGAGAGAGTCCAAAGGACTGGTTTGTAGGAAAATATATCAACTAATAAATCCCTCTCTGGAGTAGTGCTTTTCAGATTTCAACGTGCATTCCAATTCCTAGGATTGTTGGAAAATGCAGATCCTGCTTCAATAGGTCTAGTGTTTTGCCGGAGACTCTGCATTTCCAACAAGATGCCTGGTGTTGCCAATGCTTTTGGACTTGAGTCCATCGAGGTCCTAGAGCCATCAGTTTAACACAGAAGAATTAAAACAGTTTGGAGATCAGCCGGCATTTTTGAATAGGAAACTTTCCACAAGTGTGGCTTTGAACAGTGTTGATTCTACTGATTCTTAATCTTATGCTCAGATACAAATAAAACCTGCCCCCTCTTGTTTCAGTGACCCGGCCAGGAGTGTAGTGAGAATTTTGTTATATGTAAAAATCTCTTAGAAATGTGTGTCTTCTTTCAAGGGTTTATAAATGTATTTGGAGGCCTTTATATACATAACGAAAAATACTTAGAAAGGAAAACTGTAAGGCTTATTGTGCTGAAGCCTTCAGTTACTGGAAATAAGTTGTAGTTAGTTGTAGTCTCTTTTTATTTTTTTCAGGGCTATATCTTTTTTTACAGTTCATAGTTGCTACAAGTTTAGCAATGAGGTTCTTGATTCACCCTCAATGATGGTTTGAAATAATTTTATCTGTTGAACACACATTGTATATGAGTTTTGATTATTTAAAAAATCTCCTTTTAAATATTTAATGTCTTTCTATTGTGGATGAATTAATTTTTTAAACATCTACTTAAAGATTGTTATTAGGCCATTTGGAAAATAAATAAAAAGCATGAAAGCTGACAGTACACACTTTGGAACACACACTTCCAAAAGCATATGTTCCAAACGCATATGACTTATATGATCATAAATGTCATTACAATAGATCCTTGATGTTCATCAGCATGAGAATAGATCCTGAGACCTTTGTGGATTCGTATGTGCAATTCCTTGCAACCAAAAAAGGGAAAGTGGCCCAGTAAGATGCCAGATGAGAGTGGCTGCCTTGGAGTAGACAGCAAAGCCTCCTCGAAACATGGAAGCCCGTGATGGGCGGGGCCTGCCTGCCTACCTACCCAGGGTCTTGTGTGCCCTCTTCAGAGCCTCACAGACCTTGAGATTCAACTCAGCAGAATTACAGAGTACGGGTATGATGGCTTTTTGAAGTGGCTGGTAAATAGTCTAAGCCACAAATACCCAATCCACGAGTTTCAAAGAATGACCACATAGACATTAATGTGGGTATGGGGAAATCTGCAACTCTCTGCACGGCATCGTTCACATCTTCACAGTGGCTGTCCTAGGAGATGTGTGTGGCACTTCCACTTTCTGTGGTACACATTTCTGTGTTGTTTTAGTATCTTACCCATGACAGGCATAATTCTGATTGCTATTATAATCAGAAAAAATGAACAGAATCTTTTAAATCCCTTGAGTGCACATCATGGTGTTTTTTGTTGAGTGACACAATAGACTGTCAGTTGATGAATTATGTGGTATGATCATATATGTGCTAGGATAGATATATATGTGGACTATGATAGAAGATTATGGATGATGGAGCACAGGTTGATTTTGTGTACCTGTCTCTCCAGTCATCCGACAAACATTTCTTGAACAACTAGTATATGCCAGGCATTATGTTAGGGGCTAGCATATGTTCTTCACTGTACTTCTTTAAGGAAGAGAGACACCCACACAGAGAAAGTGGCTCTCATTGTAGTTAATAAAACTCAAAGACCGGACCGGGTGCGGTCTTACGCCTGTAAGCCCAGCACTTTGCAAGGATGAAGTGGGTGGATCAGTTGAGCCCAGGAGTTCGAGACCAGCCTGGGCAAAATGGCAGAACCTGACGCCTACAAAAAAATACAATAAATTAGCTGGGCATGGTGATACACACCTGTAGCCCCAGCTACTTGGGAGGCTGAACTGGGAGGATTGCTTGAGCCCAGGAGGCATAGGTTGCAGTGAGCCGAGATAACGCCACAGCACTCCAGCCTGGGTGACAGTGTGAGACCCTGTCTCAAAAATAAATAAATAAGTACATACATACAGTAAATAAAACTTGAAGCAGCCAGAACATTTTTGCAAATGATATGAGCCACATCTGGGTAATCTGAGGTATTGGGATCCCTTTCTGCAATTATTCATTCCTCCACAGCTGCCACATAGAACAAGCAAATCTGACATCACAGCTCTTTTAAAAATCTCCCAGAATTCTACACTGGAATAAAGATCACCCAGTAAACTCAGCTATGTTGATTCGTAGGAATTTCTCCTTGGAGTTAATAATAATCATTAGAAAAAAAATACAGGAAGAAATAACTTCCTCCTATTCTTATTGTGATAAATTGTAACAATAGCAGACATTCGTATATAGATCCTATAAGCGACAAGAGGGAAAATAGGATTTGCAAATTAAGCATCTGAATAAATATTTTAGAAAAAAATGTTTAGGATATCTGTTCTTTGTCTAAACTATTATTAATAATGGCAAAAACTCCTTTCTTACATGGTTTGGGAAAACAAACAAGCAAAGTGTATTTTAAGCCATAGCATGAAAGTTTCCACTCCTTCTCAAAGCAAACTGTATTTCACTTGCCTTAAATAATAAATATCTCTCCTAAATACATCATAAGACTGGACAAATTTGTGGAACAACTCCCCGCAGCTGGGCAGTTTGACATTAATATCAAATTTCCTGTTGTCGTTTCAGAATTGTCTATTTCACAGCAATATTACCAGTGACTTGAAAGCATTTACAGACAAGTTTGGTTTTGATGTCCTCATCCTGTTCTCCAGCTATCTGTCAGAGGAGCAGCAGCCGAGACGACAGATTGCTGTGTACTCAGAAAACATGGAGCTGTGCAGTCAGGTGAGCCCCTCCTCTGACCCCGTCATGTTCCCTCTGTCCTAACCTGCTGGCTCTCAGAACACACAGTGCAAGACAGAACAGATTGGTGGCTCATGAGCAATTAGCCCAAGAGGTAGAGTCCTAGAGGTTTGAGTTTTAGGAAATGATGGGGGTACTTTTTACATTTGGCCTTTTAAGAAAGCCCCAAAAGCATTTCTCTTCTTGACTGAATCCATAGTGCAAAACATTAGCTCTTTCTCATTCCCAAAAGAGCAAGTTCTCCTTTGGGTGCTATTTTCTTCTAGGACTGCTCCCTGATCATAACTGACAAGGTTTAGCCCCTGTCCCAGGACCGGTTTGGTGCCCAGTGTTTAAGACCTGGTGATCTGATGCTTTAATCAAAGTTAGTTTGTCTCCAGGTACCAGAACTCTGACTAGGTAATCAGTTATCCTCCAGGTTGATAGCTGAGTCTTTTAACCCAAGGCCTAGGAAATAAAAAAAAAAAAGAATTAGATAAATTAATCAAAATAGGCCATCGGATATACCAAGCCAGGTGTACTTAATAACTAATATGAGAACATACATGATTCATTATAATAGGAGCCACACGGGGCCCCAGATGCTTCATTACTTATTTCTCTTCACTAATGGATTCAATGCCTTATGTATCCATGGGTGGCTAGAGGCACAGTCTCTGCCCCTTTCTTTTCTACATCCTCCTTTCTGTCCCCCAAGAGCTCCACTGTAGCTCTCTTGACCCATGCCTATGGGTACTCTCGGGCTCTCTCAAGTCCGAATGTGAAAGAGCATCTCCTCCTCTGACCTGCATCACCAGCCTGTGGTTTTTTCATCACTTTCCTCTGCATTTGGTTTCAAAGCTAAATTTCATCTTTGGTCACTGGCTTCCCAGGGACGGGATTTAGGCCTTGGAAGCCTACAACATGGCGGCTTTCACATCACTTTTAGCAGTAGACCCCTTTTTCAAACCAATGTGAAAATTGGTTCATTGGAAACAGACAAAAGTAGAAGAGCAGATGAAGGAGTTAAAAGCTCTTGAGTTGACCCCAGTCCTCCTCTCTTCTCCCCACCCACCCTCCCCATCCTAGCAATAGCCAGAGGTGGATCGCTGGAATCTTAAGCAACAGAGTCCTGGCTCTGGCCTAGCGAGTTCCTCTTGGCCTGTGTGGTCACACCACTGGCCGAGTCAGCCTTTGCAGCTAGGTTGCCTGGGTACAGAACTCAGGCTCCAGCACTTGTTAGCTGTGTGTTGCTGGACAAGTTATTTAATCTTCCTGTATCTTCATTTCTTCATGGGTAAAATAGGAATAAAAAGAGTTCCTACCTTGTGGAATTACTGTGGTGATTAAAAGAGATAATGATCATAAAACCCTTAGAACCATGCCTGGCACATGAAAGCACTCAATAAATGTTAATTAGTAGTAGTAGTAGTATCTATGTGAGCTCCATGGTGGTAGTGGTGGTTGTTATTATTATTATTAATTTTATCTCTACTAATCCCGTGGGGCCATTTCAAAGGCCCAGCACAACAAAATACTCCTGACATTCCTTAAAAATCAGAAAGCCGTAACCCAGTTCTGGCCTCACACTGACCATCCGTCAGTGTCCCCTTGCCTCCCAGGTTAGCTTTGCCTGTTTTGGGCTCCATGCCTCCGTTACCTGGGGTGAAAGGGACTGAGGGGTCCTGAGTGCTGTTCGGAAAGATCAGACTGCGGGAGCATCTTTGTCTTTCCTACTCTCTCTTTTGCATTCTGAAGCTATCAGAGGTTCAAGCAGCCCTGGCTGCCCCCTCCCAAACAACAGCCTGTCTCCTGATATTGTCCCCTTATTCCAACACTTTTCCTATAGTTGTCAGCAACATGCATTATCTCTGCTTTTTTGCAACTCGAATTACATTGCTATTGGAAGATGGTATTATATTACAGTTAGGAAAGAATAGGTGGTTTAAACTCCTTTACCCAAACGTTCAGGAGCCTTCAAAATCGAGCACCTGGATTTTGAATTAAACAGAGAGACAGTTGGATAGAATTGGAGAAAGGGTTGGTGGTACAGTAATCAGAACTTTCTAAGTTTGAGATCTTCTTTTTCAGACAGATGAACACAGATTAATTTTATATTTAAAAATTAAGCGAGATAAATTGCAAAGTGCAATTGCAAAGTGCAACAGTGCTTGAGTGCTGACACAAATTCCTGTGCCTTCCGACAGATTTGCTGTGAGCTGGAAGAGTGTCAGAACCCTTGCCTAGAACTGGAGCCCTTTGACTGTGGCTGTGATGAGATCCTGGTGTACCAACAAGAGGACCCTTCAGTGACTTGTGATCAGGTGGTTCTCGTTGTCAAGGAAGTCATCAACAGGAGGTGTCCAGAGATGGTCTCCAATAGCCGGACATCCTCAACAGAAGCCGTGGCAGGCAGTGCCCCCCTCTCCCAGGGGTCTTCTGGGATTATGGAATTGTATGGTTCTGACATAGAGCCACAACCCAGCTCTGTGAATTTCATAGAGAACCCTCCAGATCTCAATGATTCTAACCAGGCTCAGGTGGATGCCAATGTAGACCTTGTTAGCCCAGACAGCGGACTGGCTACCATTAGGAGCAGCCGCTCATCCAAGGAGAGCTCTGTTTTCCTCAGTGACGACAGCCCCGTGGGAGAAGGTGCTGGGCCTCACCACACCCTTCTCCCAGGGCTTGACTCCTACAGCCCCATCCCTGAAGGGGCGGTGGCGGAGGAACATGCATGGTCTGGAGAACACGGTGAGCACTTCGACCTCTTCAATTTTGACCCAGCACCCATGGCTTCTGGGCAGTCCCAGCAATCTTCTCATTCTGCAGACTACTCCCCAGCAGATGACTTCTTCCCCAACAGTGACCTGTCAGAAGGACAGCTCCCCGCTGGGCCTGAAGGACTTGATGGCATGGGAACCAACATGTCTAATTATTCATCCAGTTCACTTTTGTCAGGGGCTGGCAAAGATAGCCTTGTGGAACATGATGAGGAGTTTGTCCAGAGACAAGACAGTCCCAGAGATAACTCTGAAAGAAATTTGAGCCTGACAGATTTTGTGGGAGATGAATCCCCTTCCCCAGAAAGGCTAAAAAATACTGGAAAGAGGATCCCACCAACACCCATGAATAGTTTAGTAGAAAGCTCGCCATCCACTGAAGAACCAGCCTCACTCTATACAGAAGATATGACCCAAAAAGCAACTGACACAGGTCACATGGGGCCACCTCAGACCCATGCACGGTGCAGCAGCTGGTGGGGTGGTTTGGAAATTGACTCCAAAAATATTGCAGATGCGTGGAGTTCCAGTGAACAGGAATCTGTTTTCCAGAGCCCTGAATCATGGAAAGAGCATAAGCCAAGCTCCATTGATAGGAGAGCCTCAGATTCTGTATTTCAACCAAAGAGCCTCGAATTTACAAAGTCAGGTCCCTGGGAGTCTGAATTTGGTCAGCCTGAACTGGGTAGCAATGATATTCAAGACAAAAATGAGGAAAGCTTGCCGTTCCAGAACCTGCCCATGGAGAAGTCACCTTTGCCAAATACATCTCCCCAAGGAACAAACCACCTGATAGAAGACTTTGCTTCTTTGTGGCATTCTGGTCGCTCTCCCACAGCCATGCCCGAGCCCTGGGGAAATCCTACAGATGATGGTGAACCAGCAGCTGTGGCGCCATTCCCAGCCTGGAGTGCATTTGGTAAAGAAGATCATGATGAAGCTTTAAAAAATACCTGGAATTTGCACCCAACAAGCAGCAAGACACCTTCTGTTAGGGACCCGAATGAGTGGGCCATGGCAAAAAGTGGGTTTGCCTTTTCTTCTTCAGAACTACTGGACAATTCACCCAGTGAGATAAACAATGAAGCAGCTCCAGAAATCTGGGGCAAGAAAAACAATGACTCCAGGGATCACATCTTTGCACCTGGAAATCCCAGTTCTGATCTGGATCACACATGGACTAATTCTAAGCCACCAAAAGAAGATCAGAATGGTTTAGTGGATCCTAAAACTAGGGGCAAGGTATATGAAAAGGTAGATTCCTGGAACCTTTTTGAGGAGAATATGAAGAAAGGAGGGTCAGATGTCCTAGTTCCTTGGGAAGATTCCTTCTTATCTTACAAATGTTCTGATTACAGTGCATCCAACCTAGGAGAAGATTCGGTGCCTTCCCCCTTAGATACCAATTATTCCACCTCAGACTCTTACACATCACCAACATTTGCTGGAGACGAAAAGGAAACTGAACACAAGCCATTTGCTAAAGAGGAAGGTTTTGAGTCAAAAGATGGTAACTCCACGGCAGAGGAGACTGACATTCCTCCTCAGTCACTGCAACAGTCATCTCGAAATCGAATCAGTTCAGGTCCTGGGAACCTAGACATGTGGGCTTCACCTCATACAGATAACAGTTCTGAAATAAATACCACTCACAACCTGGATGAAAATGAACTCAAGACAGAGCACACAGATGGTAAGAATATCTCCATGGAGGATGACGTCGGGGAAAGCAGCCAGTCCAGTTACGACGACCCCAGCATGATGCAACTGTACAATGAAACAAACCGACAACTCACACTTTTGCACAGCAGCACCAACTCCCGGCAGACGGCCCCTGACAGTCTCGACTTGTGGAACAGAGTGATTTTGGAGGATACTCAGTCCACTGCAACGATCTCAGATATGGACAATGATTTGGACTGGGATGACTGCAGTGGGGGTGCGGCAATCCCCAGTGATGGTCAAACAGAAGGATACATGGCTGAAGGTTCCGAGCCGGAAACCCGATTTACAGTGAGACAGCTGGAACCCTGGGGCTTGGAGTATCAGGAAGCAAATCAGGTAGATTGGGAGCTCCCTGCCTCTGATGAGCATACCAAGGACAGTGCTCCCAGTGAACATCACACATTGAATGAGAAAAGTGGGCAGCTAATTGCAAACAGTATTTGGGATTCTGTCATGAGAGATAAAGACATGTCATCATTCATGTTACCAGGCTCCTCACATATCACAGATTCAGAGCAAAGGGAATTGCCTCCTGAAATCCCCAGCCATTCAGCAAATGTTAAAGACACTCATTCCCCAGATGCGCCAGCAGCCTCTGGAACCAGTGAATCAGAGGCACTTATATCTCATCTTGACAAGCAGGACACAGAGAGGGAAACCCTGCAAAGTGATGCAGCATCCTTGGCGACTAGGCTTGAGAATCCAGGGTATTTTCCACACCCAGATCCATGGAAAGGTCATGGCGATGGACAAAGTGAAAGTGAGAAGGAAGCCCAGGGAGCCACTGACAGGGGGCACCTTGATGAAGAGGAGGTGATCGCCTCTGGTGTGGAGAATGCCTCAGGGATTTCTGAAAAAGGGCAGAGTGACCAGGAACTGTCTTCTCTGGTTGCATCTGAACATCAGGAAATCTGCATTAAATCAGGCAAAATCAGCTCTCTTGCTGTCACTTTCAGTCCTCAAACCGAGGAACCAGAGGAAGTTTTAGAGTATGAGGAGGGGTCTTACAATCTAGACTCCCGTGATGTGCAAACAGGGATGTCCGCAGATAACCTGCAGCCAAAAGATACCCATGAAAAACACCTCATGAGTCAAAGAAATTCAGGTGAAACTACTGAGACTTCAGATGGGATGAATTTCACAAAATATGTATCTGTACCTGAAAAGGATCTTGAGAAAACTGAAGAATGTAACTTTCTAGAGCCAGAGAACGTGGGTGGAGGGCCACCTCACAGAGTTCCCCGAAGTCTTGATTTTGGGGACGTCCCTATAGACAGTGATGTGCATGTCAGCAGCACATGTTCTGAGATAACCAAAAATCTTGACGTTAAGGGGTCTGAAAATAGCCTTCCAGGAGCCGGTTCGTCTGGAAATTTTGACAGAGATACTATTTCTAGTGAGTATACTCATTCAAGTGCATCAAGTCCTGAGTTAAATGACTCTTCAGTTGCACTGTCCTCCTGGGGCCAGCAACCCAGTTCTGGGTATCAAGAAGAAAACCAAGGCAACTGGAGTGAACAGAATCACCAAGAATCTGAACTAATTACCACTGATGGCCAAGTAGAAATAGTTACCAAAGTGAAGGATTTAGAGAAAAACAGAATAAATGAGTTTGAAAAGAGCTTTGATCGCAAAACTCCTACATTTTTAGAGATCTGGAATGACTCAGTTGATGGTGATTCCTTTTCCTCTTTATCCAGTCCTGAAACAGGCAAATATTCTGAACATTCAGGGACACATCAGGAAAGCAATCTAATTGCTAGCTACCAGGAGAAAAATGAACATGACATTTCTGCAACTGTGCAGCCAGAGGATGCCAGGGTCATTTCAACAAGCTCAGGTTCTGATGATGACAGTGTCGGTGGTGAAGAGTCAATAGAGGAAGAGATCCAGGTGGCCAACTGCCACGTTGCTGAGGATGAATCCAGAGCTTGGGATTCATTGAATGAATCTAATAAGTTCTTGGTCACAGCTGATCCTAAGTCTGAAAATATTTATGACTACCTAGACAGCTCAGAGCCAGCAGAGAATGAGAATAAGTCAAACCCATTCTGTGACAATCAACAAAGCAGCCCTGATCCCTGGACTTTCTCACCATTAACGGAGACTGAAATGCAGATTACAGCAGTGGAGAAGGAGAAGAGATCTTCTCCAGAAACAGGGACAACAGGAGATGTTGCATGGCAAATATCTCCCAAAGCTTCGTTCCCAAAGAACGAAGATAATTCTCAACTGGAAATGCTGGGCTTCTCAGCTGATAGCACTGAGTGGTGGAAGGCCTCACCCCAGGAAGGGAGACTAATTGAAAGTCCATTTGAAAGGGAGCTGTCTGACTCCAGTGGTGTGTTGGAGATAAATTCTTCAGTACACCAAAATGCCAGTCCCTGGGGAGTACCAGTTCAGGGTGATATTGAGCCCGTGGAAACACACTATACTAATCCTTTTAGTGACAACCATCAGTCACCCTTTCTGGAAGGTAATGGGAAGAACTCCCATGAGCAACTCTGGAACATTCAACCAAGGCAGCCAGACCCAGATGCTGACAAGTTCAGCCAGCTTGTAAAATTAGACCAAATTAAAGAAAAGGACTCAAGAGAGCAAACCTTTGTGTCTGCTGCTGGTGATGAGCTGACTCCTGAAACACCTACCCAAGAGCAGTGTCAGGACACCATGCTGCCAGTCTGTGATCATCCGGACACAGCCTTTACTCACGCAGAGGAAAATAGTTGTGTTACATCTAATGTTTCAACTAATGAAGGTCAAGAAACAAATCAGTGGGAACAAGAAAAATCATACCTAGGTGAGATGACAAATTCAAGCATTGCCACAGAAAATTTTCCTGCTGTCAGTTCTCCCACCCAACTGATAATGAAGCCAGGCTCTGAATGGGATGGCTCTACCCCAAGTGAGGACTCCCGAGGTACCTTTGTGCCAGATATTTTACATGGCAACTTTCAAGAGGGTGGGCAGCTGGCCTCTGCCGCGCCTGACTTGTGGATAGATGCTAAGAAGCCCTTCAGTTTGAAAGCAGATGGTGAGAATCCTGATATCCTGACGCACTGCGAACATGACAGCAATTCTCAGGCTTCCGACAGCCCTGATATATGTCACGATTCTGAAGCAAAGCAAGAGACTGAGAAGCACCTCAGTGCTTGCATGGGACCTGAAGTGGAATCCAGTGAGCTTTGTCTCACTGAGCCAGAGATAGATGAAGAACCCATTTATGAGCCTGGACGGGAGTTTGTCCCATCCAATGCAGAACTCGATTCTGAAAACGCAACTGTGCTGCCTCCAATTGGCTATCAAGCAGACATAAAGGGCTCCTCTCAGCCCGCCTCTCATAAAGGTTCACCTGAACCTTCTGAAATAAACGGTGACAACAGTACAGGTTTACAAGTATCAGAAAAAGGAGCCAGCCCAGATATGGCACCAATTTTGGAACCAGTTGACAGAAGAATCCCAAGGATTGAAAATGTGGCAACTAGCATTTTTGTAACTCACCAAGAGCCAACTCCAGAAGGTGACGGTTCTTGGATATCAGACAGCTTTTCTCCTGAAAGTCAGCCTGGTGCAAGAGCTTTGTTTGATGGTGATCCACATTTATCCACAGAGAATCCTGCCTTGGTTCCTGATGCTTTGCTAGCCTCAGACACTTGTCTGGATATAAGCGAAGCTGCCTTTGACCACAGTTTCAGCGATGCCTCAGGTCTCAACACATCCACGGGAACAATAGATGACATGAGTAAACTGACATTATCCGAAGGCCATCCGGAAACGCCAGTTGATGGGGACCTAGGGAAGCAAGATATCTGCTCATCTGAAGCCTCGTGGGGTGATTTTGAATATGATGTAATGGGCCAGAATATCGATGAAGATTTACTGAGAGAGCCTGAACACTTCCTGTATGGTGGTGACCCTCCTTTGGAGGAAGATTCTCTGAAGCAGTCGCTGGCACCGTACACACCTCCCTTTGATTTGTCTTATCTCACAGAACCTGCCCAGAGTGCTGAAACAATAGAGGAAGCTGGGTCTCCAGAGGATGAATCTCTGGGATGCAGAGCAGCAGAGATAGTGCTTTCTGCACTTCCTGATCGAAGAAGTGAGGGAAACCAGGCTGAGACCAAAAACAGACTGCCTGGATCCCAGCTGGCTGTGCTGCATATTCGTGAAGACCCTGAGTCCGTTTATTTGCCGGTAGGAGCAGGCTCCAACATTTTGTCTCCATCAAACGTTGACTGGGAAGTAGAAACAGATAATTCTGATTTACCAGCAGGTGGAGACATAGGACCACCAAATGGTAAGAAACATTCCATTCTTCCACTTCCAAGAAACTGCTGCGTTGATTAAACTAGTGCATATTTGTAAGACACACTCTTCCTACCAATGAGGGTAGAGAGAAAACTAACTACATTTTCAAGGCATGCCTCACTAAGTCCTGTATTATAACAGCAGTAAAATCTAGTGCATATGTAATACCTATTCCTGATAGTGCACGAGAAAATCGAATGACTCTACAAAATAAAAATATTTTCTAGCTGGGCGCGGTGGCTCACGCCTGTAATCTCAGCACTTTGGGAGGCCAAGGAGGGGGGATCACCTGATGTCAGGTGTTCGAGACCAGCCTGGGCAGCATGGTGAAACCCCATGTCTACTAAAAATACAAAAATTAGCTGGGCGTGGGGGCAGGTGCCTGTAGTCCCAGCTACTCGGGAGGCTGAGGCAGAAGAATAGCTTGAAACCAGGAGGTGGAGGTTGCAGTGAGCCGAGATCACACCATTGCACTCTATCCTGGGTGACAGAGCGGGACTCTGTCTCAAATGAATGAATGAATAAATAAATAAAATATATAAAAAATATTAAATTACCTCTTTTAGATGATCATTTGCAAGGATCACAAATCACACAATGTGTTAATTAAACCTTTTTCTCCTCTTCTCACTTTCAACTTCCACTTCTAGGTGCCAGCAAGGAAATATCAGAATTGGAAGAAGAAAAAACAATTCCTACCAAAGAGCCTGAGCAGATAAAATCAGAATACAAGGAAGAAAGATGTACAGAGAAGAATGAAGATCGTCATGCACTACACATGGATTACATACTTGTAAACCGTGAAGAAAATTCACACTCAAAGCCAGAGACCTGTGAAGAAAGAGAAAGCATAGCTGAATTAGAATTGTATGTAGGTTCCAAAGAAACAGGGCTGCAGGGAACTCAG
Source organism: Homo sapiens (assembly GCF_000001405.40). NCBI lineage: Eukaryota > Metazoa > Chordata > Mammalia > Primates > Hominidae > Homo > Homo sapiens. The sequence continues at coordinate 76,703,842 of NC_000009.12, read as the reverse complement.
TTAGCAAGCTTCCCAGACACATGTCAGCCAGCCTCCTTAAATGAAAGAAAAGGTCTCTCTGCAGAGAAAATGTCTTCTAAAAGCGATACGAGATCATCTTTTGAAAGCCCTGCACAAGACCAGAGTTGGATGTTCTTGGGCCATAGTGAGGTTGGTGATCCATCACTGGATGCCAGGGACTCAGGGCCTGGGTGGTCTGGCAAGACTGTGGAGCCGTTCTCTGAACTCGGCTTGGGTGAGGGTCCCCAGCTGCAGATTCTGGAAGAAATGAAGCCTCTAGAATCTTTGGCACTAGAGGAAGCCTCTGGTCCAGTCAGCCAATCACAGAAGAGTAAGAGCCGAGGCAGGGCTGGCCCGGATGCAGTTACGTTGCAGGCTGTCACCCATGACAATGAATGGGAAATGCTTTCACCACAGCCTGTTCAGAAAAACATGATCCCTGACACGGAAATGGAGGAGGAGACAGAGTTCCTTGAGCTCGGAACCAGGATATCAAGACCAAATGGGTAAGCAAAAAGCTAGATTTATTTTTTTTCCTGAAAAGCAATTTATTTAGAAACCTGGGAAATGGTTAGAGGTTATGGAATATGAGGAATACCTGGATGATAGCAGCTTTGCTTATATTGAATGCAAGGCACACCATCAGTAAAAGCAGCTACTAGATAACTATAACCATAATGATAATTTATGTACATTTTCAGCCAAAAAGCCCCTTCAATTTTCATTCAGTCTTATACCTACCCCCCAACTGCCACCCCACCTACTTGAATACCTACATGACTCTTCAACAGGCAGTTGGGAATACAAGGAAGTGACACTAACATTTAATCAGCACCTACTATGTGCAAGGCAGTTTGCATACATTATCTCATTTAATCCTAACATGCCAGTGGGGGGAATGGAAGGAGTAGGGTTGAGTAGGGGGATTCAAGGCTCAGAAATTTTCTATAATTTGCCTAGAATTAAGTAACCAGAGTGAACACCTGGGATTCGAAGCTTGCCACCTCCAAAGCCTGTACTTTCTCAGTTGACACACCGCTTAGCATACAGAGGCATTTTCATATTTTCAAATACAAGGCATTTTCTGGTTTTATGTAAGCACCTAACTTATAGTTAGATAAGAGACAGGCTCCACAGCAGTCTCCAAATCTCAGTGTAACACATTCATTCCCTAATTGGCAGAGAAATTGGCAAACTGTCATTAAATCAGTGATTCATTCATTCATTCATTCACCATGTGGTTTTTGAGAGCTTGCTCTGTGCCGTGGTTCTGGGTAGCCAATGGGCATATATCAGGGAATAGGATGTCATCACTGCCCTCAAGCTTCCAGTCTCTGCTGAAACTGTTTAGCATTCTTCATTTCTCTTCATTTGTGTTTATGAAGCCCACCTGCTTCCAGGGACAAAAGAACAAATTGTGAAAAGTAACTTAAGTAACGGGGAAAGTCATGTTTTCTCCTTAAAATGTAATAGAGAAAAGATATCGGCCAGGTGCGGTGGTTCATACCTGTAATCCCAACACCTTGGGAGCCCAAGGTGAGTGGATCACTTGAGGTCAGGAGTTTGAAACCACCCTGGCTAACATGGTGAAACCCCGTCTCTACTAAAAATTCAAAACTTAGCTGGGGTGGTGGCAGCACCTGTAATCCCAGCTACTTGGGAGGCTGAGACAGGAGAATTGCTTGAACCTGGGAGGTGGAGGTTGCAGTGAGCCGAGATCGTGTGACTGCACTCCAGCCTGAGTGACAGAGCCAGACTCCGTCTCAAAAAAAAAAAAAAGCGAGAAAAGATATATTTTTGCTACTCAGCTTGGGAGTGTAAAGGACTATACACATCACATACCCACAGTGAGTCAAGGAATCTGGATTCCAGCCTGCCTCTACCATGACTGATTATACATTTTAGGATTAATCCCAGGCTTAGGTTTTCTCATGCGTAAAATTAGTGAGTTGGGCTGAAAGATCTCAAGGCTTCCTGCAGTATTAAATTCTGGGAACTTAATTTGTGTGGAAACAGAATGTGTCCAGGGGAGCTTTGGCATTCACAAATTACATTTCTTGATGAAAGGAACAAGGACAATGGAAAGAATAGCTGGGGTATGTTGAGGATTAGCCAAGTGCAGAAGGGGTTAAAAGCTCTACCATATTCCAGGGCAGCTTCATAAATCCAGACATTGTCAGCTGGCCTAATCCTTCTTTCTTCCTGTCAAGCTATTTTCTTCCAGAGAGACCCCAGATCCGTTATCAGAAAGAGAGTAGCAGATGGATCCCAGCAGCCCTGCTGGCATTGTTATAGATTGAGCTCAGAACTCAGGCAGCCATGAGTTGGCTGAGCTATTGTTTGGCTTCTTGTGTGCATTTTGCACATGCCCCGAGATCCAACAGATGACAGTCAGTGTTCAATTGTGCCACCAGCACCTTTTCTTTCAACAAGATTTCTTTGCTCATCCCTTTCTGCTCAGCTTTTGTAGTACTGAAACTTTTCTCACAATGGGGATGGGGCAGATTTTCCCTCCGGCATGTGTATTATCTTTTGCATAAATAATTTACTGTGAATGTGTAAGTCTCCCTCTGTGCTAGATTTTGGGAGAATAAAGAGTTGTCTAAAACTGTGGTTCTCTAAGTGGGGTCCTAAGAACAGCAGCATCAGTATCACCTGAGTACTTGTTAGAAATGCAAATTATCGGCTCCGACTCAGACCTCCGGAATCAGGAACTCTGGGGGTGAGGCCCAGCCAGCTGAGCTTCAGCAACTCCTGATGCCCTCCAAAGCTTGAGAACCACTGGTTTAAAACATACTGTCAGCCGTCTAGGAGTTTACAGTTTAACTAAAGAGTTAGACATAAGTAAAAAGGTAGATAGCAGTGTAATATTTAAGTCAAGCTAGTCAATGCCCAATGTCAGTTTAAGTATAAAATGGGTACTAACTACAGGCTATTTGCTGTTGGACCAGGTGTTAAGCACTCTGCGCTATTTCACTTTACATAGGGCAACCCTGCGAGACAAGAATTATACAAGTGAGGAAATAAGAGGAGAGATATCTGTTTCGGGCGCCTTTATGGAGCAGGCAGCAGGAATGGCTTATTCTCTGTCAGACACAGGAGACAGAGTGCCCAGGGCCCATGATACTTTAAGGAGCCCATGAGAATATTTTCTTTTATAGTCAGAAGAAAAAATTATTATACTTTCAAGTGGATTTGTCTTTATACCAACAAAGTTATAAAATAAATTTTTAAAAAATGTTTTAATGACAGAAGGGGCTTATGAAGGCACTCCTCAAGGGGCTTATGAAAGTCACTAAAGGAAAGGTCATAATTTGGAAAGGCAAAGAAGAGGGTAAGAAGCTAGCTGAGTGAACTGGGATGAATACTATGAAGGAAGCCATGGGGACAGGAAGGTAATCACAGAAGCAAAACAATGAGATAGCTGTGGTTTCCCAAACAAAAACCTGGAAACATCTTCTGACACATAATCTGATCATAGAACAGAAGATCCAAAATCAAGACCATTCTGCAAAAAAGAAAATTAAGAAAGCCTCTTCTTAAATAGAAATAGGTTCATAGTATGTGCAATATGACTCACCAGCTGCAAATCAGCTTCTTCCCTCCCCTCCTTCAGCCTCAGCCTCTCTTAGCTGCCAAACTGTTTTGAGAGCTGCAAGCCACATTTTGAAAATCTGAGAAAGCATGAGAAAAATGCCTTTTCTCCTCATATGCCACCTACTGACTCTTGTTAACAAAACTTGTTACTAGGGCTGAAAGATAACCTCTCTCCCTTGAGATTTGCAGCACTGCATTCATGTTCCCTAGGATCAATCTTTCCAGAATCCTTTGCCAACACCTTGGTCATCCTCCAGCTATAGACCTGTCCAGCAGGGGATCAAATACCAGTTCCCCAAGACAGTGATGGATGTGCCTGATCTTTCCTACATAGTCACAAAGAACATTTGCAGGGTAATCTGTAGCACACAGACCTTTCTTAAAAGGAAGAAACATTTAGCTGTTTATTTTAAAGAAAGCATGATTGGAAGAATGATGTGTGAAGAAAGGGGTAATTTGGTTACATGTTAGGGTTTTTCAGAAAAACAGAACAAATAGGAGATATCTGTATTTAGATCTCCATCTTGCTATCTAGCTAGCTACTGAGAGAATTTTAAGGAATTGGCTCATGCGATTATGGGGGCTGGCAAGTCTGAAGTCTATAGGGCAAGCTGGCAGCCTGGAAACTCAAGGAAGAGTCAGCATTGCAGTCGTGAATGTGAGTTCTGCAGGGCTGCAGGCTGGAAATGCAGGCAGGTTTCTGGGCTGCAGTCTTCAGGAGAATTCCTTCTTCTTCAGGAAACTTCAGACTTTGCTATTAAGACCTTTATCTGATTGGATGAAGGCCCCCTCACATTATGGAAGGTAATTTGCTTTACTCAAAGTCTGCCTATTTCAATGTTAATCACATCTAAAAAAATACTTTTACAACAACATCTAAACTGGTGTCTGACCAAATAACTGGGCACCATAGCCTAGCCAAGTCGAAACATAAACATTAACTATCACAGGTTATAGTAAAAAATCTGATCTATATGTTAAACAAGGATTAAGTCATTAAAATTTTAAAAGTCACTATCTGAATTATATGAAAATGTGATAATCGATATATAGATATATTGGCTTTCCATAGATATGAGCAAGGAAATAATGTGCAAGGGAATTTTAAAAAATCATTTCCAAGAGGATTGAGAAAAGGGATGATATTCAACTGATGAATCTTTTGGAGATACAGGCAGCCATGGGGGATGGAGGGAGGGGGTGGGGGTGGGGTGGGGAAGGAGAAGAGAGGAAATCGTTGTGTCATGTACTTTTGAAACAGTATTGAGACATCACCTGACCCTCATACTTGTGGAGCTGTATCTTGTTTCCTAGCTCTGTGAGGTGAGGTATTCAGTATTCCCTGAAATAAAGATGACCTTCGAACACAGTGTATTTGGTTCTATGGTGATCTGTCTGCATCTTTTCTTTTTAAATTAGTAATTTTCACCTTTTTTCATGTCTGATAACATTGTAGAAAAGAATTTATCTTTCTGCTTATGAGTGACACCGTGAGATCTTTTTGTTTTTCGTGAAGTCAGACTTTTTCTGTCTATGACTTATGGTTGGGGAGTTTAGTACATTGGGTCTTTTATCCACGTGAATGTTGAAAATGAGAAATAGATTTTAAAAATCAGTTGACTCTTTCTCTCAGTGTTGGATAATGGGAACCCTGAGAAACATCAGGCAGACCAAGCTGTACCCCAGTTCTGAACATTTGCCGTTTCTCAGAGGTGAGTTGATGCTCTCTAAACTCCAGTGCGCCCTTGCCTATTCACCATTTTTGGGCTTTGCCCTGTACCAAACCTGGAAGAACAAACTTAGCACTGACTCTGTGTTCATTTATTTTTGTAATTATATTTGATCTGTTGGTGTGGTATGTTGGTGAGTTGGTGGTGATAAGTATCATTAAAAGTCCTTTGCCGGGCACGGTGGCTCACGCCTGTAATCTCAGCACTTCGGGAGGCCAAAGCGGGTGGATCACCTGAGGTCACGAGTTTGAGACCAGCCTAGCCAACACGGCAAAACCCCGTCTGTACTAAAAATACAAAAATTAGCCAGGCATGGTGGCACACGCCTGTAATCCCAGCTACTCGGGAGGCTGAGGCAAGAGAATCGCTTGAACCCAGGAGGCGGAGGTTGCAGTGAGCCGAGATCACACCACTTCATTCCAGCCTGGGTGAAAGACCAAAACTTTGTCAAAAAAAAAAAAAAATCCTTTACATTTGCAGTTTAATTCAGGACTTAGTCTCTTTCCTTCATTTCCTTCTTCTCTCTTGCTTTCTCTCTCTGTCATGCCCTCCACCCACTTCTACATTTCTGGCCAGCCCTACCCAGAGCAGACTTTCCATAGTAAGTGCTTGCAGACTGACAAATAGATTATTTTCTTTGGTCCACCCAAATGACACTTGAGATAGACAGGGCAAGTGTTCCTCTCCCCATTTCCCAGCCAGATGAGCAAACTGACTTAACACATGAACTGCTTCATGTCATCCAGAAATGAGAAAGTGGTGAGGTTAGGACCTAAATTTAAGTCTTCTCTGTCTAGCCCAGTGGTTGTCAATGAAACACAGCTGCCCAAACAAGCATTTCTCTTGAGCTGCTTCTATAGGTTGATGTTTTCATTCCTGTTCTCCCGTTATCTCGTTGAAAGGCACATAAAGTGTAACAGGAGATATTTTGAGACAGACTGAGCCAGAACCCATGCCTGACTCCTCAGACTGTCTTGTGACCTACTGGGCTTTTTTGATACCTGAGTAAATATTTGCTCCCACGGTGGATCTGTGAGTGCTTGTGCCATGTCAGTGGGCTGCTCCCCATCTGTGGTGTGTGGGACCAACTCGAGTGGTTGGAGGCCAGAGGGAAGGGAGAGCATCAAAGCCCCTCAATGTTCATTTACGTTTTCCAAATATTTATAGGTGTGGTATTTTGTGGTGAGGGATTTTACAGCCAGAGAGAGCCACAAGTGCCAAGATGAGGTGGTGCAACTCTGTTTCCCCGTGGGAGGAACGCCCACAAAGGAGTCCATTTGTGTTGTATTGGCTTCTAGTTTGAGGAAAAACCCAAGGTGCTTCTCTGGCTGGAAACTTGAAACATCACAACTAGTGGCATTGCTTGCTTTAGGGGGAAAAAAATCTCTATGAAAATTGCTGGTATTTGAGGAAGACAAGAAGCCATGACTTTCGAAAGCAGGGTATATTCGCATATCAGGGGCACAGCAAGAAAGTGATGACACATTCAAATTAGGAAAATTTGAGAGATTTAATAAAGAGAGTATTTACGAAGATGGAGGCAAAGTGTGAGGAACTCACAAGGAATAGTGCGTAGCCCAAGAACAGGAGCAGTACGGCTGTTATTCTTCCTAGACCCCAGGAGTGGGGAGACAGAGTGATGACCAGAACCCAGAAAGACTATTTCAGGTAGAAAAGGCCACCCTGAAAGGCATAGTGACCTAGTGTGAGGGACACGGCCAGCGGGAGGCACTCCCGCCTCTTCCCCCGCATCTCCCACCAGGGATCCTCACTGGTCAAAACCTAGTGGAGGCTGGGCGTGGCGCCTCATGCCTGTAATCCCAGCATTTTGGGAGGCCAAGGCGGGCAGATCACTTGAGGTCAGGAGTTTGAGACCATCCTGGCCAACATGGAGAAACCCCGTCTCTACTAAAAATACAAAAATTAGCTGGGTGTGGTGGCGGGCACCTGTAGTCCCAGCTACTCGGGAGACTGAGGCATGAGAATGACTTGAACCTGGGTGGGGGAGGTTGCAGTGAGCCGAGATCATGCCATTGCACTCCAGCCTGGATAACAAACAAACAAACAAACAAAAAACCTAGTGGAAGTCGGAGGGTGAGGGAGGCTTGGGGCAGAAAGCAAAATGGAGAAAGTAGGAGAGTAGAGCTGACGAAGCAAACAGAAGCTGTTCAGTGCAGCTAGCCGAATTGGAGAGTGGTGGACCTCAGCCTCTGAAAACTGTCCTGAGATGTTCCTGTGCACGATTAGTTAACTGTTTCTCCAGTACATTGGAGGATCAGTTTCTGAGATCTATGTAAGAGTTCTTCAGGAACAAAGGCTATCAAAAAGTCAGTGCAGGATTGGGTAACCCTTTGTAGAAGTCCAAGCTGCCGGTTCTGAACCAGCAGGGAATACTTGCTGACGTCGGAGACATTTTGGTTGTCACAACTGGGGTGGGTACTGCTGTCATCTAATGGGCAGAGGCCAGGGATGCAGTTACATATCCTACAGTGCACAGGAGTGCCCCCCGCCACACAGGGTTATCCAGCCCCAAATGTCAACACTGCCAGTGTCGAGAACTCTGCTCCATCTCTCTGCCTTATTTTATTGCTACTACTTTTTTTTTTCCATCTGAAAAGATCTTCTATTTACTTATTTATTTAATTGATTCTGTTGCATCTGTCTCCACCTATGAGAGTATAACCCCCAAGAAAGCAGGAGTTTGGTTTGTCTTGTTCATCACGGTACCCCTGTTGCTTAGAATAGCACCTGCCACATGTTAGACACCCCATAAATAGGCCTGATTGAATGAATAGAAAAGAAAGGGTAGTTTGCTCAACATAATTTGCTTCTAATGACACTGTGATAATTTCTGGCATTTGTTGCTTCTTTTCCCAAGGGAGATGTGCTAGTTTTAGTTTGGAAGGAATATGCATCTTTCTTTTCTCAAGTTACCAAATCCATCTTTTTCCTTCTTTTGTAATTTGAGGCCATAGTTACCCATTTTCAGTGTTCCCATGCCTTTCTTGTTCATTACAGTTCCTCCAAGATTCTTTCAGCCTTTCAGTTTTCTTAGAGTTTTGTTAGTCACTCATCCTCATGGGGAGAAAATAGGTGTGTCTGTTCAATTTTCCTTCTTGGTCATCTGTTGCCTATACCATGGGTATTATAATCTCTTCACCTTGAAATAACTTCTCCTGGCTGGGCGCGCTGGCTTATGCCTGTAATCCCAGCACTTTGCAAGGCTGAGTCGGGCAGATCACGTGAGGTGAGGAGTTCGAGACCAGCCTGACCAACATGGTGAAATCCCATCTCTTCTAAAAATACAAAAAAATTAGCCAGGCGTGGTGGCACACACCTGTAATCCCAGCTACTTGGGAGGCTGAGGCAGGAGAATTGCTTGAACCTGGGAGATGGAGATCGCAGTGGGCTGAGATTGTACCACTGCACTTCAGCCCAGGTGAACGAGTGAGACCATCTCAAATAATAATAATAATAACTTTTTTTATTAGAGAGGAACATGGTTTTATTTAATTAGTCATCTATTATACCATCAACTCAAGCAGCTGTTGATAATATGTAATCTTCAAAGACCTTTTTATATTTATTTTTTAAACTTCCATTTATTAAATAATAATTTAAAAGTATTAATTAGGCTCTCAGAGAATAACTAAAACTCCACTGGAGAATTTGACATCTACGTGCCCTTTTTTTCAACATAATAGAATGCTATTTACTGCAGTTAAGCAGTAATTCTTATTTAAAAAAAATTTTTTTTAACTGCCTTTGTATAATGAATAAAATAATGCATTTCCTCAAATGCCCAGCATACTCTGAGTTAGGACTGTTTTGCCCTGGCACAATCTGTGAGAACATCTTGCAAGACAAAAAGGAGTATTACTGGTGATAACCTATGTCCCACATTTCCATTTAATGAAGTATTACTTAAAATGTTTTTAAGGTATCTATGATTGGCCTGATGACAATAACTTAATCACTGTGCCTGGCCAACTGCTAAGTTCCAAAACAGATATTATTATTTAAAACAGAATTAGGCCGGATGTGGTGGCTCACACCTGTAATCCCAGCGCTTTGGGAGGCCAAGGTGAGAGGATCACCTGAGGCCAGGAGTTCAAAACCAGCCTGGCCAATATGGTGAAACCCTGTCTCTACTAAAAATACAAAAATTAGTTGGGCATGGTGACACATGCCTGGAATCCCAGCTACTCAGGAAGCTGAGGCTGGAGAATCATTTGAACTTGGGAGGCAGAGGTTGCAGTGAACCGAGATCTCACCACTGCACTCCAGCCTGGGCGAACCTGGGCAACAGAGCTAGGCTCCGTCTCAAAAAAAAAACGAAACAAAACAAATAAAACAGAATTAGTTACAGTGTCTGTTCTGTAGCCTTCAGTTGCTGCCTTTCCCAAATGGGGAAGGAAGCCCCTTCTAATGAGCCAGCACTTCTTAAAGACAAGATCCCCATTTTCAGCCTTTGCCCTGGGCAGACATTCCCAAGATACAACCAGCTCCGAAGTTATTTTTTCTCCCCTAATGATTTGGGAAAATTCACCCATGCTTTTGCTGAACCTCTGACAGCCAGTGACCCTGCAAAGTGACACCTTCCTGTGGGCCCCACCCCCGTCTCCTTCATAGCTGAAAGATACATGGCACGTGAGAAATTATTTCATGACTATTCATAATTATGAAGAATTTTGTAGGCTTTTAGTTTAAATAAAGATAGAAAATTTGCACCTTCTTCATCTACTCCCTTTCTTACCATAAGAATAGGAGCTAAGGCCGGGCGCAGTGGCTCACGCCTGTAATCCCAGCACTTTGAGAGGCCAAGGCGGGTGGATCACGAGGTCAGGAGTTCAAGACCAGTCTCACCAATATGATGAAACCCCGTCTCCACTAAAAATACAAAAATTAGCTGGGCGTGGTGGTGCACGCCTGTGGTCCCAGCTACTCAGGAGGCTGAGGCAGGAGAATCGATTGAACCTGGGAGGCAGAGGTTGCAGTGAGCTGACATCACACCACGGCACTCCAGCCTGGGCAATGGTGCAAGACTCCGTCTCCAAAAAAAAAAAAAAAAAAAAAGAGTAGGTGCTAACATCTCTTAAGCACCTACCCTGGTGGTCATCTGCTGAGTAATTCACTTTCCCATTCCATTAGAGTTAGGTCAATTGGAGATTACCTAAAATTGCCCATCCCCCTATTCTGCCATGGTCCCCTCCTCACCTGCCCCCCCCATCAAAAAAAGAAAAAGATTATGTAACATTGGATATTTAGTTATTTCCCAAATTGACATTTTGCTAGAAGTCTTTGGTTTATCTGATAATATATATTTTTTGAAGATCATACAAATAAACACATGCCTTTCTATTTTGTAAACATTTCATTAATACTTTGTTTGCCTTAATTGTGTCAATATATCTGCTGGCATTTTTAGAATTAATAATAGTAGTAGTAGCTAACATGTACTGTGAGTTTATTTTAACCCAGAGTCTCTACATAGGTTATCTTACCTTTTTTTTTTTTGGAGGGGGGGAGGGGGTGGAGGGAGTCTCACTCTGTTGCCAGCGCTGGAGTGTGGAATGCAGCGATGCAATCTCGGCTCACTGCAACCTCCATCTCCTGGGTTCAAGATTCTCCTGCCTTAGCCTCCTGAGTAGCTGGGACTCCAGGCACGTGCCACCACACCCGGCTATCTTACCATTTTTAAAGAACATCATGATTACTGTCCATTCTGTAAATGAGCAGTCTTAAGGTGCCATGAGGTTTAGTAACGTCCACACTTGCTAATAAGTGGTAGAAATCAGCTTTGAACTTGGCCTTGTGACTGCAGGGTCCACAGGTTAACTTCCACACCCCTTTTTCTCCCAGTCGCTGAAGTCGTACTGATCTTAGACAAGCATCCTAACTTTCTCTAGGACCGAAGCTGGACTTCCTTATGAATCCTGCTATGCTTCCACAGTCCATTTTATTATGATCTTAACCATTGTTCATTCAATGAAAATAATTACATTGCTGTCATATAGGTATGTGCTGTGAAACTACAGGATTTTTTTTTAAAAAGAGGTTTCAAGAGAACTAAATTCCTTACAACTTGTGCTTTGAGCCCATTCACATCCAGTCTCACTCGGGAGCAGGAGTAGCAGCAGTTTTCCTCAACTGACATAAAAATTAAAGAGCATTTTTGACTCCACAACGTGGGTGAAAGGGTATCGTATATTCCCAAATGAAACTCAGCACAGCCCCAGCTGTGCCCCCTAGCCACAGCGGCTGCATGGGGAGATCTGGGAGGCAGGTGATCATCCTTATTTAGATGTGCCAGAGATCATGTGACCAGAAAATGGAGGCGAATCTGTATTTCCAGTTAACTGCTCAGAAGAGAGATGCTGAAGAGCTGTAGTCGTGCATCCTTCTCACCCTCCGTTAGAAAGCCTCCTCTCATCCTCAGAAGGTAGGTGGGTCCTGGTGTAGCTTTTAGGAGATCGGTACGGGAAGGACAGAATGAGATGGAGAGTGTTGTTCTCAAAGACTAATCTCTTGCTGCTGGGAAGTTGGCGGGGGAGACGGGAGGGGGATGAGAGGATGCCGAATTCTGCCCAGCCCCTTGCAACTGACAGCTGCCAGCTGCATTTTATTCCGTATCCACTCATCCTAGAAAAGCTTGTGGTCGTTATGCTGTCCCCGCCCCTTTCTTGGCTATCAGGTAATCAGGAAACAGACTTTGCACAGCTGTAATCATTTTGTTTTCCTTTATATTTATGATGAAAATGGAGAGAGAAAAATAAAAGGAAGTGACAGATTTGAAACTGTTTGGGACTATTGCCTAATGAGAAATATAATGTCTCTTTGGATTATTTGACAAGCAGGACAGCTCTGGTAGAGAGGCATTTTTTAAATGTTATTACTAATTGCTATTGAAGCTAGTGCATCTGTTTTTCTAAAGAATCTTGTAACCTTTAAGTCTTACCTGAGTTTTAAGCTGCAGAAATAGGTCATCCTCAAACATGGGCTTATGTTGTTCCCTTTGTCTTTTCAAAATCAAGAAAGAATACTCTACTGAAAGGATATCAGTATTTCACTGAGAAACTAAGTTATGTGAGAAAGTAAAAAAATTACTACCTGGTCAGTTTCAACCAGGAATACACAGGTTATTAAATTTCTGTGTGGTAACTAGAAAACAACGGTAGACTCTTACCTAGTAGAAGTGATTTAAAGTGTGACTCTGCCAGAGATCAGGGTACTGGCCATGTGGATGAAAGGGAAAGGGGGCATAATCTCCATCCACTGCCCCCTCTTTGATGTGAACTGTTGACATGGTTTGATCTTATGTAAGCTGCTATGTGAGTGCAGCTTCCAGGACCACTTACAGCCAGATGGCTGCCCTGCGCCCCTCCTGTAGAGAAAATGGGAGCGGCTCCTGCATGAGTCTATTCCAAAATCTTCATCTGATGAAAGTTTTCTTAGAATCATAACAGATAATATGCACGGAATGTAAAATCTGGAATAATTAGATTACGATGCCTGGCAATCAAAAAAATGACCCATGGAATTGCTCTTAATTGCTAAGAGAAACTTCCTATCTGGGAGGTAAAATAAAACAAAACGGCTTTTATGGAAATGTCTCTATGGGCAAATTAAACATTTTTAGGGTACTGAAAGCTCAGTACTCTAAAATGGTGTGGACCTTGTTCCCCAACTCAGAACAACAAGATGAGGTTATTGTCATTGGAAGTCAGCAGCACCTAAACATCCCTGTGAGATGTAGCTTTGTAATGCAAAGTTACCCTTTATGTCCTAAATAAGGTTTAATGCCTCATAGATACTTGAGGATAGTGAGCCAGATTCTCCTTCCTATTAACAAGAAGTCAAATTAACTTTTTTTCCCCAATGGTTAGTGCTCTCTTTGGTACATCCCAGTGAACTTCTATTTACATTCCACTTGGTTTCTCAATCTTGAGTGGCTTTGTACTCCTGGGAAGATTATCTCTCCAATAAGAGATCACAGTACTTTCTTGAGTTTTTAACTTCACCCTTTCTAGCTAGAGGACAAGGTGCAGGGTTTGCACATAGGTTCAGGTACCTGATATAGGTTACAGTGCAAAAGCTTAGGTTTATCTACAGCAAATAAAAGCTGGGTTTTTTTCCTACTTAACTAGCCTGGAATTGCTTGCCCTCTGTTTGCTATTGTCAAGATTTTGCAGGCAGAGGCTTTACATGAACCAAGTTCCTGCCAGAGTAGTATTTGTATCTGGGATGGTTTCTCAATTCCTTACCAATCCAAGTTAAGGGTAATTGGTAGTTGGGGGAAGGAAGAAGGGGCGAGAAAGGGCAGAAGGAAAAGTAGAGAAGGACAGATTCTGTCCCCTGGTATCTTGTCTGCCAGGTTGACAAAGAACATGGCTCCTTCTGGATTAATCCTGGCAGGAATCATGAGATGCTTGTGGATAGGTTTATCACTATGTTGCTCAGGCTAGTCTGAAACTTCTGGCCCCATAAGAGGGGCATTGGAGAAGAAGCTGGAGTAGATGCCCTTCATTTGAGCACTCTTTTCCTTAGAGGGCTGTTGCCAAGGTTGGCTCTATCTTGTTCTGATAGCTGCCTATTTGCCTGCTATTTTGATAGTTGTTTGATTCCTTGTATTGTTCTTGAATCCTGAAATTCAACTGCTAAAGTAATAGAAGCTGAACTAAATTTTAGAATTCATTTGGATTCACTTCTTGAGTTTACAGGCAGAAAATGAGTCCTAGTTAGAGTGAGTGATTGTCTTAAGATCACCCAATCAGTGGCTTGGCTGGGATCAGAACTCAGGGGTCTTAGCTCTGGACCTTGTGCTACTTCCTGTCATCCCAGGGCCTTTGAGAAAAAAATCTTGGTGCGGTATCTCATGGCTGCAATCCCAGCACTTTGGGAGGCTGAGGCAGGAGGATCACTTGAGACCAGAAGTTTGAGACCAGCCTGAGCTGGTCTCTATAGAGACCCTGTCTCTATAGAAAATTTTAAAATTAGCTGAATGTGGTGGCATGCACCTGTAGTTCCAGCTGCTTGGGAGGCTGAGGCAGGAGGATGCCTTGAGCCCAGGAGGTTGAGGCTGCAGTGAGCTATGATCATGCCACTGCACTCCAGCCTGGGTGACAGAGCAAGAATCTGTCTCAAAAAAAGAAAAGAAATCTAGTCCATGCGTTAACATTTTTCATGGCTTAAAAATAAATCTACCACTCTTCTATTTTTAGGATAAGGTGGCATTTCCTAATTCATTTACAACCCTTAAACTCATATGCATTTGGGGAAAATGAAACAACTCTACTGTCAGAACTTGAGTGTTTATTATTAACAGGATGCTATCCCTAAGAAATGCATATGATACAAAGGTAACTAAGGTGCAGTCTCTCCTCACTCTAGTGTGGGGAGGAGAGAGTAAAATAAATGGCTGTGAAGGACAGAGTGAAATCAATTCCATAAGAGATTACACAACGGTGGGGCTCTGGGTGCTTAAAGGTCAGAAAGTGTTGCTTCATTTCCTTTGTTGTAGAGTGGCTACCACAGGATTCATGGATGAGGTAGATTTCAATAGGTTGGGAGAAGGAACACTGCAGCTGGAGGGAATATAATAAACCCAGCTATGGAGTCAGGAGAGCTATCGGTTGGAGTTGGGAGACTTAAGAGAATCTCATTTTGCCTAAAAGGTAGAGCAGCTGGAGAAGCTAAGGATGGATTATTCTAAATGGTTAAGAGGCCCTGAGGCTGCAACAAGGAAGTCTGTATTCAGTGTTTTTTGTCAGCAATGGAAAGCTGATGTTTCTTGAGCTGGGTATTGTGATTGCAATAGACTGGCAATGATGCAAGAGAAATGGGAGGGCAGATGGGAAGTGGCAATCCACCTGAGACTGGAAGTCAAGGCTGGAACTGTTCCTGGGATGGAAAGAAGGGAGGTAGTTTTAGAACTGCAGACACGGAAGAAAGCTAGAGGGCATGAAAATTGAGGAAGATGAGAACCTACTGGGGAGGTGCCCACAGAAGAATTGGCAAGCCCTGTGAAAGGTCATCATTTCATTCTTCGTGTCTGAGAACCTGCAGCCTTGGTGAGTTACTTGATATAAGTTCATATAAGCAAGCAAAGAAAGCACAAAACTCTCTCCTCAATGGAACAAGACAGAGCCGACTTGGGCAGCAACACTTACTGCAAGTGAAAAACCACATCTGATTCATCAGCCTTAGGTCATGGTCCTGGTGTTGGACAATGGTCTCTATGACTACACTTTCTTTGTTGCCAAGAGGGCAGGTCTGCAGACCTCTGTATCTACTGAGGTGTACCTATTGGGATGGGGTGTGAAGAGGATGGTGACGTTTTCCTCTGGTCAGGCTCTTACTTCCTGGGCAGTTGCTATAGAAAGAGAACACCCAGCTTCAGGGCAGGGGTGAGGCCAAATGTTGTCTGTGACAAGCTCCAAGGAGATTCTGACTCATAGGTTGCAAGAACAGAATGAGTCTTGATTGTGGGCTCAGGAACTGAGGAGAAAGTGGGAAGAAAAAGAACAGGAGAGTTCAGATATAATCTATCCTCATTGCCTCCCTGGCTTACTAACGGGCCAGATACCACCTTTTATTGGAGGCTTCTAGATTGCTCTACTCTACCCCCGCATCTGGAGGAACTGCTGCTATCTCTGAAATTCGTGTAGGACTCTCATGTCTTTTAGCCCCTCCTGTGCTGTTTTGTGTGAACCTGTATGTGTCTTTTCCTCTTTATCCTCCTAGATTTTAAATTCTCTGAGAGCAGAATGTGTCTCTGATCCATTCTTTTTGTAATACAGCCTCCCCCGAGGCTAACACTTTCCATATGGCTCTAGGACTCAAATGTTTGTTGAACTCCTACCGGAATGAATGGCCTGAGAAACAAACAGTGAGTATCAGAAAGAAGCTACAACTGTCAAAGCTTGTGGCAGTCTGCTTTGGAAACCCTAGGCAGATTACTAGAACAATCTTGATATGGTTTTACCTGGAGAGAGAGAGCATTCAATATCCCTTCCAATCCAAAAATTGAAAACCAAACACATGCTTTCAATATTGCCCTGAAAAGCAGGATTTAGTGCTGCTCAAACCCAAGATGAAAGTCCCATTCATAAAGCCACCATTGCCCACCAGTGTTACCCCTTAACAATTATATTTTTCTACATCCAGTTCCCAGAAATATCCAGGAAAGGTTGATGAAATTGGATGTTCTAAAAATAGTTCTTCCTAAAATAAAATAGGAGTGAAACCAACATAGTGTGATCCCAAGAGAGCAGCTGAGCATGAGGTAGGTAAGGAGGACACAGGTAAAATGGAGATGAAAGGAGAGCTAGAGACTGTTTATCTATAGAAAGGTCAGTAGAGATCATTGAAAGAAAGCAAATGTGGGATGGAGTTGAGCCTCATTCCCGGGCTGGCCATGGGGAAGTTTTCCTTGTACATTAGACTAAGTTCAGATGTAATCAAGGCTCATGGCTGGGCTGGGTGCGGTGGCTCATGCCTGTAGTCCTGACACTTTGGGAGGCCAAGGTGGGAGGATCACTCGAGGCCAGGAGTTTGACCCCAGGCTGGGCAACACAGTGAGACCCCATCTCTATGAAAAAATTTTCAAAAAATGCCTTAGCCAGCTGTGGTAGCTCACACCTGTGGTCCCACTTACTCAGGAGGCGAAGATGGGAGGATCTCCTGAGGCCAAGAGTTTGAGACCAGCCTAGGCAACATAGTGAGACACCATCTCTACCAAAAAACTTTTTTTAAAAACTTAGCTGGGCATGGTGGCACATACCTGTGGTCCCATCTACTCTGGAGACAAAGTGAGAGGATCTCTTGAGACCAGAAGTTCCAGACCAGCCTGGACAACACAGTCAGACCCTGACTCTACCAAAAATTTTTTTAAAACAGCCAGGCATGGTGGTGGATGCCTGTGGTCCCAACTACTTGGAGACTGTGGTGAGAGGATCACTTGAGCCTGGGAAGTCACGGCTGCAGTGAGCCGTGTTCATGCCACTGCACTCCTGCCTGGGTGACAGAGTGAGACCCTGTCACAAAAAAATAAAAACAAAAATAAAAACAAAAGAGCTCCTGTCTTTGCAATAAAGACAGAGATTGGATTTCCTATGATGAGTGTCTCACCAAGTTTTTTTATGTGCTTGCCATTAGCTGGATGAGTATATAGCTGGTATTGAGCTGTTATGTTTATTTTCCAGTACTTTCATCTATCAGCAGGGACCTGGTAACCCAAAAATGTGAGTGATGTATAAGACAGAGTCATGGAATCTCATGTAATGCTATAACTCTGTGAACAACAATTATTTAAAAGCATAAGCACATTTTCTTCCCTGAATATCTGTTTACATTTATACAGTGAAGACATAGAAATGAAAAAGAGATGGTTAAATGAATCAGTTCTCCCCAAGAGGTTGGCAGAGCCGTATGATTACTGAATGTATCCCTCAGGAGGGTATGAAATTAATCAAGTCTTATAATTAGCTTCATAGAATGTGATTATACTGTGCAGCAGGATACATGTAAGTAAGCGGGATGACCTCTTTCTCCCAGTGTCAAGGGGCCTAACTTAGGTTTCTCTCTCTCCCTGGAGATCTGTCAGGCAGCCATAGAAGGGCTTTCTAGCAGAGAAGATGAATGAAAGGACTGATATACTCCTTCCAGAGTCAAGAGTCTCCTCCTTGACACTGGATATACCGGTGAAGATCTGATACTTTATTGGTTTGCTAGGGCTGCTATAACAAAGTACCAAAGATGAGGTGGCTTAAACGGTAGACATTTATTTTCTCACAGTTGTGGAAATCTGAGATCAAGGTATTGCTAGAATTGGTTTCTTCTGAGGCCTCTCTCTCCTTAGCTTGCATATGGCTGTCTTCTCCCCATGTCTTCTGGTCTTCCGGTCTTCCCTCTGTGTGTGTTTGTGTCCAAATTTCCTCTTGCTATAAGGATGCCATTCATATTGAACTATGGCCCACCCGAATGACCTCATTTTCACTTAATTACTTCTGCAAAAACCCCATTTCCAAACACACACCTTGAGGTACTAAGGGTTAAGACTTCAACATAAGAATCTTGGAGGATGCAATTCCTCCCATAATAGATACCTTAGGAATGTGACAGCATATGTGCCAGGAATTCCTGATGGTCCTGTGATTGGTGACAGGCCCCCAACCCCATAAACCGTTTATTGTACTTCAGTGATGAGTCTCTGCATCCCTTCAGGGGGATCCATAACCTCCTTGGAGACCCAGAGTAAATATAGAAGGCTAAGTGTAACCCAGCATCTTCTAATAATATAATAGTAATATTAGATGTAATCATATAATAGAACTTTTGCCAAGCACTTTACTCATTATCTCTTTGAAATCTGTCCTCTCATTCCCATTTTGCAGATAAGGAAGCTGAGTCTTAAGAGAAGTCAGTAATTTTAGCACATTTACATGGTTAATAAGAGGCAGAAGTGGCCGGGCGCGGTGGCTCACGCCTGTAATCCCAGCACTTTGGGAGGCCGAGCAGGGTGGATCACTTGAGGTCAGGAGTTCAAGACCAGCCTGACCAACATGGTGAAACCCCGTCTCTACTAAAAATAGAAAAATTAGCCAGGCATGGTGGTGCACTCCTGTAATCCCAGCTACTCGGGAGGCTGATGCAGAAGAATTGCTTGAACTCGGGAGGTGGAGGTTTCAGTGAGCTGAGATTGTGCTACTGCACTCCAGCCTGGGCAACAGAGCGAGACTCCATCTCAAAAATAAATAAATAAGAGGCAGAAGTGGAGTGAGTCCCATTGACCCCCACCAGGGTAGATTGCCTCCCTGTTTGTGAGCATTGTTTTTCTTAAACTGGTGTGAAAGGCTAAGGAGAAATTTCTTGTGGGACAATGAGTATGAAGGGACCTGAAGAAGTCCATCAGCTTTACGCTGGATATCTAAGGAAGTCCAGAATCCTCAAAGAATATTGAAACCCTAAGTTAACCTGGAATTTTGCCACTGCGAAGAGGTAGCTAACTTAGATCTGTTAGACCCCAACCATTGGGAAAGTGGAGGAAATGAGACTGAGACAGGAAGGGAGCACAGGGACTCTGGAGCTGCCCTGGGGTTGAGTCTGCAGCTGACTCCTCCTCCTCTCCCTGCTCCCTTTGACTTGTCTCTGAGAAACCGTGCTGGGAGACAAACTAGCAGGCCAGGCAAACTCAAGCAGCTTTTTCAAAAAGTAGCCTCAGACTCGTAGATGTAGAGTAGAATGGTGGTTGCCAGAGACTGGAAAGCGGATGAAGGAAAGGGGAGTGATTGATCAAAGGGTACAAAATTTCAGTTAGATCTGAAGAATAAACTTTAGTGATCTGTTGTAGAGTGGTGACTATAATAAATAATCATGCATTGTATATTTCAAAATTACTAAAAATGTAGATTTTAAATGTTTTCACCACAAAAAACATAAGTATGTGAGGTGATGGATTTGTCAATTTTCTTAATCTAATCATTCTACAGTGTAAATATATGTCAAAACATCACATTGTATCCCATCAATATATATTCGTGTGTGTGTATATATGTGTATATATATATAATATGTACATATAATGTATACTATATATATTTTATGTATACACAAAAATATTCATGGGGTATGCAAATACATATGTGTATATATGTATATATACATACACAAATATAATTTATGGGGGCATAAATATATATATATAGATAAATACATGCACATATATGTTAGCATCAGGTTTCAGGGCCTGTCCCCTCCCATGATATTCTATGATATTCTTTCATTTGCATTCAGAATTAGAGGAGTGATAAACGAAATGCATTCATCCAACAAATATATGAAGGTGTGCCTAATTTCAGGGTTCATGACCCTGGCACTTCCTTTATATGGGAGTTAACCCTGTCTCTATAATCAAGAATATACCACATGTAAGCTTCCTGAGAACATACATATTTTTCCCAATCTGTTTTATCAGTGAGGTCATTTTGGGTGATGGGTGACAAAAACTCAACTTACCCTGCTTAGGTTAAAAAGAATATTAATTGGCTCATATTATGAAAACCTAAGAACTAATCTGGCTCTAGGAAGAAGTGAATAAGAAAGCTCCAACCACGCAGTCAATGTTTACCCATTTTTTTTCCTTCACTCATTGTCTCTGTTTCTTAATACAGTGGGTTCCTCTCTCCATAGGCCCTCAGGTTTACATTACAGTCAACTGCAATCCCCAGAGAAAGGCTTTCTTTTTCCCAGAGGTTTCAACAAAATCTGGGTTGAGTCTCCTTGGAAGAACTGGTGTCACGTGCTTATTCGTGGAACCAATCACTCTGGCAGGGGCGGGGACTCTGTTGATTGGTCAGTCCTGGGTCAGTTGCCTGTCTCTGACGGGAAAGGAAATTACCTTCATCCCTCAAACCCTGGGACTTAGTGTGATGCAGAAATTATTCCCCAAAGGGGAATAGAGGTGCTGTTATCAAAAGAAGAAAGAGTCTGGGGAGGACACTGGGCTAACTATTACATCTGAATACACTAAAAAATTTAATGGTCAGGAGAAGATGAAGAGAGGTCAATTAAAAGTACAGTTTGGTGGAAGAACTAAGCCCTAGTTTTTGCCAGATCATTAGAGTGACTATAGTTTAGAGTAATCTATTATATATTTTTAAAATAGTTAAAAGAAAAATTTGAATATTTTTTAGCATAAAGAATAGACAAATATTTCAAGTGATAGCCATCCCAAGTGATGCTGATTTGATCTTTACAAATTATATTAATGTATTAAATTATCACATGTACTCCCCAAAATATGTACATCTATTGTGTATCAATAAATAAAATAAAAAATTAATAGTGGGGCTGGGCACAGTGGCTCACGCCCATAATCCCAGCACTTTGGGAGGCTAAAGCAGGCAGATCACCTGAGGTCAGGAGTTCAAGACCAGCCTGACCACCATGGACATGGAGAAACTCCATCTTTACTAAAAATACAAAAAATTAGTCGGGCGGGGTGGCGCATACCTGTAATCCCAGCTACTTGGGAGGCTGAGGTAGGAGAATAGCTTGAACCCAGGAGGCGAAGGTTGTTGTGGGCCGAGATCACGCCACTGCACTCTAGCCTGGGCAACAAGAGTGAAACTCCAACTCAAAAAAAAAAAAAAAAGTTAATAGTGATCATCCATAGTGGCAAAATTTAGGAATATTTTTCCTTTATATTTTCTATCATATATAATTCTATTTTTATATATAAAATATATGGTAAGTTTTCTATAAGTAAACTATGTTTTTATAATGAATAAGACTTTTTAAAAGTTTTTTTATTAATATCTCTGAGAAAATAAAGCCTCTTTTAAAGTCTAAATCACTCCGTCTACTGAGGGGCTTCTGGCTAAGATCAAGAGCCAAATCTCTTCTCTCTCCTAACATTTTTATCGCCTTCACTGTCTCCTGCTAATTCTGGTCTCCAGGGAGGTCTCATTTTGTCACCTCCTCTGCCTTTGCCACTTCCCATGACTCTCAGAGTTCCTCCTAATGTATTTAAAATACATCTTTAAAATATCAGCTTATCTTAAAAATAAACTATTTGGACTTTACTTAAAATTTCAAGGTGACATTGTGTCTTTAAAAAGATACACCCTGACTAGATTAGATTTAATTGCCAGTTTTTTTAATAACCTCTAGCTGATAAGAATTCCCTGAAAGGAGTTTTTAACATAAATCTGGGATCCTTTTACAAGTGTTTTATGTGACATTCTGAGATGATTTATTTCCACAGGCTGATAGGATATAGCTCCTTGTGGGAGCGGTTGAAGAGCACCTTTCTGGTGGTTCAGGGGTAAAAATGATGCCTAAATTGAAGCAGTGGTGGAAGCATCAGCTGTCCCAGGACATCAAGCTGTAGTGCACCTGGGTGGGCACCCACACAGTCGAGATCTTCACAGACAGATCCCACAGCTCTTAAGTGTCCCTGTCAGGCTGTCCACCTTCAGATTTATGATCCAAAGGTGGTTTTGTGAGCTTAGAAAAACCTATCTTGTACCCTTTCCCAGGGCACCTGCTTTTTTTTTTTTTTTTTAATCGTGGTAAGAAACACATAACATAAAATTTACCGTCTTAACCATTGTTAAGTGTACAGTTCAGTTATGGTAGGTACATTCACATTGCCGTGCCTAGATCTCCAGAACGTTTTCATTTCTTAAAACTAAAACTCAATACCCATTAAACAACATTTCCCCATCTCCCCGGCCCCTGGCAACCACCATTCTACTTTCTGTTTCTATGAATGTCACTGCTTTAGATACTTCAGATAGTGGAATCATACAGTAATGGTTTTTTGTTTTGTTTTTTCATGTGTGACTCGCTTATGTGACTGGCTGATTTCATTTAGCATGCTGTCCTCAAAGTTCATTCATACTATAGCCTGTGACTGGATTTTCTTCCTTTTTAAGGCTGAATAATATTTCGTGTATGCATATACCACATTTTCTTTATCCATTGATATGGTTTGGCTCTGTGTCCCTACCTGAATCTCATCTTGAATTATAATCTCCATGTGTTGGGGGAGGTGCCTTGTGGGAGGTGATTGGACCCTGAGGGCAGACTTCCCGCTGCTGTTCTCATGATAATGAGTGAGTTCTCACGAGATCCGGTTGTTTGAAAGTGTGCCACTTCCCCCTTTGCTCTCTCTCTTCTATTGCCATGTAAGATGTGCCTTGCTTTCCCTTTGCTTTCAGTCGTGATTGTAAGTTTCCTGAGGCCTCCCCAGCCATGCAGAACTCTGAGTCAATTAAACCTCTCTTTTTAATAAATTACCCAGTCTCAGGTAGTTCTTTGTAGCAGTATGAAAATGGACTAATACTTCCATTCTTCCATTAATGGGCGCTTGAGTTGCTTCCACCTATTGGTTATTATGCCTATAACTGCTATGAATGTGGTTGTGCAAATATCTCTTTGAGATCCTACTTTAAATTCTTTTGGACTTATAACAAGAAGTGGGATTGATAAATCATATGGTAATTCTATTTTTAATCGATTTGAGGATCCACCATCCTGTTTTTAAAAGAGGCTGCATCATTTTATATTCCCACCAACAGTGCACAAGTGTTCCAATTTCTCTGTATCCTCACCAACACTTGTTATTTTCTGGTTTTTGGTTTTTTGTTTGTTTGTTTTTTGTTTGTTTTTTTAACAGTAGCCATCCTAATGAGTATGAAGTGATATATCATTGTAGTTTTGATTTGCATTTTTCTAATGATTAGTGATGTGGAGCATCTTTTCATATGCTCGTTGGCCATTTGCATATCATCTTTGGAGAAATGTCTTTGCCCATTTCTTTTGCCCATTTTTTAATCAGGTTATGTACATTTTTGTTGTTGGGTTTCAGGAGTTCTTTATGTATTCTAGATATTAACCCCTTATCAGATATATGACTTGCAAATGTTTTCTCTCATTCCATAGGTTGCCTTTCACTCTTGATTGCATCCTTTGATGCACAGAAGGTTTTAAGTTTCATGTTGTCCCATCTATTTTTTCTTTTGTTGCCTATGCTTTTGGTGTCATATCCAAGGAATATTGTCAAATCCAATGTCATGAAGTTTTTCTTCTATGTTTTATGCTAGAAGTTTCTATTTTGGGTCTTATGTTTTTATTGCTAATCCATTTTGAGCAATTTTGGTATATTGCATAAGGTGAGGGTCCAACTTCATTCTTTTACATGTGGATATCTTGTTTTCCCAGCATCATTTGTTGAATAATTTCCCCATTAAATGGTCTCAGCAACCTTATCAAAGATCATTTGACAATATAGGCATGGGTTTATTTCTGGACTCTCTATTCTGTTCCACTAGTCTATATATCTGTCTTTTTATTTATTTATTTTAGAGTCTCATCCAGGCTGGGGTGCAGTGACATGATACAATCATAGCTCACTGCAGCTTCAAACTCCTGGGCTCAAGCAATCCTTCTATCTCAGCCTTCCTATAGTACTTGGGATTACAGGAGTGAGCCACAGTGCTCAGCTATATCAGTGTTTATGCCAGTACTATACTGTTTTGATTACTGTAGCTTTGTAATTAGTTTTAAAATTAGGAGGTGTAAGACTTCCAGCTTTATTCTTTTTCAAGATTGTTTTGGCTATTTGAGGTCCCTTGAAATTTCAAATAAATTTTAGAATAGATTTTCCTATTTTTTCAAAAAATTCCATTGGAATCCAGGTCACTTGGTTTTGAAAACCACTATTGTATTTAATTTTTAACAAAATTACTGAAATGATGGTAACAGCAATATCTAATCCTTATATGTCATCAGTCATGATTGGCAAGGCAGTGTTCCCTATCCCTACCTAAATCAACGCATTTAATCCTTACAACAACTTTCTAAGTAAGTAGTGTTACTTTTCGCATTTTACAGATAAGGAAACTGAGGCATATAGAAATTCTGTAACTCGTATAAGGTTGCACATTTTAAAAGGTCAGAGCCAAGATTCAAGTGCAGGCAGCCTGCCTCCTGAATCTTGAGGCTTTCTGGAATAAAAATACCACAGAGCAGTTCAGGCTGCATTTACTAGATTCTTGTTAGATGCAGTCCTAGCTGTCCGTAGAGGCCCACATATCTCTTGGGGTTATGTCTCAGACCTGTGCTTCTCGAAGGAAGGGAGGAAGGACTTTATTTATTTATTTTTATTTATTTATTTATTTTTTGAGACGGAGTCTCACTTTGTCGCCCAGGCTGGAGTGCAGTGGCACCATCTCGGCTCACCGCAAGCTCCGCCTCCGAGGTTCACACCATTCTCCTGCCTCAGCCTCCAAGTAGCTGGGACTACAGGCGCCCGCCACCACGCCCGGCTAATTTTTTGTATTTTTAGTAGAGGCGAGGTTTCACCGTGTTAGCCAGGATGGTCTCTATCTCCTGACCTCGTCATCCGCCCATCTCGGCCTCCTAAAGTGCTGGGATTATAGGCGTGTGCCGCCGTGCCCGGCCAAGGAAGGTCTTTATAATGCCCAAGAATCTGTTACAGACTCTGAGATGTCCTCTAGAAATGTTTGGTTTTGTATGTCTCATTTTGACCAAGAAATCTTTTCTTCTTTTCATTTTTTCTTTTTTTCCTTTCCTTTTTTCCTCCCTTCCTCCCTCCTTTCCCTTTCTCCTTCCTTTTTTTTTTTTTTTTTTTTTTTTTTTGATGGAGTCTCGCTCTTGTCTCCCAGGCTGGAGTGCAGTGGCACCATCTCGGCTCACTGCAACCTCCACTCCCGGGTTCAGGCGATTCTCCTGTCTCAGCCTCCTGAGTAGCTGGGATTAAAGGCGCCCACCACCACGTCTGGCTAATTTTTGTACTTTTAGTAGAGACGGGGTTTTGCCGTGTTGGCCAGGCTGGTCTCAAACTCCTGACCTCAGCTTCTCAAAGTGCTGGGATTACAGGCATGAGCCCCCAAGCCCGGCCAATCCCCAGAGAATATAATATATGATGCTTCACAAACTTAATTGGCATAGAGCCTTTTGGCATAGATCTGTGGAGCTGGTTCTCTGGGCGCAGGCTCTGGCAAACGCTGGCATAAAGATATGACCAGTTGTTCCCCACTGTGTCCCGTTCGCCCCAGGATGGTTTGGAACACTCGAGTGCAAATCCTCGTGGGGTGTGGGGGAAGTGTTCCTTCTTATGTCTGCCCCGGTCAGTCCCAGGTTTGAGCTCATATGCTGACCTCGGGGAATGGATTCCAGGAATTTGCCCGGATCTTGCAGCAGGCCTGCTTCCTGGACTTCTCCAGGAAAGTCACTGGGGCCTGAGAGGTGACTCAATTTTCAACCACAGGCAGCGACTGTGTGGGAATGAAAAGATAAAGGAATTTAATGCTAGAGGAAAATGAGGAACAATGGACCCATCAGGAAGGAAATCCAGAAAATAAAAATGGGATGGTATCACCCAAAGGAGCGAACACTGGTGCACATATCTTCTGTTTATTCAGCAAATGTCCACAGAGGGCCGGCTGCCAGCAGCGCCCTCAGCCTCTGCGGCCCTTTAGGAGCTGACGGTTTGGTCATCCAGATGGAAATGTTTCATTCTCTGCCTCATTTTCCTCACCTGTGAAACAGGAACGGAAAACAATGCCTTAAAGGGATCCTATCAAAAACGATGCTAATTTTAAAAGTATAAAGGCTTTCGAAGTCAGAGAAATACTATGTGAAAATCAAGGAGTTTCTTTTTTCTTTAAGGACAAGAACATAAATAAAATAATGAATTTTTTTTAAGCAAATAATTTAAAAAATCCAAAACTGAAAAAAGAAAAGTAAATCTAACAAAATAGACAAAGCAACAGTAAAAGAAACCAAAGTGAAAAGACCATTGCAAAAGAGAAACTATTGAATTGGAAAACAGACTGCAGATATTGGAAAACAGACTGCAACGCAAGGATAGAATTAGATACATTTAAATCAACCTATTGCGAAAGATGAATCAGCCAAGCTATATACAGCAACTGCCATGAGAAGCAGGTGTGTCTTATTTATTTTAAAATACCCACTGTTTGCACAGATCGGACCTTCAGAAAATATTTGTGAAGATGAACAAATATAATAGACATGTGGACAGTGGGAACAGCAGGACCTCCATAATGATGGATTAATCTGAGCTCGGGTTTTTCTGGCTTTCTTTTTCAATGGTAACATTTCAGCTCATGTGCTTCGCTATTTCTGCTGCTTCCTACACTTTATTTTGGAAAATGTCAGGAGCCCCGATTATGTGGCAGTGGATGTGACATCGTAATATTGCTACTGATAAACAACTGAAATTACTACTTACTAGGCACTTCTTTTTTTCTAACATTAACTTGAATTTGCCCAAAATTCCTAGAAGTGCATAGAATCTTAATATTTTCAAATTACCTTTTATTTGAAAATGTTGCCACATGTTCATATTTTAAAAATTGAAACACAGAAAAGTAAGTGAATCAAATGTAGGAATTCCTTTCGCCCCTGTACCTACTCCACATAGGTAACTGCTATTAACAATGTATTCTTCCTAGATATTATCCATATCTAAAAATGCATATAAATGTATATAATTTTATGGAAATAGTATCATTCTAAATGTACCATTTTGTAACGAGTTTTCATTAGATACGTCTTAAATACCATTCTATGTCAATACATTTAGATTTTTTTTTACATTGAAATACCATAATGTGTTTCATGCTATATTTAATCATTCCCTTACTGATAGGCATTTAGATTAGCACTTACATTTTTGTTAAAAAAAAAAAATTTGAGTGGAAGATTTTTTTTTTTTTAATGTTTTCACAAAGTTTACAAATTCATATCGGGCCATATTCAAAGCCATCTGCAGCCGCAGGTTAAACAAGCTTGATTTAGAGTACTTGCATAATTCTGTTTCTTGTCAACTGTTAATGTAATTTTAATTTATTAAAAATATTGGCTATTAGTTTTTTTTGTTTTTGGTTTTTTTTTTATTATACTTTAAGTTTTAGGGTACATGTGCACATTGTGCAGGTTAGTTACATACGTATAGATGTGCCATGCTGGTGCGCTGCACCCACTAACTCGTCATCTAGCATTAGGTATATCTCCCGATGATATCCCTCCCACCTCCCTCCATCCCACAACAGTCCCCAGAGTGTGATATTCCCCTTCCTGTGTCCATGTGATCTCATTGTTCAATTCCCACCTATGAGTGAGAATACGCGGTGTTTGGTTTTTTGTTCTTGCGATAGTTTACTGAGAATGATGGTTTCCAATTTCATCCATGTCCCTGCAAAGGACATGAACTCATCATTTTTTATGGCTGCATAGTATTCCATGGTGTATATGTGCCACATTTTCTTAATCCAGTCTATCATTGTTGGACATTTGGGTTGGTTCCAAGTCTTTGCTATTGTGAATAATGCCGCAATAAACATACGTATGCATGTGTCTTTATAGCAGCATGATTTATAGTCCTTTGGGTATATACCCAGTAATGGGATGGCTGGGTCAAATGGTATTTCCAGTTCTAGATCCCTGAGGAATCGCCACACTGACTTCCACAATGGTTGAACTAGTTTACAGTCCCACCAACAGTGTAAAAGTGTTCCTATTTCTCCACATCCTCTCCAGCACCTGTTGTTTCCTGACTTTTTAATGATTGCCATTCTAACTGGTGTGAGATGGTATCTCATTGTGGTTTTGATTTGCATTTCTCTGATGGCCAGTGATGATGAGCATTTTTTCATGTGTTTTTTGGCTGCATAAATGTCTTCTTTTGAGAAGTGTCTGTTCATGTCCTTCGCCCACTTTTTGATGGGGTTGTTTGTTTTTTTCTTGTAAATTTGTTTGAGTTCATTGTAGATTCTGGATATTAGCCCTTTGTCAGATGAGTAAGTTGCGAAAATTTTCACCCATTTTGTAGGTTGCCTGTTCACTCTGATGGTAGTTTCTTTTGCTGTGCAGAAGCTCTTTAGTTTAATTAGATCCCATTTGTCAATTTTGGCTTTTGTTGCCATTGCTTTTGGTGTTTTAGACATGAAGTCCTTGCCCTTGCCTATGTCCTGAATGGTAATGCCTAGGTTTTCTTCTAGGGTTTTTATGGTTTTAGGTCTAACGTTTAAGTCTTTAATCCATCTTGAATTGATTTTTGTATAAGGTGTAAGGAAGGGATCCAGTTTCAGCTTTCTACATATGGCTAGCCAGTTTTCCCAGCACCATTTATTAAATAGGGAATCCTTTCCCCATTGCTTGTTTTTCTCAAGTTTGTCAAAGATCAGATAGTTGTAGATATGCGGCGTTATTTCTGAGGGCTCTGTTCTGTTCCATTGATCTATATCTCTATTTTGGTACCAGTACCATGCTGTTTTGGTTACTGTTGCCTTGTAGTATAGTTTGAAGTCAGGTAGTGTGATGCCTCCAGCTTTGTTCTTTTGGCTTAGGATTGACTTGGCGATGCGGGCTCTTTTTTGGTTCCATATGAACTTTAAAGTAGTTTTTTTCCAATTCTGTGAAGAAAGTCATTGGTAGCTTGATGGGGATGGCATTGAATCTGTAAATTACCTTGGGCAGTATGGCCATTTTCACGATATTGATTCTTACTACCCATGAGCATGGAATGTTCTTCCATTTGTTTGTATCCTCTTTTATTTCCTTGAGCAGTGCTCAAGTGAGTGTAGTTCTCCTTGAAGAGGTCCTTCACATCCCTTGTAAGTTGGATTCCTAGGTATTTTATTCTCTTTGAAGCAATTGCGAATGGGAGTTCACTCATGATTTGGCTCTCTGTTTGTCTGTTGTTGGTGTATAAGAATGCTTGAGATTTTTGTACATTGATTTTGTATCCTGAGACTTTGCTGAAGTTGCTTATCAGCTTAAGGAGATTTTGGGCTGAGACAGTGGGGTTTTCTAGATATACAATCATGTCGTCTGCAAACAGGGACAATTTGACTTCCTCTTTTCCTAATTGAATACCCTTTATTTCCTTCTCCTGCCTCATTGCCCTGGCCAGAACTTCCAACACTATGTTGAATAGAGGTGGTGAGAGAGGGCATCCCTGTCTTGTGCCAGTTTTCAAAGGTAATGCTTCCAGTTTTTGCCCATTCAGTATGATATTGGCTGTGGGTTTGTCATAGATAGCTCTTATTATTTTGAAATATGTCCCATCAATACCTAATTTATTGAGAGTTTTTAGCATGAAGGATTGTTGAATTTTGTCAAAGGCTTTTTCTGCATCTATTGAGATAATCATGTGGTTTTTGTCTTTGGTTCTGTTTATATGCTGGATTACATTTATTGATTTGCGTATATTGAACCAGCCTTGCATCCCAGGGATGAAGCCCACTTGATCATGGTGGATAAGCTTTTTGATGTGCTGCTGGATTCGTTTTGCCAGTATTTTATTGAGGATTTTTGCATCAATGTTCATCAAAGATATTGGTCTAAAATTCTCTTTTTTTGTTGTGTCTCTGCCTGGCTTTGGTATCAGAATGATGCTGGCCTCATAAAATGAGTTAGGGAGGATTCCCTCTTTTTCTATTGATTGGAATAGTTTCAGAAGGAATGGTACCAGTTCCTCCTTGTACCTCTGGTAGAATTCGGCTGTGAATCCATCTGGTCCTGGACTCTTTTTGGTTGGTAAGCTATTGATTATTGCCACAATTTCAGCTCCTGTTATTGGTCTATTCAGAGATTCAACTTCTTCCTGGTTTAGTCTTGGGAGAGTGTATGTGTCCAGGAATTTATCCATTTCTTCTAGATTTTCTAGTTTATTTGCGTAGAGGTGTTTGTAGTATTCCCTGATGGTAGTTTGTATTTCTGTGGGATCGGTGGTGATATCCCCTTTATCATTTTTTATTGTGTCTATTTGATTTTTCTCTCTTTTTTTCTTCATTAGTCTTGCTAGCGGTCTATCAATTTTGTTGATCCTTTCAAAAAACCAGCTCCTGGATTCATTAATTTTTTGAAGGGTTTTTTGTATCTCTATTTCCTTCAGTTCTGCTCTGATTTTAGTTATTTTTTGCCTTCTGCTAGCTTTTGAATGTGTTTGCTCTTGCTTTTCTAGTTCTTTTAATTGTGATGTTAGGGTGTCAATTTTGGATCTTTCCTGCTTTCTCTTGTGGGCATTTAGTGCTATAAATTTCCCTCTACACACTGCTTTGAATGCGTCCCAGAGATTCTGGTATGTTGTGTCTTTGTTCTCATTGGTTTCAAAGAACATCTTTATTTCTGCCTTCATTTCGTTATGTACCCAGTAGTCATTCAGGAGCAGGTTGTTCAGTTTCCATGTAGTTGAGCGGTTTTGAGTGAGATTCTTAATCCTGAGTTCTAGTTTGATTGCACTGTGGTCTGAGAGATAGTTTGTTATAATTTCTGTTCTTTAACATTTGCTGAGGAGAGCTTTACTTCCCAGTATGTGGTCAATTTTGGAATAGGTGTGGTGTGGTGCTGAAAAAAATGTATATTCTGTTGATTTGGGGTGGAGAGTTCTGTAGATGTCTATTAGGTCTGCTTGGTGCAGAGCTGAGTTCAATTCCTGGGTATCCTTGTTGACTTTCTGTCTCGTTGATCTGTCTAATGTTGACAGTGGGTTGTTAAAGTCTCCCATTATTAATGTGTGGGAGTCTAAGTCTCTTTGTAGGTCACTCAGGACTTGCTTTATGAATCTTGGTGCTCCTGTATTGGGTGCATATATATTTAGGATAGTTAGCTCTTCTTGTTGAATTGATCCCTTTACCATTATGTAATGGCCTTCTTTGTCTCTTTTGATCTTTGTTGGTTTAAAGTCTGTTTTATCAGAGACTAGGATTGCAACCCCTGCCTTTTTTTGTTTTCCATTTGCTTGGTAGATCTTCCTCCATCCTTTTATTTTGAGCCTATGTGTGTCTGTGCACGTGAGATGGGTTTCCTGAATACAGCACACTGATGGGTCTTGACTCTTTATCCAATTCGCCAGTCTGTGTCTTTTAATTGGAGCATTTAGTCCATTGACATTTAAAGTTAATATTGTTATGTGTGAATTTGATCCTGTCATTATGATGTTAGCTGGTTATTTTGCTCGTTAGTTGATGCAGTTTCTTCCTAGTCTCGATGGTCTTTACATTTTGGCATGATTTTACAGTGGCTGCTACTGGTTGTTCCTTTCCATGTTTAGTGCTTCCTTCAGGAGCTCTTGTAAGGCAGGCCTGGTGGTGACAAAATCTCTCAGCATTTGCTTGTCTGTAAAGTATTTTATTTCTCCTTCACTTATGAAGCTTAGTTTGGCTGGATATGAAATTCTGGGTTGAAAATTCTTTTCTTTAAGAATGTTGAATATTGGCCCCCACTCTCTTCTGGCTTGTAGGGTTTCTGCCGAGAGATCCGCTGTTAGTCTGATGGGCTTCCCTTTGATGGTAACCCGACCTTTCTCTCTGGCTTCCCTTAACATTTTTCCTTCATTTCAACTTTGGTGAATCTGACAATTATGTGTCTTGGAGTTGCTCTTCTTGAGGAGTATCTTTGTGGCGTTCTCTGTATTTCCTGAATCTGAACATTGGCCTGCCTTGCTAGATTGGGGACATTCTCCTGGATAATATCCTGCAGAGTGTTTTCCAACTTGGTTCCATTCTCCCCATCACTTTCAGGTACACCAATCAGACGTAGATTTGGTCTTTTCACATAGTCCCATATTTCTTGGAGGCTTTGCTCATTTCTTTTTATTCTTTTTTCTCTAGACTTCCCTTCTCGCTTCATTTCATTCATTTCATCTTCCATCGCTGATACCCTTTCTTCCAGTTGATCGCATCGGCTCCTGAGGCTTCTGCATTCTTCACGTAGTTCTCGAGCCTTGGTTTTCAGCTCCATCAGCTCCTTTAAGCACTTCTCTGTATTGGTTATTCCAGTTATACATTCTTCTAAATTTTTTTCAAAGTTTTCAACTTCTTTGCCTTTGGTTTGGATGTCCTCCTGTAGCTCAGAGTAATTTGATTGTCTGAAGCCTTCTTCTCTCAGCTCGTCAAAGTCATTCTCCATCCAGCTTTATTCCGTTGCAGGTGAGGAGCTGTGTTCCTTTGGAGGAGGAGAGGCGCTCTGCTTTTTAGAGTTTCCAGTTTTTCTGTTCTGTTTTTTCCCCATCTTTGTGGTTTTTATCTACTTTTGGTCTTTGATGATGGTGATGTACAGATGGGTTTTTGGTGTGGATGTCCTTTCTGTTTGTTAGTTTTCCTTCTAACAGAGAGGACCCTCAGCTGCAGGTCTGTTGGAGTACCCTGCCGTGTGAGGTGTCAGTGTGCCCCTGCTGGGGGGTGCCTCCCAGTTAGGCTGCTCGGGGGTCAGGGGTCAGGGACCCACTTGAGGAGGCAGTCTGCCTGTTCTCAGATCTCCAGCTGCGTGCTGGGAGAACCACTGCTCTCTTCAAAGCTGTCAGACAGGGACATTTAAGTCTGCAGAGGTTACTGCTTTCTTTTTGTTTGTCTGTGTCCTGCCCCCAGAGGTGGAGCCTACAGAGGCAGGCAGGCCTCCTTGAGCTGTGGTGGGCTCCACCCAGTTCGAGCTTCCTGGCTGCTTTGTTTACCTAATCAAGCCTGGGCAATGGTGGGCGCCCCTCCCCCAGCCTCACTGCCGCCTTGCAGTTTGATCTCAGACTGCTGTGCTAGCAATCAGCGAGACTCCGTGGGTGTAGGACCCTCCGAGCCAGGTGCGGGATATAATCTCGTGGTGTGCCGTTTTTTAAGCCCTTTGGAAAAGCGCAGTATTTGGGTGGGAGTGACCCGATTTTCCAGGTGCCGTCCGTCACCCCTTTCTTTGACTCAGAAAGGGAACTCCCTGACCCCTCGCGCTTCCCAAGGGAGGCAATGCCTCGCCCTGCTTCGGCTCGCGCACGGTGCGCGCACCCACTGACCTGTGCCCACTGTCTGGCACTCCCTAGTGAGATGAACCCAGTACCTCAGATGGAAATGCAGAAATCACCCATCTTCTGCGTCGCTCACGCTGGGAGCTGTAGACTGGAGCTGTTCCTATTCGGCCATCTTGGCTCCTCCCCGAAGATTTTGTTAAGTCACTGAATGAACAACTAGGGTCCAAGGCTGAGGGCAAAGTGGTGCAAAGTACTCTTTATCCCAAAGAGAGAGAGGGCAAGAAGCTCTTGGCAGTTGGGGTAGATGCTTCCCTGAAGGCTTCTTAAAAGGTGACTCAGATTTACCCAACTCAACCCATTCCATGTGAGCAGAAGACTCGGGAGGAGTGAGGGAATTATGAAGTCATTGCCTTGTTAGGAGTACTGGGGTGCATCCCTTTCTGCTCCTCCAAAGCCAAGTGAGGGTTGCCCCAGAAGAGTCCTGGGTAAAGAGTTGGAATTCCTTCCACAAGGAAGACTGGCATCTCACGCCCAGTTGGAAGTCAGCTTAGACTGGACTGTGGGTCTGCCCTGATCCTGCCTGAGCCAATGAAAACAACATTCGAGGCTGGGCATGGCGGCTCATGCCTGTAACCCCAGCACTTTGGGAGGCTAACGTGGGTGGATCACCTGAGGTCAGGAGTTCAAGACTAGCCTGGGCAACATGGTGAAAACTTGTCTCTACTAAAAATACAAAAATTAGCTGGGTGTGGTGGCCCGCAGCTGTGATCCCAGCTACTCAGGAGGCTGAGGCAGGAGAATCACTTGAACCCAGGAGGCGGAGGTTGCAGTGAGCCGAGATCACGCCACTGCACTCCAGCCTGGGTGACAAGAGTGAAACTTCATCTCAAAAAAAAAAGAAAAAGGAAAAGAAAAGAACATTCTTGAGAGGGTGGTGGTGGTGTGACCTTGTACTGTGTGTGATCTTGTACACAGTGTGATCACTGTGTGGAGGGACAAGGTGGTATAGGTGTTCTGTGGGTGCAGTGACCCCATGGACAGTAGTAGATTTGAGTCATTTTGTAATATCCCACCTGTTATGCACTGAATTGTGTCTCTCCAAATCCATATATGTTGAAGTCCTATCTTCTATTTGGAGATGGTTTCTTTAAAATGAATTCATTAGGGTAGGCCCTAATCCAGTAGGATTGGTGTCTTTATGAGGAAAAGAGATTAGGACATGCACACACACAGAGGGATGACTGTGAAAACAGAGAGAGAAGATGGCCATCTTCAAGTCCAGGAGAGAGGCCTCAGAAGAAACCAACCCTGATGACATCTTGATCTCAGACTTCCAACCTCCAGAATTGTGAGCGAGTAAATTTCTGTTGGTGAAGTTACTGTGTGCGATACTTTGCTATGGAAGCCCTCCAAACGACGATGCCTCCCAAGGTGAGAAGTCCCCAGCCAGAGGCAGTGCCAGGAGCTGAGGACAAAAGGAAGATGTGGAATGAAGCCGGTCCTCCTGTATCAGTGAAGTGTACAGTGGGGAGGCCCCACAGGCCCTCAAGGAACTCCTACAAGTTTCCAACAGAGGGAGGGGCTCCCAGAGTTCAGGCTGGGAAGAGGAGTGAGAGAATGATCCAGGCCTCTCTCCAGCTTCCACCTCACCCTCCCACCCAGGCCCTTTTCACAGATCAGAATCCTGGGGTAAGAGGAGGAATGGGAGAACCCTTCCTATCCCAAATTCCCTGAAGCACAGCTTTGGTTGGCCCAGGTAGGAGAGTGAAGGAGATAGAATTTTTAGATGAGAAACTGGATGTTTTAAACTAGATTAGATTTTAGTAATTGAAAGTAACAAGATAGCATGATGTAGGGAAGGAAGATTCAGCATAGCACAGTTGGGAAAATCAGAGATCTGAGAAATTTTTAATTATTTCGTGTTTGCATGATCATCAAATTCAGACTGTTTTTGAAAACCCTCCAGTTTTGTTTTTGTATTTTTACAGTAAACATCTTTTTACATATATCTTGGTATATACCTGTGAGTATTCTGCACTATATATTCTTAGAACAGCTGGTCAAAGGCTATGTGTATTTAAAATTTTGATGACTACAACCAAAAACTGTACCTCAATTTATATTCCTTATAGAAACACATTTGGGTGTACCACTTGCACCAATATGAGAGCTTCACAGTTTTAAATATATATTCAACTTTAAGAAAATGAAATGTTATTTAAGTTGTTAGACTCTAGGACAGCGGTTGTCAAACCTCCCCCTACGCTACCCACCAAGCCCAATCCAGTCAGCCACCTATTTTTGTCCATAAAGTTTTATTGGAACACAGCCATACCTATGCATTTACATATTGTCTATAGCTACGTTTGTGCTAGGACAACAGAGCTCAGTTGTTGCCACAGAAACTGTAGAGCATGTAAAGCCCAACATATTCAGTATCTAGCCCTTCCAGAAACACTGTGCTGATTCCACCTCCAGAAAAGTCAAAGGCAACCCTCCCATGTCCTGCAGATTAGCAAATATAACTGCTGAGCAGCAGTTGAAGGAATATCTTATCTATGTGTGTTCCTGTGGTTCATATTTCTGGTGCCAGCTTGTCCAAGGCATTTGGATGACTTCACACTCTTGAACTACTTGGGGCAGGAAGTCAGACTGCAAGAGTGCAGCTTTGCATTGCACTGTGGGGAAGGGGACCCTTTGTGAGCTTATCTTATGGGCAGGAGGGTGGGGCAGGCAGGCAGTCTTCCCAAAGTGTAAATCCCAGGAGATGCTGAGCAGGTGAAATGGGGGCTGCAGATGGCAGGAGCCTATGCTGCCAGCCCAGCCAGTTCTGCTGCTCACTTGGGCGTCCTGCAGATGCTGGCATCCCTGGCATTGAAGATTGTCTCCAATTCTGAAGAAAAACAATGGTCTACTTTTCCCCCTTCCCTTCGGAAGAACCTCATTCTTTCAAATTCACTCCCAGTTGCTCCTAATATTATCAAAGAGCTTTTACTGTTGGAGGAGAGAGCACAATATGTGCCACACCAGAGAGTGACCGTTGCCTAATTGGGTTCACAGTGATGACTTCTTTGTAAAACACTCCCATAAGCATCACCTATATTTCTAAATTATGTTTTGACAAAAGCTAAACTTCTTATCAAAAGGAATTTGTTGGAAGAGAATTTTCTTTTTTTTTGTGACAGAGTTTCGCTCTTGTTGCCCAGGCTGGAGTGTAATGATGCGATCTTGGCTCACCCCAACCTCTGCTTCCTGGGTTCAAGTGATTCTCCTTTCTCAGCCTCCCAAGTACCCGGGATTACAGGCATGCACCACCACAGCCGGCTAATTTTGTATTTTTAATAGAGACAGGGTTTCTCCATGTTGGTCAGGCTGATCTCTGTAGGGTCCAGCCCCACAGGGTCAGTGGGTTTTTCTCCCTGTGTGCGGAGACGAGAGATTGCAGAAATAAAGACACAAGACAAAGAGATAAAAGAAAAGACAGCTGGGCCCGGGGGACCACTACCACCAAGACGCGGAGACTGGTAGTGGCCCTGAATGCAAGGCTGCACTGTTATTTATTGGATACAAGGCAAAAGGGGCAGGATAAGGAGTGTGAGTCATCTCCAATGATTGACAAGGTCACATGAGTCACGTGTCCACTGGACAGGGGGCCCTTCCCTGCCTGGCAGCCAAGGCAGAGAGAGAGGGAGAGAGAGAGGACAGCTTACGCCATTATTTCTGCATATCAGAGACTTTTAGTACTTTCACTAATTTTGCTACTGCTATCTAAAAGGCAGAGCCTGGTGTACAGGATGGAACATGAAAGCGGACTAGGAGCGTGGCCAATGAAGCACAGCATCACAGGGAGATGGTTAGGCCTCCGGATAACTGCGGGCAAGCCTGACTGATGTCAGGCCCTCCACAAGAGGTGGAGGAGTAGAGTCTTCTCTAAACTTCCCCGGGGAAAGAGAGACTCCCTTTCCAGGTCTGCTAAGTAGCGGGTGTTTTCCCTTGGCACTGACACTACCGCTAGACCACGGTCCGCTTGGCAACGGGTGTCTTCCAAGGCCCTGGCATTACCGCTAGACCAAGGAGCCCTCTGGTGGCCCTGTCCGGGCATAACAGAAGGCTCACACTCTTGTCTTCTGGTCACTTCTCACTATGTCCCCTCAGCTCCTATCACTGTATGGCCTGGTTTTTCCTAGGTTATGATTATAGAGTGAAGATTCTTATAATATTGGAATAAAGAGTAATTGCTACGAACTAATGATTAATGATATTCATATATAATCATGTCTATGATCTAGATCTAGTATAATTCTTGTTGTTTTATATATTTTATTATACTGAAACAGCTCGTGCCCTCAGTCTTTTGCCTTGGCACCTAGGTGGCTTGCCGCCCACAGATCTCGAACTCCTGACCTCAGGTGATCTGCCCACCTCAGCCTCCCAAAGTGCAGGGATTACAGGTGTGAGCCACCACGCCTGGCCTGGAAGATAATTTTTATGGTCAAGTTTCACTATGTGGTGAGACATTCTGAGGAGCACTTTACCCAAAGGGCAGGGCACCTTCACGTGTCTAAATCTGTGTTGTTCAATAGTGACTCATTCATCTCCACCATGTGCTGAGCCCTGTGCTAAGCACTGGGTGTGCTTGTCCCCCAGGAGATTCATGTGTGTGTGGAGAGGGTGGCAGTGGGGAGGAGTGGGGGCAGACACATTTCAAACAGGAAATCATAGGAACATGGCAGCATCCACGTGAGGTAAGCACAGGGTGCTATGGGACATGACCCGACTCTGTGGGGAGGAGGTGAGGTCCCAGGTCCCCACTCTGTGGGATGGAGGTGAGGTCCCAGGACCTTACTCTGTGGGGTGGAGGTGAGGTCCCAGATCCCGATTCTGTGGGATGGAGGCGAGGTTCCAGGATGGAGATGTCCACACTGAGTAGTACAGGACAGCAAGATTGGCAAGGCTAAGTGGGGAGTGGGGAATGAGAAAGGAGGCTTGAGTCTGGGCTTAGGGGCCAGGTCAAGAGGGCCTTGTGAGCCCTTCTCTGAAGCCAAATTCTTTCCCTGAAGTGGTGAATTGAAAGGATTTAAACACAAGAAGGTGGTGTCAAGGTTAAGATGAAGAAGGATATTAGTTATAATTTGGAGGAGGTAGGGATGACGATCGTAAACAGAAAGGTGGTGATGTTTCTGCATGAAAAAAATGAACTTGAACTAAGGCTTTTGTAGTGAGAATGGAGTGGAGAGGATGACATAAATTTATAGGATTGGATGGCCAACTGGATGAGGAAGAAATGGTGGGAAAGAAAAGAAAGTAAGAGTGAATGCCAGTTTGGGAGCTTGAGTGCCCAGGTGATATGTAGAGACATTCACTAGGATGAGGAATGTATTAGTTAGCTATTGCTGTATAATAAATAATCTCGGCCAGGTGCAATGGCTCATGCCTGTAATCCCAGCACTTTGGGAGGCCGAAGTGGGAGGATCACTTGAGCCTGGGAGTTGGAGACCAGCCTGACCAACATGGTGAAACCCCATCTCTCCTAAAAATTAGCTCGGCATGGTGGTGCACGTCTGTAATCCCAGCTACTCGGGAGGCTGAGGCAGGAGAATCACTTGAACGCAGGAGATGGAGACTGGAGTGAGCCGAGATCGCTCCATTGCGCTCCAGCCTGGGCAATACAGCAAGACCCTGTCTCAAAAAATAAATGAATAAAATAAATAATATCAAAGTTTAGCAGCTTAAAACAACAAACATTGATTATTTCCCAGTGTTTGTAATAGGAATTCAAGAGTGTATTAGCTAGATGGTTCTGGCTTAAGGTATCTTGTTAAGTTGCCATCAAGACATTAGCCAGGCTGCAGGATCTGCCTCCAAGATGGCTCGTTCACATGGCTGTTGGCAGAAGGCTTCAGTTCCTTCCTGGATTTTCACAGGAAGCCTCAGTTCCTTGCCACATGGACTCTCCACAGGGCTGCTTGACTGTCCTTACAACAGGGTAGCTGGTTTCTCCCAGACTGAGAGACCCAAGAGAGAACAAAGCACACAGTGCTTTTTAGGACCTAGCCTTAGAAGTCACCTACCATCCATTCCACCTTATTCTGTTCTTTAGAAGCAAATCATCAGTCCACACTTAAGGGACGGGAAATTAGGCTCCACCTTTTGAAAAGAGTGTCAAAGAATTCATGGACACTTTTCAAAGTCGTCACAGAGAAGGTAGGATGTAGCGGATCTGCGTAGAGGAAGATGTGGGATTAGGTTTTGAACATGTTCAGTTTGAGATCCCTTTGAGCCATCCTGGTTGTGAACTGTAAACTCACTTCCTAAATAAGTATATGCCCCTCTCCAATGTGAGATTATGCCATCTAATTTAATCTTCTCCACAACAAACAAATCTATTCATAGATCTTAAGGTTATAGGAAAAATATTAAAAGAAGCTAGCAAATAGCCTGCAGGCAAGAGGTAGAATTCTCCATGCATCCATCATTCACAGCCAAGGAGTTAATTATTCTCTGAAAAGCAAAGAGGTTGAAATGATAAAAATGTAGGCTTTCCTTCTATTCCTGCTCAGCGTTCCTCAAATTTTCATGTTTAAGCCTCACTGTAAAAAGAAAAAAAAATTGACATGCAAAACCATGTACACTCTATTCAGGGAACAATTCAAGAAAATGTTTGAGGATCATTGAGCTACAAGTGATTTTTTTGCTCCCTGCAGAATTTTAGAATCTGACCCTGGGTAAGGAGGCTGCGTCGTGTCCCCCACCTCTGAGAACCTGAGAATGTTTAGCTGTGGTTTCTGCAGTTTTGCACATTCCCTAAAGAAGGTGTCTGGGCGAGTGCTCGGCGCTTATCTTCCTACTGTGTGCAGTCAGTTTCCAGCTCTCACCTCCCTCCTTCATCTCTCTTCAGCTGGCTGGCTTCTAAGATGCTTCTCCCTGCCTGGCCACAGTGCTTACCTGTTCTAGGATGAGAGAGGCCCAGCTGGGTTAGCGAACTGTTGCTAAAGAGCGTTATTTCATGGGCTTGACCCCAGCTTCCTATTGTAGCATTTCCTGTCTTGGGATTAGCTTGATTAGGCAAAGTGTGAAGCTCAGTGCTGCTTCAGTCTCACCTCCTACTTTGAGTAATTTGATAAGTACTCTGTGGTTCACAGGGTGCCATGTACTGCTGGCTTAAATGGAGCAGCCTACTTTATCAGACAAGAACCCTCAAATGGCAGTCCTCCAGCCCATAGGCTAATTGATATTCTTAACGAGGGAAGGCAAGCACCTCATGAAAGGTTTTGTTTGTGTTTTCTTTTTTCTTTTTATCTCTGTTTCTAGAGACAGCAACCTTATCAGTCCAGCAGATCTTAATAGACTAGAAAGAAGCCAGGAGAGTATTAAGGAACTCTTAACACAAGAGATATTTCTCTTTATGTAATCATTTTCCCAAAATATATCAGCATAACCGTCAGTATTTTTCTAAAGAACAATGGACCCCATGTCATGACCTGCTACTTTACTTTTTATGGAGGTATATATTTCAGTGGCCAATCTTGTAAAAGTGGTTATTCCTGAAAAGGGGTGCCACCTGCTGCTGGATATCCGTGTCTGTCAGGAAACATTACCATCTAGAAATGCTACTGGTATGTGTGTGCCAGCTCTTGGCTCACTGCTCATTTCCTGTTAAAAAGAACCTAATCTCAGGCAAAGCTAATCCTACAACAACAGTCAAATCCCTCCAGATTCAGATACGTTGAAAAAATACAAAATGCAGAATGGGCTTAATTTTGTACCTGTTCTAAAGGCAAGAAGGTGCATTTATGTCCAAAAGTTCTGCATTTGTTGTCCTTCATTCTCTGTCACATACTGCAATTAGCCTTCCATATGAAGAAATGTAAGTATCAGAAACACACAATCTACGAATATACGTGGGCTTCATTCTCAAATTGGAGACTTCCATTTCTATCACCGTTCTTTCTCCATTTGGTGGTATTCAGGATCATTAGAGAAGGTGCAAAGATTTAGCATAAATAGCATCAAGTCACCTAAGAGCATGTTTCTTTTTATAACTTCCTGGGCTGAGTTGAATGCTTAGCTAATTCAGTTCATCTTATTTCCTAAAATCTGAACTTAAGGCTATTTATTTTCCTCTAGGAACTTCTTTAGCTGCTTTCACAAGTTTGGATGTGCAGGGCTTTATTGTTTGGTTACTTACACGTGTGTTTTTTAGTCTCCAAACTGTGATTGGAGACTTTTTGTGATTGATAACTAGAGGTATGGCCCCGAAGTCAGAGAATATAGTACATGTGATGTTGACTTTTGGTATTTTATGAGACATCACGTATGGTAAGTTTTGGTGAGTTCAAAAAA
Organism: Homo sapiens; assembly: GCF_000001405.40. Taxonomy (NCBI): domain Eukaryota; kingdom Metazoa; phylum Chordata; class Mammalia; order Primates; family Hominidae; genus Homo; species Homo sapiens. The sequence goes on along the minus strand of NC_000009.12, from coordinate 76,661,881 downwards.
AAAAAACTGTGTTTTTATTGACTGCAGATCTCTCCATTAGATCAAGCTATATTACTGCATTGTTCAGATCTGCCATATTCTTATATATTTCTTTTCAAATTAATTTATAAATTCTTGAGAGGTATACTCAGATTTTACCCCATGAAATTTATTTTGCCTTATAATGTATTTTCAATTTTTGTTTTACATATTTTGAGGCTATGTTGTTAAGAACACATTGGCTCTCAATTATTACATCTTCTGAAGAATTATTCCTTGTATCACTAAATAATAACTTTCTTTAGCCTTAATAATGCCTTTTCTGAAGTCTGTTTTGCTGGGCATTAATACTGTAATGCTGGCCAGGTGCAGTGGCTCATGCCTGTAATCCCAGCACTTTGGGAGGCTGAGGCAGGCAGATCACCTGAGGTCAGGAGTTTGAGACCAGGCTGGCCAACATGGTGAAACCCCATCTCTATTAAAAATACAAAACTTAGCTGGGCATGGTGGCAGGTGCCTGTAATCCTAGCTACTTGGGAGGCTGAGGCAGGAGAATCGCTTAAACCCAGGAGGTGGAGACTTCAGTGAGCCAAGATTGCACCACTGTACTCCAGCCTGGACGACTGTACCAAAAAATACTAACAATAATGATAAATAATAATAATATTGTAATGCTTTCTTGTGTTTAGTATTTCTCTGTTTTTTAAAAATACCACTTTCTTGTCAACACTTCTGCATTATTATGTTTTAGATGTTTCTTTTTTAAGCAGAATGGCTACTGAGGTCTTGGTGACATTACCTGCTATGACAACCCCAAATCTCAGTGGTTTAACACAACAAAGGTTTAGATATTATTCTTTAATCATTATGGCCTCTTTCATGCTATTCTTTTATTTTATTACTTTTATTGCTAATTTTTCTATTTATTGCATCTCCTGGAAATGCCTCAAAGTATTTTTCCCAAGTGTAGTTTATAGGGTTTTTTTATATGAGCTCATCTTTCAGAGAGTTTTTTCTTGCACCTAATTGGATTTCCAGTGAAACTTGCTTGTAGAAGTAAGCACTACCAAGTGGTTTCACATCTGATTCTTTCTTTCTTTCTTTTTTTTTTTTTTTTTTTTGATTCAGAGTCTTGCTCTGTTGCCCAGGCTGGAGTTCAGTGATGTAATCTCGGCTCTCTGCAACTTCCGCCTCCCGGGTTCAGGTGATTCTTCTGCCTCAGCCTCCCAAGTAGCTGGGATTACAGGTGTGCACCACCACACCCGGCTAATTTTTGTATTTTTAGTAGAGATGGGGTTTCACCATCTTGGCCAGGCTGGTCTTGAACTCCTGACCTCATGATCCACCTGCCTCGGCCTCCCAAAGTGTTGGGATTACAGGCGTGAGCCACCGTGCCTGGCCCACATCTGATTCTTTTGGAACCCTAGGGTCCTAGGTGTTCAGTGATCCTAGATGAATTTTCATCTTAATTTCTTGATTCATTTCTACATCATTCAGGTAATATAAATTGAGACATGAGCGGCCCACAGCTAGTGTCTCCAGCTCCTACTGGTTGCTTTTTATTTTCTACCCAAAACCTCCAAGGCCAGAGGAGAGAGTTTTTTTCCATCCCCTTTTTGTTAAGGGGAAAGTTCCTGAAGGTCCAGAGCCCTATATAGAAGTTCAGGTCTAGGCCTTTCTTCCATCACCAGGAGGTCCCTTATGCTGTGAGACCCTAAGTCCTGTGTCCAGTGCAAGAACCCTGTGTGCTAGGTTTTTATCAGCCTTCTATAATAACTCTTTATTTCTGGCACCTGTGGACTTAATCTTATTTTTTTAAGCTTGGAAATGTATTAGTAACTTTTGGAGTATGCTATTTCATATAGCATTTCTTGTATTTTTAATGATACATGGCTTTACACCTTGTCAGACTTAGCCAACACTTCCTAACATCTCTCTTTTAGCAAAGAGGAAAAACCTCTGAGTGAGATTCCAGGGGTTTCTAACTTAAATTTAATAGTATTATTTTATTTTTATTATATTTAATTTTTTCTATATATGTTATTTATTTTATGTAACTTAAATCACTCACCATTTATTTTACGTGAGTGATTTAAGTTTACATATAATGGTTGAGTATCCCTAGTCTGAAATCTAAAATGCTCCAAAATTCATGTTCTTCAGTGCTGACACAACACTCAGAGGAAATGCTCATTGGAGCATTTCAGATTTCAGATCGTCAGAGTAGGGATTCTCAACTTGTAGTATATAATGCAAATATTCCAAAATCCAAAAAAGTCGGAAGGTTTAAATACTTCTGGTCCCAAGCATTTTGGATAAGGGATACTCAACCTGTACACTAGTGATACAAACATTCCTCTCAAAATAACCTTAATAAAATAAGTCAATCTAAAGAAAATGTTAAGTAAATTGGCAAGTGATTAAAGGCTATGACAAAAACCCTAAAGGTGATATATTAATACTCAGTCTTATAGAATATTTAAAAGCATTCAGTGTCTTTTCAAGCTTTTTGTTCCTATATGCTTTGATGCTTTAGCAATCCAGACGTAAAGATATTTACTGTCAATATGAATCTGGGCTAAGAATGTGGAAAATTGGTTACCCAAATCAGGAAATAAATTTTTGAGCATAGCATAAGTCAAATATTCCCTTTGAAACAATAAAGGCCAGCTATATAGTAAGAATGGGCTAGATCGTAATGTGGTAACAAATAACTACAATATCTCAGGGCAAAACACAACAAAAGTTCATTTCTTGTTTACATTTCCAGCAAGCTTTCATCGAGGCCTCTGCTCATCAGAGGCACTCGGGACACAGCCTGGCCGAGCCCCTCCACAGCCACCTATGTGGGAAGAGGATGTGGCTCCTCACACGCTTGCTCCTAAGCCTTCTGCTCAGAAGCGACATCTCTCCCTTCCACTCTTTCTTCATTAGCCAAAGCAAGTCATGTGGCTACCCTAACTTCAAAGGGGACAGGAAAGTGCAATACTACCATGCACTCAAAAGGCAGAGAGCCAGAAATACTTGGTGAAGATCAATATGTCATAATACATTGATCTTCTAACACACATGGTGTTAATGTCACAGTACCATCCAGCAAAGAAACCATGAAGCAGTTTTAATACATCCTCTAGATGGAGACATGTAGCTGTTTCAGCCATAGTACAGCCTGACTTGTGTTTACAACTCCCTCAACCTCTTGGTTAGCTCCATTCTGTATAAAGAAACTCAAAATTAAGTAGAGGCTACAGATAGATAAAGTAAAATACAGACCTTTACACTGGACTGGTTTGTTACCTAACAGATCTTGAGAGGCTTCAGTTACTGATCACAAAACTGCTGTCCTGCTTAGTCAACAACTGCTGTTTGGCCACTTCATTTCTGCAAATGTTTATGGGCTTAATGTATGAATGTGGTTGAAGTATTTACAAAGAGCGTGACTTGGGTTTCTCTTAGATTTGCTTCTAGGCTATTCTGGCTCAGCTTTCCCTCTGTCCCAGGGGTTTTCTAACATGTCCCTATAGCCTTCTTTTTGGGGGGGAGTGGGACGGAGTTTTGCTCTTTTTGCCCAGGCTGGAGTGCAATGGCACCATCTCAGCTCACCACAACCTCTGCCTCCCAGGTTTAAGCAATTCTCCTGCCTCAGCCTCCCGAGTAGCTGGGATTACAGGCATGCGCCACCACACCCAGCTAATTTTGTATTTTTAGTAGAGATGGGGTTTCTCCATCTTGGTCAGGGTGTTCTTGAACTCCCAATATCAGGTGACCCACCCGCCTCAGCCTCCCAAAGTGCTGGGATTATAGGCGTGAGCCACTGCGCCCGGCCTAGCCTTCTTTAATATCCATGGGTTTGTGTGAATCTCTCTCCTTGGGTCATCCGCTGATCACAGCCTTCAGCATTTTTCTTCCCCCGGTGCATGCTAACACAGGGGGAAGAAATCTGTGCCTTCTTCATAGGGTCTCTGCTTTGTGTTGAAAAGGAGCACTTAGAGGCAAAGGCTCTATTTTCTAACATCAATGAGTTGAGGAGCATTTCTAGGCTCTGTGGAGATTTGTGCAGTAATAAGATTATCTTTTACCTGGACTAATGCCCAAATTATAGTGACCTTAATTATGATTTGTCCAACCATGACACATACTTTAATTAAACCACTGCTCCTGTACTATGTTTTAAGTGGAGGGTATGTAATACCTTAAACTCAGACAGTGCTTTATGACTTACAGAGTACTTTTATTTGGATTGTATTTATTCTCCACAGTCACTGTGATGTTGGGTATTATCCCCTTTTAAAATCACAGAAATGGCCAACTAATCTTCTCAGAGTTAATCAGCTTGTTGATACTGGCAGCAGAACTATAACTCAGAACTAAAACCTCATATCCAGGCAGGACTCCTGCAATTATTCCATGATGTTGCCCATAATTCACAATTGTTTAAAAAAATCTATTAAACTTAAGCTGATCCTATCTATTTTAAAACCATCATATTTATTTTGATGCCAAGGCCCACATCCTGTGTGCTCTGTCAGGCAGATAGAAATCTGATATCTTTATTTTTGTTCAAGGTTGACTCTTAGGCAGATAACTAGAAAAATAATGTACATGTGCCTTTAGAATATTTCAGGCTCAATAATTCAATCCAACATAGTAAGTGGTAGAACTAAGATTTAAACCCAGTGGCTCTTAATAGCAGCATTTTGCTACTTGACAGGTACGAGAAGTTTGATGTCAAGGAGAACACACAAAATGACAAAGATCATTGTAAGGAATTCCAAAAACTGCAGGATCATGGGATACCCAGACATCTGTCCCTCTAGGTCCTAGGACTTTCAAAACTGGGGCCTGGTGCAGATCTTCTCTTTGCATACCTCCCCAATCTTTGTTGCTGAATAACGTGGTTTGATTCCACCTATCATAGTGTATCTCTGTTTGGCACAGGTTGTCTTGTTCCTGCTGATACATTATTGTCTGTCTTACATGCCAACCTCTTGCATGCCCCTTTGCTACCAGGGCACAGGTCTAGTTTTAGAGAACACACAGGGTCAAAGCCACAGGAAGAATGTGGACAAAGAAACTCCCTGATGCTGAGCTTTTGAAGGGGTCTCAGGAGTTGGTAGGTAAGTACACAGGCACTTACCTCTATCCAGGGGAGCAGCACTGAGTTTTTGAAGGTAGGGGTCATTGTATTAGCTCCATCATCCCAACTCCACCACGAGAATGAGACGGGTCTGTTTTGTTCCTCTATATCCTCGGCACATAGTAGACACTTAATAGATATTTGTTGAATAAATGAAGCAAATGCAGTAATCGCTAAGGGTGCAGATTATTTTCTTTCATCATAGTGCTTTATTGACAGTAGGGGATTTGACTTGCATCCTGGAGAAGCAGATTAAACTCCAAAGGTTTGGTAGATCCAGCGTTACATAGTGCAAAGTACAGTAAGAGAGGCAGAAGGGGACTAAATTAAGAACTTTAACATAAAGGTTTATCATGTTTAAAATTAGGTTAGTGCCCACATCATAAGGACTCACCCTAGGTGAATGAAATTACGTGAAACTCACAGAGAAGAAATATATATTATGGTAAATGGGGTCTTACTGAACAAAGGTCCAGGGATGAAAATAAATCAAGAGAAATTTATCGTGAACAGTGGTCAGCTTCTTAGAAGAACATATAGATTCGTCACAATTGCCTTTGGTATTTCCTGTTTCCCTACACTTCTTACCAAATGTGCTAATACAGATGGTTGTGGGCTCAGCACTGATTAGAAACAAGAGGTGGGAAGTCATGACCAGAGCCATCTTCACCAACATATATTCACAGTGACTCTTTAAATATTCAAAAAAGGAAGAAAAATAACATCAGTCTATGCCTGCTCAGGAGTGTTAGGCACTTTACTTTTGTAGCTTAATCTTTAAACAACGTGGTGAAGTAGGTGTATATCCCTAGTTTACAAATGAAAACTGAGATCAACAGAATATGCTCTCCCTCTGTCCATGGGAATTTAATTAAAATACTCAAATTTACAGAGTAAGAGATGTGTACAAAGCACATATATTGACCCTGTTGTTAAAAATATATATATATTAAATGTCCCCGAAGTATATTTTATTAGTTGTTTGCATTTCCTATTTCTGAGTTTCCCACTTGGTGTGTGTTTATTAAGTGAGCTAGCAGAAGTGACTTGATGTAAGCAAGTGAAATTGGTGTCCATTTTTCTCATTTACCATAACTGCAGAAAGTCTTTAATTTGGGACCACTTACAGTGGATTCAGTCCCCATACATGGTTTATTTTAAGTGAGTTGAAAATGTTATCCTGGACTCTGTGGGTTTCCTTTTCAAAAGAAATGAAGTCTTACACAGTTGTTGTTGACGCGCTTTGCTTTGCTTTTTTTGCAGACTACTGTCAGAGGATGTAGGAATGGACATCCCCTTTGAAGAGGGCGTGCTGAGTCCCAGTGCTGCAGACATGAGGCCTGGTGAGAGCAGCATTTGTTCATTTCCTTCGTTGGTATTCTGTATCCCAACGTTTTCATTATTCAGTGAAAGAATTATTTCCTGTGCATCTAACTTATGATTTCAGTGATAACAGTGAGAGGAAAAAAGAAATGTGTGATATGAAGGTGTTAGGCTGCATTTGGTTAATTTAAGAGTTGGCTTGAATACTGATGCTCGCTAGTGTGGGCTGCATTTTATCTCCTAGACCACAGCCTTATCTGCCAATGTTTTCAGTTCCTGTGATAATTGGCTACTGTATATTGTACCAAATTCTGACTAATGTCTAAGTTCTCCGCATTTACACATAATTGTAAGAATGTTTAAAATTGGAAATGTGATATCAAGAATGCTCAGTATCCTAACTATCAAAACCAAAACCAAGACAACAACAATAAAAAACAACTACCCTACATTTTAGGGGTTTACAACCCAAGGCATACACAAAAAGGAATTTAATTTTTCAATTGCAACTTATATGACTCTCACTGTATTCCAGGGTCACTCTCTTGCATTACACCAACTCCAGGATCATACCAAGATCCTGAATCATGTATTCTCAGCCAAGCCTACAGTGTGGTAGGAAGAAGGAAGGCAATTACATTTCTTTTCTGTCGTAGTATTTGAAATGCATTCTTCAAAATACTAGTCATGTAACAGAATTATTTCTAAATGTTCTATGGCCAAATATGCTTGGTAACCACAGTATGTTTATTTGAATCTTCCAAGTTCACAATGTACTTTTGAATGATAAAGGCACTAAGGCTATGGTTATCTGATATGGTAAGCAGCTAGTCACATGTGGCTATTTAAATTAATTAAAATTAAAAACAATTTTTTAAAATGCTCTTCTTCAGTTGCACTAGCCTCATTTCAAGTGCTCAATAGCCAAATATAGAACCTTTTCATCATCACAAAGAATTCTTTGGGACATCACTGCTCTGCAAATTCCTGAAATATAGAAACTCAGTGTTGAAACTTACTTGTCAATAGAAACCTTTTTCAAGTAATACATAAAACCATTACCTAGAACAGAGTTTGGGTGATGTTCCATTCAGAAAAGAAAAAGCTTAATGACTGACAGGGGAACAGTGCCAATTTCTCCAGGACAAGGCCAGAGCCAGAATTCCAGAGTTGAAGGGTATGCCAAATGGTCTTCAAAATATTTCGTGCTTAGGAATCCTGTCATTTCTGGTTTTAGGTGAAGGCAACAAACTGTTTTCTCCTACTCTGCTCTCACACTGAACACTTCTGTGACCAGATGTGTAGGGTTTTGTTTTGTTTTGTTTGCCACACACCAAGCAATTTTCTAATGAACACCAACTGGGTGTCCTATAATTCAATTCTGACACTATCCACCTTAGGAAATGACAAGGGTTTTAAGACCTCTGTGCCTGGAACCAGGGCCAAAGACCAAATACATTTCTTATTATACTACAGTAGGGTATGTCTCTACCTTTGTTTTGTTAGTTTAAGCTTGGTTAAAAAATGACTTCTCCAGCTCTGCTTCTATTAAATGAAAGGCAGCTGAGCGGGAAGATGCATACTACAATGAGAGGAGGGAGCCTACACATAAGATTGTCACTTATGTTATGGGAACCAATGTCAAGCGAGATTGGCATAAGAGCTGGTGACTGCTTGGGTGAGTTCAAAGAATGTTACCTGGGAGGATACTTCGGCCAGGTAAAGGGCACTGAAGATCATATACAGAGTTGTCAGGACCTAAAAGAAGTATTTTGGGAGTGTCTGTGAACATGACAAAGTTCTTAACGTACATTCCATAGGAGCAAAGTCAACACAAACGATTAGAAAATATAGTTGGCCCTTTCTATCCATGGTTCCAAATCCGTGGATTCAACCTACCACAGAAGAAAAATATTCAAAGAAAAAAAAATCGCATCTGTACTGAACATGTACAAACTTTTTTTCCTGGTCATTATTTCTAAACACAGTGCAAACACTATTTACTTTGTATTAGGTATTATAATTATTCTAGAGATGATTTGAAGTATACAGAAGGATGTGCATGGGTTATATGTCAACACTACACCATTTTATATTAGGGACTTGAGCATCTGTACATTTTAGTTTCCACCAGGGGTCCTGGAATCAATCCCTTATGGATATCAAGGGACAACTGTATATGTAAACTTAACTATTTTTCTTATGCAGTATACCCCGTGAAAATTTAATTCAATTATTATAGCAATTTCAAGTTTTCAAACTTGAACAGGGAAATTCTAAAAACTAGTTATCTAACCATTTAGTAATAACTCCTACTTCCTGTTTCTACATGGCCAAGGCTGAGGGGGTTGGGAGGATCCAGTTACAGAGGGCTGCTTTCAAGAAGGGTGTCTATATCTCATACAAAGATTTCTATCAGGTCTGCTTTTGCTGAAAGGACTTTAAAAATGTTTTCCACTGGGCCCAAACCCACTCTTGGCAGCCACGTATAGGTTAAGTATCCCTTACTTAAATGCTTGGACCAGAGTGTTTCAGATTTTGGATTTTTTCAGATTTTGGAATATTTGGATTATACTTACTGGCTGAACATCCCAAATTCAAAATTCTGAAATCCAAAATGCTCCAGTGAGTATTTCCTTGACACGTCATGTTGGCACTCAAAAAGTTTCAGATTTTGGAGCATTTGGGATTTTGAAATTTTTGATTTAGATTGCTCCTCTGGTTTAATACTTGATGTTGCTGTTCTCTTTCTTCTTTAGAACCTCCTAATTCTCTGGATCTTAATGACACTCATCCTCGGAGAATCAAGCTCACAGCCCCAAATATCAATCTTTCTCTGGACCAAAGTGAAGGATCTATTCTCTCTGATGATAACTTGGACAGTCCAGATGAAATTGACATCAATGTGGATGAACTTGATACCCCCGATGAAGCAGATTCTTTTGAGTACACTGGCCATGGTAAGTCACTAAGTTGGCAAGGCCAAAGTTAAATGCTAAATAAGTAAAAGATTTTCTAACAGACCTCTCATTTTTGTGCCAGTGGATCCTTTTTGTGATTTCTAGAAGCTTCTGTTTTTATTTCAGGTTATAGGTGGCCATGATTGACAGTTTGGAGCCTGACAGAGAAAGTATGGGTCACAGAGGCCATACATAACCATTGCTCTTTATTAACCCCCACTCTGTGCTAGCATTTATGCTAGGCACTGGGGCTGAGGGAAGACTGTTACATGCTGTGTTACAAGAAACCTGGGGCTGGGTTTGCAGGGGAAGAGAATTTAATCAGGACGATAAAATTTGAAGAAGAGAAATCAGAGCTTGCCAATTTCTTGTATAAGTTCCCACTATCTGCAATGTTCTTTTCCCCAGATCCTTACGTGACTGACTCCTTCTCTTTATTCAGATGTTAATCAGATGTCACCTCCTCAGAGAAGTCTTCCTTGACCTCTGTAATCAAAGATGCTTCCCACTTCCCGACTCCCACCACCTAGTCACTCTCTGTCCCAGTGTTCATTTTATTTTCCACGTATCACTAATTCAAATTGTATTATTTAACTATTTGTTTGCATCTTTATTGTCTTTCTCTTACCACTCGAATGTATGCTCCACAGGAGCAAGGACTTTATATTTGATCCTGCGTCTCCAATAAAGTGGGAAGGAAGGAAGGGATGGTTTAGGGGGAGTGAGAGAAATGATAAAAAAGAAGATAATTAAAAGTTTTCAGATCATCCAAGACTGACACTCCTGATATGAACTTCAGTCTTTCTTTAGTTCTTTCTCTTACTCTATGAAATCTGGTTTAAGAAATATGTACAAATACAATCATTTTTTTTTAAATGGCATTATGTAGTTTCTGTTTCAGTTCTAGCCAGGGTGGAATTCTCTGAAGTTATAATATTTGAAAGTGAAAGCGAGAGAGTCTGGGACACAGCTATTGCTTTTATTCATTTTTAAAATTCACGCAATCTTAAAAGCAATACAGTGCCACAATTAAGTGGTGGCCTGACTTTTAGAGACATGCTAATTCTAGCAGTTCCACTCCTAGAAGAGCATAATTAGAAAATTCACCAAATTAGCTAATTATTTCAACCAATGGTCATTGAGCCGACATGAGCAGTGCAGTTCAGACTCTACCTTGACAGAGCTTAAGGCTTTATTTCCTCAAAAAGGAAATGGCTAAACGACTTGTTTTATAGTCTATTATGCTTAAGTAGAGTTTTTTTTTTCCATAAGTTATTGGGGTACAGGTGGTATTTGGTTACATGAGTAAGTTCTTTAGTGTAAGTAGAGATTTTATATTGCATTTTTATCATGTGTGAATTTCTGTAGTTATCTGGGTAGTTGATTCTGTAGGTTGAAATACACAAATAGGAGGTGAAAGAAGGTCTGGAATTTGTACTATTTCCTGTCATCCCAGAGAGTCTTCAGCAGCTCCTCTATCCATCCCAGTTGCCCCTACCAGCTCCTGCTCCTTTCCTGCTAATATATTGACAAAATCCCACAGAAGACTGTGGCATGACCCAACTGGCCCCTCTCTTGCCTCCGTATTTGCTTCCTTTTTGTCAGGAGAGCTTTGTCACACCACATCTGAACCTTTTATTTTTAAACATAGTAAAACTGTCGAGCAAAGCAGTGGTGGCTGGGCAAGCTGGTAATTAACACTGCCACTTGCTGACATGGCTCTTTTAATGTAGTTAACATAGCTGTGTTGAAAGAACCAGTTTAATGGCCACAACCCTGTTTTAGGTCTTAAATGCAAAGGACAGAATTGTAAACTAAGTTGAATTTTTAAATCTACCTTAATTTTCAAATGAAAGATATATAGTCAGAGGTTGAAACTTTGAAAACACAAAGTGCCTCTGAATAGCTATATTTTGTAAACATGAGGACATGGATAAGTGACTGTATAAGAGGGTTGGATTATAAATATGTTTGAGTTCTGAAGTATGAAATAAATGCTTGAAAGCAGCCTGTTTCTTAGGTTTCTCACGCGACCATTTTGAACCAGGAATGTACATTCTAAACAAAATAGGGGTTTTTAAGGTATAGTTTTTCAAAAACATTTGGGCCATAATTTATTTTCTTTTAATGAATACTTTTTCATTTATATTATATTTTTCGTGTATATATTTTCATTATATATGTTTCATTATATATTATATATTTGTACTATATATTTTTCATTTATATAGTTTTCATTGTATATTATATACCTCATTATATTATATAATTCATTATATAGTTTTCATTTAATTTATTTCATTTTATAACTAGAACAATGAAGCACAGAGAAGTTAAGTAATTTGCCTAAGGTCACACAGCTCATTGTTGCCCTTAGTTCCTGGCCCATGCTGCTTCCCAGTGAATATGCTAACAATGAATGGGAAAGGGTCTGTTACCAGATTGGACTTACATACTTGAAGCCAAACATGATAGCTCTTGCTCACATTTAGGCCTCTTTTTATCCAGTTTTCCTGACTTGCGGGAGACTCTAAAAAAAAAAAAGTAAGCGTTACTCTACCAAATGCCTAAAGGTTTTCAGGCCATTTGCCTGTTTTATTCAGTAGCTGATGACCAAACACCTCTGCCAGGGTTTTTGCTCACAATGCAATTTTGCTTATGGAAAATTTGTGAAGCTCACTATCAAATATATTCAATTGGTCTTCTCTTTCAAGCAATTTTCTTTAATAGTTGTGTCCATGGAATTGGTAAACTATAAGACATCAGCAAAATGGAATACTTGAGGGCTACTCTTAAAAATGAGCAGGATTTATATTTACTGAGACAAAAAGCCTATTCTATCTATCTATCTATCTATCTATCTATCTATCATCTATCTATCTATCTATCTATACTTTAAGACAGGCCCTCACTATGTCACCTAGGCTGGAGTGCACTGATGTAATCTCAGCCCACTGCCACCTCGACCACCCAGGCTCAGGTGACCCTCCTACCTTAGCCTCCTGAGTAGCTGGGACTACAGGCATGTGCCACCATACCCAGCTAATTGGTATATTTTTTTGTAGAGATGAGGTTTTGCCACGTTTCCCAGGCTGGTCTCAAACCTGTACTGTTTTAATAGATGATAGGAACAAATTATAGAACAATCTGTATAGAACATGCAGAATATATAGAATAATCATACTCTTTGAAAAATAAACGTGTCTGTGTATGTGCAGAGGAAGAATAATACACATCACACAGTAACAGATAAGTGGCATTGGTCATTCTCATTGTTTTCATGAAGCATGTCTGTATTCCTGGTACTTTCATTAATGCTTTTTGCTTTTTAAAAATTAATGAACTTTATTCTTTAGAGCAACTTTAGGTTCACAGCAAATCTGAGCGGAGAGTACAGAGTTTTCCTGTACCTGTTTCTCTACAAACATTCACCCTCCTTCACTGTCTACATCCCTTGCCAAGTGGTTGGGTTGTTACAACTGATGAACCTGCATTGACACATCATTATCACCCAAGGTCCATAGTTTACATGAGGGGTTCAGCTGTTTGTTTCTCACTTACTATAAAGTCTTTGTGTGGTATATTTTGAAACAGTACATAGAAAGTAATATCAAATTTATGTCCAGATGTGCTCCCAGTAGGGGGCTCAGCCCAGTTGTAAGAGTCTTAGAGTAGGAGTCTTGGCTTGTAGTATCATCACGATTCCAAGTTGTGCACTCTATGTGTTTAAGCAAATGTATAGTGGCAGCATTTATCCACCATTGTAGTATCATACAGAATCGTTTTTCTGCCTTAATTCTCTGTGCTCTGCCTATGTCTCCCTTTCCCGCAACCCCTAGCAATCACTGATGCTTTTACTGTCTCCATAGTTTTGCCTCTTCCAGAATCCATGTAGTTGGACTCATACAATATGCAGCTTTTTCAGACTGGCTTCCTTCACTTACGCAATTAAGGTTCCTCCATATCCTTTCATGGCTTGAAAGATCATTTCTTTTTAATGCTGAATAATATTCCATTGTCTGGACAAGTCACAGGTTATTTTCCATTCACCTACTGAAGGACGTCTTGGCTGCTTCCAAGTTTTGGCAATTATGAATGAAGCTGCTATAAACATACATGTGAAGCCTTTTGTGTGGGCATACATTTTCAGTGCATTTGGGTAATTACCAAGGAGTATGATGGCTAGATTGTAAGGTAAGAGTATGCTTAATTTTGTAAGAAACTGCCAAACTCTTCCAAAGTGGCTGGACCATTTTGCATTCCCACCAGCAATGAATGCGAGTTCCTGTCGCTTTGCATTCTCACCAGCATTTGGTGTCAGGGTTTTGGATTTGGGCCATTCTAATAGGTATGTAGTGGTATCTTGCTATTGTTTTAATTTGAAATTCTGTAATGACACATGATATTGAATATCTTTTCACATGCTTACCTGTCACCTGTATATCTTCTTTGTGAGGTACCTGTCCAGGTCTTTTGCCCATTTTCTTATTGTTGAGTTTTTGTTGTTGTTGTTGTTGTTTTTGAGACACAGTCTCGTGCTGTCGCCAGGCTGGAGTGCAGTGACGCAATCTCGGTTCACTGCAACCTCTAGCTCTTGGGTTCAAGCGATTCCCCTGTGTCAGCCTCCCAAGTAGCTGGGATTACAGATGCATGCCACCATGCGCAGCTAATGTTTTGTATTTTAGTAGAAACAGGGTTTCACCATGTTGGCAGGATGGTCTTGATCTCCTGACCTCGTGATCCACCCACCTCAGCCTCCCAAAGTGCTGGGATTACAGGCGTGAGCCACTGCACCTGGCCTTATTGTTGAGTATTAAGCATTCTTTGTATATTTTGGATAACAGTCCTCATCAGATATGTGTTTTGCAAATGTTTTCTCCCAGTCTGTGGCTTGTCTTCTTATTCTCATTCTCTTGATTTTTGTCTTTTATATAGTAGTTTTAATTTCAATGAAGTCCACCTTATCAATTATTTCTTTCATGGATCATGCCTTTGGTGTTGTATCTAAAAAGTCATCTTTGCATCCAAGGCCAGTTACATTTTCTCTTCTAAAAGTTTTACAGTTTTGAATTTTACATTTAGGTCTATGATCCATTTTCAATTAACTTTTGTGAAGGATCAAAGGCCTGGGTCCAGATTCATTATTTTACAGGTGGATGCCCAGTTATTTCAGCACTATGTTGAAAAGACTATCTTTGCTTTATTGTATTGCCTTTGCTCCTTGTCTAAGATCAGTTGACTATATTTATGTGATATGTGTTTTACTATAACCATAATAAAGAAAGTAGTATACAATTTTTGTTTTTTGAGACAAGGTCTCACTCTGTCACCCAGACAGGAGTGCAGTGGTACCATCATAGCTCACTGCAGCCTCAACCTCCTGGGCTCACGTGATCTTCCCAAGTAGCTGGGACTACAGGCACATGCCAACATATCCAGCTAATTTTTGTATTTTTTGTAGAGACTGGGTTTCGCCATGTTGCCCAGGACTGGTCTTGAACCCCTGAGCTCAAGTGATCCACCTGCCTTGGCCTTCAGAGTGCTGGGATTACAGGCTTGAGCCACCACACCCAATCAAAAATTTTTTACATAAGGGAATTTTAATAAAATTTGCAGAAAATAAAACAAAACAACCCTACGTTCACCCCACAGAGATGACCAGGGTAAAGCTAGAGCAGGTCAGAGGGTACCAAACAGGATGAAGAGGGTCTGGTGGATGGAAAGTTCACTAGAGGGAAAGGAGGGTGTGTACAAGAGCATCAGAATACAAACCTGCTTCAGAATCCAGAGTTCTGGGGGAGTAGAGACCAGATGGGAAATTGAGTTCCAGGAAGGGATATAAGATTAGCATCCTAGGGTCCTAACCCATGTAGGAAGGAAGAAGCAGGAAGGGATTCCAAAGAGATGGGTGGATTTGCACAAGGGACACGACGCTTGGCCTGAAGCCAGTGGTTTATGATCTGTGTCCTTGATAAGCTGCCGCATGCTGGTGGGAACACAGTGGAAGCCAGAGTGAGCCAAGGCTCTGTAGGTGGTGGTAGCTGTTGGTGTTGGCAAAAAAGGCTAGGATTGCTTCCCAACCGAACTTCATTTTGCTATCTAAGTCACTGGTAATTAGACACTTCTGAATATATAATTGCAGATTCTTCCAGAACATAATGGCAGTGTTGTGGCTTCCTTACAGATTAGCTCCATTTCCAGGAAACTATCCAAGTTTTTCTTAATTTACTCACCCACCTTCCCAATTGTTTTTGAGTGCTCTGAGTAAGTTTGTAAGCTAAGTAGGGAGTGGGTTGCTGGAAGTGAATATTAAAGGTTATTCAAGGCACAGTTTCTTAGCCCAGGGGACTCACAGTCTCTTTGTAAAATAAATAAGAAAGAGAATCACACATTCAAGGTACAATGTGGTAGATTAGAAGGGCTGAAAAAGGTAAAGGTTTTGACTATATTTGTTTAGTAACTGTGATCTGAGGCAAACCACTTCAGAGTCAGTTTTTGCATATAATGCCAATGGTATAATAATATAATGGTATAATGACCATTTTAATACCAACTAGTACCTGGTACAAGGTCAATACTTAACACAATAGTGCTGTTATTATCATCAAAGTGCCATAGAAAGAAGTGAAATGCAGTGTAAATTCAATGGTGCTTTTCCAGGAATGGAAAAATAAGAATGATAATGTCTTGGAATTATTGTGAAGGTTATAAATAATCTTTTCTTTCAGATTACTTAAACATACAAAGAATAACCATCATTAAGCTCTACTAATACTTCTAGTAAAAATGGAAACAATTGCTGCTTATTTTTTTAATAAAAATGGTTACTTTTTTTTTTTAAATGCACAAGAGTAAATTTCTTCCCAGAGGATGCTCAGTAGGCTTTTTTATTGTCTTATGCACCCATCAATTTGGGAGTCTTGTGCATTTGGGGTCTTGGAGCATTTCTGGTCTACAAAGTTGTTTGTTTCTCACTATAAAGTCTTGGTGTGGCATATTTTGAAACAGTACATAGAAAGTAATATCAAATTTATGTCCAGATATGCTCCCAATAGGGGGCTCAGCCCAGTTGTAAGAGTCTTAGAGTAGGAGTCTTGGCTTGTAGTATCATCACGATTCCAAGCTGAGGGCCCCAAAAGACTCTGAGCACTGAAGAGATGTGGCCCCAAAACCCCAAGATTTTCTGAGTCTAGTACACAGCCTTTCACCCCATTAGAAAGACCTGCAATCTTTCTTTACCCTGATCAAGGATGAGTTGGTCCTTGGACCACTACCCATGCAAGACAGCTTAAGTTTTGCACCTAGTCTCCCCCTCAGCATGGCCTTAGCAATGGATGTGGTTGTTCAGTTAATAAAAGAAGACTTCATTGAGTGTACTTTATATGGTCAGGATAGTGCTAAGCTCTGTAAAGGCTGTACAAAACAAGGACTTTGATCAGGTTGTTTCTGCAGGATGAAACAAAACAAAGGCTGCCCGTAGGAGTACTGTATTGTAAAGCTTACCATTTGGCTGTTTAGCTGCACTGTGGAGGTCTTGCTCCTTCAGCCTTGCTCTGTGCTTTGTTTCCAGAAGATCCCACAGCCAACAAAGATTCTGGCCAAGAGTCAGAGTCTATTCCAGAATATACGGCCGAAGAGGAACGGGAGGACAACCGGCTTTGGAGGACAGTGGTCATTGGAGAACAAGAGCAGCGCATTGACATGAAGGTCATCGAGCCCTACAGGAGAGTCATTTCTCACGGAGGTAGTCGAGCTCAGCATGAATCTGGGAAATGGGGAAGGGGCAGCCATTTTATTTAAAATCATGAAGTGAGTCTAGACTTCTCCGGAACATGACATCTCAAAGACCCTATTCTAGAGCCAATATTCAGGGAACTATAGAGCTAAGTATATTTCCTCATATTCAATTCAATAAACATTTGAAATCCTACTAGGCAAAGACAACTTTCCAATATAAAACGGGCTTTTCATGCTACATATCTGATAGCGATCATCTTGTGCAAATTTATTGAAAGTCATAGTTGTCTAATTTAAATGTCTGTTTGGCATTCTTATCAGTCCATTGTACGGTTGAACTGAACAGAGTATGTGACACCATGGCCTGTGTCATAACACTACCCCCGAGGTGCTTCTCATTACAAAATGGCCTTTTGAATCCTCTTCAGAAGCTTTGGGGATTTTTTTTTTAGACTTAGCCTGGTAATTGTTTCCCCTAACTGAAGTTTGCCTTTCTGTAAACTAGTAAACTACATTAAATCTAGGCCTGACAACAGCCAACCCCAGTCAAAGCCTCCACCTGTTTGGTGAGAGACAAGGGAGAGAGAAAAGTGTGTTTGTATTTCCAGCACTTTCTTGAGGGCTCCTGGAGCATATGTGGCCTTGATTAATTTGGGAGTCACAAAAAGTCAGATGAGTGGAAGCAACACATTTAACATTGTCAACTTCAGAAAACCTCGACAGCATTTTGATTCTTCTGCTGCGTGCCTTCCTTTCCCGAGCCTGAGGTGCCACTGTAACCACCCAGCTGTTCAGAAAGAGTGTGAGCTGACAAGGCAGTTGTTGCTCTCTCAGTTCTCTCTTCCTTAATGAGGACAGGGAAATGAGAGTCTTAGCACTGCCTCAAAACACTGCTTTTGTTTTCTATTATAACAAGCAGAAGGCTGATCTGTTATTTCAATCAAACCTTTCTCCGCCAGCAGATTTTTCACCTTCCATCCCATACATTGCTACCCCCACATAAGTATCAGGACCACCCAGGGAACCTGACCACTGTAGCAAAGGTGAATGCCAGTCCCTGGCCCTGGCCATGGCCTTTCTTTGTCTTGCCTTACTGTTTGACCTGAAATGGAAATATGCCCCGCTGAGAGCTGCTGTGGGGTCAGGAGCAGTTTCCTCTAAGGGAAATCATGCCCGTAGCCCTTCAGAATGAGAGTTGGCCCCATCTTGCTGCAAGTGACACACAGCTGGCTGTAGAGTCAACCCTTTTGTTTTTATGTGAAAACCATAAGAGGAACACTCAATCTTCCCCATCTTCCCAGGTCACATCTCCTTTGCACCACCCATCAGATATTTTTGGTTTGTTTTCTTTTTGAAAATAGAAACAAAACAAAGGCTGCCTGTAAGAGTAGTCTGTGTTCATTTTAAAAAGTATTAAAAAATTAAAATGTCTGTCACATCAAAGTCACCCAGTGATAAGCCCTATAAACATCAGCTCCTAAATGCAGAGTCCCTGTGTTGAAAGGAAGCTCATGGTCCTGCTGCTCTTCTAGGGCTAGTTATCTGCTAATACTCCAGTAGACTCGCCTGCTTGTTCTTTAGGTGGGCTGTTGTCTGAATCAGGAGAGAATGATTATCATCAGTGCACTGATGGTTGGGAAAAAGCCACTGCTTCTGCCTGTCACAGTCTTGTAACAATTCACCTGAGCCCTCAGGGCTAACCTGGTTTGCTGTGCTCTCCGTCCCTGCCACCTCCTCCCTTTGCCATTTGCTCGTCTCCATTCTGTGTCGCAAGCTCAGTTTTTGTCTGTGTGACTGTCTGGTTTGTTTTGAAGAGAAGGCCACCTCCCCTCTCCCCAGCCCTGCCTTGGCCCTCTCCAGGCACCAGCCTGCATGAAATGTGCCTCTGGCTGCACCCATCCGGAACTTTAGAGAGATGCCACCTTTTCCTACACCCTGAACAGCTTTTGTGCTCTGTAGGTAAAGATACTTCAGATGTTACTTCTGAATTTGCTAAAGCTTTGTCTTCCACATTAGGAGTTTACAGCACTCTCTTAGACCATAATGATGAAAAATCTCCTTACTTACCAACCTACTGAGTTTGTCCTTCGGCTTCTGATAAGCATTTAAAAAGCAGCAATCACTTCACAGTAAACATGAATCTTATTTGGTGCTTGACATTTTGCTCTGAGGAAGTTTTCTCATTCGGGCCAGTAGAGAAGTGCCAGCTACACAGTGCTCTGTGCCAAAAACTGTAAGGTGGGGGCAATCAAAAGAGCTGCAGAAGTTAGCCCCAAAGCCAGGCCCTGCCAGGTGTCCTACCTGTTGAGAATATTGGTGCATGATGGCAGTATTTGAATAAATAATTCAGTCTTCAGCTTTAGTGACCTTGATATGAGCTATTGCACACAATGTAGAAGAATGGGGCTCAAAACCCATCTCTGTCACTTACTAGTCTGTAACCTTGGTACATTACTTACCTTCTCTGGGCCTCAATGACATCATCAGCCAAATGAGGGTAATCTCAACACCACTGTTCACATCCTATGAGCCAACAGCAATATCCTTGCCATCTGCATAAATAAAAGCAAAGAGGGGTTTGAATGGTTTTGCTCAGCCAACAGTACGGGGTCCCTCTGAGGCTAGAACTGGCTTTTTTTTTGAACTTGGAGCTGAGAAACCCATTTAAATAATGGAGAACAATAATGCCAAGTAATTTTAACAAGGAGTTTCTTTTCTTTTTCTTTTCTTTTTTTTTTTTTTTTACTTCTCTTATTTCATTATAGGAGATTCAGGTAACCTTCTCTGAAGTCTTGCTGGACAAATGACCCTGGAAAGAATGAGGAGAAGAGTTGCTGGCTGGTGTGTGTGTGTGTATGTTTTGGTTGCGACTGTGACATCTTTCCTTCTGTCTCCATTCCATTGCTGGCCAGCAAACTTGTGTTACATCCCTTTCATGCCTGTCTGTGTCACTCAGGTAAGGTTTGCGTCCTTGCTTCAGAGGGTCTCAGGAGACTCCTGGGGGGGGGTTGCTCATGCACCCCACCCAGCACATACACCTTGAATTCACCTCACCTTTATTGAGAAGAAAGTCTAATGAAAGAAATGTTTTAAAAACCAGACTTCAAATGAATTATGCTGTTGCCAACAGGAAACTTTACTAGAGTAAGCTGCATATTTGAGAATAGAAATTGAGGGGTTAGCTGACCCCTTCAAGGTATCTGGGAGGGGCAAAAAGTGATTGATCCTATGCATTCTAGTTATTGCACTTTGCTTGCAATTATAGTATTATCTGATTTTTTAAATTTAAATTTAAACTTTTTTTAGCAGGAAGCAGCTATAGAAAAATTACAGTATTACCTGAAATATCTCCCAAGCCTGCCAACGGCACTGGCTCTTGATTTTGGAGGAAAACTTTCATGTGGAAATCTTTCTTTTATTTCCCTCTTTTAATTATCCCCTCTCCTGCTACTTTCTTCCTGCTCTTTTTGCCTCTTCTTCCCTTCTTAAAGCTTCTCTGCCCAAAATAACACATTTTCATTTATAAATTTTCATTTTCATTTATAAATTTCCATACTTTTTATATCGAGACATTTCTTACTTAGACAGCGATCATGAAGTAGTAGGTTGATCCCGTAGTATTCCTTTAGTTAAATAAACTTGGATGAACATGACGCTGCAACATTCCAAGGGCAGACAGCATTTACACAGTGAGCTGAACTGCCATTTAAAATGACATCTGAAGTACTGTTTATAAACCTCAGTCTTTCCCTTTCGAAAAAAATTTCTTAGAAGTTCATGGAAATAAAGAAAGAAATCAAAGTAACTGAGTGGTCATGATCTTGAAATTACTGTAACACTCTGGAGCCAGATTGCTACATTTAGAAAAACGCTTTTGAAAGGATGCTTTCTTGCTTTTAAGTTGGATTCATTATGTCTGTTGTCTCTTTTAATGAACGTCTGTCTTTTCGTCATGCTGAGGATGAATTGCTTATCTGTGCGGTATGAGGATTAGTATAGCTAAGCCACCATATCCTTTGTGGATTTCCATTTAATTATGCATCTTCAGAAATGAAATTATTGTAACAAGCAATTTTTGTATTAAGATATGTCTCCTCCTGCCATTTTCCTTCATATTGCATTCTAAAAAGTAGTTGATAAATACCCTGCATATTGGAAAAGATGGAACGAAAGCAAAAATATCCAGAGAAGCTACTACGTTGCTCTCTCACAAACATGTGTTGCATCAGTTGAATACTTACATAGGTAGCATCTTCTAAGATCTGTAGTATAAATACTGTATACAACAACACCGTATCACCACTTGTAGTATAAATACTGTATACAACTACCTCAAATTAGTAATACACACAAACCCATAATTGGGTATATTTTTAGTTAGTTTTGCTCTCTTCCCCCATATTTTTTTGCAGTAGAGTCACACTCTCTTTGTAGAAAACATCTTATTAAACTGCTTTTCAAGAGTGAATTAACTCCATCCAAATCTATACACAGCCATTACTTTACTGCCATGAAATCACCAGTGGGTATTTAGAGTTCTGAAAAAACTAACACGTTGGGTTCTGGGAGGACTGGACCAGGCTTAAGCGTATGTCCTGTCCTCCTACTCAAAGCTTGAAGAAAATCTCTTTAATGATTCAACAGTCCAAAACTATATGACATCAATTTCAATCGTTTAGACAGGGATACTAAAAAATAAAAAATTCACACATTGCTTCCCTTTTTAAGTGTGAAAGATGCATGACATTCCATATAGTTACCTGTGGGGGTCTGACTGACACCTGCTGTGAGTTTCAAAGAAACTATGGGAATATAAAGCTTACTTAAAAGACAGGGCAATTCCAAAATTATGCCAGAGCTTTCAAAAGATGGGGAATGGTGTCCTGAGATGTATCTACATGTTCCTTGACCCCCGGAGTTTCAATGGCCACACTTTCCGCATTTCCCACCTGCTGTTTTCTCAGCAGCTCCTGCAAGTAGCACTTCCACTCCTCAGTTCCATGTTACCAGGAAGCAATTCTCAAGTTTTCCCAAAAGTACAGAATTTTATACTACTCAAATATAATTTAGCCAGACCCATCTTTAGTTTTCCTCCTCTTATGAGAGGAAGTTTTCTTCCTCTTCATAGAATTCAGAACCTTAGCCCCTTAATAGAACTCAATGTGTTAATTTTCTCAGAACTCTAAATACTCACTGAGTGATTACGTGGCAGTAAAATATTGGCTGTATATAGTTTTTTTGTTGTTTGTTTTTTTGAGACAGAATCTCACTCTGTCACCCAGGCTGGAGGGCAGTGGCACGATCTTGGCTCACTGCAACCTCTGCCTCGCAGGCTTAAGCAATTCTCCTGCCTCAGCCTTCCAAATAGCTGGGATTACAGGCGTGTGCCACCACGCTTGGCTAATTTTTGTATTTTTAGCGGGGACAAGGTTTCACCGTGCTGTCCGGGTGGTCTCGAACTCCTGGCCTCAAGTGATCTGCCTACCTCGGCCTCCCAAAGTGCTGGGATTACAGGCATGAGTCATGGCGCCCGGCCTGGCTGTATATAGATTTGGATGGAGTTAATTAACTCTTGAAAAGCAGTTTAGTAAGATGTTCTCTACAAAGAGAGTGTGACTCTACTGCAAAAAAGATGGGGGAACGTCATATAGCTCTGGACTGTAGAATCATTAAATAGAGATTTCCTCCAAGCTTTGAGTAGGAGGACAGGACATACGCTTAAGCCTGGTCCAGTCCTCCCAGAGCCCAATGTGTCAGTTTTTTCAGAACTCTACATACCCATTGGTGATTACATGGTAGTAAAATATTGGACAGAACAAGGCCTGGCTAGAACTTTTCATGGGTTCTCACACTGTCTGTTGATCCCAGGGGCACTGCAGGCCTCGAAATCAAAATAAAGGTGTTTTACTTGTCTACTCACTAGTATTTGGTCACTGGAGTGTGTGGATGAGAGATTATGTTGCACTTCAGTGGCTAAATTCTCCCTTTAAATTAAGCAGTGTCTAAGACTAAAAAGAACTATAGAGGATCAAACAGAATCTCTTTCTTAGCCATCAGAAGAAAGAAGTGCTGTATAAGTACTTATGTATTAGTATGATATAAATCTGACATTTAGGTCAGTCTTGCCCCCTCTCATTTTTTTGTGATGTCGAATATTTACACACCCTCTTCACAACTATGTACAACAATATAATCATCCGTAATATATAAATAGCCTACATATGCAAATATAATTGCCCTATATATTTAACACTCTATAAAACATAGATGTTAACCACTGAAAGATAACTATATGGGTATATACCTACAGACCTATAGTCAACATAATCCCCATTTCATGCTGCTAATATACCCACAAAGACACACTTGCCAAGGCTTCATATTTATCCATTAGGTCAGATATTACCTTGTTAAGAGCTTTCAATTGGTTACAAGTGTCTTTTTGTTTGTCCCCCAGGATACTATGGGGACGGTCTAAATGCCATCATTGTGTTTGCCGCCTGTTTTCTGCCAGACAGCAGTCGGGCGGATTACCACTATGTCATGGAAAATCTTTTCCTGTGAGTGATACTTATGACAAAGTGCTTTGAGTTAATGTCTGTGGCATGTAATGGCAGATAGAGCACCTTTAATTAAAGAAAATAGATGATGTAGAATGTTCTAAGCCTTCAGTGAAAAGTCAGTAAGGTTTCTGTCAAGGAATGTTGCTCAAGGGGCTAAAACCTTTAAAGGAGCTCTTTTGTGGGTAGACTAGACTGAAACCAAGATGAACAGAATTTTGCTTGCATTTTAAAATTCTGTAACATTTCCTTTGGGCAAAGTATTATTTTTGTTCCTTCATAACATGTTCTTAGTCAGCTAAGACTGACTATAACCTGACTTCATTAATATCTGCCCTTATTTAACCTGAGTTACCCTTAGTATTTGATAACATTGTTGACAGTTTTGAAAGTCAGGATTCTTTCTAACCCATACATTTTTCTAGTGTACCTCCATTTAAAAGATAGATAGCCATACCGATAAATGAGTAATACTCTCAGAGGAATGCTCTTAGGTAATTGTATTCTTCCCAAGGTAAAGAGGTAATATGCACAATCATTCTTAAATTTCATACACCCTGTACTTTTGATGTTATGTAATTATGGTGTCAATAGGATGTGGGAACTGAAAACATTCCTCTTCCTTCCTGTGATCAGATATGTAATAAGTACTTTAGAGTTGATGGTAGCTGAAGACTATATGATTGTGTACTTGAATGGTGCAACCCCAAGAAGGAGGATGCCAGGGCTAGGCTGGATGAAGAAATGCTACCAGATGATTGACAGACGGTATGTGGGCTCTATTATTTAATCACTATTTTGATTTTGGTAAACTGAAGACTAAACAACCACATGGTATACTGTTATTATCTTCATTATACACAAGAAGAAACCAAGTCTCAATAAGATCAAATAAATTGTCTAAGTTGCTATTAAGCATGTATTCTTTTCAAAATAGTAAAGGTAATACTGACGAGAATAAAAGCATCATTAAACAAAAATACACCATGTTGGTTATAGATTCATGCACTCTAAGAACACAACCATTCTATTTTACATTTACTTCTATGAGAAAATGACGTTTGAATCATACAAGTTTCAAATTACATCTCAAAAAGCATTCTTGTAATTAATCATGGCCATTCTATATCTTCCTACCAGGTAATAGTAACTTGCATAGAACTCCCTAAAATTATACACACACACACACACACACACACACACACACACACATTTTTGTTGTTGTCGTTGTTGTTGGAGTCTCACTCTGTTGCCTAGGCTGGAGTGCAGTGGCATGATCTTGGATCACGGCAACCTCCGCCTCCTGGGTTCAAGCGATTCTCCTGTCTAACCCACTGAGTAGCCAGGACTTACAGGCGGGCACCACCACGCCCAGCTAATTTTTTTATTTTTATTTTTATTTTTATTTTTAGTAGAGATGGGGTTTCAACATGTTGGCCAGGCCAGTCTCAAACTCCTGACCTCAGGTGATCTGCCTGCCTTGGCCTCCCAAAGTGCTGGGATTATAGGCATGAGCTACCATGCCAGACTTAAATTATATATATTCTTATTTAGGAATATGTTTTATGTTTTAATTCCCACTGAAAATGGGTTAAGAGTAATGTATTTTTTTTCTTTTTTCAAAATAGGTTGAGGAAGAATTTGAAATCATTCATCATTGTTCATCCATCTTGGTTCATCAGAACAATCCTTGCTGTGACACGACCTTTTATAAGGTACAGTTAATGTTGTCATAAAATAAAAGTACTACTAGTAGTTTTAAAAAATATGTACTCATTGTCCTAAAAACAAGAATTCATAAACTAAGAGTACCCAGGGAAATATATTTGTCTCTGTCTTTCCTAGAAAGGTGCTTTGGACTATTCATCAAGAATCCCGAATTAAGAGAGAAAATGCTGTCATGATGAATATTTCCCCCAGATCATTATAAAACAGGACCTCTAAATTGCTTGCTATAAACACGGAAGATGAAGTGGTGGGATTTTCATGCCACATTAGAAAGGAGAATAGATAATACATTTAAAGTGATATGCTATTATGTAGAGAATAGAAAGGTAGAGTAATATGACAATGGAAAGTAAAGATGAATCAAGGGCAGAAACAGAAGCCATATCATGTCTCAATTGTGCCATTTCTTCTGAATAGACCTACACAACGTTTATATAACTACCAAAGTTATATAGAGTCTGGGCAGCCATTTTGAGAGCTGTGTTTTGATCACCCCTGAGGAGTCTTGGTTTCAATTCAGTGAATATTTATTTGTCACTTATTTTATGTTAGGTTTTGCATAACCTTACATCTTAGGGATGCAAAGTAAAATAAGTTATGTTCATAATATAGTAAGACTTCAAATAGTTAAATGAAAGGGATAGTATTTACTTTCTAGATAGCTTTAAAAACAATAAAATTTGCCCACCATCAGGGTACAGATTAGATTAATTGAAATTTTCCCATCTCAAAGTTATTAATGAATTTCTTTTAAAAATTCTGATAACTTTGCTTCTGGGGAAAAAGATAAACTTTAAAATCTTTTTTTTGTGTGTACATAGATTTTACTGTAGCTTCCAAATTCTACCTTTCTTGTTAAGTATTTAGTTATATTTATTTATTATTCTTATTCCCCACTTCCAATTGCTAATGCTGAAAAATATACCTGAAAATCAAGAATTGTTAAAATGGTAAACTGAAGGCTAAACAATCACATGATATACTGTTATTATCTTCATTATACACAAGAAGAAACCACTGAAAAAACGAAGTTATCAGAATTTTTAGACGAAATTAATTAATAATTTTAAGATGGGAAAATTTCAATTTATCTTCAATTGAGTAGCAGGATTCACCCTAGTTTCCCTCTGGCAAAGATTAGCTGTTTACCATACTGTGTTAAATTGCTTTTAAAAATATTATGAGCAGCCAAGCGGGGTGGCTCACACCTGTAATCCCAGCAGTTTGGGAGGCCAAGGCGGGCAGATCACTTGAGGTCAGGAGTTTGAGACCAGCCTGGCCAACATGGTGAAACCCCATCTCTACTAAAAACACAAAAAATTAGCCAGGCATGGTGGTGGTGTGCCTATAGTCCCAGCTACTAGGGAGGCTGAGGCAGGAGAATCGCTTGAACCTGGGAGGAGGTTGCAGTGAGGCAAGATCACACCACTGCACTCCAGCCTGGGCAACAGAGTGAGACTGTGCCTCCAAAAAACAAACAAAAATATTAGACCTATTTAAGGTATACAAAGAGCCACTTATTTTAATATTTTCAGGAAATGTTGTAACTAGGGAGTAGGAATCAATGTATGCTGATAAGCTTTCAAAAAGTTTAATGGGTAGAAAGGTAAACATTAGCATAGTTACTGATTCATCGATGTTTGCTTAATAATTCAGCACTTATAAAACAAATGTTTTTTCTTGATTAAGTAATGTTAAAAGATAAACTTTAGACAAATCAATCAGTTTATTAGAGCAAAAAATGATTTATGAATCCAGCATGACTTAGAACCAGGAGAGGTTCAGAGAGCTCCTCCCAGCAAAGTGGGCAGACAGTATTTGTCCAGAGAAAAGCAAGGTGATGTATAGAAATAGCTTGATTGGGTACAGCTCAGCAGTTATCTTATTTGGGTACAGTGTGATGAAGCATTTGCCTTATATGGTCATGGTCTGATCATTTGGCAACCTGTGATTGCTGAAGCTCAGCTGCTTTGATTGGCTGAGACTCAGCTAGTCTTTGCAAAAATATACTCATAAGTTAGGTTGGAATTTTGTTTACATACTATGTTAGGTTGCAGTTAGCTACCTAGGAACTCAAACTACAGAGAAAGCCTCAAGCCAAATGTAGTTTAACAATAAGAAAACATTTGTTACTGTAAGGCTATTAAACATTATTATAATTCAACACTACTTATTGAAGGGAGCTTCAAGATAATAACAACAACAGTAATAATAAAATTATAGCAACAGTGTTGTGGTAAATTATGACTAATAATGGCTTAATTTATTGAGTGCTTATTTGCATTATCTCATTTAACCTAATGACAGTCCTCTGAAGTAGATACTTTTTTGTTTGTTTTTTGTTTTGAGAGACGGTCGCCTTCAGTCACCCAGGCTGGAGTGCAGTGGCACGATCATGGCTTACTGCAGCCTCAGACTCCTGGGATCAAGCAATCCTCCCACCTCAGCCTCCTGAGTAGCTGGGACTATAGGTGTATGCCACCACAATCAGCTAAATTTTTTTATTTTTTTGTAGATATGGGGTCTCATGTTGTCCAAGCTGGTCTCAAACTCCTAGGCTCAAGCAATCTGCCTGCTTTGGCCCAAAGTGCTGAGATTACAGGCATGAGCCACCATGCCCAGCCTGAAGCAGATACTGTTTACTATTTCCATTATATAGGAAAAACTGCTGAGGTTCAGGGAGGTCAAATAAATTGTCTAAAGCAGGAACCAGCAAACATTGTTTATAAAGATTCAACTAGTAAATAGTTTAGGCTTCACTGGCCCTATGATTTCAGTTACAGCTACTCAATTCTGCCATTATAGAGCAAAAGCAGCCGTAGGAAACATGCAAACAAGTAAGTGGCTGTGTTCTGATGAAACTTTTTTTTTTTTTTTGAGACAACCTCACTCTGTTGCCCCAGGCTGGAGTGCTGTGGTGCGATCTCGGCTCACTGCAACCTCTGCCTTCCCATGCTCAAGTGATTCTCCCACCTAAGCCTCCCAAGTAGCTGGGACCACAGATATGTACCACCACGCCTGGCTAAGTTTTTGTATTTTTGGCAGAGACAGGATTTGCCATGTTTCCCCGGCTGGTCTTGAACTCTTGAGATCAGGTGACCTTCCCATCTCAGCCTCCCAAAGTGCTGGGGTTACAAGCATGAGCCACCATGCCTGGCCTCTGATGAAACTTTATTTATGAAAACCGAAATTGAATTTACTATGATTTTTACATTGTAAAATATTCTCTTTTTTTTGAAAGGGAGTTTCACTCTGTTGCCCAGACTGGAGTGCAGTGGCATGATCTCTGCTTTCTGCAGCCTCCGCCTCCCAGGTTCAAGCGATTCTCCTGCCTCCACCTCCCAAGTAGCTGGGATTACAGGCATGTGCCACCACACCTGGCTAATTTTTGTATTTTTAGTAGAGACAGGTTTTCGCCATGTTGGCCAGGCTGGTCTTGAACTCCTGACCTCAAGTGATCCGCCTGCCTCGGCCTCCCAAAGTGCTGGGACTACAGGTACGAGACACTGCGCCCAGCCGGCATCATAGAATATTTTTATTTTTACATTTTTTAAACCACCTTAAAAAACATAGAAATCATCCTTCACTCAGGGACTATAAAAATCAGATAGACTTGTGCCTATAATTCCAGCTACTCAGGAAGCTGAAGCAGGAGGATTGCTTGAGGCAAGGGGTTCAAGATCAGCCTGGGCAACATAGGGAGATCCTGACTCTGGAAAATTTTTTTTTAAATTTAGCTAGGCAGCGTAGCATGTGCCTGTAGTCCTAGCTACTCCAGAGGCAGAGATAGGAGGATTACCTGAGCCCAGGAGTCCAAGGCTGTAGTGAGCTATGATCATACCACTGCACTCCAGCCTGGGTGACAGAGTGAGTCCTAGCTTCTAAAAAAATAATAATAAACTGACAGCAGCTGGCTTCAGCCACGGGCTATCATTTACCAACCTCAGGTCTAGGGTGACACAGCCTAGAAATGATAGGCTCCGTCTTTGAAACCAATTGTCTGCCCAATTCTAAAGAAAACCTACATCAAGTACTTAATAATTGTATTCTACAGTTTCATCATGTAGGAGCCTCTTTAAAGATCCTCCTTTGAGTCAATTTACTTCAGTGTTAGCAACTTGTAGATATGAAAAAAGAGATCACTAAAATGTATTATAGGTCTTCTCGCTACTGAAGGGTAGCATCTATGATAGAGGTATATGGCAAGTTCATTTTAAACAATGAGTTATTGGCAGTTTGGAGATTTCTCAAAGAACTTAAAACAGAAGTACCATTTGACCTGCCAATCCCATTACTGGGTAAATACACAAAGGAATATAACTCATTCTACCGTAAAGACACATGCACATGTATGTTCATCGCAGCACTATTCACAATAGCAAAGACATGGAATCAACCTAGATGCCCATTAACAGTGGATTGGATAAAGCAAATGCAGTACATATACACTATGGAATACTAGCAGCCATAAAAAAGAACTAAATCACTTCCTTTGCAACAACATGGATGGAGCTGGAGGTCATTATCATAAGTGAGTTATCCTAAGAAAACCAAATACCGCATGTTCTCACTTATAAGTGGGAGCTGAACATTGAGTATACTCCAGACACCAGGGACTACTAGAGGGTGGAGGGTGGAGGACAGTGAGGATCAAAAAACTACCTATCAGGTACTATGCTCATTAACTAGGTGACAAAATAATCTGTACATCAAACCACTGTGACATGCAGTTTACCCATGTAAAAACCTGCACATGTACCCCTGAATAAAAGCTGGGGGAAAAAATTAGTAATTTGTCTGTGCCAAGCACTGGATTGGGAAATCACATAGCTCGATTGCTGTCCTTAAGGAGCACAAAGCCTGGAGCAGACATGGGCAGACAAGTGAACAGTTACAATAACAGGATACAATTGCATCTTGAGGAGGTGATGACTCAAGGTGAGGGTGAGTTTGGGGGTATACCTGGTAGAGAGTGAAAGCTGATAATCTGCATCAAGAGAGGCTTTGCAGAAGGAGGCCTTCCCTCCAGGTGAGTTTTAAAGGATTAGCAGGATTGGCCAGCTGAAATTAGAGAGAAGAGCAATCCAGGTTGAGGAAACAGGTAGACAAAACGCCAGATACAAATACATCAATAAAGAGAGAACATGGCATGTTCAGAGAACTGCGAAATTCCAGTGAATGTTAACACTGGAGCTGGAGGTTTTCCTTTTGCATGACTTCTTTTCCCTCTCAGTCACCCACTCAGTCTTTTATCAAAACCGTATTTAGCTCAACAACTCCACAGGAGGAAAAAGGCTTAATGTAGCATATCACTGGTAGTGTGTGTTGACCCAAGACTTATCAGGAGGGACAGAAGCTACTGTATGGAGAGGACGGTTGTTCACAAGTGTCTTGGGCCCAGGGCCAAAATTGCAAGTAAAGTATTAAAGATAGATGGATAGAAGACACACCTCAAAAAAGCTTCTTACTAGAATGCATAGTAGTTGAACACAAGGTAATACAGATGGCAGACAGCTCAGCAAGATCCCAGTAGACTAGAGAGACCTTTTCATTTGAAACCATTCAAGAATGTTAGACCCTTGGATATACTTTTTAAATTAGTTTGCCATTACACAAGTAATAAGAAAATGCAGGCCGGGTGCAGAGGCTTACGCCTGTAATCCCAGCACTTTGGGAGGCTGAGGCGGGCAGATCACAAGGTCAGGAGATGGAGACCATCCTGGCTAACACAGTGAAACCCTGTCTCTACTAAAAAAATACAAAAAATTAGCCAGGCATGGTGGCAGGCACCTGTAGTCCCAGCTACTCGGGAGGCTGAGGCAGGAGAATAGCGTGAACCCAGGAGGCAGAGCTTGCAGTGAGCCAAGATCGTGCCACTGCACTCCAGCCTGGGCGACAGAGCGAGACTCTGTCTCAAAAAGAAAAAAAGAAAATGCATTCTTCAGAAATGCATAAGACCAAGTTCTTCCTTTAACAATTACCAATTCCTGTTCCTAATCCCCTTCCCCAGAGGCAAAATCTTTTATCAGTTTCATTGGTATCCTTCCAAGTTGTTCTCTGTGCATTTACACATCTCTAAAACGAACACATTTAGATGAAAGCTGTTTGTAATTCAAATCCAATTATTGGAACATATTTTTGAATGTTGGTTCATCCAGAATAAACGTTCAACCTAAAACTTTAAAAAAAAAAAAACAAAAATTTTTAAAATAAACTAAAAAAAAAAGAAAAATGAGTTTACATATATTTTTAAAGTATCATCAAACTTGGTAGATTCTGAAAGAACTAATGGTAAGATTTTTGTTTGTTACAAACAAATAAGTAAACAGAGACAAACAAGGCATAAAGTAGTGACTATTCAGAGTAGCAGGAACCACCGGGAGGCCGCACAATATATGGTCAAGAGTGTGAATGCCAAAGTCAGACTGCCCAGGTTAGTATAGGCTCTGCCATTTACTAATGGTGAGACCTTGGGTAAACACTTAACTGCTCTGTATCTGTTTCCTTATCTTTGAAAATAGGATAATAATAGTGTCTACCTCACTAGGCTGTAATAAGAAATACCTGCATTCATATGTGTAAACCACTTAAGACAGCATTTGGCCAAATACTGCATGATCTCACTTATATGTGGCATCTAAAAAAGTTGAGCTTATAGAAGTAGAGAGTGGAATGGTGGTTACCAGAAGCTGGGGGTTGGGAGTGAGGAAATGTTGGTCAAAAACCACAAAATTTCGGTTAAGAGGCATAAGTTCCAGAGCCCTATTGAACAACATGGTGACCAGAGCTAATAACAATGTATTGCATCCTAGAAAATTGCTAAGAGAGTAGATTTTAAGTATCAAAAAAAAAAAAAGCATGTGAAGTAATACATACGTAAATTAGCTCAGTTCAGCCATTCCACAACGTATACATATTTCAGAACATCATGTTATACTTTTTTACATGGCAATTTAAAAAATAAATTTTAAAAACAGAATAAAACATCACCACCAACAACAACAAAACAGTGTCTGGCACATTGTAACTCGTCAAATAATGTTAGCCTCTTAGTAAGAGTGCTGTGGCAAGGTGTTAAGTATCAGGATTTTCAAGAAAAGGCAATAGCCTTAGAATGGATAAGGTAGTGACTAATGATACATATTTTTTTCTTTTTTTTTTTTTTAGTTCAAAATTCAGCAGTAAAATTAAATATGTCAATAGCTTATCAGAACTCAGTGGGCTGATCCCAATGGATTGCATCCACATTCCAGAGAGCATCATCAAGTAAGTCCTGACAGTTTCAGAGATGTGTTAAGAAATAGTACTAGTTTGAGGCTGGGTGTGGTGGCTCACGCCTGTAATCCTAGCACTTTGGGAGGCTGAGTGGAAGAATCAGTTGAGCCCAGGAGTTTGCAATCAGCCTGGACAACATAGCAAAACCCCATTCCTACTAAATATATAAAAATTAGCCAGGCGTGATGGCATTTGCCTGTAGTCCAGCTATTCAGGGGGCTGAGATGGGAGGATCACCTGATCCTGGGAAGTCAAGGCTGCAGTGAGCTGTGATCGTGCCACTGTACTCCAGCCTGGTGGCAGTGAGACCCTGTATCAAAAAAAAAAAAAAGTGTGTGTTTGGAGAAGTGGGTTGGAAAAGAGGTCAGTTCTGGAACAGGGGAAATGGCACTATCTTATTTTTAAAACAATATTAAATATCCTCCAATAAATACAATTTTTTCCTATAACCTATAGATAATTGTTGTGTTCTTTTAGATCCTCTTTCACCTAATCTTTTCCTGGGGTTATTTGATTATTGTTCATTTTTAGCTTGAACTTTACTACCACTTTGGAAAAAGTAACAGTTACATTGGTTAATTGGTATACTGTCTCTACTGGTTAACAGTGTATCAGTTTCTTGTGTCCCCCACTCTGCACAGACACAAGACGGTCTTAGCATAGCTTGGATTTCTTTATTGTCTTATACAAAGTAATTTATCTGCATGATGCTAGGAAAATAGAAAGAAATAACTCTTTCTCTGTTTCTTCTAAACCTTTTTTGTTTGTCATGATTAAGTAGAGGGCATTTGCCCAGTGGTGGGTGAGGTGGTGAGGAATGGTTTCCTTGCTCAATAGAGGGTAACGCAGTATCAGCGTCAGCATCCTGCATGGGTACTGAAGGTCTCAGGATGATGCTACAAAAACTAGGATAAAATTTAACAAAATAAATACTTGGAGCTGGGATTTTAAAACAGGGATATCGGAGAATGAACAGTTGTATCTGGTACATTGTTGCAAAGAACGATTGTTTTCTGTGTGTCTTTTTTTTTGTTGTTGTTCACTGTATCTGAATCACTAGCTTTTTTCATTTCATTTGAATGGAGAGGGACTTAACCATTAGCTCAAAGAAAACAGGCAAGTATCATTCATCTTCCTCCATAAAATGGATAGCAAAATGTACCTCTCGTTTGGGATTCCAAAAAAGAGTCCTCTCACTTTAAAAAATTAATTAATTAATTAAAAAGGCCCAGCCTAGAAACTGGAAGGAAAGAATTCTCATGTAATGTGTGTCTATGATATGCCAAGCATAGCAGTGCTCTATTTATATCATTTATTTAACTCTTATAGTAAACCCCTGTTTTACAGATGCAGGGGACGTAACTTAGTAGGAAGTTACTTATGCACAGTATAAGTAGGAACCAGGAAGAGATGGAACGGAAATTCAAATTCAGGTCAGCCTGGCACTAAAATTCCCATGTCCTTTTCTAGTAGATTCCTTTACCTCTCTCAGAGAATCCTTCAAAATTCAAACCTCAGAAGTAGATTCATTTGGTTCTCCTACATAAGCAATATCGGGCGTGAACACAGGATACTGACTGGGCTTCCGGTGGTCAGCTGGGCTCAGCTGAATCAAACGGAGTGTTCATTAGATCCTAATGACGGCTTCAACCCTCATTAGCTTCACAGCGTTTCCACAACCAGCATACCTCATAGCTCTGGGCTGCTGCCTCAAAAAGGTGTACTCCGTCTTCAAATCCCACTTCTACTCTTTAAATTTAAAAAGTATGGAGGCAGAGAGGGATGCCTCACACCTGTAATCTTAGCACTTTGGGAGTCTGAGGAGGGTGGATAGCTTGAGTCCAGGAGTTCAAGACCAGCCTGGGCAACATGGTGAGCCCCCCGCCACCCCATCTCTATGAAAAAAACACAAAAATTAGCCGGGTGTGGTAGCATGCACCTGTAGTCCTAGCTACTCAAGAGATTAAAGTGGTAGGATTGCTTGAGCCTGGGAGGCGGAAATTGCAGTGAGCCGAGATCGCACCACTGCACTCAAGCCTGGTTGACAGAGTGAGACGCTGTCTCAAAAAAGAAGAAGAAAAAAAAAAGATGAAGAAGTATGGAAACACTCACATTCTATAAGATGACAAGGACATTCTCTCTTCTAGTGGAATTGAGCATTGACCACTTTCCAAGTAAACACGGTAACACTTCCATGGTGTGACAGAGGCAATAGAATGAAAAGTGAATGGGCTTTAGAGACTTAGATTTGAACCTTCTCTCCTACCTCTCAATGTCTCTGAGACTTCAAGTCATCTATTAAAATGATTAATTAATTAAAATATTCTGAGTCTCAGCTTCAGCATCTGTAAAGTAAGGAAGTAAGTTGCACTTCCTGGAATGGTTCTGAGGGTTGAATGCAAACAGGGTACACAAAGCACTTGCAAAGCCTCCCAGCACAGAGTTCGCAATCCAGAATCTTATTTATTGTTACACCTGTTGCTTTTAGAGACTCTCCATCATATGGGAAAGTTCAAATGAGAAGTTAAGTATACCTAGGACATTTTTCATTCAACTGCACACATCAGTTTTCAAGGGCTCCATTTGGGAAAAGTTACTTCAGGAGGAAGGGTTCTAGTTGGAAAAATTTTTTTCTGGAGAAAGAAATTTACCACCATTCATGTGCTGCCCACATGTCCATGTGTTCTGTTTTCTGTAATTCATCTCCTTGGGATGTCCTTTCTGCCATTTCTGTTACTGACCTTCATCACCTCAATTTCATGTTTTGCAAATTTCAAATGGATACGAGCCATGGCTCCTTTTTATCACTGAATAACATTCAAAGGATCTAATCTCAGCCACTCCCACAACCAGTCCTCAGCTGAGATGGAGCCTGTCATCAAAGGGCTTAAATGAAAGAAAAACTTGCCCAACCTAGAACCAAATTTATAATCATTGGTTACAGTTGATTCTCATTATTTGTGGCAGTTATGTTCTATAAAGTCACTGCAAACACTTAATTAGTGAATACTGAAATAGTGTTCCAAGGGAAAATACAGGATGTTCAGTTCCTGCAAGCATCTGGTCACAATGTTTTCATCAATCAATCAATATATAACCTTTTTTTATGTGTGTTTCTGTTTAAATGAACCTTACTTAGTATACATTGTTGATTTATGAACATTGAACTCATGGCCAACAGTATTGTAACTTGTGCATAAACAAAGCTTATCTAATACACATATTTTCTTCATAAGGCACATCACAGCTTTCCTGCACTTGGGAATACTAGTATTCCCAATACAGTATTTCAGCCCTATGCTTGGAAGCCAATTTGAACAGCAAAATCACCAAGGAAAAATACAAAAATGAGCGGAAAAAAAGGCACTAAAAAGGTTGTGAAAAGGACACTTGTTTACAGTATGA
Organism: Homo sapiens; assembly: GCF_000001405.40. Taxonomy (NCBI): domain Eukaryota; kingdom Metazoa; phylum Chordata; class Mammalia; order Primates; family Hominidae; genus Homo; species Homo sapiens. The sequence goes on along the minus strand of NC_000009.12, from coordinate 76,625,777 downwards.
AACAAGAAGACAGAGCCTCACACATTGCCAGGTGGCAACATGAATGTTGGGCAACTCAAATTTTTCTCCACTCTGCACATGTCCACAAGTGACCCAAAAAGTACTTTGTATTGATTTTGTGTTTATAAATACATGCTAGTGAAGAGGCAAATTTACAAATATAGAATCTGCAAATAATGAGGTTTGACTGCATATATTTATAAATTATAAACATTGATTGTTTTCTAATGAAAATAAGATTTCCCCCAAATGTCAATTTTATTATTACCATCATACATCACCTAATGACAGAGACATGTTCTGAGAAGTGCGTCTTTAGATGTTTTCATCATTGTGTAGACATCATAGTGAACTTATACAAACCACCCCGATGGTAGAGACCACTACACCACCTAGGCTATCTGCTATAACCTGTTGCTCCTAGGCTACACACCTGTACAGCATGTTACTGTACTGAATACTGCAGGCAGCTATAACACCATGGTAAGTATTTGTGTATGTACACGTAGAAAAGATACTGTCAAATTATGGTATTCTAATTTAGGGGACCACTACCATATATGTGGTCCATCACTGACCCAAATGATGTTACATGGTGCATGACTGTATCTGGATAGGCATTTTCTCTCATGATTTGACTGTCATTTAAATCATTTACTTGTCATTTTTCCCATCTGTTTGCTCATTTTCCTTATGGCACTCGTTTTTTATCTTGTAAGGTACGATGAAGAGAGATCTTATAAGAGAAGTGTGAGGTAAAATCTCCTGATCTCCTATTCATGCTGGACCCTGTGTGTGTACACCAGTGTTTTACTTGTGGGTGACCTCAACAAGCTACCAGAGCAAGAGGTCACTGTATCAGTCTTTTGTATGCCATTTTCAGTCTTTGTCCTGTGTGTAAAGCTGTTGAGGTCAACCTAATTTGCAACTGAAACCTACTAAACCAGATACATCCCTGACTTGGCCCAGGCTGCAAGCTAACTTGAACTGTACCCACCAGACTGACGTGGATGTTTTCAGCTTTATTCAGCCAGCATGTTTCTGATCCCTTTGCAACTTATGTCTACATTTTATGAAGGAATTTGCAAAGTAAATGTACATAAACACTGAATGGGAGGCAATGACAACATATTTAATGGAAGGAGTACGTCTCAGGGCTCCAGAAGACAGTTTCGAAAAGCACATATGCACCACTTTCATTTGGCCCTGCTTTGCTGAGTGACTGTCTCATGCTGTGCTTGCTTCTCTTTTGTTTCTTTTCCACACCAATAATTTTTGCTCCTGCAGACTGGATGAAGAACTGAGGGAAGCATCAGAGGCAGCTAAGTAAGACTTGGTTTTCGTTTAGCGGCTGGCATGATGTTGGCTTGCATTTCAGAACTGAATTGGGAAAATCTGCATGCCTGGTGTTTTATTCCTGCTTCCTGATAATAATGCACTTTAGAAATTCTCTTTCTCCTATGATAGATGTAATCTCTATTATTCTTACTACAATCTATTTTTCCCCATGATCTTGCTTATACTGAGGAATGTATTTGTCACTGTTGTTGTTGTTTTTTAATGTACACGCAATTCTAGGCACCACAACAAAAGAGCACATCACAGGCACTGCCACATATAGTGTGACATCGAGATGATCATTAGGTATTGAGGCAACAGAACCTCACTAATTCATACCAGTGGGGAGGAATAATAACACATCGAGATTTGGAAGATTTTTGTAGAATCAATTTCACGGCCTTCTATGAATTAAAACAACAACTTACTTAATGACTTTGGAAATATTGCTTAACTAACAGCCTTTGAGCTATTTTGATGAATAGAAAAACAAAAGTCATTGCCCACTATTGCTAAAGTATGAATCTCAAAAAGGCAAAATTACAACTCTCATGCAAATATAAAATGAACACATGCCAATGATTTTATTCAACTAATTATTTAATGCAGGAACCACTAAGGTGTTAAAGCCAGTTCAAAGAACATTTGAGCAGCTAGATATCTATAGGCAATTTATAGAAGAATATTTGGATAAGATTGTTGGGTTAGATACAAAACTGGTTAATAAACAACAGGGCAATAAACTGTAATATTGAGGTTGTCTTTTCCACTGGACAGAAATTATTTGCATCTCTGCTGGACAGAAACTACAAGTTAACCTCTGCCCCTATTGAGCTGTAAAATAGCCCAACCAATAGAAAGTCAGACCCCTGTAATCCCAGCACTTTGGGAGGCCGAGATGGGTGGATCACGAGGTCAGGAGATCGAGACCATCCTGGCCAACATGGTGAAACCCCGTCTCTACTAAAAATACAAAAATTAGCTGGGCATGGTGGTGCACGCCTATAGTCCGAGCTACTCGGGAGGCTGAGGAAGGAGAATCGTTTGAACCTGGGAGGCGGAGATTGCAGTGAGCCGAGATCATGCCACTGCACTCCAGCCTGGGGACAGAGCGAGACTCCATCTCAAAAAAAAAAAAAAATCCAGTCATTCTCTTTTCTCGTTTCCAAGTTACAAAGAAATTTTCTGATAATACATGTTAGATATAACCAAGTACTATTTGAAAAGTTTGCTGAATTAAGCACATTAAGTTTCTTCCCTATTTTAAATGTTGCTTATGCTGTTAATTTTTAAAACCAGCTCCCATTTTAATAGACATTGCAAAAGCAGAAGGCCTGGACAATGTCCTAACAGCTATAAATTCTGAATAAATAAAATCTAACTAATAGACATTTTCTGCATAGTTGTAAATGCCAATTCCTCATTAAAACAATCCATTTAGACATTTTTCCCCTATGGTACATTTTTATTATAATAACCTATAGGATTATTTGCTTGTAGTGTGCCAATCTTTTGTGTTAAAAATTAAAGGATAGGTTTTTGCTTTAGAAAGTTTAGCATTAGTGGAGTTTACTGTTACAATATTCCAGTCTTCTCATTTTCTTTCAAGATAACTGACACCCAATTAGATAATGAAACTCAAAACTGTGTAATTTTTTATTCTAAAAAATCTTCTTAGTCTTGATCCCAACTGTCACAAACAAGAAGTTGTGGAAGTAAGGAAAATACTAGTAATCAAGGAACTGAGTGTTGGTGTAACATCCCTTTAGCATTTACCTGCACTCAAATTGCTTTGTATCATGAGATTTCCTAGAGAGAGAGAACGCTCAGTGAGAGTTCTCTTTCAGATTTTTTCAGTTTTCTTTCAGATTTATTTTTTCAGGATGATAACATATTTATGAAATTAAAGCGCTATTTTGAAGACAAAAGATGGGGGAAAGAACATCAATAATTTTTCAGACAAACCTGTCATAAAGTCATATTGTCATGTTTCTTTCATTATTACCATGAAATCTTGCTTCTTTTAATAGATTTTTTTCCTCTATATTTATACTCTTTCTGCTTAGCTGCCACAGTAAAATGATTATTGTTTTTGGGTAGTTTTGTAGCTTTCTCTTTTTTCTCTCACATCCACTATTTTGTTCTCTTCCTTACCCCTACCTACCCTCTCCCAATGTGTCTAAATGGCTCAGAGGGTCCTGAGACATTTTGATCTCCCTCCTAAAGGAAGCACTATGCTCGTGCCTGGTACATAGTAGATGCTCAGTAAATTTATGCTGCATAAATTAATGAATTTGCATAACATTCAGTTCATTGCTGTTGAGCAGTGGGTTCTCAAACTTTATTGTGCATTGCAATGACCTGGAGCACATGGTAAAACACGAAATCCCATGTCTCACCCCCAAAGTTTCTGATTCAGCAGCTCTAGAGTGGAGCCTAAAAATCTGCATTTCTGGCCAGGTGAGGTTGCTCAGCCCTGTAATCCCAGGACTTTGGGAGGCTGAGTGGGGAGGATTGCTTGAGGCCAGGAGTTAGAGACCAGCCTGGGCAACATAGCAGGACTCCATCTCTACAAAAAAAAATTTTTTTAATTAGCCAAGTATGGTGGTATGTGCCTGCAGTCCCAGCTACATGGGAGGCTGAGGTGGGAGGATCCATTGAGCCCTGGAGTTCAAGGTTGCAGTGAGCTAATTGATCTTACCACTACACTCCAGCCTGGGCAACGGAGTGAGACCCTGTCTCAAGAAAAAAAAAAGTCTGCATTTCTAACAAGTTCCCAGTGATGCTGATGCTGCTGGTCTCAGGACCCAGCTTTGAGAACCACTGCCTAAAAGTCAAGGGCCAAATAAAAATAATCAGATTTGTTTTGGAGGTCTATGCTCTTGCTTTGGATTCAGTGGGTAAGCCATCTGCCTGAAGAATCCTCCCTCTAGGATCTTTTGATCCTACCTTTTTGATGGTAACATCACATGTATGAGGAATTGAAATATATTTGCACATTTGAAAATGTGTACAGAGAAAAAATTCTACTCTGTTGACCCCACAGGTGATTGGAATGCCTTAGAATCCCACCATCTCGGCCACCAGCAACATTTTTTCAACTACCTTTTAGCCTCTGAAGTAGCCCCTGAATTCTAGGAGAAACTGTATGATAAACATGATCACTGCAGATCTATGGTTAGAAGCCAGACATGCCCAGGTTCTTCCTGTTGACAGATGCGCCTGACTTTCCACATGACTTGTTCAGAAAGCTTCAGGCTAGGTCTAACCAAAGGCAAACGTACACTTGGTCAGGGAACAAAACCTATCTGTCCACTGTTTTGCTTTATGCCCACTAGTTTCTCAACATTCTCCCTCTCCCCTCACACACACACATACCACCACTCAAACTGCACCCCAACTCTAATTGACTTCAGAAGGTGATTTCCTCAGCCTGCCTTATCTTTTCTTTAAAACCTTAGCTGTATACAGGAAAGAAAGTATTATACTTCTGAAGGATAAATAGTATACCTAGAACCATTCTTATTTTGAAAATTGGGAAGCATCCGTGTGTTGCCTTTGGAGTGACAGTATTAAAGGGTTTGCAAATTGCTGTTTTCCTTGGGAGGATTACTCAAAATTAAAAAGCAGAAAAGCTGAGTTTGGAAGATTGCCCTTTCTTGATTCCATTCCAGCTTTGCTAGGTTTTTTTTAGCACGCTGTCAACACTTACTTGACTGTCCTTGCTCACTGGAATTCCCAAATATTCCCTATAAAAATATCAGACCACCAGCAAGAAGGGTGGGGAGTGAGAAAGGAAGGTTGCTATCTCACCTGGGGAGATAGCCGCCTGTCATTTTCAACAAAACACCTGACCTTCATCATGGATCCTCTTATGTGCAAACAGATAAATTAGCTTGTGAAATTATATTACTAAGAGGACAACTGCACTTAAAAAGGATCATAGAAGCTCTTTAAATAGAATAGTGTTTGTTTGTCAATAATAAAATATTTATGGGAGGCCGGGCACAGTGGCTCACGCCTGTAATCCCAGCACTTTGGGAGGCCGAGGCAGGAGGATCGCTTGAGTCCAGGAGTTTGAGACCAGCCTGGGGCAACATGGCAAAACCCTACCCCTACCAAAAATATGAAAATTAGCCGGGCATGGTGGCATGCAGCTGTAGTCCCAGCTACTTGGGTGGCTGAGGCAGGAGAATCGCTTGAACCTGAGAGGCAGAGGTTGCAGTGAGCCAAGATAGTGCCACTGCACTTCAGCCTGGGCGACAGAGCAAGACTCTGTCTCAAAAAAAAAAAAAAAAATTATGGGAGGGGTATAAAAGTTGAGGTGTAATGAGTATTCATCAAGAATTAATAGGAAGCAAATTTGAAATTTGCTCACAGAGAAATCACACCAGTATATCAAAAACAGCTAATACTACACAAAAAACATAAATGCCATAAAAACACTTTTATTTATTATTTTATAAGGTTACATTTGTTTTCTGGGCATACTCAGTTGAGGTAAATGGTAGGATTCATTTGTATCACCTGGACACAGCTCAGCTGTATGGAGTGGTAAGTGTCCTGTTATTTCTGTAACAACAACAATGAGGAGAGCTGACGCTGACATTTTTTCTTTCAGTGTATTGGGAAATCCTCATTCTCGTGAAAACTGAAAATTAACTGTGTTCATGGGTGAATAAAATTAGGCTGCTTGAGAGGGATTTTCCTCTGTGTGTATTTTATTATTTGGGGTACCAAAACAATTTTGTAATATGTCCCCTGAATAAGACAAATTGAAAAGGCAGGGAAAAATGAGGACAGAAGAGACCACTGGAGGTGTTTGGAGTTTTTAATCTTTGCTTTGTGTTTTTATATCATGGGCAATCACTTGTATTTCAAAACCAATGGTAAGGGTTACAGCTTAATCTTATCATCTGTTCAGGTATGGATTTGTTCAGTATTAGCAATGGGACCACATTAAACAGTTTCAAATGCCTCAAATCTGTTGTGCTTTCACAGTGGTGACAGTGGGGAAATGTTGACTGCTTCCTATTTTTTCCTTGCACTCAGAACTAGCTGCCTTTACAATGATCCAGAAATGTCTTCTATGGAGAAGGAGTAAGAATTCACCATCAATAACAGCTATGTGGTTACTTGTAGTGTTGTATGGCTGGGCTCTGAAAGAAAACACACTGAGGACTGGGTAAACCCTGTTTAGATGTTCAGCTTTCCTGTGCTCCATTCCTGAAATTAGAAACCTGAAGCTATATTTGCCAGCTTCACACCATTTCATTCACGATCACCCCTTAAATTTCTAAAGGACAACCTGTGGACATGGCATTCTATTTTTCCAATCCAAAAATGGGAAGAAAATGAATATTAGGACCAGATGTAAGAACATTTGGGCAAGAGGAATGCAATTCTGCTTTCTGAATGACATCATCTCTATTTTAATTAGTGGAAGTTGGAACTTCCATTTAATACTTTGGTGGATGGAGAGAAAATGTGCTTGTTTTGCAACATCCAGGAGGAATTCGAGCCTGTATGAGACTGTAGGAATGATCTATTTAGAGGATTGCCATCCTGTGAGAAGCAGAAATTGGACATGTAGTGAGTTCTTAACCACGTTCCAGACTGTAAAAAGCTTCACACGCAGTGTCTGATTTTAATCCTCAGAATAAGTTTATGAGGTACATTTCACAGATGAGGAAAGAGAGGCATGGAGAGACGATCTGACCAGCCCACTGTTTTACAGCTGTAAAAATGGCCCAGAGCTGGAATTTGGACCTTGGCAGTATAGCTCCAGGGCCAATGGTTTTTAAATCAGAAAGAGGTGGTCTTAATGCTAGATGGGTGTACCACTTCCAATTTAATGAAAGACAAAACTATTCACCTAAGAGAACAGAGCGAATTAGTGGCCAAGTCAGTTTCAGGGAATAAACTGTGGTCACCAGCAAGCTTTCAGAGAGAACTTGGTCATCCGACAAGGAGCTTCCAATTTGGTTTGAGTTGTGGAGAATTTAACATTGCCCTTGTTCCTAGCAATCAGGAAGCAGAGGGGAAAGATCAGTTTTAAATGTGTCTCATCTCTATTGTCACCTTTTGCTGTCTTTGGACCTCCTTTGCGTTGAGGTCCAAAAGGAAGTTGGAAAATTATAGTGAAATATCTTCACATTTGCCATGTTGACCTTGCAACTTAAAGGAAGTTTAGGCACAAAAACTCCAGAGACAGTCCCAACTGAAAAAGTTCACAAAGAGCAAAGACTGGGCCAATTCTGGATGCATGCCTATGAGTTAGCCCTGCTCTGCAAGGAAAATTTATTTTTTCTAAATAAAATTTTAAAAAAAGAACAAAGACCATAGAGAGACCTTTGAAATCACACAGCTATTTTTCCAAAGGTCACTGTTGTCCCACCTCTTTTAGATGAAGATAACAATTGCTTCAAGGAAATTGGCACATGAAATTCTGCAAAGCAATAATACCTCAATTCCCCAGTGCACGATAATTCTTTTTGCAACTATTTCTTCCCTCAGCAAAACAGCACCCCCCTTGAGCAGTTAACAGAGCCCACAGTTAACAAGCAGCAGAGAGGGCACATGTGGAAGCCCAGCCAATGGCTGGCCCATCGCTGCTACATCTTGGGGCTTACCCACTTCTTTGCTTGCCTTGTCTGTCTTGCTTCTTATTCCTACGTAGGGCTGTTTGGTTGGGAAGAGGGCAACCATTGCTTCCTGTCTGGGTTCATTTCAGGGCTGGGCATGGAGGAGGGAGGGATACTACAAATTGTTATTGTTACTTCCCACTTTTTAGAAGAACATATTCTTCTCAAGTCTTCCCTTTCTTCAGCCCTCTCTTTCCTGAGCCCTTAAGAGGCACAAGATCACAGTGTGGATGATGAGATCAGGATAAGGGGCAAGAGTAACCAAGAATTTTTTTTTTTTTTCTGACTTCCAGTCCTGGATTTCTGGCTTTCTTTGGTATTAGAATAAGGGCTGCATTTACTTCTTCTGGCACCTTTACACTGTAGGCCATCAAGGACAGAGGAGCATTCTGTGTGGAAGCATTTTACACCTTCCAGAGCTAGTGTTGAATGAATACACTGCAAAATGGGCAAGGGTTCTTCCAATGGGCTCGATCAGTCCAAGAATAAGATGGAGTGTGTGCTGTTATCGTAGTGGCCTCTCATTTTCCTCAGAGACAGAAGGGAAGGTTATGCCCATTTTCTTCTTTCTACATAAAATGCAAATGTTTTTATTCATCATTAAACAATATTGTCTGACAGTTTGTAAGGAACCTCATTTAATACGTGTTAGACACAAAAATGGCCTATTGTAAAATTATCAGAAGGTTGCTCTGTCTCAGGAAAAAGTTGCTTATAGAAAACTAAGCCCATTTGCCCGAGGATTAAGAATATTCAATTCTAATTAAAAGTATTCTTTTTTCCAAAAAGGATACTTTTATTTATTTATTTATTTATGTATTTATTTATTTATTTATTTTTAAATAGCCCTGGGTGCTTGTCTCCTTCCCTTTTAGGTTTGGATTTTATGAATTTCTTCATGTTCCAAAACTTGCAACATGCCTTTTTATATTTTTACATATTTGTTTAAAGTACAGTGATCAAGAGTGGCTCTATTTGAAGAAGCTTAAATTAGCATCATTGTTAATAGCTTTGTTAACTCCACAACGTTGCTGTTCTCTCAAATATTAACCTTCCAAGTGGTTTCCTGTATTTACTTACAAGAAAATTGTTCACTTTTGACTATCTCATTTATTTCATAAACTGGGTAAACAGGTTCCAGTCTTTTAGCTTTTGAGTTAACGAAAGCTGAAGGGATGAATTAAATCCTAGAAGATTTACAAAAAAGTCAGTACGAAAAATAATCGAGATGGGCATCCTGGTGTAAGTGTTAGCTCAGGGGCCCGATGGTGAAACAAGGTGACCATGTTCTTTTAAGCTTCCAAGACTATTTCACATATTCTGACCCACTCTCGCAGTTTTTAGACGATGTGCCCCAAATTTTGGTTTAGTAAATATTCTCTTCATCTATGGGAAAAAGTCAACCAACACCGTGAGAGAAAGAATCAAATTTCCAATCACCAAATCAAACTTACTACAGATTTCCGGGAACAGGAAGGACCTTTTAAAAGCAAAAACAGTATATTTTTTAAATGACCTGTTTTGTAAAGGTATATGAAAAAGATGTCGGGGTCACAGTGGATAAAAAGAGGATACCTCTAAAGCAAACTCTGCAGGTAAGAAAACAAGTCAGAGGGCCTGAAAACTAGAAATATTCATGATGATTTTGGCTTTCCAAAGGAGACAAGATTGTTGCAAGTAGGGTAATAAAGCGAAGAGCTATTTGCTCATTTCAAAAAAACACTGAGGGGCCGGGCATGCTGGCTCATGCCTGTAATCCCAGCACTTTGGGAGGCTGAAGTGGGCGGATCACGAGGTCAAGAGATCGAGATCATCCTGGCCAACAGGGTGAAACCCCGTCTCGCTAAAAACACAAAAAATTATCTGGGCATGGTGGCGTCTGCCTGTAATCCCAGCTACTCGGGAGGCTGAGGCAGGAGAGTCGCTTGAATCTAGGAGACGGCGGTTGCAGTAAGCCGAGATCGCACCACTGAGCTCCAGCATGGCGACAGAGCAAGACTCCATCTCAAAAAAAAAAAAAAAAAAACCACACACACAAAACAACAACAAAAAAAATCCACCGAGGTACTATTGCTGCTAATAATAACAGACATTATGATATGTTCATTATGTACAATTGAAAATGCTTTAGACTTATTCATTAGCAAGCTGTGAAAGCGGTATGACCGTTCCATTTTACAGATACAGAAATGGAAACTTAGAGAAGGTGGGTGACTTGGCCAAGTCCCCACTGCTAATAAGTGACGGAATTGCTGACTATATTTCAAAGGAAAGATACTTTACTACTGTAAACTGGATGGGCAGGCAGCGTGAGTTGCCAGTGGCTTTATTTGCAAAGCTTCTAGAATGAACACTGCTCAGCTGCCGCAAATTCCACAAGTAAAGCACAGTAACCTTTGCAACATGCAAGCTTATGGCTCAGGGAGCAGAGATAAGCAAAATCCACAGATACGTGCCAAATCACCCTTTGCAAACTAATAGTTTCTCTTTTATCGCAACTGAAATTCTTCCTCTATTTACTGGCTTTTGGTTTTCTTCCTCTTGGGTGGATGCGGTAGGAAGTTGTGCTGTGTTCACTAAGAAGCAGAAGAGAGACGTGATTCGAGTGAGTTTTAGGCTTACTCCTCAGATACTTGGGAACCCATTTGACCTTCTGAAAAACAAGCTTTTCTTTAGTTATAAACATCCATCTCAGTAAGGTAGGCTAACCCCTTTCAGTCAATTCCTTTGGCTTCTAGAAAATGTTTGGTGTTGTTTTGTTGTTTACCATTTCTTACTATTTAGTGCTTGTCAGACATTACTTACTTGAGGCAGAACATTTGTTTGCTTCACAAGGAAAGGTCACTTATTAAATAAAATGGCATGATTTCTGGAATACACTAATGCTCCTTATCTTAATTGACTTTGGGAATGAGCCTTTACATGAGTTTTTTACCTCCCTGGATCATTTTGAAAAGGTGTAAAATGCTTCCAGAAACGATTTTGTAGAACTAAACAGATTTCATATGTTGGAGAAAAGCCTGACAAGAGGAGGATTGGGTTTTACCAGATTTTTCTATTATAAGAAACTTGCATGATTTAAATATTTTCAGTATGTCCTTTGAGGAAAAAAGCAAACACAGTGCTACCCAAATCATTACTAAATGTCTCTCATTTGGTTTCTCATGTTTCTCTCTCTTTTTCTTTTCTTTGCAGTATTGACTTGAAGCTGAAAGAAAAGCCTTAGTTGGCCATGCTGGAAGAAGAGGATGCTTTTCTGGTTCATGGTTCTGTTGAAACATATCTACCTGAAAGAGACAGGGCTGATGTTACCTTTTTCCACTTTGCACTACCTGGTGCCATTCTAAATTTCTAAGGGGAAAAATAGAAAGTTTGTTTACTCTTAAGATATTTTATGAAATTGTGTGTACTTTCCTATTTTGCCAATTATGTGCCTCAAAGATTTTAGTTGAGCCTTAGCAAGAAAGTAGGACCTTCCATTTCAATACTTCATTAACACGGTGTAGTGATACTTTGTCCCTTAGACTGGTGTTTACCAGTAAGATACCTTTAATCCACTGTTAAGTATGAGTGGATTTGTTTCCATAGATTAGCTGGATTTCCTTTTGGTGATTGCATTAGGTTTAAAGTACACAGGTCTCAACTCTCCCCAGGAAAGTTTCCCCTGTTTGACTCCACCTTTAAAATCCTAAGCCTGACTAGGACAGCCACAAACCACACAAGGTGTAAAACCATCATCAGCTAAGTGCCCGTTTTGTTCTTGTTTACCAGAATCTCCTTTAACTTCTCAAAGGGAAGCCGGGCTTTCTAATCCACGTCAACTTTATTTTAGTTGTCAAATTGGGCATTATATTTTATGTAAATTGGTCTTTTAACATCATTTTCCTGATGAATGTTGGTGACCACCACATTGTGAAATTTAAGAATCCGTGTTGCATGTTTGGTAGCTCTCTGAGTTTCAGGCCATAAACTCAGCTCCAGAGGTTACCTTTTAAGTGCCAAGAACTCAAGTGCAAGGTGGCCTACTCAAAAATCATTTGGTAGCATTCAGTTATTCATGAATTCCTCTCTCGCATGCATTATAAAAAGTGATCTGCTTTAAAACACCGTAATCTGATCATAGGCTTAAAATTAAATATGAGTATTACTTTCATGTACAAAATATTTCCTTTATAGTCTTCATATGCCCTTTAAAATGCCAACAAGATTTCAAGTCTGTAGGCCTCTAGTGAGGTGGGGTGGCAAACCACAGCTAAGTCTCGCTCACCACTGCAAGCTAAGAATGGTTTTTACATTTTGGGTTGGAAAAATTTTTTTTGAATATTTCATGACACATGAAAATTATTCAAATGTTAGTGCCGATAAATAAAGTGGTACTGAAACACAGCCACACAAACTTGTTTTTGTACTGTCTACAGCTACTTTCACACTACAGCCGCAGAGCTGAGCAGTTCAGCAGACCGTATGTCCCACAATGCCTAAAACATTGACTATGTTTACAGAAAAAGTTTGCTGACCCCTGCTCTAGCAAACGCATCCTTTCCTACTCCACCCCAATTTGTATTTAGATAGTTTCTCTAACAGAACGGACAAATGAGGCTGCAAACTAATTTATTTTTGTCAAAAATCAATGTTTTGACATCCACAGACAGTGAAATAAAAGAAATGGCTTGCTGAAAAACATGAGGAGTCCTAGCCACAAAATCACTGCTTAGGTTGCAATTGCCAAAATGAAGCCTTCTTAGAAGCACTTCTTTAGTATATACAGGTGTTGGCTGAAGTCCGTGCCTCACTCTGGGAACCATTCTTAGTCTCCAGTGTCTCCTATTACAAAGAAGCTGGCAGAAATAAAAATGAAGGGGTGAGAGCGGTTCCACCCTAGTCTCATGGTGGAAAATTCATTGGGGAGAGCTGTCCAGGATATTTGGAGTCCTGGGTAGAAGGAGCTTGTAACTACTTTAAAGTCGACATCTTTGCACAGGTGATTGAGTTTCTCTGACCTCATTGCTTCACCTCTGTCTCCTCCCGTCCTTCCGCACGTGCCCACACACACGCAGTTCAGCCCTCTTTCCTCCATAAGCCTCCATCGTTTTCTCTTTTCTCCTCTTGATCCTTTCAAGCGAGTATCTTGTTGAATTGTATGTTCTGTTGGATCTCCTCCTTCATAACATCTGGCTTGTTGGACAGAAAAACCCTACAGCCCACCCCCTCCCACAGCCCACCTCCACTTTTGAAAGCCCAAATTACACCTCTCCCAGAACACAGTGTTGACGTAAATACAGTTACCCAATATTCCTGTTTGTTCACCTATTTGCTACTTTCACTCAGTAGCATCCCATTTTGTAAAATGAATTCCATGGTCACCCTGTCACAGGAAGTAATGAAAAATCCAGTGTTCAGTGTAGTGGTGCAAACCTGAGGGCATAGAGCTGTTCATAGAGGGCTCTTGTTATAGCCAAACAGACACAGCAACAATCTCACCATTTATATATATATTTTTAACTTGTCCAGCTCATCTATGGAAAACTACTCAGGTGGTATGCTGTTTGAAGCCTCATCTTCCTACATGAAAATTATGGGCATTTGTCCCAATGATTTTGTTTCAGCTGTTCTGTAGGCTGCATAACCACTCTGATATTTAGGTATCTGCTATTTTATTATCTTAAAAGACAAATTAATTTAATTGCATGTGCTAGGGAAAAGCTACCATGTACATTCACCCCAAGTAAATAGAATCCTAGATGAATCCTAGAAAAATAATCCCTAAGCAGATAGGTAGACAGAGGTAAACATTCACATGATTTAGCTCTCTAGCTCTTGCACTCTGAACATTCTTGCTTTGGTTCTGACTTCTGGGAACTGCTTTGCATTTCTCCTATAGATCTGTAGTTAAGGGAACCAAGGGGTCATTGGGGCAAAAGCATTGTTTCTCAAAGCTCCTTGATTAAGAGAAAGAACAGAAATTTGCACAGAAGATAGTGTCAAGGAGTGAGAAAGTTTGTTTGAGGGCAGTAGCTCAGTGTGGAAGAAAATCCTGAAGTTTCTGTTGAAGCCATACAATGTTCTATGGGGTTACTCTCTAAGACATTCTCTGAGGTGTGTGAGGAAGTCACTACTCCTAGCCTTTGTTAAGATGTAATTTTAAATATTCAGTTATGGTACTATGTTTGCAACTCTCGTCTTATCACAATGCCTCAGTAGTTTGTTCCCTTAGAAACATTTAGATGTGCACAAATTAATCTTTTATATATCTAAAGGTTTTTCTATCATGCATTGGATTGCTCAGAATAAAGTGTCTGTTAGACTTCGTTTTGGTAAATAAATTCTCCATAATGTAGATTAATAATATAAAAGTCTTTAATGACACAATATATCTATATAGCCTCACTGTATAATTCAGAAATAAAAATTGATTCTGCATGTGATGGTTTTCTTTCTTTGAGTCAGCAAGAATTTTTCTCTGGCTTCACTTTGCAGCAGTTTTATCTCAACATCAATCTAGCTTGGCACTTGGTACTGGAGGACTGTATACATTTTGGTTTTTCTGTACACCCAAACTTTATTCTCTCTTCATTTTTGCCTTTCCTATCTCAGAGTTCAATACACCGAGCTTTCAAACTGTTGTTTACTCTGTGGATAAGCGATTTCTTACTTTGGAAACATCTCCATGTTTCATGGTTACTTGATTTTTGTCTTTTCCTCTCTCTTCCCCTTGCCTTTTTATGGCATATATTTATTTTTAAATTAAAATGTTTAAATATCATTTTATTTTTAGTTGGGGTTTTTTCCCCATTTTCACAACCTTCAGGCAAAACCAGAGTTGAGAATTACCACTGTGCTATTTTTTTAACTTAATAAACACATGTGTACCTCTGAGAAAGTTGTTGGACTAGCCAAAGGAGAAATTGCTCTACAAGAAGTGAGACGTTGCATGTTCTCATGATCTAAAAATGAGTTCTGGTAGATATTGTCCTCTACCCAAGAAAGGGAAGAAACAGAAGAAAAGGCTGACAAGTAATTGCAGGCAAAGGAAGGACATTCAACTACAAGACGTACTGCTACATTCATTCTGCTCTCGTACCTAACTATGGTGGTGGAAACTGGAGGTGGGCTAGGTGTCCAGCACTAGGGAAAGGGCTGGGTAAATCGTGCTGAATACACCTTTTAGTATACCACAGCTGTGAGAAGCAACATACTATATGTTCATAAAGCAACACTTAAATCATAGGGTAGAGCGGAAAAAGAACAAACTCGATGTTTATAGCACAGTGCCACTTACATAACTGTTAAACATACACACACAAAACTACGTATTATCCAAAATCCATGTGTATTTAAGGACTTAACACACTCATTTGGGTAAGGGTAGGGCATGGAGATCAGTGATAAAGTTGGGAGCCTAATTAAAAATCAAAATCATAAGGGGCCTTTTATAAGCTGAAGTTAAAAATAAATAAAATGAAGACAACTTCAGTCGTGGAAGCCAAGACTTTCAGTCATAGATTACAGAAAAGCTGTGTTGGGGCACTGTGGATCCCTGAGGAGCCATTCCCTTCTACAGCTTCTCTTGTGTGTGCAGTGTCCCTGTGCTGGCTGTGTCCATGTGCTGCAGCGTGCCAGAAGCCCGCCCTGGGTTGCATCATCCTGTGCAGTCATGGAACTTTTAATTCAGAGCTGGTGCCTTTTGACACATCAATCCTCACACAGCTGTGGGCTTTACGGAGCAAGCAGATTGCCTCACGAGCCTGATTTTCCTAGATAGTTTCATTCACATCCATTCAAAATAACCCTCTTTAACTAGACAAAATTATTTCTTCTCAAGATATAACCATTCCAATGATACTTAGACATTAGACACCAATAACTGCTACCCATGATCTCTCTAGCCTTACCTCTAGTGAGAGACCTATAGCCCTTAACACTGGATCACGCTTTCCTTGTGAAACTTCCTCCTTAGACCAGTGAGCTGAATTACCCTGCTTTCCCACAGTATTCAATATCTATTGCTGTATTAACAAATTACAGTTGACTCTCATTTTTCACAGTAGTTATGTCCTATAAAGTCAACAAGAACACTGAGTTAGTGAACACTGATCCATTGCTCCTCGGGCAACCGGTCAATACATAAGTTTGTTCTATGTGTTTTTCAGTTTAAAGATATTGTATTTAATGTATATTGTTCACTTGATAACACTGAATTCACAGCCAACAGCCTGAACATAACTCACGCCTGAATGAAGCTTCTGCAACAGGTATTTTCTCCATAAGGCACATCACAGCCTCCTTGCATTAGGAATACCAAATAGCCCCCACTAGCTTGGGGGCCATTTTAAACAGTAAAATCAACAAAAAGCGCAACAATGCAAAAAACAAAAACACAAATACAGGAAACTACATGGACTGTGAAGAGGATACTTGTTGCTGAGAGCTGAAACAAGAAGACAGAGCCTTACCTTGTGCGACTTCAGCAGGGAGCATGTATCTCAGGCAATTCAAATTTTTCACTGCTCTGCAGATGCCGTAAATGACTGTGAAAGTGCTGGAGTACTGATTTTAGGGATACAAATAAATTTTAGCGAGTAAGCAAATTTGCAAGTGCAAAATCTGTGAATAATGAAGATCTACTGTATTCCAAAACTTACGGGCTTAAAACCACACATTTATGATCTCAGTTTCTGTGGGTCAGAAATCCAGACACACCTTAGCTGGGCCCTCCGCTTCAGGGCCTCTCACAGGTGCAATCAAGGAGTTGGTCCAGGGTTTCTAACAAGACACAATCAAAGTTCATCTGGGACAGAATCTGCTTCCAAGCTCACCCTCATGATCATCAGCAGGATTCAGTTTCTCTGTGATTGCTGGACCAAGCACCTCATTCCTTGCCGGCTGTTAGCTAAAGGCTGCTCTCAGTTCTTTGCCTCATGGGTCCCTCCAGCACAGCAGCTTTTTTTTATTGAAACCAATGAGAAAGACTGCTAGGAACTTACAATATTTTGCAATCTATCACAGAATTGACATCCTCTCACTGTTGCTCTATTCTGTGGGTTAGAAGTAAGTCACAGGCACAGTGGCTCATTCTTCTAATCTCAGCAATTTGGGAGGCTGAGGCAAGTGGATAGCTTGAGCTCAGGAGCTTGAAACCAGCCTGGGAAACATGGCAAGACCCTGTCTCCACAAAAAATATAAAAATTAGCCAGGTGAGATGGCACTTGCCTGTGGTCCCAGCTACTCAGGAGGCTGAGGTAGGAGAATCTCTTGAGCCTGGGAGGTCAAGGCTGCAGTGAGCCATGATTGCCCCACTGCACTCCAGCCTGGGTGACAGAGCAAGACCCTATCTCCAAAAAGTAAAAATTCAAAAAAAAAAAAAAAAATTAAAAGAAGTCAGTCACTAGATCTAGCCACACTCAAAAGGAGAGTAGGACACAGGGTGTAACTATCAGGAGATAGGGATGATTGAAGGCTGCCTGGAAACTGTGCCCACCATACCCCTGGTGCCTTCTGCAAGTTCCTCTTTGAGCTCCTCTGTTTTCTCAAGGTGTTTCTCAATGTTCAGACGGAGGCTTTTCTGCTATTTCTCCATGACTTCAACTAGCACAACTCAGATTATTCAAAGCCTGGTTTCAATCTCAGACTACAAACTCCCACCATCATTTCTCTGTGCCCCCTCCAATCCCTGAGGAGGGGGTTAGTAAATTCTCACTTCCCCGAGCTGATGAGACAATTTCTGTACTACCTCATTGTCTTTGAAATCACACAAACTGGGATTCAGCCTACTGGAAAGGGTCACCTCCTTCCCATTAATCCCAGCAGAAGACCCAGGGCTGCATGTCACTGGACCGGCTTAGTTGCCTGTCTATGAGCCAACCACTGTAACTGAAGGGGTGGATTATGCAGGCTTAGTTGGGCCTGGGTCGTATGTTTACCCTTGGAGAGAGAGAAGGGAATCAGCCCCAACCAAGCCATAGTGACTGAGGTAGGGGAGTGGTGTTTCTGCAAAGGAAAATTAGTTTTCAAAAAGAAGTGGAATTAAATACCAGGCAAGATCAAGAGATTTCCAGTTAGGGCATCTGAGTTGGCCTTGAAGCCTAAGCAGGCTCTCAGCGGGGCACACAGGTGAGGTGTAGAGGGCACGGTAGGGCCCGAGAAAAACCAGCTCCAGAACCAGCCAGCCCTCACTTTGCATGGTGGAGCCACTCTTGAGGAACAATGGAATGGCCAATGAGTTCTGAAGCAAAAATAGCCTCATCCCAATCCCCCACCTTCAATAGGTGGGGATATCTTATAAATGAAAAATATAACCCAGGAAAACACTTTCTCCAAACCGAGAATAGGGAAAAGGTTGATCCATTCACCTGAAGTTTGGAGAACATGATACCAGGAAAGGAGCATTGATCAAGCAGGAAAGAAAATGAACAATAAATTCAGCCCTCGATAATATTTACTTTCCTTATAGTCCAGGTACAGCTTTCATCCTCCCTTACCTTTTCTGTTCTCTTCAGTGAAAAATGATCTAAGAAATCAAGAGTAACTGTCATAGCAGTATTTGCTGAAGAAATATCTTTTGACAACTAGAATGACTTTGAAATTGAATATCACTTAGGATATAAGTAAAGGAAGTACGTAAAGAAACTCTTGCTACGTTTCTAATTTTAATTTTTCCTCAAAATATGTATTCAAAAATTGTAGGCCAGGCACGGTGGTTCACACCTGTAATTCCAACATTTTGGGTGGCTGATGCAGGAGGAACACTTGAGCTCAGGAGTTCAAGACCAGCCTGGGCAAGATGGTGAGACCTTGTCTCTACAAAAAAATTTAAAAATTAGCTAGGCATGGTGGCACGCACCTGTAGTCCCAGCTACTTGAGAGGCTGAGGCAGGAGGATGGCTTGAGCCCAGGAGGTCGGGGTTGTAGTGAGCCATGATTGCACCACTGCACTCCAGCCTAGGCAACAAAAGAGCAAAACTCTGTCTCAGAAAAAATAACAACAACAGCAAAATTTTAAATGTAACAAGGGTTTGTTGTAAAAATTTCAGACAAAGATGTATGTAAAGGAAAGTCTCCTTGTATCATTCATTTATTGTTGTGTTACAAATAACCCCAAAACTGAGTGGCTTAAAACAGTACCATTCATTTATTTTGCTCACTAATCTACAATTTGGGCAGGAATCAGAAGGAACAGCTCATCTCAATTCCAGATAGCATCTGCCAGGGCAGCTTGGCTGGGGGCTGGAGGAACCACTTTCAAGAAGTCTGGCTAACCTGGATGGCAAGTTGTTTAAAATGTTAGCTAAATTTAAAGCTATGATATCCCTGAAGATACTGAGAGGAAGATAGCTTCCTCTCAATTGTTGAAATACAATTTTCAAAAAGTTAAAAACTTAGCCAGGCATGGTGGAGCCCCCTGTAATTCTAGCTACTTGGGAGGCTGAGGCAGGAGGATCGCTTGAGGCGCAGGAGGTCAGGGTTGCAGTGAGCTGTGATCATGCCACTTCACCGTAGCCTGAGCAACAAAGTGAGACCTTGTCTCAGAAAAAAGAAAGTTAAAAACATGACTTTCACACAAAGTGAACAGATGTTAAAGATTTGTTTAACTCATTAATTAATTATGTTAAATAAGATGTTAAGACTGGTCAAAAGAACAGAAAACAGGAGACGTAACATCAGGAATGTTCAAATGAATTACCTAATAGATGAAAATTTGAGTACTATCCAATCGAGCAATAAAATGTCATCTTTGGAGTTATCATTTCTACCAGTGGAAATCAACTATACCTCTACTCAACAATACTCAATCCTGGAGAGATTACCTCCATTCTTCAGTCTCTGTCCATGTACAGATGAAGTTGTCCCCATAGAAAGTCCTATTGTCCCAGATGGGTATGTAAGTCAGGCCTGGTCCAAAAAAGCATCCCATTCTCCCAGTGACAGACTCAGAGATGGATATGTGACCTGAAAGACACAATACGATTTGGCAGGGACTTTTGTGAGAGCCACCACATCTTTAGGGGCACTTGAATCTGGAAAGTTTTAGGTCTGAACTTGCTGGGATGCATCCTGCTACCACAAGAAGCCTGAAAATGAGGAAGCATACAATAGAGATGAACGGGGGGGAAACAGCATCCTGAAGGCTTTAACTGAGCCCCTGAATCAACGGTGCAGCCTGATTGCAGTCTTAACTCCAGACTTGTCTATTATATTAGTCAATATATTTCCTTCCTTCTCGTTTGCTAGTTTAAGCCAGGTAAGGTGATTCCAAATGACCCCTCACAATACAGGGGGTTCTCCAGCCCTGGTTTCTTCTTCTGTGTTAGCTCATTAAACATATATTCACTTCTCTGGGTTGCAGTTCCTCTTTCTGTAAAAAGAATAAGCGATACCTACTACAAAGAGTGATAAAGATGAAGTAAGTGATAAATATAAGTATAATATACCTTCATAATACCATGATAAAAGAGATGTCTATGTGATGCTTAATTTTTCTAAATTAGATTATATCTGGTTCTAACCTCCTGCTATGGTCTGCATGTTGGTGTTCCCCTAGAATTCATGTGTTAGAACCTAAGACCCAGTGTGATGGTATTAAGAGTGAGTCTTTTAGGGATGATTAAATCATTAGGACTCCATCCTCATGGCTGTGGTTAAACTCTTATAAAAATGCTAAAGGGGGCCGGGTGCGATGGCTTATGCCTGTAATCCCAGCACAGCGCTTTGGGAGACCAAGGCAGGAGGAATACTTGAGCCCAGGAGTCCAAGACCAGCCTGGGCAACACAGAGGGACCCTGTCTCTTTTTAATTTTTTTTTTTAAGTGCTGGAGGGGCCAAACACGGTGGCTCATGCCTGTAATCCCAGCATTTTGGGAGGTCAAAGCAGGAAAAGTGCTTGAGGCCAGGGGTTTGAGACCAGCCTGGACAAAATAGGGAGATGTTGTCTCTATAAAAAATTTTATAAATTTTATAAACTAGCCAGATGTAGTGGCTCATGCCTGCAGTCCCAGCAACTCAGGAGGCTAAGATGGGAGGATTGCTTGAGCCTGGGAGGTTGAGGCTGCAGTGAGTTGTGATCGTGCCACTGCAGTCCAGCCTGGGCAACAGAGTGAGACCCTCTCTAAAAACAATAAATAAATAAATAAAGTGCTGGAGAAAGCTAGCTGGGCTATTTTGCTCTTCTGCCTTGTGCCATGTGAGGACACAACAAGAAGGCCCTCACCAGTCACTGAATGTCAGTACCTTAATCTTGGACTTTCCAGCCTCTCAAACTATGAGAAATAAATTTCTATTCTTTGTAAATTATCCACTGTAGTAATTTTTTTCTAGCAGCACAAAAAGACTAAGATATCCCCATTTACTAGGATGAGAAGACTCCCAATATCAGTCACTATGTGGGCTCTTTTACTCTTTAGTGGTGAAATCTGTCACAAATTGCCTAGAAAATGTTGTTTGATCTTTGGCACATGTTTGCTATGGGGATGTTCATTGTCCAAGACCCTGTGGTCCATTCAAAGGCAGGTGGCTCTGCAGGCTTTTTGACCTTTAGGGTATCTGGTAAGTTCTATGTAGTTACTGAGACCATGGTGTTTGATGTTCATTGCCCCCAGCAAACGTGTTTACGTCATCAAAAGTTCCTGCTGCCACATAGGATACTTCCTGATAGGAAATTGATGCTTGTGGACTTTCCTTCCACAGCTCCTCAAGTCCTTGCCTCATTGCTAACCTTGGGCAACTCCTTGTCTTTCAACTCAATCTCCAGACCCCATACCTTCCAAGAAACACCCTGCCGAATTCACCTTCCTCACAGGGGCCTAGATAGAGCTTTATAACAGATGTCTTGCAACTTTGTTTGGGGCTGGGAACCACACATTAAAAAAAAAAATTAATAACCCAGAATAGCAACCTTCAAGAGGACCCTCAGTGAGCTCCACCTCCTGGTATTCATGCCTTTGTGTAATCCCCTTCTTTGAGTGTGGGTTGGACCTAGTGACTCACTTCTAACCAACAGAACACAGCAAAAGTGATGAAATGTCACTCTCAAAATTAGCTTATAAAACTACAGTGACTTCAATCTTGTTTCCCCTCTCTCTTTTCCTCCCTCACTGCTCTGAGGGAAGCCAGCTGCCATAATTGTGAGCTGCCCAACAAAGAATCCCATGTGGCAAGGAACTGATATTTAGGACAACAGCCAGAGAGTACCTGAGGCTTGCCAAAAGCCATGTGAGTGAGTTTGGAAGCAGATGGATCCTCCTCAAGATATTCCTTGTGATGACTGGAACCATAGCCAAACTTGAGTCCAGGCTTACAAGAGACCCTGAGCCAACTAAGCAGCTGATGCCTGACTCACAGAAACTGTGAGATAATAAGTATTTCTTGTTTTAAGCCACTAAGATTTGGAATAATTTGTTATGCAGCAACAGATAACTAATACATGGCCTCTAAGATTGGCAGCCCAGAATTTCCTGGAAACGAGGATAAAATTACCTTTTCCTCCTTTTGAAATCTTTTTTGGCAGGGAGTAGAAAACAGCACTAAATAGCTTGGTAAATTATCCTGTGACAAATGAACATTACCTGAAGCCATGTAAGTGGATAGAACAGAAATCCCTGCAGAGGGAAATTACCACCTCCTGTCACAGTTCAAACTCTGCCATGGTGAAGCATGGCCATGCCCCTGAGCACCTGATAATCAGCACCATCCCAATCCCTCCTACAGAATAAAGGAGCAGAGCCCAGTGCTCAGAGGAGAGATGGGGATGCAGCTGCCACAAGTCCTTAAACTGCCCCTTGGCCTCCCAAAAGAAACTCAAACCTGTAAGTGTGGCCCCAAGAAAATAACAAGCTAATTTCAGCTTAGGCTTCCAGGGATACTGGAATTTCTAGATGAAAGTGTTCAAAAGGCTAGAACTCTCTCCTGGTCAGGCGCAGTGGCTCAAGCCTGTAATCCTGGCACTTTGGGAGGCTAAGGCAGATGGATCACTTGAGCTCAGGCCTGGGCAACATGGTGAAACCTCATCTGTACATAAAATACAAAAGTTAGCCAGTTGTGATGGTGTGTGCCTGTAGTCCCAGCTACTCAGGAGTTTGAGGTGGAAGGAACACCTGAACCCTGGAGGCAGAGGTTGCAGTGAGCCAAGATCATGCCACTGCACTCCAGCCTGGGCAACAGAGTGAGACCCTGTCTCAATAATAATAATAATTATATAATGGAAAAAAAAAGGCTAGAGCTCCTGCTGTCATGGGACCCTGCCCTAAACCTGGAGATTCTGATGCAGTTCTCAGAATTAAGCCTGTCATGAAGGCTCCCCCAGGAATATGGGCCCCTTATACAGCATCTGATGCCAGAAAATAATCTGTGGTTGGTGAAGCTGGGCTCTGGAGAGACACTGGGCCAATTGCCATCCCCAAATTGTCAGCTCATTCATGCACAGTGTTTCCCTGACATTAAGTATAGGGTGTCAGGCTTCGTGCTGTACAATCCCAGAGAATGCTGTTGCTGTTGTGTTCAATGTCAATGACACCTGCTGAGACACAACTTTGTACAAGATGAATGGCAGAGTCTGGGGTCATACCACACTGTCACCCTGAGTGTGGGACCCACACATTTGAGAATGTTTTCTGGACAAAAATATACTCATTTTCCCACCATTATTCAGCCAATGAGTTTTTCAACTTTTATGAGTCCTCCTGTTTGGCCATATGGACAAGCTTCGGGGAAAGGTAGGGAAGCACAGTGCTAAAGCACCTCTCTGGGACACTTCCCCATCTCTATTTGGGACAGGCCTTGTATTTGCTCCAGTGAGTACGGGAATCTGGTCCCATTATGACCATGGAGATAAGCAAAGGCATGGTACCCAGCAATAACTTCCTAAAGGGCTCCAGGCCAGTCTCTGAGGTGTTCGCCTCACCTTCATGAAAAAGATCAACAGCTTAGGTGTCACATCAGCCAAGGTCTCCAGTTCTGGCTTTTTGCCTCCTGTGTGAGTGACTGAATATCTCTTTCTTACATTTTTTTTTTGAGATGGGGTCTTGCTATGTTGCCCAGGCTGATCTCGAACTCCTGGCCTCAAGCGATCCTCCTGCCTCAGCCTCCCACAGTGCTGGGATTACAAATGTGAGCCACAACACCCAGGCGAGACTGAATATCTCTAAACTTCAATTTGGAAAAGTTAAATTAAATGATGGGGGAGACTTCTGGTTTCCAGTCAGGTGCGTAGGAAGCTTGGAAGTTGTCTCTTCTGTCCACCCAGCAAGCTGAAAACTAACAATTCTTCTTATATCCATCAGAGAACTGAGGCCATAGAGCAAACAGCTGTCCCCCAAACTGAAGAGACTGACATGCAGATAGAGAGAATCACAACTTACCAGAGCAGAAGCCCAGGAGCAGTAACTTCCAAAGGAACGAGCATCCTATCTGGAAAACCTGAACTGCCACTAACGAATGGCTGGAGGCTCAGCGTGGACAAGGCTGAGAGAATTAAAAATTCAGGGAGAGGGCTGTTGTAGGGCAAACCCCACACTTTCTTGAGTTTTAACTCCAGGAGTGCCGCTACATTGTAAGATCAGAGAAAAATTCCCAAGTGATTCCCCCATGGGGTGGGGGAAAGTAGCCATTTAAAAAGTTGCCCAGAACATTCTGTTTTTTAATAACAATGCCTGTCCTCAAGAGAAACTGGAGCCTAGGTTGACCTGGGTGAAGGAAAATACCCAACTGCAGTGGGCTCCAGCCTTCCCATCTCACCTGAGAGGGAAAAACAAAACAAAACTGAGAGGCACTGGTGAAGGTGCCAGCCGAGGGGCACAGGCTCACTACAAGTCTGAGACCTATTTACAGGACTGTAGAACACTTCCTTTCCCCACACATTTTCTACCACATTAATAGGGCTGGTGTTTAATAACAGGGGAAAACAATGGGAAGAACTATTTAATAAGTCTCTAGAGAATATTTAAGGCCAGGTGCGGTGGCTCATGCCTGTAATGCCAGCACTTTGGGAGACTGAGGTGGGCAGATTGTCTGAGGTCAGGGGTTCAAGACCAGCTTGGCCAACATGGCAAAACCCCATCTCTACTTAAAATACAAAAAAAAAAAAAATTATCTGGGCATGATGGTGCACACCTGTAGTCCCAGCTACTCTGGAGGCTGAGGCAGGAGAATCGCTTGAACTTGGGAGTTGGAGGTTGCAGTGAGCCGAGATCGCACCACTGCAGTTCAGCCTGGGAGACAGAGCAAAATTCTGTCTCAAGGAAAAAAAAAAAAAAAGTGACAATTTAAGAGCCCTTTAGAGAAACTCAAAGACAACAGGGAGACAAAAACAAGCACATCAGATGAAAGTTTAACTTTCAACACCTACTGCTACAGCAAACACAGCCAAAGTCCTTGCCAGAAAAACATAAAACCTCATACCAAAGGCCTGTTTATAGCAGTTTCTTTTACCAAGGATATCATGTCCAGCTTTCAACAAAAAAATCACAAGGCATATGAAAAGACAAATAAAGTGACAGATCTGTGGTATTATTGAATAGACTATTAAAAGCATAAATTAATCTTCCCAGACACTAGCCTTTGTTTGCTCTCTAAGCCTGCCCCACTCGATAGGAGCTAAAGGCTGCTTTTCTAGGACCATCAACCAGGAGCTAGGGCACGTGGACAGCTTGAGGAGAGCCAGGAGGAGCTACACTGCCCTAACTCCTCCACTACTCTGAGTGAAAAACAGTGTTAATAAATCAAGTGGCTCCAGTGGCTTCTTCATTACACCTTCATTACATACAGGTGTTTTCTTAAGAATACCAGAGATGGATAGATAGGTAAATAGATAGATATAGAGATCAGAAATATAGAGCTATAGGTATATAAGAATGCATATACATTTAACTAAGGCTATGATTGGTATAAAGATTTTCTGATATATAGAAACTATTCATAAGTCTGAGAATTTTAGGTTAAATTCCTGTATCATTTTTACTTAAAAGAGAGGAAAAACATTATCTCTCTGGTCACATCACAGTGATAACTACTCAAAAATAATTGTTTAGGCCAGGCGCGGTGACTCACGCCTGTAATCCCAGCACTTTGGGAGGCTGAGGTAGGCGGATCACCTGAGGTCGGGAGTTCGAGACCAGCCTGACAAACATGGAGAAACCCCATCTCTACTAAGAATACAAAATTAGCCATGCTTGGTGGTGCACGCCTGTAATCCCAGCTGAGGCAGGAGAATCACTTGAACCCGGGAGGTGGAGGTTGCAGTGAGCCGAGATCGTGCCATTGCACTCCAGCCTGGGCAACAAGAGTGAAACTCCATCTCAAATAATAATGATGATGATTATAATAATAATAATAGTTTAACTTGTGTGACTTTTGCTTGGCACTTTGGTGATAAACAGTTTTTATTCATTCCACTAATATTATTGAGTCTGCTTAATGTGTTTATAATCCTAAACTAAGTTTTCATTATTGTTCTAAGCAAAATACCATGGTGCAGACAGAATACATTGTTTTTGGCCCCTGGAAACTTAGTATTTAGAAGGAGAGAAAATATATAAGTACAACATCCCTCAATGGCAGGACAGTGTATGGTTAAGGGCTAGACCAAGTTGTTTAGTCCCAGCTCTGCCACTAACAAGACATGTGATCTTGAGCAAGCTCCTTCCTTATTCCCCATGGGGCCTCGTTTCCTTATGTTTATATAAAATGAGAGCTAAGCTATTATCTCAAAGGGCCCGGCTAGTCCTAAAAGAAGAAATGTCTATTAACAGAGACAACAGATCTATCAGAGCAGTCATAAGAAGTCAAGAAAATGTCTAGACTGTCTACCGATCGCTATTCTACCACTACCTTGCCCATCGTGGTTTGTTAGGTTGGGATTAACCCACTTTCAGCAAGAAGATGTCCTAAATGGATCAACAGAATCACTTTCTTCTCATCAGAGTGATTAGTTTAGGTAATCTCAAATTTAGACTAATCAACCTCTAACATGACTTTAGCCACTAGGATTGATTCGGGGGTCAGCCAATCAGACCAAAGATGTGGCTTATGCTGGGGATTCTGACATGCAGACGTTCTCCCTCACTCTCAATAACGTGAAAGACTGAACATGCTGCAGTCATTTATAAGTAAATTCTGGTAAGACACTGATGGGGAAACAGAGCAGAGCTAGGATCGGACGGACCCCCTGGAAGTCCCACAAAATTCATATAGCTAATTCTTGAAGGGTTTGTTTGATTTGGATAGACTAGAGGAGAAGGAAGAATACTAACAGTAGATAATAACAGGAATCTGGAGGGAATGTGCAGTATCTTAACAATGGCACTTTGAAATTCTTCTTCTTCTTCTTACTATTATTATTATTATTATTATTATTATTATTTTGAGACCAAGTCCCACTCTGTCGCCCAGGCTGGAATATCTCAGCTCACTGCAACCTCTATCTCCTGGGTTCAAGCCTTTCTCCTGCCTCAGCCTCCTGAGCAGCTGGGATTACAGGCATCCACCACCACGCCCGGTTAATCCTTGTCCTTTTAGTAGAGATGGGGTCTCACCATGTTGGCCAGGCTGGTCTCGAGCTCCTGACTTCAGGTGATCCACTCACCTCGGCCTCCCAAAGTGCTGGGATTACAGGCATGAGCCACTGCACCCGGTCTGAATCTTTCCTTTGCTTGGCTAAAGCAGATAATTTGTATTCATCCAATATAAAACATTGGCATAATAATAATACTGATTCTGTGGTGGAGTTGGCTATGCAGGGATGGGTTTGGGATAGAGATATGACATATTCCATTTCTCAAAGAGCTTATATCTTGGCAGAGGGACCAAAAGGTAAACGACCAACAGTAGGGGAGAGATGTAGCCCTCGTTCACCTCAGATCTGCAGACGGGAAGAAAAATTTAAAGAATAGAGTGTCTTTTGAATGTCTGCCTGGGAGGAATTATCATCCACATTGGATAGATAAAGAGATTAAAGTATGTGAGCAAAAATGTCACATACCAAGCTAGACAATTATTATTACTGATAAGCCAGAAAGATAATGCTTTGCCTTTCTTGTACATATTCCTTTACTGAATGGACTATAAAAAGCACCAATTAATCTTCTCAGACTCTAGTCTTTGTTTGCTCTCTAAGCCTGCCCCACTCGATAGGAACTAGAGGCTGCTTTTCTAGGACCATCAACCAGGAACTAGGGTGGGTGGACAGCTTGAGGGGGGCCAGGAGGAGCTACACTGCCCTAACTCCTCCACTCCTCTGAGCGAAAAACAGTGTTCATACGTCATATTATATAAGATTTCAAAAACAACTAGCAGGCAGTACAATCTGCAGTTGAATCCAGGTCCATCTGGCTTTAAAACCTGGCTCAAGACTCCCACTTTTTAAAATGTGGTCTGTGCAACCTATAGAATGGGAGAAAAAATTTGCAAACTACTCGTCTGACAGGGGATTAATAGCCAGAATATATAAGGAACTTAAAAATCTCAACACAAAAGAAAAACAACCAAGTAATCCAATTAAAAAATGGATGAATGATCTGAACAGACACTTCTCAAAAGAAGATATACAAATGGTCAACAAATATATTTTTTAATGCTCAACATCATTAATCATCAGGGAAATGCAAATCAAAACCATAATAAGGTATGATCTCTCTCTAGTTAGGACGGCTATTACCAAAAAGACAAAAAATAATAATATGTACAATTATTATTTGACAATTTAAAAAATATAATAACAGCTGAGCGTGGTGGTTCACACCTGTAATCCCAGCACTTTGGGAGGCCAAGGCAGGCAGATCATGAGGTCAGGAGTTCGAGACTAGCCTGGCCAGCATGGTGAAACCCCGTCTCTACTACAAATACAAAAAATTAGCTGGGCGTGGTAGCACACGCCTGTAGTCCCAGCTACGCTGGAGGCTGAGGCAGGATAATGGCTTGAACCCAGCAGGCGGAAGTTGCAGTGAGCTAAGATTGCGCCACTGCACTCCAGTCTGGGCAAGGAAGCTAGACTCCATCTCAAACAACAATAACAACAACAACAACAATAAAAAATAATTTTTTTAAAAAAAGTGTGGTCTGTGAATTGGCAGCATCAGCATCAACTGGGAGCATGGCTGGCGACATAATCTGTGTGGCCTGATGCAAAATAAAAATATGGGCACCTGTTCAAAAAGCAGGGGAAAGTGCCACTACATTTGCAAACATGTTAAGCTTCTCTCTTTCTTCCACAGTCTCTCAACTTGTCATGGTGTTTTATATTTGCCATTTAATGTCATTCTTTTTTTTTTTTAAGACTGGGTTTCGCTCGTGTTGCCCAGGCTGGAGTGCAGTGGTGCAATCTTGGCTCACTGCAGCCTCTGCTTCTTGGGTTCAAACAATTTTCCCACCTCAGCCTCCCGAATAGCTGGGATTACAGGGGTGTGCCACCATGCCCCGCAAAAGTTTGCATGTTTAGTAGAGACGGGGTTTCGCCACGTTGGTCAGGCTGGTCGCGAACTTCTGACCTCCGGTGACTCACCCACCTCAGCCTCCCAAAGCGTTAGGATTACAGGCGTGAGCTACCGTGCCCGGCCCATTTAATGTCATTCTAACTAAAAAAACATTTTTAATGACTAACATGGATTTACCGTTCATCGTTTTTATCAAGCAATGCCAGTTTTAAATGCAAATATCTAAGCATTTAATTCCTAAGGTGGAATCATTGAAATAACATAACTTGTATTTTGTAACTTGTACACACAGGTGTATTTTGTTCTTACCAGAACAGTGGAAACACTAAATAAAGGCACTCAACTGTTTTTGTTTTACTTCTTAACAAGCACACATTCTACTCACAGTACCTTCCACTTCCTGAAGGATAGGGAAGGACTGAAAGGAAAAAGAACTTTCCCTTCTCTTCTATGTCATCATTTTAGCATCCGTGGTTGGCTAATATAGGGAAGTAACCCAGGAGGGATATGACAGGGTTTCTTGGTCATTCATATTTCTTAGAACATCACTGCCTTCCTTCTGTGTTCATAGCAAGTTCTGGTACCAATGGCAAGCATGGCCTCTCCAGGCTGTCAGTGACTCAAACCTTACCAAGTCACAGCCTTAACACACCGCTTAGGACTTGCTGAACTCCCACCAAAATTTTGTACTCATGGGACATCTCAAGTACTATATGCAAATGGAACGCAAAAGACTGTGGCCACGCATATTCCTACTGCACTGCGTGGATCTCTTCTAGTCTCCGGCTGGCTGGATTGCCCCATCAGACTTACAAAATACAAGTTCAAATTTAAAAATCATTTAAAATTTTAAGGCGAAAATAGTGTGTTAAAACCAAGTTCAGAGCCTGCATAGGTTGCAGCTTAGGAGCTGGCTTTGCTTAGGAGCTTGATAAAAATGCAGGTTCTCAGTGCCGCCCACCCTCAGCCCCACCCCCACCCCCACCCCCAGACCTGTTGAATCAGAATTTGCATCTTAAGATTCCCAGGTCGGTTGTTTTTGGGGCTGTTGAAGTTCAGGAAGCTCTGGTCTGGTCTAGACCACTGAAGATTCTATCTCCCAGGCTAGACGCTGACTTTAACCCCTGGGAGGCAAGGGACAACTTTCTCTGATCTGCCCCACACTCTCTCTTCCCTCCTCTGGGTCCTACCTGCAGCTCCCCAGGATGTTATCAACTGGGTTGCAGGCTGGCTTTTCTAACAACAGATTTATGAGGCTCTGTTCAAATCTCAGGTTTCATCTGCCTTCCAACCATCCAAGCCCTTGGTATAATCATGAATCCCTGTGGCAAGGAAGAGACCACAAAGAGCATCTAATAGGAGCCTTCCTTTTAAAGACCCATTTTAAGGATATGGGCCAGAGGCCGAGCCCCAAAAAGATGAAAGTCTTGTTAATTTACATGTCAATGTGTAGCTGAGATGCCTTTATTATTGAGAATTCTAAAGTGAGAATCTTGTTCCCCCTCCCCCCGTTTGTTATTTAATTCCACTTATTTCCCTACTTTTGCTAGCTTTAAAATTACCCAGAGTGGATGAGGATGCAGTGTAACCTTTTTTCTGTCTCTCTTTGAGACTTTTTATGATGAAATGTTAGAAACATATTAATAATATGTCCCCCAAAATCTTTAAAAGAAGATCAAAGGAGGAGAAAATAGAGTTGAAAATTTAATTCACTTTGGCATTCAAGGGGTGTCTAAGAATAGGCCGGGCACGGTGGCTCACACCTGGCCTTTGGCAGGCAGATTGCTTGCAGCCAGGAGCTCAAGACCAGCAGACCAGCTTGGGCAACATAGTGAGACCCTGTCTCTACAAAAAATACAAAAATTAGCTGGATGTGGTGGCACACACCTGTAGTCTCAGCTACTCAGGAGGCTGAGGTGGGAGGATCACTTAAGCCTGGGAGGTTAAGGCTGCAGTGAGCCATGATGGTGTCACTGTGTCAGAAGTGTGTGAACCAGAGCAACTCCATCTTGAATAGGAGCTAGGTAAAATGAGACTGAGATCTAGTGGGCTGCATTCCCAGAGAGTTAAAGCATTCTATTTCACAGGATGAGATAGGAGGTTGGCACAAGATACAGGTCATAAAGACCTTGCTGATAAAACAGGTTGCAGTAAAGAAGCTGGCTAAATTCCACCAAAACCAAGACAGTCACTAGAATGACCTCTGGCTGTCCTCACTGCTACACTCCCACCAGCATCCTGACAGTTTACAAATGCCATGGCAACGTCAGGAAGTTACCCTATATGATCTAAAAAGGGAGGCAAGAATAATCCACCCCTTGTTTAGCCTATCGTCAGGAAATAACTGTAAAAATGGGTAACCAGCAGTCTTCTGGGCTTCTATGTCTATGGAATAGCCATTCTTTTTCTTTTTTTTTTTCTTTTTCTTTTTTTTTTTTTTTGAGATGGAGTCTCGCTCTGTCACCCAGGCTGGAGTGCAGTGGCGCAATCTCAGCTCACTGCAACCTCCACCTCCCGGGTTCAAGGGATTCTCCTGCCTCAGCCTCCCAAGTAGCTGGGATTACAGGCACGTGCCACCACGCCTGGCTAATTTTTGAATTTTTAGTACAGATGGGGTTTTACCATATTGACCAGGCTGGTCTCGAACTCCTGACCTCGTGATCCGCTGCCTCAGCCTCCCAAAGTGCTGGGATTACAGGCATGAGCCACTGCGCCCGGCCGGAGTAGGCATTCTTTTATTCCTTTACTTTCCTCATAAACTTGCTTTCACTTTATCGACTCACCCTGAGTTCTGTCTTGAGCGAGATCCAAGAACCCTCTATTGGGGTCTGGATCGGGACCCCTTTCCTGTAACAACCACACTCCAGCCTGGGTGATAGAGTGCGACCCTCTGAAAAAAAAAAAAAAAAAAAAAAAAAGAAGAAGAAGAAGTAGTTTTCAAGAAGAGTAAGTTAAGAAAGAAATTCAGTCAAAATTAGTGTTAAATAAAATGTACAGGAGGCCACTGGTTTGAAATGAGCTCCTGCACTAGTCCCAACAGATCAAACCAAAATAGAGTCACTCATGCTAATGTTCCATACCACCAAGCCAAAACTAAGTTGCTTACCTGAACTTCCAATAAATAGGAGAGAGAGAGAGAGAGATAACAGCCAAATCCCCAAACAGGCCAGTCTCAATGAGCATGATGAGGAAATCCCCTCTGCCTTGATCTTTATAATGAAGGTAACTTTGAAACGACTAATCCACCGGTTCTCTGTTTCTGCTTTCCTCAGCTCCTTTCTGTTTGTAAAACCAACCTCCTCTTCCCAGCTCATCACAACATTCTACTTTATAGAATGAGGCAGATTCTGAATTGCCTGATTCTAGAATCACAAATAAAAGCCAATTAAGATCTTTAAACTAAACTTGTTGTAATTTTGTTTGATGACATTAGGAACTTTCACCTTCTTGTTTCTCTCTCAGCCTGAGGCCTGAAATAGAATCACCCCTCAGCTAAAATGGAATTGCCCCTCAGCATGTGAGCAAACTTTTACTGCACCGCTAAGCTGCAAGCCAATAGAGAATTTTCTTGCACAATAGTGGCTCCCCTCCTTCTGTGAGGGAGAGCATTTAAAAAAGCAAGAGAAAAGAAAGGAAAAAGAGAAGGAAAGAGAAGCAAAGAAAAGAGAACGTTTTCAAAAGATGCGTGCTGCCCTTTTGATGAGGATGGCCTCCTTTTCCTCTTGACTGCCAGCCCCACCAGAAAACATTCTCCCAAATGGTCAAGACTGTCGGAAGCCAATGTTGACTGCAGCTGCTTGTAATTTGTTAGTAACTTTCTGGCATAGAGACATCTCAATTTCAAGACCAAGCTTTTATGTTCCCTGACCAGGACTAGAAATGGCAGACAGAAAAGAAAATGAGGGGGTAGGGATGAGGGAGTAGCACAGAGGCCATGGGGGGCATGAACTGACCCACAAAGAGGGTGGGGGGCAGGACTTGGACCTCCTGAAGGTCTTGGGCTTTTCAGCAGTGCTACTCCTCCCTCATTTCTCCTCCACCCCCAATCAAGGCAGGAGAAACAAAGAAACAGCTTAGCAATGAGCTCCTTGGGGTTGAGGTTTTACTGCATAGCTGTGTGCTGTGAAGAATTTTCTTATAAATTGCCCTGTTTGCACAATGACGGCATTCTTTTTTGGATCACCAACTCAGGACATTTGGTAGCATGAGTGACAGAAACATTTTAAATTCATGGGAAATACAAAACCCCCTTTGTGGGCATTGGTTTCAGTCGCTGCCTCAGGTAACAAGAGTTGAGCTAAGTTTTCCTTCTTTTCCCTTCCTTATCCATTGATTCTCTGGCCAAGGTGCTATCGAGTAGCCCGGTGACCCACAGGCCAAGGGAGGGAGGAGGAGATGAAAAGCAAGTTAATTCACCAGATGGAGAGTGGGACCATTTCAGCAGAAGGCAGCTGCATTTCCAAAGCCAGATCAAAATCAAGTTCGAAAAGCTAAGTCCTGCTTAAAGAGCTGAAGGCATAGAGATAGGACAAGGTCTGAGCTGGAACAGGAGATGAGGAACTCTCCTGTCCTCACCTCCATTTCTCCAGGGCCTGGATCTAGCAGGATCTAAGCTGTAAATCCCCCCACTGTCTGTGGTCAGGGGTTTCGCAACTGTGTTGG
The DNA here is from genome assembly GCF_000001405.40 of Homo sapiens. Lineage (NCBI taxonomy): Eukaryota > Metazoa > Chordata > Mammalia > Primates > Hominidae > Homo > Homo sapiens. The sequence goes on along the minus strand of NC_000009.12, from coordinate 76,591,717 downwards.
CTTAAACTTTGTTTCTGCCCTTAGACAAGTTACTTAACTTCTCTGATGCTCACTATCTTCATCTATAAAATAGAGACAATACTATCATCTATCTCATTGGCTTTCTGGGAGGAATCAGTGAAGAAATACATGCAATGGCCTGATAGCCAGGGCACATAGAGCTTAATAAGAATTGGCAGTAATGGGAGTAATTGTTGTTTCAAAGAGGAAGCTATTGCCAAGTCCAGCCTCACATATTTTCAAAGAAGACGTGGAAGGTTGTCCATGAGTTGACAAAGCCCAGATTGTCTCATTTCCCTCAGAGCCCAAAGGTCTGGCAGGCAAGCCACAGCCCTGGGTCATGAGTGAGTGGATCCACACCATCGTCCTTCATGAGAAACACCTTCCCTTCCTTCTTGCTTGGTTTCCCTCTCCTTCTTCTGCCCATCTCCATCTTTTTTTCTCTCTCTTTCATGAGAGAAACACCTTCCCTTCATGAGAAACACCTTCCCTTCCTTCTTGCTTGGTTTCCCTCTCCTTCTTCTGCCCATCTCCATCTTTTTTTCTCTCTCTTTCCTTCCCCAAAGACCCCATCAGCTCCACTTTTTCCCTACACAGCAACCTAGGAAAGTCATCTCATAGTGCTGAGCCCCACTTGCCTCTCAAGGCAGTGAGGACAATGGAGCAGATGCTCTATAAGTCCCTTTGGAAGCCAACATTCCACACTCATCCATTCCTTTCCTTTCTCCCTTTTCTTTTCCTTGCCACTTTCACACTCATACTCCTGGGAGAAAATTCCACCTGGTTAAGCTTGGGTCACATGCCTGCCACTACAGGTATGGCAATGTTAGAGAAAGGCTCTGGGGCAGGAATCCCCCAGGAACCTTGGGCTTCTTTAGGAGAAGAGGAGGACCTGGTTTTATAATCCCCCATGACTGCATGATTTGTGGAAGAGGGAGTGGTAATTCCCCCAGAAGAAATCAGAAAGGAAGAATAGGCATTAGGTTTAGGGTAGAGCAAAGGAAAGAACTACAACAGCTACTGTGCAGATGATAAAATTGGATGTATGCTTTCTGTCCTTTCCATTCGTATATTTATTTGCTTATCTATGCATTCGCTTTTGAGTGTCTAGGCCACTGAAGATGCAAGCCTTACCTGAACTTGAGAATGGTTAGAATTGTCATAATAAAATGTTCATTAAATATTTTGTGGTAAGTTCAACAATAAAGAATCCTCTCAGGAAGCAGGGTGGATCACAAGAACTAAATTGAACCTATCCTCTGGGTCAACCAAGTCTTTAAGGGAGTGGTTACATAAGACCAAACCAGGCATATTGGACATTGAGAGGAATCCCCAGGATGCGAGCCAGCCCTACAGTTCTCAATCTGGAGTGGATTTTGCTCTCCCTAGGGATATTTAGCAAAGCCTGGAGCCATTTGTGGTTGTCACAACTGGGAGGAAGGGGGACTTCTACTGACATCTACTTGGTAGAGACCAGGATGCTGCTAAACATTCTACAGTGCATAGGACAGCCCCTGACAACCAAGAATTACCCTACCCCAAACATCAACAGTGCCAAGGTTGGGAAATCCTTAGCAGATGGACAAGGGGCCTTTCATCCCAATAATCCTGATATGTTTTGTTGAGTCTGATAATCCAATAATCCTGATATGTTTTGTTGTCATGAGTGCTGACTATGGGGACCACAATCTAGTTTCACTCAACCAGTTTGTAAATCCAGGTGCCGGCTCTTCCACTAAGGAAGTCCCCTGGAAGATCCTTGCCCAAGATCCTTTGTCTTCCCCCTCCAAAACAGTGAAGGGGCAGACCTGTCACCAACTTCATCCAATCTGAATTCTCCATGGGTCTTGCATATTGGGCTAAATGTTTCAATATAAAAGGTTTAGTTTTCTAGAAGCCATGTCAAGACTGATACGAAATTCTTCTTCCAAGATCTCTTTCAGCTGTTTCATTAGCTGTAAATATAATTATCTGGCTTCTCTTGGATCTTATGAGCTGCACCGTATTCTTCCAGTAAATTTACTTTTTGTTTCAATTAGTCAGTCAATTTATTTTGCTTGCAACCAAGATGTCCTGATACAGAGAATCTTCAATTCCCTTTAGTAACTTCCAAACTTCATGCAACATCTCAAGTAAGTCTCATCCTATCACTCCAAGAAACATGGGATCCCAGAAATATCCTGGTTCATACTCTACTTCTCTAGGATCTGCCATTTGATTACCAGTTAATCAAATGACCAAAAAGAATTTATTCACACCCACATACTTTGAACAATGTCAGCTCAAGGAAAAGTCAAAGTAGAGAAGCGGGACTAATATTTGTTGGGTGTCTACATGTGCCAGGCACAACGTTAAAGACTTTATATTTAGAATCTTCTCTCGACTTTATTGCTATACTGGAGGTCGGTATTCCTATCCCACTTTACATTTGAGATAAAGGAGGATTAGTGAGATCAACTAATTTTCGTAAGACCATATATCTAGTAGTTATTAGAGATAGGATTTGGATTCAAGTCTATCTGTCTCCAAGGCCCATGGTTATTTTTTTTTTTTTTTTTTTTTTTTTTTACCTCTGTACAAGAGATGGCAAACTGTGGCCCTTGGGCCGTATTTTGCCTGCCACCACTCACTTTTGTAAATTAAGTTTTATTCTAAGAGCCATGCTCATTCTTTTGCTCTATAATGACAGAGTTGAGTATTTGCAATGCAAACAATAAGCATTGCAAAGAGTAAAATATTGCCTATGTTCCCTTTATAGAAAAAGTTTGGGCTGGGCACGGTGGCTCACGCCTGTAATCCCAGCACTTTGGGAGGCCGAGGCGGGTGGATCACCTGAGGTCAGGAGTTCGAGACCAGCCTGGCCAACATGGCAAAACCCCGTCTCTACTAACAATACAAAAAAATTAGCCAGGTGTGGTGGTAGGCACCTATAATCCAGCTACTCAGGAGGCTGAGGTAGAATTGCTTGGACCCAGGAGGTGGAGGTTGCAGTGAGCCAATATCATGCCACTGCACTGCAACCTGGGTAACAGAGTAAGACTGTCTCAAAAAAAAAAAAAAAGAAAGAAAGAAAGAAAGAAAAAGTTTGCTAACCTCTGCTCTACATCCTACTCTGTTCCTCATATGTAGATTCCCCATTCCTGGTTCACTCTTCTTTAGGGCATTTCTTTACATGAACTCAAGCATCTGATTCTGCTTCTTCCTTTAACAGACCTAGTCAGGAAAGCACTGTCTCATTCATACAAAAGTGGAAGTGACCAATAAAGCTTAATGTTTATCCCTCCCAAGGATATTTGCATTTTAAGAACCAACCAAAACTTAGGCCAAAAAGGCAAGTCTGGTGGGAATTTTTGGTGGGAATTCTGAAGTAATGGCTTTCACAGATTTGCCATTGAATCACCTAGATTTTAGATGGGCCCCTTCCTTGGGTCTCCCAAAATCATGCTACATATGATTGAAGGACTACGTAAAGGCTGTAGTCCTTTAATCTGCTTTTTTCAGGCATGGCCTGTTCAGAAAGGTCTTGGTTGGGTCCTAATCTTAAGGTCACTAGGGTGACTGCTACTTATGCTCAGGACCAGGACACTGGCTACTGATTTCAGATGTCACATCTTCATATACTTTCTAACTCTCAATTTGTAAAGATGACCAAAAAAATTAAAGGAGTTAATACACTATTTTACCAACCAGTAACATCAGCATAACTATCTCTGTACAGCATTTGCTGAAGATGATCACTTGCAATGATCTATAGCTGGGTTTGGTGTTGACCATCAAACTCTCCTCACTAGTGTAAGCTTTGCCAGGAGAAGCTGAAGCTCTTTTCTAGATAGAGCCAAGGTCCTATTCTTTTCCCACTTGGTTCTATGCCATCTTCCAATATCTCTGTGGCCCACACTTGTGTGCACCAGCCTGACTGTGTCCTTGAATTAGAACTGATACAGAAATTGCAAAGCATGCCTCACTGTGACAAGTGGGAAGAAAACCATTTCCTACCTCCTCACCTCCAGAGACTCACCCTCTGCTAGTGATTTTATCTCTTACATGGTTTTCGAATATGGCCTTTCCTCTCTTCTATTACTACTGCTCAGATAGTAAACACATCTTGCCATTTTTATAACCTCTGAACTGATCATCCTGCCTCAGTGTCACTCTCTCAAGTCCATCTCCGAAACTGTTTCTAGAGAACTTTATCTAAAATTCATCCAGGCACAGTTGCATGTGCCTGTAATCACAATAACTCAGGAGGCTGAGGTGGGAGCATCACTTGCCTGGGCAACATAATGAGACCCCATCTCTAAAACAAATTAAAAAAAAAAAAATCAAGTGTGGCCAATGTCCCTTCCCTGTCTAAACCTTGCAGTGGCACCCAGTCTCCTTCCTAGATGCCACACATCCAGGTCATATACCTGAACATATCTGGTAAGCATTAAACAATAGGGAGCAGTGCAGCCTGGGGTGAACCAGAGGCTTAAACGCCTGTAGACTTTATTCAAACACTGTGAGGGCCAAAATGAAAGCACCATCTGCAGACTGAAAGCAGTCCACAAGCAATGCATGTGCTGCCTCAGGAGAAATGCATGGTCCGCTTTTCACCATGACATAAAAGTCTTCTCTGGTCTGACTTCCACTGTTAATCCTTATCCCCAGCTACAACCTGACTCTCACTTCAGGCTCCTGCCGTCCCCATCTGCTTGATTTCTCGTGAGTTTCATGCCTCCCTGCCCCTGCTCATTTTTTTTTCTTTCCTACCTCCTGTTTATTCTGTCTTTAAAGCTTAAGATCCTTTCCTGGATCATCCCCCGCCTCCAGGTGAGCCAATATTGATCTTCTCTGCCTTTCTAGAACTTGATGCTGGCCTCTGTCATTACAATGACTGCATTATTTTAGAATTATATCCTCCTGTGTTCCTCCAAAGAATATTAAGTTCCTTGAGAGCAGGGAAATATGGCATTTGTGTATGATCCTGTATGCCTGTGTCTATAATAACCACTCATCAAATATTTGCTGAACCAAATACTAACCTGGGGGCCCAAGAGAGCTCTGTCTGGTTCCAGGAGTTGTTTGTTAGCTAGAGATTTGCAGTTTTAGGCAAACACTCTATGTCACAATTATTCTTTCTAGACAGAAATAGCATACTTTCCTCAAATGGTGTTTATGGAATAAAATAAAATTCAGTGTACATGAATAAATGGCACAGGGCCTGACATTTAGTTGGAACTCAAAAAGTGTAATGTTTTAATGAAGCTATCTTAGAAATGGCTCAAAGTCCAGCCATTAAAGTGTAGGTTATCTTTGACGATATGGCTGCTCTAATTACTTCTTATCTTATTTTCTATTGCTTCAGCATAAATCTGCTCTGTAGATACCGAAGTAGGCCATGGTGTTCAGAATAAAGGCAACCTGTAGGAAGTGCTGACTGAGAAGGAGTGTGAGGGAGCCTGATAAATGTTGGAAATGCTCCATTTCTTTATCTTGGTGGTGTTTACACAGGTGTATTCATCCAGGGTTACAGGTGGAATTGCGTCCCCCAGGAAGATATGCTGAAGTCTGAATTTCTGGGACCCACAAATGTGACCTTATTTGGAAATAGAGTCTTTGCAATATAATCAAGTTATAATGAGGTCATTGGGGTGGGCTCTAATCCTATATGATTGGTGTTCTAATAAAAAGAAGGAAATTTGGACACAGACACACAAATAAGAGAATGCCATGGGAATGCACGGGAGAACACAGGACAACAGAAGCTGATATTGGAGGAACGCCAAAGATTGGGATCATCCCCAGAATTCAGGAAGAGGCGAGGAAGAATTAGATCTAGGCTTTTACAGCATGTCTCTGCTTACACCTTGATTTTCAACTTCTGGCCAACTGTGACAGCATATATTTCTGTTGTTTTAAACCATCTAGTTTGAGTTACTTTGTATGGCAGCCCTAGCAAATAAATGCAGATTTTGGTACAGGGAAGTGAAATGTAACAAATACCTAAAATGTGGAAGTGGCTTTGGAATTGGGTAATGGTGAAACCTCCTTTGCAAAGATTATGACAGTGGGAGAAGTCTGGCGTGGCTGACTCCATCTTGCTTCAAGCCTCACAGGCTGGCTGTCTTCACTCATTCCTGGCATAGGCCAAGCTAACTGTGGGAGGAATATAGTTTATAGTTTAACTTGGAAGCAAGGATGATAATAGTCCCTTCCTAAAACTAGCCCCATTCTTGCTCAGAGACTGAGAACTAATGAAAGGCGGTGAGATTAGGATTATGGGAGGGGCCTGATTCTGCTAAAATGCAGGGATAGTTTCTCTAATCCCTTACTCCTCAGAAGTCATGTAGCCAGAGGTCACAAGATTTGTGACTTCCCCAATTGTTCTTACAGGTAACATCACTATTGTAGAACCTAAAACTAGTTTTTTGAGATTTTTTCTTTTCTTTTCTCTTTTCTGAGATGGAGTCTTGTTCTGTCACCCAGGCTGGAGTGCAGTGACATGATCTCGGCTCACTGCAAGCTCCGCCTCACGAGTTCACACCATTCTCCTGCCTCAGCCTCCTGAGTAGCTGAGACTACAGGTGCCCACCACCATGCCCGGCTAACTTTTTTTTTGTATTTTTAGTAGAGATGGGATTTCATCGTGTTGGCCAGAATGGTCTCTATCTCCTGACCTTGTGATCTGCCCACCTTGGCCTCCCAAAGTGCTAGGATTACAGGTGTAAGCCACTGTGCCCGGCCGGTTTTTTGAGATTTTTCTATACTATCCACTTCCAGACTCATGACTCAACTGATTCTATAGCCCCCAACCCAGAGGCAGACTCAGAGCATGAGGATGGATTTCCACAGCCCTATGATTGCAGCCCCAACCAAAGAGCAGCACCCAATCCCTAGTCCTCTGCCCACAAAACTATCCTTGAAAAACTGTAACCTCTGAGCCTTTGGAGAGACTAATTTGAGCAATAACTCTATCTTCCATATGGCTAGCCTAGCATCAATTAAACTCTGTCTTTACTGCAATACCACGATATCAGTGAATTGATTTTGCCTGTGCAGCAGTAAGAACCTGGTAGGCAATTACAGTGGGTAGACGTACAGGAATTTTCAGGAGCTTCATAGTAAAAGCCTAGATTGCTTTGAAGAGATTGGTGGTAGAAATATGGATGTCAGCTGGGTGCAGTGGCTCATGCCTGTAATCCCAGCACTTTGGGAGGCTGAGGCAGGAGGATCACTTGAGCCCAGAATTGTGAGACCAGCTTGGGTGAGATGGTGAGAGCTTGCCTCTGTAAAAATTAAAAGAAAGAAGAAAGAAGTATGGATGGTAAAGGCCATTTTGGTGAAGGTTTAGAAAGAAGTGAGGGAAGCTGTAGAGAAAGCTTTTATCATGTTAGAAAATACATATATCATTATGAACAGAATGTTGCTAGAAATATGAATGTTAACAGTGCTCCTGGTAAAGCCTCAGATGGAAGTAGGGACATTGGTATTGGACACTAGAGGAAAGGTAAACCTGGTTACAAAGTAGCAGAAAACTTGGCTGAATTATCTTCTGCTGCTTTGTGGAAAGTAAACTTACAAGTGATTAATTTGGATATTGAGCTGAAGTGATTTCCAAGCCAAGTGTGGAAGGTACAGTCTGGTTTCTCTATGCTGTTAAGAGTAAAATGCAAGAGAGAGACACATTAAGGAATGAACTGGTAAGCATAAAGGGACCAGCATTTGATCTGGAAAATTCTCAGCCTATCCAGATGACCTGCTCTGGAATTAGAGTCAAGGGTATGTCTGGACAATATTTGCTAAACGGATGAGATGTGTGATTTATGAATCCAATCAACCAACTCAGCAGAATCCAGGAATAGAGCTAAAATTATCCAACAAATATCTACGAGGGACTCTCTTGACTCATGGCTTAGACCCCTAGATTACCTGGGAGACTGACAACATTTTTAATAGTTTTATACTAGTGGAAATGCTGCCATCCCAGACTGAAAGGGACAGAGGCAAGATGAAATGAAGGAAGAATGAGCCTGAGGCCAGAGCCACAGATGCAAGGTGGATGGTACCCTGGGTGGGCCAAGAAAGTGAGGCCATCCACCCAATGGGCCAAGAGAACAGAGCCTCAAGCCACAGAAGATTATTTTCAGGCCTTGAAATCTAATGGAGTTTTTCCTCTTGCGTTGTGGACTTGCTTTAAGCCAATGACTTCATTATTCCTTCTGATTGTTCCCTCCTGTTAGCACCCTGTTTCGGAGCGAGGGCTTATGCAATATTTCTGCCCTGGCTGTCTATTCAGGTGACTCAGTTTGGAGTGCATGATCGAGACCAGAGAGCATGGCATGCCTCTGCACCTTCTCATCAGCGTACTGTGAGGTCTGGGTGCTCTGGCACATTGATCTCCTCTTTAGGCAGCACAAACCCTAAACAACGATCCTCTTGGCAAAGCAGAAGCCAGGAACCCCAAATGTGCTCTTTGCGGATCATTTTAAGGGCTGCCTTGCAGACCCCTCCCACCTACATAAAATGGCTCATTTCCTTTGCCTTTGGGTGCCCTTCCACATCTCCTGTGTCGGTGTGATGTTTTACGGGGCCAGATCCCTTCCCTGTCACTTCGTGAGGAATCTGCCATTTTCCCCTTAGAATTAGTGTTGCTTTCTAGAAATCTTCCCCATGTAACGGATTTAACATATTATGCTACTTGGGAAAAGTTCAGCACTAGCCAGTATCAAAAGCCCTGTAGCTCAGCTCATTGTTGAGGGGCCCAAAAGAGGCGCTGAGTAAGAAGCGCAAGGGGAAAAAAAAAAAATCCTAGCTTGTGTGGGAAAAGGGCTGACTTAAAGAGCACAATTCAGTTTTGCTAGACACCTGCTCCGTCTCCTTCCTATACCTGGTTCCACATTCCCAGGCATTTTCTCTTTGAAAAGATACAGAAGTAGTGGTCGTTTCCATTTCCTCTGCAGATTGCAAAAAGGGAGACATCTTGCCCTTAAGAAAAGACCGTGGAGTGGTGGCAGGCGCCTGTAGTCCCAGCTACTCAGGAGGCTGAGGCAGGAGAATGGCGTGAACCCGGGAGGCGGAGCTTGCAGTGAGCCGAGATCGCGCCACAGCACTACAGCCTGGGCGACAGAGCGAGACTCTGTCTCAAAAAAAAAAAAGAAAAAAGAAAAAAGAAAAAGAAAGAAAAGACTGTGGAGGCTATTGAAGGGGCTCTCTCTTCAGAGAGATGTCACCCTGAGCCTTTCGGCGATGCCTTTGTTTCTTTAGAAAATCATTCTACCTCTTTGGTGTGGTGTCCTGGGCTTCCCTCTAGCCTCATTCCTGGACACTTTCTCCATCACACCCTTCACTGCAGCCATCTCAGGATATTTTCTTTTGAGTCGGGGTATCGCTCTTGTTGCCCGGGCTGGAGTGCAATGGCACAAGATCTTGGCTCACTGCAACCTACGCCTCCCGGGTTCAAGCGATTCTCCTGCCTCAGCCTCCTGAGTAGCTGGGATTACAGGCATGTGCCACCACGCCCAGCCAATTTTTGTATTTTTAGTAGAGACGGGGTTTCACCATGTTGGCCAGGCTGGTCTTGAACTCCTGACCTCAGGTGATCCACTCGCCTCGCCCTCCCAAAGTGCTGGGATTATAGGTGTGAGCCACCACCCCTGGCAGGATATTTTCAGTTTGCTAAATGTGTCCCTTTCTCTTCTCCCTCTGCAGGGAATGTCCCTTCTGCTGTACCCAGCTTGCCCTCTGGAAATGTTTCCCCTTGCCTCTCCCCACAGCTGCTTGTTTCAAGGTCACTCTGGGCTCCCTTCCTGCTGTGCAGACTCTATCCCACTGCACAGTAAGCATTTCTCCTCTTATCTGACTTCTCCTTGAGACTATACCTCCTGGACATCAGGGACTGACTTTACTGTCTGCATTCTAGCACCTGACAAGGTGAGGAGTACCTTCTGGGTACTCAGAGGGTGGCTGGGTATTAACTATGAGGCAGACAGTCCAGTGTTTTAGCTTTCTGTTTAGTGAAACAAACACAGACATGCATGCATCCTTTTGCACATTTAGTATTGTTAGGGCACAATATCACTCCCATGCACAAGCAGGTCATAAAAAATCAGCCATAAATAGATGATTACTTTTAGACGAACCCAAAATTTTGTGTTACTGTCTGAATTATTAGAGGATTTCCTCAATGGTTGTTTGGGCTTTCTGCTCATATTTAAAAGTCGACTCTAAAAGACCCTGAGTGAAGAGCAAGAAAATAAACAAATAATAAATAACCTGATCAAAAAATGAGCAAAATATCTAAATAGACATTTCTTCAAGAAGACATACAAATGACCAACAGGTATATGAAAAGATGCTCAACATTGTTAACCATCTGGGAAATGCAAATCAAGACCACAATGCGATATCACCTCACACCTGTTGGGATGGCCATTATATATATATATAAAATGTATTATATATTTTTCTCTACATCCTCTCAGATACTTTATATATATATATACAGTACCTATTTTTAAAAAATATTTTAAATATATATTGTATGTAACATACATTTTTATGTATAAAAATGTATTTTATATATAAATATAAAAACCAGTGTCTGAGAGGATGTAGAGAAAAGGGAACCGTTACGTACTGTTCCTGGAAATGTAACATGGTACAGCTGCTATGGGAAAGAGTATAGAGTTTCCTCAGAAAATTAGAAACAGGACTACCATGTGACCCAGCAATCTTGCTTCTGGTATACATCTGAAAAAACTGAAATCAGGATCTGGAAAAGATATCTGCAATCCTATGTTCATTGAAGCATTATTCACAGTAGCCTAAATATGGAAGCAACCCAAATATCCATCAACGGACAAATGGAGAAAGAAAATGTAGTACATACATACAATGGAACATTATTTAGCTTTAACAAAGAAGAAAATCCTACTATTGTAATAACATGGATGGACCAGGGAGACATTCTATTAAATGAAATAAGTCAGTCATAGAAGGACAAATATTGTGTGATCTCTCTTATCTGAGGCACCTAAAATAATCAAAGGTATTGAGGTAGACAATAGAATGGTGGTTGCTAGGGGGTAGGGAAGGGCAAGATGGGGAGTTGTTGTTCAATGGGTATAAACTTACAGTGATACAAAAGTGAGTAAGTTCCAGAGATCTGCTCTGTAAGACAGTGCCTGTAATTAACAGTAAGTACTGCTAAATTAAGTTTAGCCTAAAGCTGCCTCCTTACGTATTTTAAGTCAGCCTAAAGGCTTCTCCATACTTAGTCAACTGCAACCTAACCAGATGTGGAAACAGACTGCACCCTACTCTTGTAACAATAGCTATACTTCAGCCACTCAGGCGGTCGACTGTGCAAACTGTGTTCAAACGAGGCCAACACTGAGCTATAACGATCCAGCCGTTTCTGTACTTCACTTCTGTTTTTTGTCTGTTATTTTCCTTTTTCAGTCCATAAATTCTCTTTAACCACGCAGCAGCCCTGGAGTTGCTCTGAAGGTATTCTGTTTGATGGGTGGGGGTGGGGTACCCGACTCTCAAATTGTTCTTTGCTCAGTTAAACTCTGTTAAATTTAATTTGTCTAAAGTTATCTTTTAACAGTCCTTATGTGCAAAGTCACTAAATTGTGTATATTAATATGTGCAGCTTTTTGGATACCAATTATACAATACAGATGAAAAGATAAAGATTAAAAAAATAAAGATTAATCGCTTCTCAGCCTTTTGGCTAAGATCAAGTATAAAAAAATAAAGATTAAAAAATAAAAAGCTCTGGCCAGGCGCGGTGGCTCAGCACTTTAGGAGGCCGAGGCGGGTGGATCACCTGAGGTCAGAAGTTCAAGATCAGCCTGACCAACATGGTGAAACCCCGTCTCTACTAAAAACACAAAAATGAGTTGAGCATGGTGGTGCCTGCCTGTAATTCCAGCTACTTGGGAGACTGAGGCACTAGAATCAATTGAATCCAGCAAGTGGAGGTTGCAGTGAGCTGAGATCATGCCACTGCACTCCCATCTGGGTGACAGAGTGAGACTCCATCTCAAAAATAAAATAAAATAAAATAATATAAAATAATAAAAAATAGGCCAGGCACGGTGACTCATGCCTGTAATCCCAGCACTTTGGGAGGCCGAGGCGGGCAGATCACAAGGTCAGGAAATTGAGAACATCCTGGCTAACACGGTGAAACCCCGTCTCTACTAAAAACACAAAAAATTAGCCAGGCATGGTGGCACGTGCCTGTAGTCCCAGCTACTTGGGAGGCTGAGGCAGGAGAATCGCTTGAACCTGGGAGTCAGAGGTTGCAGTGAGCCGAGATCGTGCCACTGCACTCCAGCCTGGGCGACAGAGTGAGACTCAGTCTTAAAATAAATAAATAAATAAATAAATAAATAAACAAATAAATAAATAAAAGTAAAGAGTTCTGTGTATAGATGAGGCTTATCCACTGGTGGCCTCCCTTTAGGATGACATGGCTGGACTGTTTTCCTGGAGAAACTCCAACTATCAGAATTTGTCTTGACTGAGGTTCCCTCAAAGCAGATGTAGAAACAGAGAGCCCCATTCAGGTCATCTATTTCAGAGGTCATCTCAGGAAACCCTGGTAGGGAGGTGGAGAAGTGGCAGGAAAGGGAAGGGAGTCAGCATGGGTGGACAATCAGAGCTCAATTCTGTGGGGGGCTCTGGGGGTCAGTGTAGGTCACGCCCCTCAGGATCCTCTCCCTGATGGAAGAGCAAGAGAGCCACGCCCTTCTCAACCACCTTGAAGCCTGTGAATTCTCTGCCTCTTCTGGCTGGGTCTGTCTGCAGGTTGAGAGAAGCGTTCACCTGAAGAAAGCTGCAGGAATTGGCAGGAAACCATCTTTAGGTGCAGAAGTGGATGCTAAGAGGGACACGGGCAGAAGGCTGATGGTGTCTGCTTCTGCATCTTTAGAACTTTCCTCAGGCTGGTCAGCTTCCCCTGAAGTGAATATTGCCATCTCCTACTTGTGGGTTAGGAGACTAGCTGCCAGCACTCTGGGATCTGGGTGAGAGAGAGGACTGGGCTCTCTTTAATCTTAGCTTTTGCTTGACCAACCTATTCTCAGTGTGGAAACTCCTCTGCTGTCCCCTTGTCCCCTAGTCACCATTGGTTCATACTCTCCGGAGCAGCGCTGTCCAACAGAAATCTCATGGGAGCCACGGAAGTCATTTTAGATTTTCTATCAGTCACATGAAAAAATAATAAAAATATACAGGAGAAATTAATTTTAATGTGTTTTATTTAATCCCATTGATCAAAAATATTATTGTTTCAACATATAATCAATGTTTCCATTATTTACTTATTTATTGAGATAAGAGTCTTGCCCTGTTGCCCAGGTTGGAGTGCAGTGATGTTACCATGGCTTACCGCAATCTTGACCTTCCCAGGCTCAGGTGATTCTCCTGCCTCAGCTTCCCAAGTTGCTGGGACTACACACATGTGCCTCCATACCTGGCTAATTTTTGTATTTTTTGTAGAGATGGGATTTTGCTATGTTGCCCGGGCTGATCTTGAACTTCTGGGCTCAAGTGATCCATCCTCCTCAGCCTCCCAAAGTGCTGTGATTACAGGTGTGAGCCACTGAGCCCAGCCTACAACATATAATCAATGTTTTTAAAAATCTTTTATAATTGTACCGAGCCTTCAGAATCTGGCATGTATTTCACACTTAACCCACATTTCAATTTAGAATAACCAGACTTAAAGAGTTCGGAAACCACATGTACTTAGTGGCTGCCGTATTGAGCAGTACAGCTCTAGAAACTAAATTTCCAGTCTAGTGCAAAGGTGAGGGGAGGGGCAGGTCTTCTGCTGCAAGGCATTGAGAAGGAAGCTGGGAGTCTAATTGCTTCTTTATTTATTTATTTGAGACGGAGTCTCGCTCTGTCGCCCAGGCTGGAGTGCAGTGGTGCGATCTCAGCTCACTGCAAGCTCCACCTCCCAGGTTCACACCATTCTCCTGCCTCAGCCTCCTGAGTAGCAGGCGCCCGTCACCACGCCCAGCTAATTTTTTGTAGTTTTTTTTTAGTAGAGACGGGGTTTCACATCTCTTGACCTCGTGTTCCGCCCGCCTCGGCTTCCCAAAGTGCTGGGATTACAGGCGTGAGCCACTGCGCCCGGCCTAACTGCTTCTTAAAAAGACTTTTGACTGACTCTGTTTTCCCATTTACCCTCATTTTAGAAATTCCTGGTGGCCCCAATTTCTGAGCATTTTTGTGGTTCTGTGGTGCAAATAGGATGGATGACTCACTTTCCCTCACTGCCAGCTTAGGTGTTGGCCTCACCGAATCTGCTGGGTCAGCTCACACTCATCCGTCAGCTTTCCATCTTTCCATTTTTCCTTGGTGTTTCCTCCACTCCAAGTCTCTTTGTCCTTATGGGTTTGTGCCTTAAAAAAAAAAAAATCGGCCAGGCACGGTGGCTTGCGCCTGTAACCCCAGCACTTTGGGAGGCTGAGGCGGGCGGATCACGAGGTCAGGAGATCGAGACCATCCCAGCTAACACAGTGAAACCCCGTCTCTACTAAAAATACAAAAAATTAGCCGGGCGTGGTGGCGGGCGCCTGTAGTCCCACCTACTCGGGAGGCTGACGCAGGAGAATGGCGTGAACCCGGGAGGCGGAGCTTGCAGTGAGCCAAGACTGCACCACTGCACTCCAGCCTAGGCGACAGAGTGAGACTCCGTCTCAAAAAAAAAAAAAAAAAAAAAAAAAATCATCCATTTTCATTTTATTGGAATGTTTGGAGAGAACAGAGATAAACATAGATGTTGAAACCACCATCTTTAACTGATCATCAATAAGTTTTCCATATCAATGGAATATGATTATTTTTGTCTATAAATTTTTTGTGAGTCTGGTGTTTTGGTTTAAATCATCTGAAAACCCTATGTATGCAATAACTATTTCCAAAAGGAACAAATGGATGAATAATGAGATATCCAGGAGACTGACTTAATCCCCAAATGTCATCCAATCCAGTTAAAACCAGTGCCCAGAAAGCGACACCCTCTGGGTCACCCTTCAGGGAGCCTGTTTCCCCTTGCACTCCTTAGCTCAGCTCATTTCTCTCAGTGACTACTGAGCTAAGAAAGCCCCCAGAAATAGTTAAGAATTTTAAAGGCTCTTAGCAGCAAACCAAATGCAAGACGGAGCCATGAGTCAACTGTTCCACCTCCCTCAACCTCATCGCCCAACTGCCTGCTAGAACAGACCACTTCCTTGTAATACACACGCTCTTTCTCTAGCACGGAGATTTAGCTTAACTCTGCCTTCCCCCACCTTCATCCTCATTTCTTCTTTTGAAAGGGCTGGGTTCCTTTTTGTGCTTTTTTTCTTGAATCTTAAAAATGAAGCCCAGGCCCCTTAGAACACAGAGCAATGTTAGAGTCCAGTCTTTATGTGTAATCAGTGTAGGGCTAGTAGTTTTGAGGTTCTTTGTTGGTTTGGTTTTGTACTTACTAACGTATTATTCTAGAATCCAAGAATAAATGAAAAGCAATTTAAATATGTATTAGAGTATCTCATAAAAGCGCCAAAAATGAGATTTTATTCATAATATACAGAAAAAAAATCAAGTTCTTTCCTTTTGCGTAAATGAAAGCCGTAGGAATCAAGAAATCTTCAGACCCAGAGATACCATTTAGTTAGCTTCTTTTACTGACACAGGGGATAGTTCAACTAGATTCCATACATATCTAGACAGTAGACAGTAAAGATAAGGGAAGCCCTAGAAGCTCCTAAGTGTATCAGAACCCAGAGGTTATTTCTACAGATGAAATAAAGAGAAGTAAATTTGGAGGTGGGGATATGATCATAGGAGGAATCTTGCTGTTTCAAAGTTCACAGTAGTGAAATCAGCTAAACAGGCAAATTGAGTTAAATTGGAAGCTCTTCAACACACTCCCCATCAGCTTACTGGGTTCTGGTCTCACAGGATCTAGCATGTTATGGCTGTGTACTGCCCCTACCTCCACCCAGGCATCCCATATATTATTTCCCCAGCACACATTTTCAGCTCTATGTATTGGGATATATTTTATTCACATCAAATTATTTTATTTTTATTTATTTGTTTATTTATTTTGAGATGGAGTCTCACTCTGTCACCCAGGCTGGAGTGCAGTAGCGTGATCTCGGCTCACTGCAAGCTCCGCCACCCAGGTTCACGCCATTCTCCTGTCTCAGCCTCCTGAGTAGCTGGGACTACAGGCACCCGCCACCATGCCCGGCTAATTTTTTGTATTTTTAGTAGAGACAGGGTTTCACCATGTTAGCCAGGATGGTCTGGATCTCCTGACCTCGTGATCCGCCTGCCTTGGCCTCCAAAAGTGTTGGGATTACAGGTGTGAGCCACCGCACTCGGCCTATTTTTTTATTTATTTATTTTTCAGACAAAGTCTCACTCTGTTGCCCAGGCTGGAGTGCAGTGGCGCGATCTCAGCTCACTGAAACCTCTACCTCCTGGGTTCAAGCGATTCTCCTGCCTCAGCCTCCCCAGTAGCTGAGATTACAAGTGCCTGCCACCATGCCTGGCTAATTTTTGTATTTTTAGTAGAGACTGGGGTTTCATCATGTTGGCCAGGCTGGTCTCAAACTCCTGAGCTCAAGTGATCCACCCGCCTTAGCCTCCCAAAGTGCTGGGATTACGGGCATGAGCCACTGCACCCAGCCTATTCACATCAATTTTTTAAGTCATAAAGATAATAGGATTGCCCTAATAAAAATTCCCATTACATTAATATTTCCTGACAAAATATTTTTCTTATAAAAATGTCACATTTGCCTAGATATTTAAAGTTTTCAAGACATTTCAAAACACCTAATCTTGCTTCCTTTTCACAACAACGTTATATATTTGGAGAAAGGTAGTCTTATCAGGCATCTTATTTGTTGATTAGTGTATTTCCTTATCACCCCGTAATACAAAGGACTGGAGGTAGAACAACAATACTGCTGGAAAAGGTAGGGTCAGGACTGGACTCCGGGCTTCCTCACTTCTAGCTGGAGGCCCTGTCTCCTGAGGATCTTTATTACTTAGGCCTTTAGCTCCTTGCCCAGAGGTGGCCACCAAAATATACTTGATCAGAAGCCAACTCTCCTGTCAACTTAAGTGCTGACTCAGGGTTGGTCGTGGTGATGATTTAGGGCTCAGAAGAAACATCATGTTTCTTTTCCTCTTTCTCCTTGTCTTCTTCCCTTTTCTACTGGAAGAATTCAGTCCTAATGTCATTCAGCAGGGCAGAGAAAGTTGGTTACTCTGAAGTAGGGGTGATGGCCCAGCATAGGTGTCTCCCCTGAACAGGGTGAGGAGGGTATTCATGATTGAGGACAGCCTGGTATATCAGAGAGCCTAAGTAGACAAGAAGGGCTTCCAGCTAAGAGGGGTGCCTGTAGTGGGGGTGGGAACCCCAGCACGACGAGGAGGGAAGCCCCATGGAGAGACAGCCTAGCATAGGTGTAGAGTCCAAGGAAGATGCCCGCAAACTGGTATGGGGACCTGGAGACCCTGCTGGGTAAGGATGACACCGCCACAGCCGGGAGTGCCTTGTGTAGGGAGTCACAGCCCAAGGGGCCAAGGAGGGGAACTGCATGGCACATAGCCCTTGGGTAGGGAACCAGAACCCTGATGGGGTGAGGATGATGTCCATGCGGGGTCAGCAGCATGTCATGGACCGAGTCAAAGCAGGGTAAGGGCAGTTTCTGAGGGGTGGTGGTGGCAGGTCAGAGCAAGGACAGGGTAAGGAGGGTGTGTGAGGGGTAAGGGGGACAGTGGCTCTGATAGGAGACTGGCTTCCTACAGGGGGATTGAGCAAATAAGGAGACTTAAGGATAATGGGAGCCAGATTTCTTAACTGTTGGAGTTCAGAGTCACAGATGTGGAAAAAAGAAAACTATTGGGGTGCACTTACAGTTTTCAATATAGATAGATTAAAAAATACAGATGACAATGTATATGTGTGTTTGTGTGTATGTATGTATATACTTTCATATATTTTTATGCAGCTATATACTTACATACATCCTCCAACTCTGTCTACTAAGAGAATCTCTCTTAGCAATAAACACAGCCCAGATTTCCTCTTCTAGATACCATTCTCCACTAAAAGAAACCAGGGCTTCTTGGAGAGATTTCAAGGATTCCAGGATTCAAGTCCTGATTCCAGGACTGAGGTAGGAAACTTGAGTATGAACCTTGTGTCAGAAAGCAAGGAAATGATAGAGATATATCAAAAGGACACAGAAACCAGCTTCATCATCAAAATGAATCACTGTTGTAATGGATTATAACTCCTTAAATAAAGTAGAAAACTATGAGTCCTAATAATGTTAGTATATGGATAAATGGAAGGTTTGAGGACGAATGGAATATTTACATAGAACCTCCTGCATAAAATATGTATTAATGATAGCAGGAAAAATAGTAACTTCCTAATGGAGAAGAAAAGCAGACAGCACCTTAACCAATGATCAAAGTGAACAATCAGCAGTCATGGGAAAATTGAATTTGTGCATCCCTGATAGGATCCAGTAAAAAGTATTAAGGGTCCCTCCTGGCTAACACGGTGAAACCCTGTCTCTACTAAAAAATATTAAAAATTAGCCAGGCATGGTGGCGGGCACCTGTAGTCCCAGCTACTCAGGAGGCTGAAGCAGGAGAATGGCGTGAACCTGGGAGGTGGAGATTGTACTGAGCTGAGATCGCGCCACTGCACTCCAGCCTGGGCAACAGAGCGAGACTCCGTCTCAAAAAAGAAAAAGTATTAAGGGTCACTTGAGAAATTCCTGCCAAAGATGCATGAATTGAATGAATTGAGTCCCATATCAGACAAAGCCAAATTGAGTGACTTCTACAAAATAACTGGCCTGTAATCTTCAAAAGCACCCAAGTCAGAACAGTCAAGGAAAGATAGAGAAACTAACCACTGCAGACAGAAGACTAAAATCATTGACAACTAAATGCAACAAAGGATTCTCAAGTGGATTCTTTAACTGTGATGGATTCACTGGACAATTGATGAAACTTGAATGCGGTCTGAGGATTAAATTGCTGTAATACAACAGTGTTAACTTGCATAGTTTAAAAACAGTATGGTTGTAAAAGAATGTCCTGTTTTTAGGAAACACACACTAACGTATCCAGGGGAGATACTTACTATCCAAGGTAGTCAACTTACTATCAACTGGTTCAAGGGATGTTCTTTGTACTGTTCTTACAAAGTGTCTGTAACTTTGAGATTGTTTAACACAATTTTTTTTAAACAAAGTTAGTTGTCATTTTTAAGAAGAAGAACAACGAAAATAGAAAAGAACAAACAAACAAAAATATGTCACATCAAAAGATGCACACAGCGCTGGCAGGGAAATGTTAAGTGGTATGATTCATACATGGATTCTTTTCCCAGCAAACAAAATGCCCCATGCAGTAAACTACCCTCTCAGGTGGAGAATGAAGTAAAGCCGCACCTATTCCAAACAAGGCAACCAAAAGGCTTTTCTTATTCCATGACCACAGACAAAGCCTAGAGAGAATGTGCAAAAGCACAAGAAAAACACATGGCCACATTTCCCATCTCATTATTATTATTATTATTATTACTTATTTGCTTTTGTTATTATTATTTTTTTCCCTTTCTTTTTTTCTTTTTTCTTTTTTCTTTTTTTTTTAACAAACCCTTGTGTCGAGGGCTGACTTTCAATAGATCGCATCGAACGAGCTGCTCTGCTAAGTAGGAAACCCCGACCCAGAAGCAGGTCGTCTACGAATGGTTTAGCGCCAGGTTCCCCACGAACGTGCGTTGCGTGACGGGCGAGGGGGCGGCCGCCTTTCCGGCCGCACCCCGTTTCCCAGGAGGAAGGGCACTCCGCCCCGGACCCCGGTCCCGGCGCACGGCGGGGCGGCCCGCCGGCGGGGACAGGCGGGGGACCGGCTATCCGAGGCCAACCGAGGCTCCGCGGCGATGCCCCATCTCATTATTATTGAAAAGGAATTTCTTTTATGTTTTTAAAAATAAATACCACTTTTTAAATGGTAAAATTAGTCTCCTTCCATTTAAAGAAACATACCATCCCAATGAAAAGCTTTGCACTAGGAAAAAGTTTCCTCAAGGATAGCTTTGGAAAACAGAGGAAAACGAAACAAAATTGCACCACCCTGACACAGTGACTATTATGAACTATTATGAGTCTTGTCTCCGTATTAAACGGCTGTAATCATAGCATGCCATTAGATTCCTTCTGTGTGCTGTGTGAAAGTAGCACAGTGGTTAAGCACAGGTTTTGAAACTGACTGACCAAGTTCCTCATCTGGCTTCTGCCACTGTATGTGACTTTAAGTTATTTTCCAAACTGCTATAAGCCTCAGTTTCCTCCTGTATCAAACAGGAACAATCTACTCCCTTATCTTGGGGTTTATGAGAGATTTAAATAAGATCATGGATGTAAAGTACTTAGCCCAGTATGTGGCATGTTTTATGTATTCAGTCAATACTTATTATTTTCTCATGAGTACTTTTCCATGTTTTAAATAATCATCTGCTGTGGTCTGAATGTTGTGTCCCCCTAAACTTTCTATGTTGAAATACTAACTCCTATGCTGACACATTAGGAGGTGGGGCATTTAGGGAAGTAATTAGGTCATGTGAGCAGGGCCCTCACAAATGGGATTAGTGCCCTTATAAAATAGGTCCAAGGGAGTTCATTTGCTCCTCCCACCATGTGAGGACACAGTTAGAAGTTGCTGCTCTAAAAACTAGGAAGTAAGCCTCATCAGACACCAGATCTGCTGGCATCCTGATCTTGGAACCATAGCTCCCACTCAGCCACTTGATCACGAGGGTAAACAACCGATACTGTACTCTAATGTGTTGTGTTCAGTACATGACATGAGATGTTTAACACTGTATTATAGATGGTTTTGTCCAACTGTAGGCTAACAAGAGTTCTGAGTATGGAAACATACTCAGGTAGGCTAGGCTAAGCTATGATGTTTGATAGGTTAGGTGTATTAATGCATTTTTGACTTACAATAGGTTTATCATTATAAGTCAAGGAAGTGGAGGAGCAACTGCTGTCTGCCTACTGACCCTCCTTAGTAACATAGCTACTGGACTCTATCAGGTACTGGATGCAGGCAAGGCCCTGGCGGCTTATAGGGTCCCATGGGTTGGACAACTGTTGGTACCACTGTGCAAGAGCACCCAGTAAGGACCAAGTAAAAAGGGGATCCTAACGAGAGCCTGGCCAGGTATTTGAACCAACACAAATGTGCCAGTTCTTCCTGAAGCCCAAGATGTGGAAAGGCTAGGCAATGGGTGGGTTGGGGTTTCCCTACCCCCCATCCTTTAAGAAGATGAGAGTGAGAGCACAGTGGGTGTGGTGGTGCACACCTGTAAACCCAGCACTTTGGGAGGCCAAGGCTGGCAGATCACTTGAAGTCAGGAGTTTGAGACCAGCCTGGGCAACATGGCAAGACCCCATCTGTACTAATAAAACAAAAATTAGCCAGGCGTAGTGGCATGTGCCTGTAATTCCAGCTACTCTGGTGACTGAGGCTCAAGAATCGCTTGAGCCTGGGAGGCAGAGGTTGCAATAAGCTGAGATCGCACCACTGCACTCCAGCCTGGGCGACAGAGTGAAAATCTGTCTCAGTAAATAAATAGAGTGACAGCAGAGAATCTTCCTCTGGGTTCCTCAGCAGGAACTGACACCCGACTGCCTTTGTACCACAGGAGAACAGAAGTAACGTTTTCTGCATGCCCTGCCATTTAGAGTACCCAAACCACTAGATCTTATCTCAAAGTGCCAACAAAGAAAACTACAACTCACCTGAGGGGCTGCATTTTTCTGAAGCAGCCAACCTTCAGAGGGAAGGTCAACACAAATGAATAGAACATATGCCCAGAGAAATAGCAGTGCTGCAGGAGGAAGACAGCATCTTGACTCTGGAAATAATAAGAGCATGAAGGATAGATTCAAGGGTAGCACACAGAGTGCTCTATAGAGTGAAAGACCAAAAGACCATGATTTCTGAACAAAACAATTCAATAGATGAATGGAAGGACACTGTGGAGCCCAAACTGGAAGATCAAGTGCAAGAACACACATCTACCCCGATACAAACAATCTCCCTGCTTCTCTACACTTACGGGCTTCCCTTCTTTCTGCCACTCTGGCAGAAACATCTGTTCCTGTCTTAGGTCAACCCTGCCACTTGTGCGTTAGATACTCATTAGATACCTTTTCATCTAACAGAGGCATTGCTCCAACAGTTGTCTCCATCTGGCTATTGTACCATCTTTTTTTTTTGAGATGGAGTTTCACTCTTGTTGCCCAAGCTGGAGTACAATGGCACAACCTCAGCTCACTGCAACCTCCGCCTGCTGGATTCAAGCAATTCTCCTGCCTCAGCCTCTTGAGTAGCTGGGATTACAGGCATGTGCCACCACGCCCAGCTAATTGTTTGTATTTTTAGTAGAAACAGGGTTTCACCATGTTAGCCAGGCTGGTCTCCAACTGCTGACCTCAGGTGATCTGCCCACCTCAGCCTCCCAAAGTGCTGGGATTACAGGCGTGAGCCACCACACCGGGCCTGTACCATCAATTTTTATCTCTCTACTGCATATGCTCTAATAGTTCCCATCTTAAAAAAAAATTCTTCACTCATCCCTGCCAATTACTACCCCATTTCTTTGCTGTCCTTCAGAGTAGAACTACTCACTTTTCTATACAAATATTTCAAGGTAAACTCCAGAAGATCACAGTCTGTTTTACACTTGGTTCAGTGAAGTGTGTTTATAGTTTCTTCAAATAACAGATTTATTTAAGTGTTTTGAATATTCAGCATTCATTTAACTTCTTAACCTACCAGAATATCATTATATTTTGGTATTAAGATAATGATTTTAAAATTATTTGAAATCCAAATATTAATAATAAAAATAATAGGAAATGTTCTTAAAAGAAGAGAAAAAGTCCTTACTTCTCTCTTGAACCCAGTCCAATTAGATTTTCATGGTCACCATGGCAGCCAAACAGTCCTTAACTCTACTCATGACTTCCAGTTCAACTGACTCTACCTCTTAGCCACCCTCGACCTGATTGACACTTCTTTCTTTTTCTTTTCTTTTCTCTTCTCTTCTTTCTTTCTTTTTCTTTTCTCACTCTCTCTCCCTCTCTCTCCCTCCCTCTCCCACCCTCCCTCTTTCTTTCTTTTCTTTCTCTCTCTCTCTGTCTCTCTTTCTTTCTTCTTCCTTCCTTTCTTCCTTCCTTCCTTCCTTCCTTCCTTCCTTCCTTCCTTCCTTCCTTCTTTCCTTCTTTCTTTCTGACAGAATCTTGCTCTGTCACCCAGGCTGGAGTGCAGTGATACGATATTGGCTCACTCACTGCAATCTCTGCCTCCCAGGTTCAAGTGATTCTCCTGCCTCAGCCTCCCAAGTAGTTGAGATTACAGGCATGTGTCACCATGCCCAGCTTATTTTTGTATTTTTAGTAGAGATGGGGTTTCACCATGTTGGCCAGGCCGGTCTCAAACTCCCGACCTCAAGTGATCCATCTGCTTCGGCCTCCCAAAGTGCTGGGATTACAGGCGTGAGCCCCTGTGCCTGGCCAATTCCCTTCTATATTAAGACTCATTCCTCAGGTCATCTCACACAGGATCATGACTTTAAATGCCATTTACTTGATGACTATTTCCAAATTTTTATCTCTAATCTATGCTTTTGTATTGAATTCTAGCTGAGAGATCCAGCTGCTTACTCAATATCCCCATTAGGTTATCTAATAGAAATCTCATATTTTACATGTTTAAAACAGAACCCTTGATTCTTCCCCCAAACTATTTCTCCTAAAGTTGTCTTAAACAAAAAATAAATTTCATTTTTCCAGTTTCTCAAGACAATAACTTTCAAGTTTTCCTTGACTCCTGTCTTTCTGTTTTACCACATTCAATCTAATGGCAAGTCCTCTTCATTCTAGCAGATCACCATTGCTCTATTCTCCATGATTGCTATGATCCAAATACCTTCATCCTTCAGCTAGATTATTAGACTAGATCTTTAACTGTACTACTAACTGTACTACCCACTTCTACCCTGACTCCCTTAGAGTCCAAGAACTTTCCAGAGCAATCTTTTCAAAATGTAATTCAGAGCTCTGAGAATTAATTTCGTCCTCTCACTCAGCCTCAAATATCAGATTGCTATTCTACCTTGAGGTCATAAAGTACATTTTTTCAACTCTTGATAAAATGTAAACATAAAGGGTAAAATCACTCCTTTGGTGACCATCATGACTATGACATATGCAGAACCTCATTATTTGCTGTACATTCTCTTCAAAAATCTGAAGTGATGACTTATGATAAAAGAAATCCTGGCTGGGTGTGGTGGCTCATGCCTGTAATCCCAGCACTTTGGAAGGCTGAGGGAGGCAGATGACTTGAGGTCAGGAGTTTAAGACCAGCCTTGCCAACATGACAAAATCCTACCTCTACTAAAAATACAATAATTAGCTGGGTGTGGTGGTGCACATGTGTAATTCCAGCTCCTCAGGAGGCCGAAGTGGGAGGATTACTTCTGCCAGAGAGACAGAGGTTACAGTAAGCCGAGATTGCACCCTTGCAGTCCAACCTGGGCTATAGAGCATGACCTTGTCTCAAAAAAAAAAAAAAAAAAAGAAAAAAAAGAAATCCAGAAAATGTTGGGAAGCCATGGATTCAAATGAGCAACAAAAGCATAATCAATAGTAAAAAGGCAAATAAACTAATTAAAATGAGGTATTACATTTGAACTGACATTACTTCAAAGAAGACATACAAATGGCCAATATACACATGAAGAGATGCTCAACATCATTAGTCATTAGAATTCAGTGTTACTGAGAAAATACACGTTTACCCATATCCTAATAAAAACCTTGAACTCTAACGTTAAGGAGAATCTTATAGGCTTCCAGAAAGAATAACAAGTTACCTACAATGGGAAAAAAAATATATTAGACAGGCATAGCATCAAACCTCACACCTAAAACATTGGAAACTAAAAAACAGTGACATATCCTCACACAATACTGAAAGAAAAGGACTGCTACCCAGAGATCCATACCCAGCCATTATTTCCTTAGTTGATGAGAGTGAAAGAAAACAAATACAAGAAGATGTAAGAGAGAGTAAATCATTATATTGGCAGTGCACTCTATTTGAGGAAAATACTCAGGAAGAGACTAATGAAACATCAAGTTAATTAGAATATATTATAAATCTCAATATAAGAAAAGATAAAGAAGAGTGATTGGTAAGTAACGAACCTTTACGCATGTATGTATATACACATATTGCAGAGATGGAGAGATTCTGACTGAAGATAAGGTAAGTGTAAACAAGGGCTCTTGAAATGGAAGATTTATAAGAATAATTCAAATGACACTCTAGAATGAAAATACTCACATGATATCAGAAAAAACCCAGGTGTCGAATATTGGGTCAGGGAAGAGAAGGAAAATATAAATTTTGAAAATTCACCAAGCCCATGAATTTCTAGCTGAATTTTATCTAACCTTTAGAGAACTGACAATACTACTTTTACTTAAATTACTATAAGCCATAGAAAAGGATGAAAAGCCCCCAATCCACTTTATAAAGGCAAAATAAACTGAATCAAAGCTGATAAAAATAAGACAAAATTGAAAATTGTAGACAGGCTCATGAATATAGATTCAAGAAATCTAAATAAAACATTTCTAATTAGAATCCAGTAACATATCAAAAAAAAAGATAGACCATGACTTCTTCCACGAAATTACGGGTTGTTCAGTACCGGAGAGTTTATCAGTATAATCTATTACACCATATTTTGAAGGAGGATGTATGATCATATCTTTAAGTACTTACCATTTATTTAGTAAAGCTGGACATGGTGGCATGCACCTGTAATCCCAGCTATACAGGAGGCTGAGGTGGGAGGATCATTTGAGCCAGGAGTTTGAGATGAGTCTGGGCAACAATAATGAGACCCTGTCTAAAAAAAAAAAAATTATTCGGTAAAATGGCAGCCATACCTAATGAATAAAATAAGAATTAAAGAAATTGTTTAATATAAAAGGCTATTTACCAAACCAATAGCCAATAGTATCCCAAAGCACAAAATGCTAAAGCCATTTTAATTGAACAGAAACTACACGGGAATGCTCACCATCATCATGACTAAACATTGGCTTGGAAGAGATCTCAATCACATTAACACAGCAATATTAAATAATTGACTAACATTCGAAAACAAGAATAAAACACTTTGTTTTTCTCATGGTGTGATCGTTAAAACAAAAGCAAAAACAAAAAACCACTCAAGTGACTGGTAAAAAGCTACTACAGGAAATAAAATACTAAGAGAATTTGTTAACACAGTTGGATAAACAATAAATATTTTTAAATTAATAGCTTTTTCCATATATTTTATTTTATTTTATTTTTTATGAGACAGGGTTTGCCCAGGCTGGAGTACAGTGACATGATCTCTGCTCACTACAACCTCTGCCTCCTGGGTTCAAGCAATTCTCCCACCTCAACCTCCCAAGTAGTTGAGACTATAGGCACATGCCACCATGCCCAGCTAATTTTTGTATTTTTTGGTAGAGATGGGGTTTCACCATGTTGGCCAGGCTGGTCTCTAACTAACCTCGCCTCGGCCCCCCAAAGTGCTGGGATTACAGGTGTGAGCCACTGTGCCCGGTCAGCTTTTTCTATATCTTAACAATAAGTACATAGAAGTAGAAACATGGAAAAATATTTCCTTCACAACAATGGTAAAACATAAAATATTTCAGAATAAATATAGCAAGAAAAAGCAAATCCCATATGGGGACACACACACATACACACACAATTTTATTGAAAAAAGTAAAACAGAGTCTGAACAAAAGAAAGGAAACTATGTTCTTGAATGGGAAAACAAATACTATAAAAGTGTCAGTTTTCAGGAAACTAATATATAAATGCAACATAACTTCTACTTCAGCACTGTATTAATTTCCTATTCCTGCTATAACAAATTGCCACTAACTTAGTAACTGAAATAACACAAAATTATTCTCTTACAGTTCTGGAAGTCAAAAGTTCAAAATCAGTTTCAGTGGGCTAAAGTCAAGTTATCAGCAAGACTGATCTTTTCCAGAAGCTCTGAGGGAAGAATCCATTTCCTCCTGTTTTCAGCTTCTCCTGGCATCTGTATCACTTGGCCTGTGACCTCTTCCTCCATCTTCAAAGTGAGTCACTCAGATCTCTGCTTCTGTCATCACAACACCTTCTCTTCTGCCTCTGACTCCCCTTGTCCCTGTTATAAGGATTTTTTGTGATTACTTAGAATCCATGGAATAATTTGGGATCACATCCCCATCTCAAAATAATTAGCTTTAATCACATCTACAAAGTCCTTTTTGCCATATAACGTAACATTCACAGGTTCAATGGACTGGGAAGTGGTCATATCATAAGGATTGAAGGGGGCACATTATCAGTCTAACACAAACACCAATAAGATTTTTAATATTGTTATGGAACAATAAATGCCCAAGAATAGCCAAGAAGATAGGGAAAAGAACAGTAAGTGGGGAGGGCACCTTAAAAGGCATTATGATAAAATCTACATAGTACTTTGGAGGGATAAATAGGTTAGTAGAACAGAATAGAGAATCCAGAAAGATATCTCAATATATGTGTGAATTTTTTTTTTTGACGGAGTCTCACTCTGTCGCCCAGGCTAGAGTGCAGTGGTGTGTTCTCGGCTCACTGCAAGCTCCGCCTCCCGGGCTCATGCCATTTTCCTACCTCAGCCTCCCGAGTAGCTGGGACTACAGGTGCCTGCCACCACGGCTGGCTAATTTTCTGTATTTTTAGTAGAGATGGGGTTTCACCGTGTTAGCCAGGATGGTCTCGATCTCCTGACCTTGTGATCCACCCGCCTCAGCCTCCCAAAGTCCTGGGATTACAGGCGTGAGCCACTGCGCCTGGCCTCAGCTGATCTTCTGATGGGCATCAAAGCCACTAGGGGTGAGGGTCCCAGAAGGGAAGGACCTTTTCAAGTCCCTTCCACACCATGCAGGTGTGAATTTAACACTTGACAAAAGTGTTATTTCAACTCAAGGAAAAAAGAATGGGTTACTTAATAAGTGATGCTAACACAACTACCAAGTCACAAAAAGAGAATAAAAGTAGACCTCTGTCTCACACAATACAAAATGGTATAAATTACATAAAGAATGAAGGCTCAGAGCTGGGCACAGTGACTCAAGCCTGCAATCCCAGCACTTTGGGAGGCCGAGGCGGGAGGATTACTTGAGGCTAGGAGTTCAAGACCAGTCCAGGCTGCATAGTGAGACCCCCATCTCTACAAAAAAATTTAAATGTAGCCAAGCATCGTGACATGTGCCTGTAGTCCCACCTACTTTCTGAGACAGGAGGATTGCTTGAGCCCAGGAGTTTGAGGCTGCAGTGAGCTATGTTTGGGCCACTGCACTGTAGCCTGGGCAACAGAGCTAGATCCTATCTCTATTTTAAAAAAGAAAAGAAAAGAATGAAGTCTCAAATGCAAACTAAAACAAAAAAATCATGTAAGAAAACCTAGAGTATGTACAAACTAGAGATGAGGCATACCTTCTTAACAGAGACTGGAATCCCACAAACTTAAGAGAAAAAAAAAACAGAAATATTTGAACATAAACAGATACAAATCCCTTATCTGAAAAATGTGCCAGGTACAAAATCAACTGACAAAAAAAGTTCAAAAAAATGTGTCATGCCAAAGCCAAGGGTCAGTGTCTGTAACATGCAACAAGCTCTTGCAAATAGACAAGAATGAGACAAATAACTCAAAAACCAGCATGAGCTGCCTGCCTGTCAGTTGCCCCATTTTTTTCATCTTTCTATCTCTAAGAGAGGCTGGCTCATCTTGAAGCAGAATGTTCAGAGTCTTGAAATACTACTATTTCATAATTCTGAAGCTGTTAAAACCAAGTAAATGATGACTTTGCTGGTGACTAATACAAAAATGGTTATCTGTTCCTGCCAGTGAGAGAATCAAGTATTTTTCACTTCTCTCTGGCACATTTAAACTGAAAGAAGAATGCCCTTATTCATTGGGTTTCTTTCCTTCTCTTTCTCTCTTTTAGAGTTCACTTAAAAGTTTCCATGATGAGCTTAGTTTCAGATTTGTTTTCTTTTTTTGCAGTAACAGCACTTAATGTTGTTTTGCTTTGCAGAGTAATTCTTCCATCGGAATTTCAGATTTTATTTTATTTTATTTCATTTTATTTTTGAGACAGAGTCTCACTCTGTCCCCTAGGCTGGAGTGCAGTGGCATGATCTCAGCTCACTGCAACCTTCACCTCCCAGGTTCAAGTGATTCTCCTGCCTTAGCCTCCTGGGTAACTGGAATTACAGGCACGTGCCACCAGGTCCAGCTATGAATTTCAGATTTTAAAGTGGGGTATTTTGTTATTTGCAGTATGTCAACTTTCCCCCTCTTCATTTACTCAGTAAGCTTAAGCTAGGTTTGAAAAGAAAATAATAATGACCCAGAGTTGGCAACATAGGGGGAAAATAGAACCTCATCATGTGCCTAAGCCTGTATGCTCACTCACTTGTTACACCCACAAAAGAACTTTCTATTTTAATTCAAATTCTTCCTTCCTCTTCTAAAATATCAATCCAGGCTAAAAACAATGTATGTTTGTACTGAAATCTAAATATATGTTCTACAGAAATTCTAGATCACATCTGTGGTGCCAAGGGGCAGAGAGGGACAAATAAAAGTTTTCTTCAAAAACAATATGACAGAAGGGAGTAGCTGGCTTCAGTCTGACTTTCCTACCCTCTCTAAGCCTCAGTTTCCTCATCTGTAAAATGGGAGGGAAATTAGTACCTACCCCATACGGTTGTTTTGGAGATTAAATCAGATAATGCATATGATTTAGCCAAAGAGCGTTGGATTAGTAAGATCTCAATAAATGTTGATTATTATTAGTTTGTTCTTATGTAGGGCCACCAGCACTTGATTAGAAGAGTGGCTGTTTCCATCTCTCTTCCTGGAGGTCATTTTGCCTCTGCAATGTGGAGGGTAAGCCAGCAGTGGTTTTCAAACTGTTCTCAGAGCCCTGGGATTCCACAGAGAGGCCTGTGGGCTGTAGAGGGATCAGCGTGAGGCTGAGATGGTGGGTGAGACTCTGAGACTCCCACTATAGCTTTGATTTTTTTCTATTTTATATAAAAGGAACCTGCCTACATTTCACTTCAAAAACCATTAATCTTTTAATTCTGCAAGGCTAAGGCAATTCTGTTATTCTGTGGGCATTCCTCCTTTTTAAAATGACTTTTCCTAGCTTTTTAGTAATCTTTTTTTTCTTCATTATCCATCCTTAACCACCTGATCCCTCCTGAGAGAAACAAAGCATTCAAGAAGCCACATCTGTGTTAGTATGAATTACTTTGATGTATTATGCCTTTGGGGAGGTGCTTGCATTTTAAAAGAGTCCAAACAAGAAGAGGATAAATAGGATAAAGAAAGATTGCTTTTCTGTTGACAGAAATCCTGGCACTACGGGGAAGACTTTTGAGGGTGGGGTGAGAGGGAAGTCTTTTGTAAAACTGCTAAAATGGCAACTCTAACCATGCCTTAATGAAATAATAACAGCGACTAGCACTGGTAAAGAGATTCTGACTTATACAACAATTTAATCTCCATCTTCTTGGCTGATTTAACACGAGCCTCCTGTAAATGAGGTGCTACTGTTTTCCCATGTCCATTTCCAAGACAAGGACATAGAGGCCCTGCATGGCTCAGTGACTCACCTCAGTTGGCAGAGTTAGGCCCTGACTCGAGTCTCGGGCACTCTCCCCAGGACCACACTGCTACCTCCACCCATTTGGGAAGCCAAGCCTGCTGATACCCAAGGCACCGACTTTTGAACACTCCCTTTGCAGAAATGGCACAAGCTGGGCCACTCATTTTTCTGATGCTTCCTCCTTGGAAAGAAAGGAATGGCTGTAGCAGAACTGTCAGCTCTCAATGAGCTCTTTGTGCAAGTAAATTCCAGAGTTTTTATGAACGATGATTACAGCAAGGGCTGCTTTCCCCCCCCAGTAGTTATGGTCAAAAGATTGCTGTTTCAGCCATGCCTGGCATTCCTCCAGAAAACTCCTGGATATATGCACTATGAGTTGCAGACTTGTGGATTATTGAACCTAGGAGACTGAAGAAACCAAGAAGCTCTCGATTTTAATGAGTAAATGTTTCTTTCCATGTCAAAATCCCTGGTGACACAATTTTTTAAAGTTCCAGAAAGTAAACATAAATGTCATTAATCACTGGAGGAAAGGTTATCTTTTTCTATCATATTTCCACAGAGCAAAGTTGCCTGGTTTTTACTTATACATGTCTATCAAGACTAACTGGCATGAGGACATGTGTGTAATAAGCTCTCAACATATATATTTGTTAATGAATGAGTGAATTAGTATATCCTTTAATTTGGAGGCCAAGCAATCATGATAGCAAAAGCAACAGAAACAACATGATAACTTCCTCTGGGATAGCCCTTCACTATGGTGGACTCTGAAAATTCTAGCACACAGCACTGAAGTTAATTGCTTACTGCACTCAGGGAGATCACTACCTTGACCATCTTCGCCATTGAGTAGGGAAAAATAAGTTGGAATATTGATGATATTTGAGGGTGTGGATGAAAGCAAGCTTTTCATTGCAGGAGCTTGAGATATAGTAGTTTAGGACTGGTAGACACAGCAAGGCAAGAATTTTGAGACAGAATTTTGAAGAGTCTTGGAGAGAAAATCCATTTGTTACAATTCAGTGAAGGGTTCCACAGTATGATGTTCATTCAAATAAATTTTTCCAAAGATATTTGCAACTTTTATTATTCTGAGCAAGAGGTTCCTGGAGTGGAAAAATCATGGTGATGAAGACAGAGGAGGAATAAGGTCATATTCATGAAGCCAAATAGTACAATCAGTTTCACCAACACCAGGGTTTGCAAACCATAGCCCAAAGGCCCAATCTGGTCCATGCCCAGTTTTTATAGTTTTATTGGAGCAGTCCTATGTTCATTCCTTCAAATGTTGTCTGTGACTGCTTCCATGCTACAAACACAGAGTTAAATGGTTATGAAAGAGACCATATGGCCACAGAGCCTAAAATAGTTACTATCAGGCCCTTTACAGGAAAAGTTTGCCAACCCCTGATATGGATGGTAAGCTGTGTGGGAGTAGATGGTTTCACTTCTCATTTTATTTATTTATTCATCAAATTATGTATTAAGCACCTATTGTGTGCAAGGTACCTTTATAGGTGTCAGGAATCTAGCACTCAACATGATGAATACCAGCCCCCATGGAAAAAAATCAACAAATGATATAAACCACATAGAAATAAGTGCTATGAAGGAAAATTAAGCATGGAAAGAAGATACAGAGGTATTGGGATGGTAGAGGGGGGCAACAGGGACCCTTTGGGATGTGGCAGTCAAGGAAAGCCTCTCTTACGAGGTAATATTTGAGTAAAAAACCTCAATGGGGTGAATGATGTGAAGATATGAGATAGAGAATGTCTCAGTCTATTTTTTGCACTATAACAGAATATCACAGACTGGGTAATTTATAAATAAGATAAGTTTGTTTGGCTTATGGTTCTTAAGTTTGTTTGGTTTGTGGTTCTTGGTGCTGGGAAGTCCAAGGGCATGGCCCCAGCATCTGCCAGGCTACCTGGTGAGGGTCATTTCATGATGGTAGGGCAAAAGGCAGAAACAAGTGCATTAGACAAGAGAGGGAAGTGGTCTGAACTCAGTTTTTGTATCAGACACCCTCTCCCATGATAACAATGTGAATCCTGAGCCCTCCTGACCTAATCACCTCTTAGGGTCCCCACCTCTCAATTTCATTACAATGGCCGTTAAATTTCAACATGAGTTTTGGCAAGGACATTCAAACCACAGCAGAGGCTTTGGGGAAATATTTCCAGTCAGAGGGTAAAGAAATGCAAATATCTGGAGCCCAGAACAAACTTGGTGTGTTGATAATGGTAAGCAGATCAGTGCTGCTAAAGCAGGGTAAGCAAAAGGCAGAGTGGAAAGAGCTGACACTGGAGAGCTAGCAAAACCAATGAACTAGTAAAGGCTTAGGGAAGGTGGCAGGGTTTGAACTTTATTCTGAATATGATCAAAAGCTAATTGGGGGGTATTAAGCAAGGGAGGGATGGGATATGATTTACATTTTAAAGGCTCACTGAGGCTGCTTTAAATAATTGACTATAGAGGAACAGAATGGAGGCAGGGATGCAATCACAGGAGAGAAATTGTGCTTAGATTACGTGGCAGAGATTGGAGGTGGTGGTTGAGCATCAGTGTGAGTTGAGACAAATTTTAAAGGCACAGCTAATAAAACCTGCTAATGAGTGGGGCATGGAGTATGAGAGAAAGACAAGAGTCAAAGGTAATTCTGAGGGTTTAGAATTGAATGATGGGTGAATGATATTGCCATTTACTGAGATATGGTGAAGACTTAAAGGCAAGGAAGGATGAAATTAAGAGATCTGTTTTGCTCCTGTTAAATTTCACATGCCTGTTAGACATTCAAATGAAGATGTCAAGTTGACAGTTGGATAAGAATATGTGCAAATGGAATAGATTGGGCATAAGATCTAATTTGGGATTCATCAGCATATGGATGGTATTCAAAGCCATGGAATTTGCTGAGATCACCCAGGGAATGACTATAAATTTTCTTTAAAAGGCGGGGTTGATTACTAAACCCTAAGGCTAGTGGTGAGTTGGAGCTGGCTCACCACTGACCCTAGGGTTTAGTAATCAGCCCCTCTAATTGAACACATCTCTTCTCAACTCCCCATTCAGTGACATCATGCTAATAGCTTGGAATCAGCCATAGTGGACATGATTGAACCATGAAAACTGGCAAACACTACACATCATGGTCCCCCTCCTTCCAATAGAAACAGTTATCAAATATTTACCAGCACACCACTGCCTGGGGCTCTCATATTTTGAAGTCATGAAAGGCAGGAAGAGACAGTATGAGAGACTGAGAAGAATTGGAATGTGAAGAGGTAAGAGGAATACCAGAGTGTGGTGTCTTGACCCAAGGTCAAGAGACAATTATGTGTTCTTTGTCTTTTCTCCCTTCTCCAAGGCTTTCAGCTCTTGGAGTTGATGGAACATATCACATTATAGAGAGTGTTTAACTCTCTAACCTATCCTTCACTTAATGACTTTAACTCATTCGTATAAACCCTGATGCTCTGGAGAGCCATTATATGAAAAATATTTCCATGAACTGTAATTGGAAAATTACGACGTGTTCTATCTTGACCAAAGCAAGATACCTAAGCAATTTCCAGAGATAGAAAGCACATCAATTGACCATTGAAAGCAAGTTTAAATAAGTAATAGAGCATAAATGGAAAGTAAATAAATACAGACTATACATCAAGTGCAAATTAATGAAGAAAAATCTTGGGAACATGTGGTGAGTGGCAGAGGAGGGTGGGTGAAAGTCACTGGTATGTGCATTTTTTCAAGCAATTTTTTCACATATTTTTCAACCTCTTATGGCTCATGGTTATCTAAATATAAATATTATCTTTAAAAAAGATAATATCACAGAATAACACATTTAGAACCAAAGAAAGGCTAAAAGCAAGATTACTCTGAAACACAAAGTAATAATATACATGAATAACAAGTCTGAAGAATCCTAGAAGATACCACCCATTCGTTCTTCTTGCTTGGCTCACTTAAGCAAAGCAAAATGTGTAGGTTTGTTCAAACATGGTGCACAGTGATGTTATCTGACTAGAAATTGTTGTGTCAAGTGAATTAATGAGTGTGTCTGTCTAAAACCATAATGGCAAACTAACAGTTCTCATTGAGTATATAGTTATTGTGTTTGGGGTGAAAACTTATTATATTCAGAAAAAGAAATTGTTCATAACCTGGTAAAACCATTTTGCTGAGAAGTCATTAACAGCACAGTTTTTATGGAAGACAAGTCAGCTTTCAGTTCTTCTGTCCAAGAGGAAAAATTTCTCTGTTCTGCAGAAAGTAGCAGCACCTGTCAATTCTGTATGTTCTGTTTTTGAAAGGCTTCAGCCTCACAAAACCCATATTGTCATTGTCATTATTATTATTATAGCTACTGATTATTAGAAGGTAATATGTATCAAGCAAGCTAACAATTATTTATTCCCCATTATATAGAGGAAGAAATTTAGTTTCACAGGAAAAGAAGTAATTCAAGAGGGGAGACTAAAGCAATGTCTTCTGAGGAACTAAAATTAAAAGGAGAAATATTTTAAATAATGATTTCTTTAATTGTGCAATTAAAAAACGTACTTATGTGCTTCTTGACTTCACACACACACACTGCTTCAGCAGCAAACACCAGAGCAGAGCACATATTTAGTGAGACTAACTCTATAAAATAGAAAGGGACAATGAGCATGCATCATCCGTATAAGCCACATGGATGACAATGTCAGTTGAGGGCACACCTTATACTGTTTTTCTGGAGCACAGTCTTAGTTTGTTTTCTACTGCTATAACAGAATACCCAGTTTATTAACAATAGAAATGTATTTGGCTTGTGGTTCTGAAGGCTGGGAAGTCCAAGGGCCTGGTACTGGCATCTGGTGAGAGCCTTTGTTCTGTGTTTTCTCATGGCTGAAGGTAAAATTTAGTACTCAAGACAGAGATAGGGGCTGGGTGCGATGGCTCATGCCTGTAATCCTAGCACTTTGGGAGGCTGAGGTGGGCATATTGCCTGAGCTCAGGAGTTCAAGACCAACCTAGAACAGTACAATCAAAATGGCGAAACCCATCTCTACTAAAAATACAAAAAATTAGCCAGGTATGGTGGCATGCACCTGTAGTCCCAGCTACTTGGGAGGCTGAGCACAAGAATTGCTGGAACCTAGGAGGTGGAGGTTGCAGTGAGCTGAGATTGCGCCACTGCACTCCAGCCTAGGCAACAGGGAGAGACTCTGTCAAAAAAAAAAAAAAAGACAGAGATAGGAAATTGGGCCAAAGTTATCCTTTTATCAAAATCCCACTCCAATAATAACTAACCTTCTCCTGCAATAATGGCATTAATTCATTCATGAAGGCTATGTAACTATGACCTAATCACCTCCTAAAGGTTCTACCTCTTAATACCGTCACAATGACAATTAAATGTCAACATGAGTTTTGGAGGGAACATTCAAACCATGGCAAGCACAAAATTAGTAATGATGGGTTGGAGATATTAAGGGACTTACTCTAACCACAAAACAAGTACACAATGTTTCAGTCAATGACAGACAACATGTACAACATGGTCCCATAAGATTTTAATGGAGCTGAAAAGGTCCTGTCACCTAGTGATGTTGTGGCCTTTATAATATTGTAGTGCAATGCATTATTCACATGTTTGTGATGATGCTGGTGTAAACAAACCTACTGTGTTGCTAGTTTTATAAAAGTATAGTATGTCGTGCCACTGCACTCCAGCCTGGACAATACAGCAAGACTCCATCTCAAAGAAAAAAAATAAGTATAGCACATACAATGATATACAGTACATGATACTTGATAATGATAGTAAATGTCTATGTTACTGGTTTATGTATTTACTATACTATACTTTTAATCATTATTTTAGAGTGTACTACTTCTACTTACATATTTTTTTAAAAGTTAACTGTAAAATAACCTCAGGCAGGTCCTGCAGGAGGTATTCCAGAAGAAGGTATTCTTTTCATAGCAGATGACAGCTCCATGAGTGTTATTGCCCCTGAAGTCCTTCCAGCGGGATAAGATGTGGAGGTGGAAAACAATGATATGGATGATCCTGACCTTGTGTAGGCCTAGGCTAGTGTGTCTGTGTCTTTGTTTTTAACAAATAAGTTTAAAAATTAAAAAAAAATTCTTAAATAGAAAAAAGTGTATAGAATAAAGATATAAAAAAAATTTGTATAGCTGTAAAATGTGTTTGTATTTTAAGCTAAGTGCCATTACAAAAGAGTCACACAAAGTTAAAAATAACTAAAAAGTTAATAAAACGAAAATGTTACAGTAAGCTGAGGTTAATTTATTATTGAAGAAAAAATTTTTAATGAATTTAATGTGGCCTAAGTGTACAGTGTTTATAAAGTCTACAGTAGTGTACAGTACTCACATTTATTCACCACTTACTCACTGACTCACCCACAGCAACTTCCAGACCTGCAAGCTCCATTCATGGTAAGGATCCTATACAGGTGTATTTTTGTTTTTAGACAGGATCTCATTCTGTCACCCAGGCTGTGGTGCAGTAGCACGATCATGGCTCACTGCAGCCTCAAACTCGTGGGCTCAAGCAATCCTCCTGCCTCAGTCTCCCCAGTAGCCCAGTCTCCACACTAGGCTAATTTTTTAATTTTTCTTTTGTAGAGACAGGGTCTCACTATGTTGACCAAGCTGGGTTAGAATTCCTGTCCTCAAATGATCCTCCTGCTTCAGCTTCCCAAAGTGTTGGGGTTACAGGCATGAGCCATGGTGCCTGGCCAGGTGTACATATTTTATCTTTTGTATATTTTTCTGTACCTTTTCTATCTTTAGATACACAAACACCACTGTGTTACAACTGCCTATAGTATTAAGTTTAGTAACATGCTATACAACTTTGCAGCCTAGGATACCATATAGCCTAAGTGTATAGTAGGCTATACCATACCATCTTGGTTTGTGTAAGTTACACTCTATGGTGTTCACACCACAAAGAAACCCCGAATGAAGCATTTCTCAGAACACATCCCCAACATTAAAACACGTGACTGCATTTAGTAAAGATTTAAACACAGCACTTACTGGCACTGAGGCTTATTGGCTTTCCTCCCCAGCGACTAGCCTCTTGCTTCCTGTACAGAAGCCACACTCGGGGATTTGTTTCTCCCTCCATGATAGGGATGGCGTTTTCCAGCCAGAATCTCAAGCCCTCTTGGGCTCTGTATAAGCCCTGGTGCTTTGTCTTCTCTGCCACACTTTCCCTTCTACTTCACTTTCATGCTTTGCCTTAGAAAGAAATCTCAGCCAATTGCTAGACATCTCCACATTCTGCTGCAAGGAATTCCGAACAGAGGACTAGAAAGTTACCTGTTTGTGACTTGGACAGAAGTAAAGACATCATGTATCTTTCCCTCCCCTCAACCCCTGTCATCAATAAACTAAATAATATTGCTTCCTTTGATTGTAAGTATTATTATTATTTCGGCTTACATGGGACCTGATCTTCTGCTTTGAAAAAAGAATGATTCACCTCATCTGCATGTTAATGTCTTCATTTGCACTGTGTGATTTGCTCCTCTTCCCTCACCCTCAATTCACTGCAAATTGAGAGGATTGCTAACAAATAGCAGTTGCACAAGAAAAAGGAAACCCACGTGTTCATGTTATTTCAAAAGTTTGTGTCATCTTCTTGCGCGCTCCCCAGGTTTGGAGCCGTCTTCATTTTCTTCTATCCGCTCCCACCACCAGCTTGTTTCCCTCTGCTACAATGCGCAATTTAGTATTTTCCCTATAATAGAAAACCCAAACATGGCAAAAATTCAAGATCTGAAGAAACACCTGGAAGATACCCTAAACAAAATCAAAAGTGAGAGTCTGTAGATGCAAGTTGCGGCCCATTGGCCTCTCCAGCCACGCCCACAGGGAAAAGAGCCAATAGGAGTCCTCAGCACTGAAATTAACATGCAGGAAAGACAGCCATTCCTATTCTGTGAGGATGCTATGGAATGTAGTGGAAAGAGTATAAGAGAATAGATTGCAAGGCCTGAAAGACCCACGTTTTAATCCTAGCTCTTTCACTTTGATCACTGGATTCTTTCGTGTGTTTATTTATTCAGTAAATATGTATTGAGAACCTACTATGTGCCAAGGTTCTAAATTTCAAAGATACAAGGAGGAACAGCAAGACATCTCTACTTTCAAGAAGATTAAGAGTATATTTGAGATAATGTTGGTCAATATACTTAATCTCCAAAATACTTACAGAATAAATAATACCGACCTCATAGGTAACAATTAAAACGGAATAATGTACGTAAAATGTTATTTGGTGCCATGAATATGATAAGCAACCATTATTACTCCTTATACCTCCTCCCCCATTCATCTGGTTTCCAAGTTCCTCCTTCAGTTATTCAAACACCTCTAAAAATGTCATTAACCCTGATAATCAATGGTATTCCAGATTGGTGTTTGTGATCCTGTGATTTCAAAGGCATGGGTACTTCCTGAAACTGGGCTGGAAAGAGTCTCTCTAAGATCTGAGCTCAAAGTACACTGAGGTCACACTTCAAACCTCCTACCAAGATAGAAAAACAGCAGTGGAGGAGAGGGGGTTTGGAGAGTGTTTAAATTATTTGGGGAGAAGATGTTATAAAATGTAACTGAGGCAATGCAGTTATTCAGATGTCTCAGCATATAGGACAATCTAGAAGAGAGGCATGTTATACTTTTATTATGTTCTTATTTAGTGTTTAAAAACATTTGAAATGATAAGCGTTGGAGATTTACTATGAAATACAGCAAATGCTTAGTATCTCTGTCCACTAAATTATGGCATGGCCTTAAAATTAAGTAAATGTTTATGTGTAAATTTCCAAAAGTTAGCTAGCACAGAAATTAATCTGGAAGAAAAAAAAGGGAATTTTGATTCTGAGTTAAAAAGTAGATCCTAGAGTTGTTTTCTTTTGCTTCAGGTTTTTATGCCTGCCCCCTAACACCTTTTAGTATGGATGTGAAACAAACATGCCTTTATATTTACCAAATAAGTAATCTGATCTTCAGCCAAAAAAAAAAAACAAAAAGTAATTGGCTCCTAATTACCAGGTATAATGCAAAGAAGTACCCATGGGGTGGTTTGTGTAAGTCCCCTGAATTTTCCAGGGAAGAAAACAACCAAGGAAAAAAGAGACTTTTGTTGCAGAAACCTTTGGCCAAATTAGAAACAGATTAAATATTGTGTTTATGGGGGAATTGTCTAGTCAAATACAGTCTACTCCTATGCCGGGGGCTGCTTCGAGGTAGGTCACTCAGTACATCCTTGTACTAAAGGGAACACGAAGCAGGGCATCACACAGCACCACACGCTAAGAACTTTGAACTGAGCATATGAAAACATTTACCTCTAGATTTAGTTGTAAGCTTTTTAGAATGCAATTTTTGTTTCTCAAGTTTGTGAAATCTCATTGTGTCCTGATATTTAGAAGTGAATCTTGTATCAAAAATTGTGTATTGTAAGTTGATAGAAACTCAGTCCATAAATTGCTTGGGAGATTTAAGGACTTGGTTTAACAGGGCAAGTGCCAAGAAATGTTATTTGACAACAAAATTCCACTCTTATTTTCAAAGGTTTTGTTTCTGATAATCCACAAAACTACATTCATTACCTTTGGCTTATGGCTTACACAGTGAATTAGTAGGAACCTAATACAATATGCTTTGATTTTTAAATAGTGTCAGTGTGGAGATATTGCACTGATGATTAGAAACATCCTCTGCTTTGTCAAATTAATTGTCTGTTAACATCCATCTGAAATATAGAACTGATTTCTTTTTGGGGGGCCTAGCAGTGATTGTCATAGATTGCTGTCCTTATTTTCATTATATATTTCCGAAAGAGATTAATAGTTAATTTTTATTTTAGTTCCTCCTAATTTGACAGCAATAGAAGATTTATGTTTGCATGAATGTCTATGATCCTTTAAGTTGGGTACAATGAAACATTTTTGTCCATTGGAGTTTGAAAGTACAGAAAGAAAGAATTAGCCATGGAGGAAAGAAAACAGAAAGGAGGTGTAGCAAGCTCTGTTGCTTGAGTATTCAACATCTGTTACTTCTCTCTTCCTAACAGACCCATATTTTGTTTAGGTCTCTACCCACCATAGAGGGTGTTATGTTTTCCTCTAATTTGGTATTGAGGCCTCTCTGAGGAGAGTGGCTATAAACTTTATCCCTGCTTTGATAGGGCAGGGCAGGGCAGGGCAGGGCTAGAGGAAGGTGCCAGGTGGAGCTCCAGGGGAGGTGGTCGTGGATGTTTATACTGTGCCTTTCACAGGACCCTTTCAAATCCTGGTGCTTAAGTGTCTGACCCACGTGCAGGGGTCCCTCCCACAGGAAACTTGCTCATACTGGCAGATGCCCTTGTGGCTCTTGTGTAAACTGTGTCCAATTTCTTTCTACCAAGACAGCCAGACTCTAGGAGGGCGCTGACCAGGACAAAAGTTAAGTTTGGCTGTGTCGGTCAGATGAAACACAGAGGAGCAGTATATTACTAACAGATTCCAAAGGGAAGAGGGCAGCACGCCTTGCAGGGCCAAAAGAAAGGGGGAAAGCTGTCTGGAACATGCACACTTAACCAGCAGGGGGATAGCAAGAGAGAGAGAAAGAGACCTCTGGGGCAAAGCCTTTATTCTGGTCCAGCATGTTACCCAAGCAGGTTTCCCATGATGAGTTCTAATTGGTGGGTTTATAGCAAGCAGGTACAAGGTCCATGAAGTCACACTGTGACCAAGAGGTGATCACTGTGGCATATCTGGGCAGTCCACCCACGGCGTGGGGGGTCAGTGGGGTAAGTCAAGTAGGTTGCATCTAGCCATCCCATAAAAAGGTGGTCACCAGGAGGCAGTTGTATAAAGCGCGTATCTGGATTGACCTACCTTGAGGAACTGGGAAGAGGTAGAGTTTGGAAGAATTGCAATCTGTGTCAAAGACGTCTAAGCCCTGCTTCTAGTATGAGTGACTCCAACTTATATTGAAAATGAATGCTGAGGCAACATGAAATTAATACAAATTCGGCTTTGCAGACGCCGATGCCTCCCAGAGCCCTCTGCCACCAGCCATAGTCAACCCCATCATGTTCTTCAACATCGCCATCATCAGCGAGCTTTTAAGCAGAATCTCCTTGGAGCTGTTTGCAAAGTTCCAAAGACAGCAGAAACTTTCATGCTCAGAGCACTAGAGAGAAAGGATTTGGTTATAAGGGTTCCTGCTTTCACAGAATTATTCCAGGGTTTATGTGTCAGGCTGGTGACTTCACAAACCATAATGGCACTGGCAGCAAGTCACTCTATGGGGAGAAATTTGATCATGAGAACTTCATTCTGAAGCATACAGGTCCTGGCATCTTGTCCATGGCAAATGTTGGACTCAACACAAATAGCTCTCAGTTTTTCATCTGCACTGCCAAGACTGAGTGGTTGGATGGCAAGCATGTGGTCTTTGGCAAGGTGAAAGAAGGCATGAGTATCATGGAGGCCATGGAGCGCTTTGGGTCCAGGAATGGCAAGACCAGCAAGAAGATCACCATTGCTGACTGTGGACAACTCTAACAAATTTGACTTGTGTTTTATCTTAACCACCAGACCATTCCTTCTGTAGCTCAGGAGAGCACCTTTCCACCCCATTTGCTCATAGTATCCTATAATCTTTGTGTTCTCACTTCAGTTCTTTTGGGTTCCATATTTTCCTTATTTCCTTCCATGCCCAGCTGGATTGCAGACTTAAGTTTATTATTATGAAATAAGAAATAAATAACAACAACAACAACAAATTATAAGAACTTACAGATGGACACTGTGGCTCATGTCTGTAATCCCAGCACTGGGGGAGGCCGAGGGGGGAGGATCATTTGAGGCCAGGAGTTCAAGATTAGCCTGGGCAAAAATAATAAAACTAGCTGGGCATGGTGGCTCATGCCTGTGGTCTTAGCTGCTCAGTAGGCTGAGTTGGGAGGATCACTGAACCCGGGAGAAGTGGAGGCTGCAGTGAACAAAGATCAGGCCACTGCACTCCAGCCTGGGCAACAGAATGAGATACTGTCTCAAAAAGAAAAAAATTCACTACAGAAGATGACTCTATCTTCAGAATTATATCTAAGATCAAAAACATTTTAGGCTACGACTTAGAGTAAGAAACAAACTTTGCATGGCAACCTAGCACACACATGCATCTACATAACTTTAGAGAAAATGGAAAAGAAAACTTAATGAAATAATATTCACCTTTGTAATGTGCATTATGCTCTGGTATGGTTCTTCTATTTCATTTTCTAATGATGACTCTGATTCACTGAATTTCATTTCCCAGCCAACTAATGGATCATAAGGCAAAAACACTGGTTTAAACCTGTCATGTCAACACCACTCTTCTTAGCAATTTTTCAGTCTTAAAAGAAAACTAAAAGAGTGAGCTTATGAATTGGAAAAACTCAATATTAACATGTCAATTCTCCCCAAATTGATCTATAGGTTCAACACAGTCTCAAGCAAAATATCAGAAATTTTTTGTATATATGGATAAGCTGATGCTACAAGTTATATGATGGGCAAAGGAAAGAGATTAGAGAAAACAATTTTGCAAAAGAAAAACAGATGATAAATTTATACTTATGACTTCAAGACTTACTGTGATAAGCTGCAGTAATCAAGATAGTTTGATATTGGTGAGACATGAAATCACAAACACAAATCAGTGCAACAGAGTAGAGTCCAGAAGCAGATCCACACAAATCAGCTCTACCCATTTTGACTGAGGGACAAAGGAAATTCAAAGAAAGGATGATCTTTTCAATTGATGGTGCTGAAAAATCAGACATCCATAAGCAAAAACATTGCATTTCTTCCTATGCCTCCTATGTTATAAAAAAAAAAGCTAATTTAAAATGGAGCCCAGATCTAAATGGAAAACTTAGAACTTTTAGAAGAAAACCTTTGTGAGCTTGGGTTAGGAAAGGACTTGTTCAGTTTGACAACCAAAGCAC
Organism: Homo sapiens; assembly: GCF_000001405.40. Lineage (NCBI taxonomy): Eukaryota > Metazoa > Chordata > Mammalia > Primates > Hominidae > Homo > Homo sapiens. The sequence goes on along the minus strand of NC_000009.12, from coordinate 76,547,851 downwards.
AATCAATGAAAGAAAAAGTGATAAGTTTGACTTCACCAAAATTAAAATCCTGGGCCAGGCACGCCTGGCTCACGCCTGGCTCACGCCTGTAATCTCAGCACTTTGGGAGGCCAAGGCAGGAGGATTGCTTGAGCCCAGGAGTTCGAGATTAGCCTGGGCAACATAGTAAGACCCTGTCTCTATGTTTTTTTTTTTTTTTAATTAAAATCTTTTGCTTCATAAAAGGTAGCTTTAGGCAAATGAAAAGACAATCCACAGGCTATGAAGGATACATGGGCAAAACACATATACAACAAAGAACTCACATCCAGAATATATAAAGAACTTTCAAAACTCAACAGTAAGAAAAGATAAAAGTAAAAACATGGGCAAAACATTTGAACAAGATCTTTATTAAAGAAGGTATATAGATGGCAAATAAGCACATGAAAGGATGCTAAACTCAGTTTGCATCAGGGAAATGCAAATTAAAACCACAGTAATATACCATTACACATCTATTAGAATGGCTGACTTTTAAAAATGATAATATTAAGTGCTGTTGAAGATGCAGAACAATTGTCACTTGTATACAATGCTAGCTCTGTTATAGTGGGTAGCTAGTCAGACATGAGCTGGGCAGGAGAGGGCTCCCCCAACCCCACCAGGAATGTTAGGCAATCATCAGGTGATGGTCAGGTGACTGTTACATTGTTTCTCTAAAATAATAATTGATGCCAGCTAGCGCCAGGGAAAGGTAGTCTCCCAGTAGACAGAAAAAAACTTGCGTGATCAGCAGCTTCCCGATAAGATCTCAGGAGTTGGGCGAGTGGGCTCAAACATGAGCACTAAGCGGCAAAATGGTGGTTTAACTGGTATAAGACCTTCTAGAAGCATTCAACGGGTAAGGGAAGACTACCTCAAGTAAGCATGCATACAACTCCAGTAAATACACTGCACATGTTGTAGCAGGCCACCGTGCATGCAGACAGCCCACCCCAAGAAAGAATCATGCCAACATATAAAACCCCAAGTCAGGCTGGGTGCGGTGGCTCACGCCTGTAATCCCTGCACTTTGGGAGGCCAAGGCAGGCGGATCTCCTCAGGTCAGGAGTTCGAGACCAGCCTGACCAACATGGTAAAACCCTATGTCTACTAAAAAAAATACAAAAATAAGCCGGGCATGGTGGCGGGTGCCTGTAACCCCAGCTGCTCGGGAGACTGAGGCAGGAGAATCACTTGAACCCAGGAGGTGGAGGTTGCAGTGAGCCGAGATGGCACCACTGCACTCCAGCCTAAGCAGCAGAGTGAGACTCCGTCTCAAAAAAAAACAAAAAAAAACCCAAGTCAAAGGTCAAACAGTGCCCTTGATCTCTCAAGTTGCCGGGTTGGCCCTCTTTCAGGTGTACTTTACTTCCTTTAATTTCTCTTGTAAAGCTTTTTAACAAACTTTCACTCCTGCCCTAAAACTTGTCTTGGTCTTCTCTCATTCCTTATGCCTTTTGGGTTGAATTCTTTCTTCTGAGGGGGCAAGAATTGAGGTTGCTGCCGATCCCTAAGGATTTGCTGCCAGTAACAGTAGGAATGCAAAATGGTGCAACCACTTTTTGCAGTTTCTGATAAAGCTAAACATACTCTTACCATATGACTTGGTACCATGTCATATGGTAAGAGTATGTACCATACTTCTACGTATTTACCCAAAAACTCCCCATAAATTTATGTTGACACAAACCCATAAATTTATGTTCACTGCCGAGCACGGTGGCTCACGCCTGTAATCACAGCACTTTGGGAGGCCAAGGTGGGCGGATTATCTGAGGTCAGGAGTTCGAGACCAGCCTGACAAACATGGAGAAACCCTATCTTTACTAAAAATACAAAATTAGTTAGGCATGGTGGCTCATACCTGTAATCCCAGCTACTCAGGAGGCTGAGGCAGGAGAATCACTTGAACCGGGAGGCAGAGGTTGCAGTGAGCCAAGATCATGCCATTGCACTCCACCCCGGGCAACATAAGCAAAACTCCATCACACACAAAAAAATACTATAAGCAAATACTTATAGCAGTTTTATTCATAACTGCCCCAAACTGGAAATGATCCAACTATCATTGAACTAGGAAATAGAAAAAGAAATTAATCTATCCATGTGTGAGACCAAATATATGCCACCAAAATATGACTGTAGGAGACTAGAATATGCAACCCCAAAATATGTCTTTTTGGCATGTTAAAAGAAAAACCTTAGACAAATTAAATTTAACAGAGTTTAATTGATCAAGCAACAATTCACAAATTGGGCAGCCCCCAAGCTAGAATAGTGCAGAGAGACTCGGAGCTGCCTTGTGGTCAAAGAAGATTTATGGACAGAAAAAGGAAAATGATGCACAGAAAATGGTAGTGAGGTACAGAAACAGCTGGATTAGTTACAGCTTAGCCTTTGCTTTATTTGAACAGTTGGCCACCTTTGATTGGCCAAAACTTTGTGATTGGCACGAGAGTAGGTTACAGTCTATTTACACATCCAGTTATGTTAAAGTTCACTCTGTACAGAGAAACCTTTAGGCCAAACATAAAATGTCAGGAGGCAGCTTTAGGCTAAACTTGATTTAACAGGCATGAGGATGATTTTAATGATTATTTTGAGAGACTGCAGTCACAAGAGAAGCTCTAAAGCAGAAGTTAGCTTTTTGTAAGGGAAATTTACATCTATAAAGGAAATTTTCATTTGCAAGGGTGTCTTACTCTATTCTCTGCAACAGGAAGAGAAGGATGACTAAAAATCACTGGAGGCTCTAATCAATGGAGAAGGCACTTAGACTTACATCTGCAAAACACCTTGCTCTTGTTTACACTTTTCCTGATCACCTCCCCACAACTGGCCTTCCTTCCACACTCTTCTGTCTTTCCTTTAGGGGATGATGGTATGTCAGCCTGAACCCAAAGCCATCTCTTTGAGATTTACCCATTTTTCCCTTGGTAGATGGGGAAACCATGTATATATACAAGGTATGCATGTGGATAAACTTCTATTTCTTTTTTCTCTTGTTAATCTACTTTTTGTTACAGGGGTAGCTTTCAACTAAGAACAATGAAGGGTGGGGAGAAAACTAGGTTTCCTCACTGATATGGTTTGCCTGTGTCCCCACCCAAATCCCATCTTGAATTGTAGCTCCCATAATTCCCACGTGTTGTTGGAGGGACCCAGTGGGAGATAACTGAATCATGGGGGTGGTTTCCCTGTTGTGAATAAGATCTGATGGTTTTATAAGGGGAAACTCCTTTCGCTTGGTTCTCATTCTCTCTTGTCTGCTGCCATGTAAGACTTGCCTTTTGCCTTCTGCCATGACGGTGAGGCCTCCCCAGCCACTTGGAACTGAGTCCATTAATCTTTTTCTTTATAAATTACCCAGTCTTGGGTATGTCTTTATCAGCAGCTTGAAAACAGACTAATACCCTTCCCATTTACATATGATGGAATATTGCACACCAATAAAAAGAAAAAACTATTAATAAACATAAGCAAAAATGTTGTTTAAATTCAAATGCATTGTGCTGAATGAAATAAGCCAGACCCCAAAGGTTATATGCTGTAAGAATTCATTGTGGAAAAGGCAAAGCTATGGGGTCAAAAAAGTAGTCAGTAGTTGCCAGGGTAAGGGCTGGAGGGACGGTTAACTACAAAAGGACAGCCCCAAAATTTTTGAGGATAATAAAACTGCTTTTTATCTTGAACAGTGGAGATTACTACATATTTGTCAAAACTCAAAGGCCTCTACAATATAAAGTGAACTTTACTAAATGTAAATTTAAAAGTAAATTTTTTTAAATTTAAAATGAAACACAAAGGAAGAGACAGTGCCTTTTTCTGCTTGATGATGTGCTGGATGCAATGTCTAGAATAAGGGCAGCCATTTTGTCACTGTGAGGCAGCCAGATTGAGAACAAAGCTAATACAGGCAGGTGGCCAGGCAGAAAAGATGAAAGAACCCAGGTATTCAAAGATGTTACTGAGCCACTTGTTATCCAATCCTGAGCCCACTCATCTTTGAACTTATTATGTGAAATAATGATCATTTTCTTTCTGTTTAGGTCATCTTGAATTGGGCTGTTATTTGCAGTCCAAAGTATCCTGTTCCAGAAGTTCTCAATGACTTTGTTTCAAAAATTGCTTTATCCCCATCATTAAAAAAATAGGGTTTAGGGGTCTGTTGAAGGTTTTGAATAATTTACAACTTGTGTTTAGATCCAGCTTATACAGTACCATTTCTTTCTTTCTTCTTCTTCTTCTTTTTGTTTTTTCTTTTGAGGCAGGATCTTGCTACGTTGCCCAGGCTGGACTAAAATTCCTGGGCTCAAGTGATCCTTCCACCTCAGCCTCCTGTGTAGCTTCCTCCACAAACTGGAAGAAGGTGGCCAAACGTGACCCACAAATTAATCTATTTTCTTTCTTTTTTCTTTTGAGATGGAGTCTTGCTCTGTTCCCCAGGCTGGAGTGCAATGGCACAATCTTGGCTCACTGCAACCTCTGCCTCCCGGTTTCAAGCAGTTCTCCTGCTTCAGCCTCCCAAGTAGCTGGGATTACAGGTGCGCACCACCATGCCCAGTTAAATTTTTTGTATTTTTAGTAGAGACGGGATTTCACCATGCTGGCCAGGCTGGTCTCGAACTCCTGACCTCGTGATCTGCCCGCTTTGGCCTCCCAAGCAGTTCTCCTGCCTCAGCTTCCCAAGTAGCTGGGATTACAGGTGCGCACCACCATGCCCAGCTAAATTTTTTGTATTTTTAGTAGAGACGGGATTTCACCATGCTGGCCAGGCTGGTCTTGAACTCCTGACCTCGTGATCCACCTGCTTCGGCTTCCTAAAGTGCTGGGATTACAGGCGTGAGCCACCGCGCCTGCCCAGTTAATTGATTTTCTTCACGAGTACTTTATGTGTCTTCTCATCTTTTTTCACAAGAGTCAAAGTGCATTAATTATAATTAAAAAGAATAATGGCATACATGACCTTAAATTTGAATAATTTTGAAATCAAAGAGAATTAATTTCAAATATTTATTTGGCATATACTCAATGTCAGACCCTATGAAGCAGCATCATTTGTTTGGGGTAGTACTGGAGGTTCATTGTCTCATACCAAGGAAATCAAGGACATGGACACATGTGGAGCGAGATTAAGAGCAGAGGTTTAATAGGCAAAAGAAAAAGAAAGGAGAATAGCTCTCTCCTGTGAGAAAGAAGAGCCCCCACGTGGAACTTCCAGCCTAAAGCAGAATGCACTGGATTTTATAGACAGGCGTGAGGAGGCGGAGTCTGATTTACATAGGGCCCAAAGATTGGTTAGAGCAGGTTCTTCCTTTACAAAGCACGCTGGGAAGCTGGACACCCAACCCTAGTCTTATTATGCAAATGAGCTTTCCACTTGGCCAGGCCATGTTGTCTGCTCCCTACTGCACACATGGTTGGAAAGGAAGAGGGAAGTTGGAACTGCCATTTTGAACATGCCTAGTCCCAGGTGGACTTTTCCTATTGGCACAACTGCCAGCATTCACCCGTGCAAGCTTCTAGCCTGCCTTTCTGTGTCTGCAGCTCGATTTTATAGGCTGCTCTTTGTTAGAAAAGAAAATGATTTGGGGGCTGCTTTTCATTAAAAGGAAAACCTTACGGAGGGCTTCCTTACTCTCACTCTCTGCCTAAATAATTTCTTCCTAACTCCTATATAACCTATGAGATGTAGTAATAAATCTAGCAGTGCCCCAGTTCTTACTGAGCATACAGTCAAGTAGGATAGATAGACATTGACCAGGTAATTCCAAATGTGACAAGCATTATAAACAAAAGAAGGACAGGATGTGTTGGATACATATATCAGGTGTATGAAAACCAGCTCAGATGTGCCAAGAATTCCCCTGAAAGTGACATTTAGGCCAAGATCCAAGGCAGAAGCCAGCAAGACAGGGGATAGGGGAGTGAGGCAAAAAGATGAAAGGCTATTTTGGTGCGAGTGATGCATGATGTGAGGGACCAGTCTGAAGCAAAGACAATTTAAGGCAGCCACCTTGATGCAGCTCTTTTCATTTAGGGAATATTTTTAAACTGCAGTTTTGACAAAAATGTGTTGATTTTAAAATTATTCTTTTTGCGCCGGGTGCAATAGCTCATGCCTGTAATCCCAGCACTTTGGGAGGCTGAGGCAGGTGGATAACCTGAGGTCAGGAGTTCAAGACCAGCCTGGCCAACCTCGTCTCTACCCAAAATACAAAAATTAGCTAGGCGTGGTGGTGCATGCCTGTAGTCCCAGCTACTCGAGAGGCTGAGGCAGAAGAATTGCTTGAATTGGGGAGACAGAGGTTGCAGTGAGCCAAGATTGTACCACTGCACTCCAGCCTGGGCAACAGAGCAAGACTCCATTTCAAAAAAATTCTCAATAAAATCAATCAATCAATCAATAAGTAAATGTATTCTTTTTATTACCAGTGATGCCTGCAATAGAGCTTCTTTACTCTTAACCCTGTGGTTCTCAACTAAAGGTACTTTTGCTTCTCAGGACACACTTGGCAAAGTCTGGAGATACTTTTGGTTGTCACAGCTGAAAGGGGGTTCTACTAGTATCTAATGGGTGTGGGACAGGGATGCTGCTCAGCATCCTACAATGCAGTAAAGCATTAGCAAATATATTTGCTATACTCCGGGAAGTGGAGGGGTCTTTTGAAGGTTTTGAATAATTTACAACTTGTGTTTAGATCCAGCTTATACAGTATTATATTTTAATACTGTATAAGCTGATTGCTATATTTTAGCAATCATTTTTAGCTAAAATTTCTTCTCTCCTCTTTATCCCTGCAACAGTTCCCTGCAATACTGAGTATAAATCTGATATATATTATAATTAGAAAGCCTGCAATAAGAAGTATGCATTTAAAAGCTGTATTAATGGAAAGCAAACTGCTATTATTGAGACAAATATATAGTTTTTACTGTGCAGTCCATGAAGCCAAATTCTTAAGTCCAAATTCTTAGAGTCATCACTGGACTTGACAGTTCTTTCTGGACAAGCCAGTCTAGCGATCTGTAGTCTTCTATTTGTGATCTATTGGTCTAATTCCCACCCATCCTTCACTACAGCCAGAAAAGCCACTTCATGTGGGACCTCTTCCCCAGAGAATGGGGTCAGTGATTAAAAAAATCTTGGGGAGAGAGGAAGCCTGTCTTACTGACTATATAATGACTAATGATTGCTTTATTTTTTAGCCTGTGTCAGGTGGTCCCAAATCATAATAACCTAATCAGCATCATGTGGTGCCAAACAGTAAGTAACTGATCAAAGTGGGACACAGGAGCCACCCTGAAGGAGCTCTCACTGGCCAAATCTGGAATAACTGAGCACAAAAATAGTAAGAGTAACAGAACCCATGTGTTCATTACAATATCTTGAAAATTTTAAATGGAATGGAACAGGGCAAAAAGAAACTTCTTCTTTGCATAAAAATACCAGCTAATAAATGGAGAATAAATGATTGAATTAGAAAATCACCAGTTTGCAACAGTTGATTCAGCCAAGAATTATCAATGAATATTAATATTCATTGATGCTTTGAGATGGGGGTTAGGACAGGATTTCTCAAAAATCTTTTTTTTTTTTTTTTTTTGAGACAGAGTTTTGCGCTTGTTGCCCAGGCTGGAGTATAATGGCTCCATCTCGGCTCACAGCAACCTCCGCCTCCCGGGTTCAAGCGATTCTCCTGCCTCAGCCTCCCAAGTAGCTGGGATTACAGGCATGGGCCACCATGCCTGGCTAATTTTGTATTTTTAGTAGAGACGAGGTTTCTCCATGTTGGTTAGGCTGGTCTTGAACTCCCAACCTCAGGTGATCCGCCTGCCTCAGCCTCCCAAAATGCTGGAATTACAGGCGTGAGCCACCACGCCCAGCCTTCTCAAAAATCTTAAAATCTTTGAGTGAGGCTGGGTGCGGTGGCCCATGCTGGGAATCCCAGCCCTTTTGAGGCTGGGGCAGGATGATCTCTTGAGGTCAGGAGTTTGAAACAAGTCTGGGCAACATAGCTAGACTCCTGTCTCTACAAAAAATGAAAATGATTAGCCAGGCATGGTGAGTGTGTGCCTGTAGTCCTAGCTAACTTGGGAGGCACAGGCAAGAGAATCTCTTGAGCCTAGGAGTTCAAGGATGCAGTCAGCTATGATGGTACCACAGCACTCCAGCCTGGGTGAGAGAGCAAGATCCTGTCTCAGAAAAAAAAAAAAATGCATATATATACGTATATATACGTATATATGTGTATATATTTGAGTGAAAAGATTTTGATTTTGGGAAATCAGATATTCAAAATATCACACAAAATATCTTTGCAATGAAGAAATATGACAAACCTCACCAACTTTGACCTCAGCAATGATGGAACAAACACATCGTGGACTTCCTGATGTAATAAACTAAGGACACAAAATGGCCATCATAGCTGCTGTATAATAAAGAATTTGTCTGGTGTTTATCCATGATTTTTGCTATGGAGCTTTTATAACCCTTGGTTATACATTTATTAAATGTATCACCTCTGAGTTTATGCAAAAGAAGTAACTCAGTGTGGGTCCCCAGATGGCTTCAGGATGGGGACTAGTTATCTGTAAGACCAACCACATGATTAGAGGATTGGGACTTTCAGCCAGCACATCCTCTGGGAAGGGGGAGGGGGCTGGAGACTGAGTTCATTCTGGTGGACAATTGAAGGCAGTCTTCTTGGGAACTATGTCCTTTGCTTGTGGGATCTACGCTAACTCCAGGTGGTTAGTACCAGAATTGAATTGCTGTACACCATTGAATGTCAAGATAATAGCCTTTTTACCAATAATACTTAACTTGGATCCAAACACAAAACAATCAGACAAAAACAAATAAGGAATATTCTGCAAAATAACCCGCCTAGGCTCTTCAGAAGTGGCAATGTCAAGAAAGACACACACACACACATGCACAAACACACATACACATACATGTGAACACACACACACAAATACAAAGACTGGGGAAATGTTCTAGATTCAAGGATACTAAGGAAACATAACAACTAAGTGAGATGTGATCTTTAGATCCTGAACTGTAAAAACAAACAAAAACAAGAGCTTGAGGGCTTTGAAGAAGAATGTCCTTGTTTTTAGGAGATACATGAGAAGGATTTAACAGTAACTTGTCATCATGATGCCTGCAACTTAATCTCAAACGCTTCAGCAAAAACAAACTAGGACACAGTGAGAGAGGGAGAGATGGAGAGAGAGGGAGACAGAGAAATGGAGGAGAATGCTAACAAATGGCAATCTAGGTGAATGGTTGGTCACTGTCTGTTCTTTCAAAATTTTTAAAAATAAAAAGTTGGCCAGGCGCAGTGACTCACACCTGTAATCCCAGCACTTTGGGAGGCCAAGGCGGGTGAATCATTTGTGGTCAGGAGTTCAAGACCAGTCTGGCCAACATGGTGAAACCCTGTTTCTACTAAGAATACAAAAATTAGCCAGGGTGGGCGCCTGTAATCCCAGCTACTCGGGAGGCTGAGGCAGGAGAATCGCTTGAGCCTGGGAGGCAGAGGTTGCTGTGAGCCAAGATAGTGCCAATGCACTGCAGTCTGGGTGACAGGGTGAGACCCTGTTGCAAAAAGAAAAAACAACAACAACAAAAAAAATAAAATAAAAAGTTGGGGGAAAATTACTTCATTGAGTGGCCTACCTCAACATGTCCCCTGCATCAAAAGGCTACCTTGAGCACAATGTTGGGAATGTACTTAACACCGCTGAAATGTTCACTTAGAAATGGCTGAAATGGTAATTTTTATGTTATTATTATTTGAGACAGGCTGTCACTCTGTTGCCCAGAATGGAGTGCAGTAGCCCAGTCACAGCTCACTGCAGCCTCGACCTCCTAGGCTCAAGCAATCCTCCCACTTCAGCCTCCCGGGTAGTTGGGATTACAGATGCATGCCACTATAGCCAGCTAATTTTTTCAATTTTTTTGCAGAAACAAGGGGTCACTATATGGCCCAGGCTGGTCTCATGGGCTCAAGAGATCCTCCTGCCTCAGCCTCCTAAAGTGCTGGGTTTACAGGCATGAGTCTCCATGCTCTACCAAATTTTATGTTTATTTGATCACAGTTTTTTTTAAGGCTGTGTCAAAATGTCTGCATTCAATCTTATTCTCTCCCCACAGGAGGAGCAGTGATGTGAGGCCCAAACAGTGAAGTCCTGTTGGACAGGCACAGAGAAGGTCAAAAGCCGAGGCCTGAAAGGGACACGAGCCAGATCAGGCACAGCTGTGAAGCCACAAAGGTTTACTGCAGCCGACTGGCTGGATCAGGACCCTGCTTTTCTAGATAATTCCAGCCGGCCGCAGTGCAAGCTGCTTTGGCATGGCGTCCATCTCCTCAATGGCCTAGTGTGTGGACCTTCCTCTCCACTCTGGTGGGCACCTGGCCAGGAAAAGTTTTCTGGTGCCAGTTCTAACACAGGGGACCCAGGTGTCTGGGACATTTTTATTTTGTCTCGGTTTTGAATGGAAAAGCGAGTGAAAGAACAATGTGGGCACAAGTCCAGATAGATCATGCTGCCAGCCTGGCAGCTCCTGGAGGAGCCTCCTGAGGCTCCAAGTCCAGACTTCTGCAGGAAACAGGCCTGGCAGGGGCTTCTGTTAGCCCAGCCCCATCGTCAACTTGAAAGTAGGAGGTGGCCAGAAATACCGTCACCAAAGGTTGCTCTTTTTGCCTTTCCTTGCCTACTGGGGTTCTTCGTAATTGTCCAAGTTGCACATTTTCTTTTCAGCGTACACCACATCAATAATAGACCCATTTCAGGAAAAGTAGAAGAATTTTTACACATTTGTTTTTAGTCCCATATTTATCAATCTAAAGCTTGTGTTCCCTTTTCTGTCCTCTCCTTTTCTCTCCTCTCTTCTCTCTCTCTCCCCCACTTCTCCTCTCACCCCCTGCCTCTCTCTTTCTCTTCTTTCTATTGCAGTCAAATATACATAATTTACCATTTTAACTATTTTTAAGTATAAAATTCAGTGGTAATAAGTACTCCTTTCTTTTTAATTTAAACAATTTTTTTTTTTTCCTGAGATAGAGTTGTGCTCTGTCGCCCAGGCTGGAGTGCAGTGCCGCAATCTCGGCTCACTGCAACCTCCACTTCCCGGGTTCAAGCAATTCTCCTGCCTCAGCCTCCCGAGTAGCTGGGACTATAGGCGCCTGCCACCATGCCTGGCTAATTTTTGTATTTTTAGTAGAGACGGGGTTTCATCATGTTGGCCAGACTGGTCTCAAACTCCTGACCTCCTGATCCACCCGCTTCAGCCTCCCAAAGTGCTGGGATTACAGATGTGAGCCACCGCACCCTGCCTAATTTGCACTAGTTTTTAAAATTATTATTACAAAAAGAATTTCATGAACATGATAAAAAAATGTAAACACTAAGGAAGGAGCCAAATGAAAAAAAGAAAAGATTCTCAACGCTACCCTATCCTCCAACAAAATACATTCCTTGTGAAACCTACATGGAACATTTTAATGGATGATCCGTTGGTAACACAAATGTATTCACAAATCTATTCACTCTCTCCTTAAGGGTTAGGGGACTCAGTCCTCAGTGCAGTGGTTACTTTTCCGACCTGGAGGTGCAGGCCGGGTTTCCTTACACACCCATGCAACTCATGCACATGTGTGCCTGTGAGCACACACACACACACACACACATGCGTGTTTTTTAAATAACTGATTACATGTATATATACATACATATATTCATATAATAAGGGTGACATTCATACTGCTCCATACCTTGATTTTTTTTCACTTATAGTACATCTACCCTATAACCATCCAAACCTATAGACATATTACCCTCATCCTCTCCTTTAAGGTTTTAGTTCAACACTGTTTCCTGCCTGCGAATACTTCAACATTTCTCTCCTCCCAGGTGATTCTATGAAGCCATCAAGATCTACCTCATATTCTGTATTCTCCAAGCATTTAGTGCTTCTATATTGCCAATTTACTAGATAACGATACAGGAACCATCATAGCTCAGTGGAAAGGAAGGTGAACTCTTGAGTCAATCATTCAGGGATCTTATTCTCAGCTCTACCTCTAACTAGCTGAGCAAGGGGCTTATGGAGGTCCCCTTGGACATTTTTCTAAATTCCTCTAGACCTATTTTCTCACATAAAACTTTTTTTAATAAAAATGAATAATTATCTTGAATAACGATGTTGTTTTTATACACGTTATACATGTGTGTTAAGTATTTGTGTTAGGGTTCTCCAGAGAAACAGAACAGGATGTGTGTGTGTGTCTCTATACACTGTGTATACTGTGTGCGTGTGTGTGTGTGTGTGTGTGTGTGTGTGTGTGTGGAGGGGGGGTGCATACACAGTCAGCCCTCTGTGGGTTCCACATCCAACTGCAGATTGAAAATATTTGGGGGGAAAAAAGAGAGGATAATTGCATCTTTAACTAACATATATAGAATTCTTTTCTGGTCATTATTCCCTAAACAATATAGTATAACAACTATTTACATAGCATTTACATTGTCTTAGGTGTCAATCGAGAAAAATGACAAGACAAGTCTCAATCATTTTAGGAGGTTTATTTGCCAAAGTTAAGGACGTGCATCCATGACACAGCCTCAGGAGATCCTGATGACATGAGCCCAAGGTGATCAGGGCACAGCTTGGTTTTACACATTTTAGGGAGACATGAGACATCAATCAATGTATGTAAGAACTACATTGGTTCTGAGGGACAACTCAAAGCAGGGAGGGGGCTTCCGGGTCATAGGTAGCTGAGAGACAAATGGTTGCAGTCTTTGAGCTTCCGATAAGAAGGAGGCAATCAGAATATGCATCTATTTCTGTGAGCAGAGGGATGACTTTGAATACAATGAGAGGCAGGTTTGTCCTGAGCAGTTCCCAGCTTGACTTTTCCCTTAGCTTAGTAATTTGGGGGTCAAAAGATTTTCCTTTCACATAGGAATTAGAAGTAATCTAGAGATGATTTAGAGTATACAGGAGGGCCTGCATAGGTTACTTGCAAATACTACAACATTTTATACAAGGGACTTAAGCATCCTTGAATTTTGGTATTTTCAAGGGGTCCTGAAACCAATCCTCCACAGTTACTGAAGGATGACTGTATGAAGAATGACTGTATGTATATGTATATGTATATGTATATGTATATGTATATGTATATGTATATGTATACATGTAAAGAGAGACAGAGAGAGAGAGATTGATTTTAAGAAGTTGGCTCATGAGATCGTGGAAGCTCACAAGTCCAACATCCACAGGGTAAACCAGCAGGCTACAGACCCAGGGAAGAGCTGCAGTTTGAGTCCAAAGACCATCTGCTGGTGGAATTCTTTCTTTTTCTGGAGAAGCCAGTCTTTTTCATTATTAAGGCTTTCAACTGACTAGATGAGGTCCACCCACATGATGGAGTATAATCTGCTTTACTCAAAGGCTACTGATATAAATGTTAACCTCATCTAGAAAAAATCCCTTCGCAGAAACATCTAGAATAATGCTTGACTAGATATCTGAGTACCATGGCCTAGCCAAGTTGACACATAAAATCAATCATCATAGAGCTATTTAAATTTAAAAATACCAAAAGACACACAAAAAAAGTTTTATCCTCCTCCACCCCAAATCCAAATAGCTAGGAGCAAGCAATCTCAACATTTAGTAACATTTAGTCACTTTTCTCAGAATTTCTGTGGTTAGCCAGCTAGATAAACAGAAAGATAAAAGAAGGATATAATAAAAATGCTATTTTTAAGATGAAAGATTATAATTTAATATTTTTAAAAGGGAAAAAAGTAAAGTATAACTTCAAATGAATGTTTCTTTACAATAAAGTAGGCATTCCTAAGAGATCCTTCTAGGGCTCAGTGAAAACATTACGGAAAGCCATTAAGAAGTTGGTCATTTTAGAGCTTTCTTTTTTTTCTTACTATTAGTTTTAATTCTGGACAGAATCCATTTACTTCCTCTTATGAAATATAAAAAATTAGTACAGCACATGACCTCCTGACTTCCTCCCTTTCTCCACTTTCCAAAATTTATTTGTATTGTTATAAGTTTTACATGGTTAAGGTTTATAAAGCTTATGTGCTGACTATAATTTCTGCCGTGTTTCCTTTTAATTTTATATGTAAATATAGTCAGTGCTCATTACCATTTCTTTTGCCAAACCTTCTATATTTCTGATCTCTTAGTTTTGATTCTTCTCTTGAGTAGCTAGATTTTGTCAACAAATCTTTATTTTTTTTCCCCCAAATCATTTTTTTTTTTTTTTTATGAAAGGTTCAGGAGTGTGGTATATATGGTGACTAACCATGCTTGTTTATCTGAAACTGTCAGATTTTACACTGAAAGTCCTGTATTCTGAACAGCCCCTCAGTCCCGGGCAAACTGCACATGGTGGTCTTTGTAGCTGTATCCCTCACATTCCTCTTTCACCTATAAAGTAGCCCCTTCCCTGAGAATGCAGGAAACATTACACAGGCTGGAGAGATGTGGGAATTGTGTCTAGGAGAAGGGGCTGCTCACATGAAGGGAGATGAAGGGATTTGTGTTGGGGAAGAGGGCACATTCCAGGCAGAAGTGGGGACACATTTACTGCTGAGTTGAAAGAGAACACATTCTTATGTTAAAGGAGTAACGGAAAATTGAAGTGGCTGGAGCTTAAGGTACATGAAACAGCATGTAAGAGATGCCACTAGGCCGGGCGCAGTGGCTCACACTGTAATCCCAGTACTTTGGGAGGTTGAAGCAGGTGAATCACTTGAGGTCAGGAGTTTGAGACCAGCCTAGCCAACATAGCAAAACCCCATCTCTACTGAAAATACAAACATTAGCTGGGTGTGGTGGCACATGCCTGTAGTCCCAGCTAGTTGGGAGTCTGAGGCAAGAGAATCGCTTGAACTGGGGAGGCGGAGGTTGCAGTGAGCTGAGATATCACCATGGCACTTCAGCCTGGGTGGCAGAATGAGACTCCATCTCAACAAAAAAAAAAAAAAAAAGGAGAGAGATGCCACTGAACAGATAAGTTAGGACTAAATGGGGAGGCCCTTTGCTTTGGCTGCATTGACTGCCACTCTGTCCTTCAGTAACACTTTTACCCTAGAAAAGGGATGTTGAAGAATTTAAAAGTTCTTGGGAGACTCATACATACTCAAATCAAAATGTTCATATATGCTACTGAGGACCGTATCTTAAAACAAGAAAAGAAAATGCTCATATAGCACCTTATATCTTATGTCAGTTATTTGTTTCTTTCAGAATCATACTTGATATTTCCAGCTGATTGTGAGAATATTCTTCTACTTAGGGTTTTCTTTTTTGAAAAAATTTTATTTTTTTTTTTGTAGAGAGAGTTTCGCCATTTTGCCCAGGCTGGTCTCAAACTACTGAGCTCAAGCGATCCTCTAGCCTCCGCCTCCCAAAGTACCGGAACTTTTTTGGTGATAGGGTCTCACTCTGTGAGACCAGGCTGGAATGAATACAGTGGTGAGATTATGGCTCACTGTGGTCTTGAATTCCTGGGCTCAAATAATCCTACCGCCTCAGCCTCCCAGTAGCAGGGACTACAGGCCACCATGCCCAGCTAATTTTTAAATTTTTTGTAGAAATGGGTTTTTACCATGTTGTCCAGACTGGTCTCAAACTCCTGGGCTCAAATGATTCTCCTGCCTCAGCCTCCCAAAGTGCTGGGATTACAGGAGTGAGCCACCGCACCTGGTCAACTTTCTTTTCTCTTGTTGTTGAGACAAAGTCTCACTCTGTTACCCAGGATGGAGTGCAGTGGCACAATCACGACTCACTGCGGTCTCATACTCCTGGGATCAAGCAATCCTCCTACCTCAACCTCCCAAGTAGCTGGGACTACAGGCCACCATGCCTGGCTAATTTCTAAAGTTTTTGAAGAAGGCCAGGCATGGTGGCTCATGCCTATAATCCTAGCACTTTGGGAGGCTGAGGTGACGGGATTGCCTGAACTCAGGACTTGGAGACAAGGTTTCACCATGTTGCCAAGGCTGGTCTTGAACTCCTGGGCTCAAGTGACCCTCCTGCTTTGGTCTCTCAAAGTGCTGGCATTACAGGGTGAGCCACTGTACCCACCCTTGATTTTCTTTTAAAGCCAGAAAAGCGAACAGCCTGGTTGAGAATTGGGGGCCAGTTAATGTTCCTCTCACCTAAGAAACCAAACCAGTCCAGCAACCTCTTTCCAGTATGTTAGCAATGTGGACAGAGGAGAGGACAAATAGAGAAACCTAATGAAATAGTTCTTTTCTGAAAACATCGCTGTTTTTATTTTGTTTTGCTTTTAATCTGAGAGCAAACTTTCTGGCAGTGCCCTCCCATCAAGGAGTAAATAGTTGAGTGGTTGCTGAAGGGTGGTTGGCAGGAAGGCTGATTATGTTGACTCAGTTGACCGTGGTGTTTTCTGAATAGTAGAGCCCACAGAACTGCTCTCCCTGATTCTAGAACCCACACAAAAAATCTGGGTTTGGGATTTAGGAAAAACAACAGAAGGTTTTTAGGGTCCATGTACCCATAGAAAACTGTAGCTTCCTGCTTTTATAAAAAATCAATTTTGAGTATATAGTTAGTATATTTTTTCTCAAAATAGCAAATCCATTTGAGAAATCAACAATTTAATAACAATGTTTTTTTAAAAATTGAAATATCTGGCAAATGATTAAACATGGCCAATTTACAAGCAACTTTTCAATCTTAGTGAAAGGGCTGATTTGGATAGAAATCAACAAAATTGTCAGGAGGGGCCATAAGTGAGGGAAGAGGGAAGAAGCTGCTGGAAAAAAAACGAAAGGAAAGCAGTTACTAGGGACAATGTCTCCATTAGTCACAGCAGGCAGAGTGCCTGCGACCGACAATACTTTCAGAGGCCTACAGAAAGTGGTTTCATTTTTATTTCCGTTAAAATCAGAAGAAAAAAATGAATATATTATAATGGACCCAGCCTGGATTATATTTATATTTACACTAATGCAGTTGTGAAATACAATTTTTATTGTTTTTTCTTAAGAAGGAAGGAGCCCACAGAGGCAACGTGGTTGGGGCCTAAGAAAGTCCTCATGTGGCCCTGGCAGTTACTAAATAGGTTGGTTCAAATGCCTAAAAAAATACAGCCCTGTGGTTAATGAAATGTCTTCAGTGACGTTAACATTGATAGCATCCACATTTCCCTAGCTGAGTGGGCCCCCTCTACAGACTACAGGATCTCAGCCCACCTTTTAAAGCTTCCCCAGCCATAACTAGAGACCCCTTCCAAGTGCTCAGTACCAAGGCCAATCAGATTTTTTTTTTTTTTTTTTGAGATGGGAGTCTCACTCTGTCACCCAGGCTGGAGTGCAGTAGGTCCATCTCGGCTCACTGCAAGCTCCACCTCCTGGGATCAAGAGATCCTCCTGCCTCAGTCCCCCTAGTAGCTGGGACCACAGGCACACGCCGCCCTGCTCAGCTAATTCTTGTTTTTTTGTTGCTGTTGTTTGTTTTTTTGAGACGGAGTCTTGCTCTGTTGCCAGGCTGGAGTGCAGTGGCGCAATCTTGGCTCACTGCAGCCTCTGCCTCCCAGGTTCAAGTGATTTCCCTGCCTCAGCCTCCCGAGTAACTGGGACTACAGGTGCGTGCCACCACGACCGGCTGATTTTTTTTTTTTAATTGTATTTTAGTAGAGATGGGGTTTCACCATGTTGGTTAGACTGGTCTCGAACTCCTGATCTCAGGTGATCCGCCCACATTGGACTCCCAAACTGCTGGGATTACAGGCGTTAGCCACCGCGCCCAGCCCCAGTCAGATTTTTCTGTGCTGCTCCTTTCCACTGCCAAGAAGCCCTGTTAGGAGATGCCTCGTTAGTATTACTTTAGCTGGTGTCTACTTCAGCCTTTTTATCTAGGTGCTGTTTCCAAACTTTCAGTTCCTCATGGTGCCCACACAGCACTGGAGAACCTTCCATCCCAACCCAGTGTTAAAAGCTGTGCTGCAGGCACCCAGGAAGGGGGAAGCTTCTCCGTCTATAAATCAGGGTAATATGTTTCACTGAAGTCCTGAAACATCTGTGCTTGTACCTGGAGCCTCCCAAAGTCCTTCATGTAAATAGTAACTCCAGTGAATTACTGGTCTCTGAGCCTGGGCTGAGGAACAGACAACATCCTATCTTCCACTCTCCCATTCAATCCTGTCTCTTGTCCCACGGCATCCAAACACTTTTTCCTCCAATGTTCCGTTCTTCCAGGAAAATGTACACATACCACTTTGGTGCTGCCCTACACAAAGCAGATACTTGTTTTTTATTATACACACATGTATAAAGCCAAGTATTTCAAAAACAAGTATCAATTTTCAATTTTTTTTTTAAATATAGAGACAGGGTGTCACTGTGTTGCCCAGGTTGGTCTCCAACTCCTGCGCTCAAGCGATCCTGCCATCTTGGCTTCCCAAAGTATTGGGATTACAGATGTGAGCCATCCCACCTGGCTAATTTTCAAATATTTCAAAAGCAGTTAACATCGATATATAGTATATCTGAAACAAAGCATCATCAATATTGTCAATGCAGTATGTAATTAATATGGCCTCTTTTTACCATTTAAGTTCTGGTAAACAATTTTGATCCATCATATCTAACATAAAATGTGCAAATGATAGTTCTAGAACTATAGTGAGGAGATAACGAAAGGATATTATGTTGGATGGTAAAGCTCAAGTGGTTTTGAGAGGTGACAACGTGCTAGCAGCCCTTGCTCACTCCCGGTGCCTCCTTGGCCTCAGCATCTGCTCTGGCCACACTCCAGGAGCCCTTCAGCCCGCAGCTGTGCTGTGGGGGCCCCTCTCTGGGGCTGGCCGAGGCGGGAGCCGGCTCCCTCTGCTCACAGGGAGGTGTGGAGGCAGAGGCGAGGGCGGCAGCTGGGGCTGTGGCGCTAGTGGGCCAGCACGGGTTCCAGGTGGGCGCGGGCTGGGAGCGGGTCCCACACTCGGCGCCTGCTGGGCTTGATCCAGGTACGAGCTCCCTCTGGGTTGCCGGAATGCCCGGGGTAGGTGCCCAAAAGTCCTGGCGGCCAGTGCCATTGAGAGGTGAAGCCAGCTGGGCTTTTGGGTTGGGTGGAGACCTGGAGAACTTTTCCCTCTGGCTAAAGGATTGTAAACGCACCAATCAGCACTCTGTGTCTAACTAAAGGTTTGTAAACACACCAATCAGCACTCTGTCAAGACAGACCAATCAACTCTCTGTAAAACGGACCAATCAGCTCTCTGTAAAATGGACCAATCAGCTCTCTGTAAAATGGACCAATCAATAGGATGTGGGTGGGGCCAGATAAGGGAATAAAAGCCACGCCACCTGAGGCAGCAGTGGCTACTTGGTTAACTGTGTCCCCTTCTACTCTGCCAAGGCTTTGTTCTTTGCCTCTTAGAAGTAAATGTTGTTGCTGCTCACCCTTTGGGTCCACGCTGCCTTTATGAGCTGTAACAATGAGCTGTAACACTCAGTGCGAAGGTCTGCAGCTTCACTCCTGAAGCCAGCCAGGGAGACCATGAACCCACGGGGAGGGATGAACAATTCCAGATGGGAGGAATGAACAATTCCAGATGGGAGGAATGAACAATTCCAGATGGGAGGAATGAACAATTCCAGATGGGAGGAACGAACAACTCTGGACGTGCCACCTTTATGAACTGTAACACTCACAGCAAAGGTCTGCAGTTTCACTCCTGAGGCCAGTGAGACCACGAACCCACTGGAAGGAACGAACAACTCCAGATGCGCCGCCCACTCACTGCGAAGGTCTGCAGCTTCACTCCTGAAGTCAGCAAGACCAGCAACCCCCCAGAAGGAAGAAACTCTGGACACATCTGAACATCAGAAGGAACAAACTCGGGACACAACACTTACCGCGAGGGTCCACGGCTCCGTTCTTGAGGTCAGCGAGACCAACAACCCACCAATTCTGGACACATTTTTGCTCCAGGCACCTTCAGAGAAATGGTCAAGAAAGCAGCGTAAAGATCAACTGGAAATGAAAATTTCTGGATATGCTTTTACTTATGAAGAATATAATGGGGGGCCCAGTATAGTGGCTCATGCTTGTAATCCCAGCACTTAGGGAGGCAAAAGTGGGAGAATCACTTGAGCCCAGGAGTTACCTGGGCAGCTTAGCGAGACCTCATGTCTACGAAAATAAAAATTAAAAACTTAGCCACATGTGGTGGTCCCAGGTACTTGGGAGGCTGAGGTAGGAGGATCGCTTGAGCCTGGGAGGTCGAGGCTGTAGTGAGCTATGATTCCCACCACTACACTTAAGCCTGGGTGACAGTGAAATCCCCTCTCTCGAAAAGAATATAACAGCTATCATCACAGCCTGCGAAGTCAGTCACTTTGCCCTGAGGCATGTTCTGTGTTCTGAGGCAAGGATAGGAGGCTGACCCCTCAACCACCTACTTTTCTATTCAGCCACTGAAGCCTTCTGTGGCCTTCCCTGAGACCTGTGAAACAGTTGGGAGACCATTAGTACAGCAGTTCTTAAGCAGGCCAATTTTTTTCCATTTGGAGGCATTTCAAAATATCTAATGATCTTTTAAAAATTTTATTTAAACTGTTGTCTTTTAGTGGGCAAGGTCAAAGAATGCTAAAAGTCTTGCAAGGTAGGGATAGTTGGGCAAAAGAAAGATTTTCCTCTTACCCAAAAATATCAATAACACCACTATTGTGAGGTATCTGTGTAAGAACTGGGGAATTTGATTGAAGGATTTTTTTTTTTTTTTTTTTTTGAGACGGAGCCTTGCTCTGTCACCCAGGTTGGAGTGCACTGGTACGCTCTTGGCTCACTGCAACCTTTGCCTCCCAGGTTCAAGCGATTCTCTTGCCTCAGCCTCCGGAGTAGCTGGGATTACATGCACCTGCCACCACACGTAGCTAATTTCTGTATTTTTAGTAGAGATGGGGTTTTGCTATGATGGCCAGGCTGGTCTCAAAACTCCTGACTTCAGGTGATCCACCTGCCTTGGATCCCAGAGTGCTGGGATTATAGGCATGAGCCCCCGCACCCAGCCTAATTGAAGGAATTTCTTTCTTGCTATTGTGTTTAACTCCTGTATATGTGTTACAGGTATGGAAGGATGATATGTGATATTAGCTGATATGATTTCCTACATTCACTTTTTTGTCCCACGAAAAGGACAGAGATGCCCTCCTTCCAGGTTCCTCATGGCTCAGAAGTAGCATGAGAGAAGATTATATTGGTCTTGAGTGGTGCATGAAAGAGTCAGAAGACCTCACCAGGGATCCTAGACAAGGATAAAAGGATGTGCCTCAAAGGAATGAAGGGTGTCTGTCCTTACAGGAAATTGTGTAAGAACACAGTGAATTGATTCAAGTCAGTTTGGTCGTGCTCAACCCTTAGATTGTTTCTGTTAGAAGATAGTAGACACTAAAGAAATTTGAGGGAGTGAGATTTAGCTGTGCTTTCATAATCTCACAATCAGGTTACAGGAAAGAAATCTTAGCCCAAATCCTGTCACCCACATAGGTGTTTACTATGCAAACATTCATTAGTCACCACTAAGGAGTTGGTACTGTCCTGTTGGTGTAATGAAATTCTAGCTCTGTACTCTTTTAGGTGATCCAATCACACATTGCATGAAATGCTTACAAGCAGCACACAACAGCACTTCAGAAGCAGGAGTCTCTCTCTTCCAACTGGCATCATTCAGAAATCCTCCTATACCAACAGCTGCTTATAGGACAACTCAGGGAGCAAGCTAGATTTTAGGTCTTCCTTAATTGTTACACCCCCACCCATACAAGAGTTAGGAGTCTCTTTAAGGTATTTTTAGCCAGTCCTCATATTTTGAATACCTTTAGCATCACAAATGAGAGCTCATTTCTAAGAATCATGCTAAATAACTGCTTCTTGACAAAAGTTACTAGTTTCTCCAGTGAAATCCCTTTTCAGACATTCAGTATGTTTAATAGCAAAGTGTTAGTTTGATGAAGCCATCTCTGGGATGGAACCTTTTCTGATTTAATGTGAACTGATCATGCCTTAACTATGCATTATAAATTATCTGAAGGTTTTGGCTTCATCTAAGTAACAGATATTGGCCAGGCGTGGTGGCTCACACCTGTAATCCCAGCACTTTGGGAGGCCGAGGTAGGTGGATCACCCGAGGTCAGGAGTTCAAGACCAGCCTGGCCAACATAATGAAACCCTGTCTCTAAATAAACAAATAACAGATACAAAATATCACGATGTATATGCTGAGATCTTTTAAAATAAGTTACAGTCACTGTAACACAATGGAATCTGCATGGGTCCCAATGCTATGGGGGCCAAGTGAGATCTGCACCTGCAGATCAGTCACCACTTAAAATACTCTGGGTACTATGCAAGTGCTAAGGAAACATCTGGAGCCAAAGGCCAGTAGAGGACTGAGAGACCCGGAAGCAAGGTGACTGTCTCTTCACTCTCAGTTATTGGCAGGAATTAAGAGCTGAGTGAGGGGGAAAGGAGACTAGAAAGAAAAACCTTAGAGGAAGGGCTACTGCGAATAGAGTAGCCACTTAACCCTGAAGAATTTTTTTTAATCAATTTTTTTGGACTTGAACTATCAACAGAATTTTTAAAAAATTATTTACAGAATTAACAAAATTATTTCTTTCAGATAGGTGTGATGGTTAATACTGAGTGTCAACTTGATTGGATTGAAGGGTGCAAGGTATTGTTCCCGGGTATGTCTGTGAGGGTGATGGCAAAGGTGATTCACATTTGAGTCAGTGGACTGGGAGAGGCAGACCCACCCTCAGTCTGGGTGGGCACCATCTAATCAGCTGCCAGTGTGGCTACAATAAAGCAGGCAGGAGAAGATGGAAGAGGAGACTTGCTGAGTCTTCTGGTCTCCGTCTTTCTCCTGTGCTGGATGCTTCCTGCCCTTGAACATCAGACTCCAAGTTCTTCAGCTTTTGGACTTTTGGACTTACACCATTAGTTTGCCAGGGCCTCTCAGGCTTTTGGCCACAGACTGAAGGCTGAACTGTCGGCTTCCTTACTTTCGAGGTTTTGGGACTCGGACTGGCTTCCTTGCTCCTCAGCTTGCAGACAGTCTGTTGTGGGACTTAACCTTGCGATTGTGTGTGTCAGTTCTCCTAATAAGCTCCCCTTCATATATACATCTATTCTATTAGTTCTGTCCCTCTAGAGAACCCTAATACAAAATTCCAGCTGTGCCAAGGGACATCAAGAAAAGCAATTGTGTTTCTGCTTGCTTGAGAGACCCAGAGGGAAATTTTGCTCTGTAGGTACCAGTTTGTTGATGGCTATGAGCATGAGGAGAGTGATTCCACAGGCAGGGAATAGAACTCGGGGACACAGATGGGTCCTTATCTGTCAAATTCTTCCTCATGGAATTTATTTTGCTCTCTTTTAAAATTGCATAAGAAATTGTTATTCATGGTAGAAACATCTGAAACTCAAATGAAACGTTAAAAAAAAGGAAAGAATCCCTTGTAACCTCCTTACCCAGTGATAACAATTGTTACTGAGAGGTGACAGCGTGCTGGCAGTCCTCACAGCGCTCGCTTGCTCTTGGCGCCTCCTCTGCCTGGGCTCCCACTTTGGCGGCACTTGAGGAGCCCTTCAGCCCGTCGCTGCACTGTGGGAACCCCTTTCTGGGCTGGCCAAGGCCAGAGCCGGCTCCCTCAACTTGCAAGGAGGTGTGGAGGGAGAGGCGCAGCCGGGAACCGGGGCTGCGCGCCGTGCTTGCGGGCCAGCGCGAGTTCCGGGTGGGTAGGGTCAGCGGACCCCGCACTTGGAGGGGCCGGCCGACTCCACCGGACCCGGGCAGTAAGGGGTTTAGCACCTGGGCCAGCAGCTGATGTGCTCAATTTCTCGCTGGGCCTTAGCTGCCTTCCTGCGGGGCAGGGCTTGGGACCTGCAGCCCGCCATGCCTGAGCCTCCCCCCGCTGCCCCACCGTGTGCTCCTGTGCCGCGGGAGCCTCCCCGACAAGCACCGCCCCCTGCTCCATGGCGCCCAGTCCCATGAAACCACCCAAGGGCTGAGGAGCGCAGGCGCACGGCGCGGGACTGGCAGGCAGCTCCACCTGCAGCCCCTGTGTGGGATCCACTGGGTGAAGCCAGCTGGGCTCCTGAGTCTGGTGGGGACGTGGAGAACCTTTATGTCTCTCTCAGGGATTGTAAATACACCAATCGGCACTCTGTATCTAGCTCAAGGTTTGTAAACACACCAGTCAGCACCCTGTGTCTAGCTCAGGGTTTGTGAATGCACCAGTCGACACTCTGTATCTAGCTACTCTGGTGGTGACTTGGAGAACCTTTGTGTCTATCTCAGGGATTGTAAACACACCAATCAGCACCCTGTCAAAACAGACCACGCGGATCTACCAATCAGCAGGATGTGGGTGGGGCCAGATAAGAGAATAAAAGCAGGCTGCCCGAGCCAGCAGGGGCAATCCGCTGGGGTCTCCTTCCACACTGTGGAAGTTTTGTTCTTTCGCTCTTTGCAATAAATCTTGCTATTGCTCACTCTTTGGGTCCACACTGCCTTTATGAGCTGTAACACCGCGAAGGTCTGCAGCTTCGCTCCTGAAGCCAGCGAGACCACGAGCCTAGCGGGAGGAACAAACAACCCCAGACGGGCCGCCTTAAGAGCTGTAACACTCACCAGGAAGGTCCGCAGCTTCACTCCTGAGCCAGCGAGACCACGAACCCACCAGAAGGAAGAAACTGAACACATCGAACATCAGAAGGAACAAACTCCGGACACGCTGCCTTTAAGAACTGTAACACTCACTGCGAGGGTCCGCGGCTTCATTCTTGAAGTCAGTGAGACCAAGAACCCACCAATTCCGGACACATTACCATTTTAAAGTATAGCTTTACAGATCTGTTTTTATACATTCACATATGTGTAAATATTTCAAAACTAGGATCACACTGTATATATTCTTTTGCAGTGTGTTCTTGTTTAACTCATTGTATTGTGGACTTTTCATGTCAATAAACATTTGTCTATTCCAGTGGTTCTCAAACTTGAGGATGCATCAGAATCACTTAAAAAGCTCGATAAAGGCCCAGCGCAGTGGCTCATGCCTGTAATCCCAGCACTTTGGGAGGCTGAGGTGGGTAGATTGCTTGAGGCCAGGAGTTAGAGACCCGCCTGGCCAACATAGCACAACTCCATCTTTACTAAAAATACAAAAATTAGCTGGGTGTGGTGGTGTGCACCTGTAATCCCAGCTACTCGGGAGGCTGAGGCTTGAGAATCCTTTGAACCCTGGAGGTGGAGGCTGCAGTAAGCTCAGATCACACCACTGCAGTCCAGCTTGGAACACAGAGTGAGACTCTGTTTCAAGAGAAGAAAGAAAAAAAAAAGCACTTGAT
The DNA here is from genome assembly GCF_000001405.40 of Homo sapiens. NCBI lineage: Eukaryota > Metazoa > Chordata > Mammalia > Primates > Hominidae > Homo > Homo sapiens. Next base: position 76,522,392 of record NC_000009.12, on the reverse strand, counting down.
AAAGCACAGGTTGCTGGTTTCCACCTACCAAGTCTCTACTTTAGTAGTTCTAAGTTAGGGTCTGAAAATTGCATTTCAGATAAGGTGATTCTTTTCTTCTTTTTTGTTGTTGTTTCTTGAGACAAGGTCTTGTTCTGTCACCCAGGCTGGAGTGCAGTGGTGTGATCATGACTCACTGCAGACTTGACCTCCTGGGCTCAAGTGACCCTCTTGCTTCAGCCTTCTGAGTAGCTGGGACTGCAGGTGTGTGCCACCACGCCTGGCTAATTTTGTTTATTTTTTGTAGAGACAAGGTCTCATTATGTTGCTTAGGCTTGTCTCGAACTCTTGGACTAAAGCCATCTTTCCCCCTTGGCCTACCAAAGTGCTAGGATTACAGGTATGAGTGAGCCATCACCACCAGCCAAACAAGGTAATGTTGTTGCTACTGGTCGGGGGGCACACTTGGAGAAGCTTGGGTCATCTGTTAATAGATCATTAGGTAATATAATTTGTGGGTTGTCTGTTGGTTTTTTGGAGACAGTAAATGGAGACTTTGTAACAAGGGCTTGATACGCAGTGATAGGGTAATAATAAAATTGCAATTTATCATTTCTTTCATGGTAACAATTTGAGGACTGAATAAAAGGTTTTGGGACTAAAATTAGATATTCAATAAGTAATAAGTAAATAGGCCCCAGGCATAGCACTGAAAGCGCTGCCTAGTGTTCGTAAGTGCAGGAAGGCTGTGACCTGCCTTACAGAGAGAAAATGTGTGCTAGATAAGCTTTGTTCAGGCACGACTTACAGTTCAATGTGAATGAGTCAACAATCTTGTACACCTAAAAAGGAAGGGGACATTTCCCAGTCGGGTGTGACACTGCTCCAGAAAGCGCTAAAGTAACATCTATAGTGCATCTTAGATCTACGAATAAGATGGAAGAGTGGCTAAATGGGTGTATTCATGAGATGATGACAGATTAAAAAAAAAAAAAACATAGTGGACAGCATTTCTGTGAGGCTGAAAGCCAAGAAATTTATGGAAAAGTGTTAAACCCTTTGTGGCTAGTGCTGACTGGCCCACACGTTTCAAAAGGCGATGAGGCATGGAAAAATGTTAAACCTGTGGGAGGGGTAGGTTCTGCAGATCAGAATGCTGTGGAACAGTTTTTTAAATATTTGCTAAGTGTTCTATGGGAAAAGGGTTACTGGAAGAGACGATTTTCAACCCTGGTGAGACTGGCTTGTTTTACAAGGAAGTTGGAAAATGAACCTATAGAACGCAAATGGCATATCAATTGACAAAAATGTAGTGACCAGAGGTTCTCAGGAGCCTCATCTTATATTTCCCCTTGCAGCAATAGTCCAATATTCACTAATTTAGTGTTTGCTATGAGTTTATAGAACATAACTACCATGAATAATAAGAAGTGATCATACCTGGCTGGCTGTGTGGTGGCTCATGCCTGTAATCTCAGCACTTGGGAGGCTGAGGTTGGAGGACTGCATGAGCCCAGGAGTTCGAGACCAGTCTGGACAACATAGTGAGAACCTGTCTCAATTAAATATATGTGTACATGTATATATCTTTTTTAAAAAAGAATTAATCATACCTGGTTCACCCTCATAGATTTTAAAACATAAGGTAGAGCCCAGACATCTGTTTTTACCAACCCTTTTATTTGATTTTGAAGCAGTCTAGTATTTGAAAATTATTTGTAATACACTGTATCTAGTTTCCTTATATTTCCAAAAGCCTGTCATATAGTCCATAGGTATCATTGTCCTTTTTTTTTTTTTTTTGAGACGGAGTCTCACTCTGTCACCCAGGCTGGAGTGCAGTGGCATGATCTCGGCTCACTGCAACCTCCGCCTCCCAGGCTCAAGCAATTCTCCTGCCTCAGCCTCCTGAGTAGCTGGGATTACAGGCACGCACCACCACAACAGGCTAATTTTTGTATTTTTAGTAGAGATGGGGTTTCACCATGTTGGTCAGGCTGGTGTCGAACTCCTGACCTCATGATCTGCCTGCCTCAGCCTCCCAAAGTGCTGGGATTACAGGTGTGAGCCACCATGCCCAGCCAACATTATTGCTTTTTTTTCCTGAGTTATCTGATGGGGGACTCCTTGGCCTGCCTCACACAAGGATTCTTTTTAACCCCCTGTGATTGAGTAGAAAGGAAGTAGGCTGGGTGACATTTTTTCTTTTTAACACTGGTTGATTCCTAAGAGAAATCACATCTGCTTTTTGAGACATCCTACATTCACCCATCCATCTTTTCACTCATCAGATTTAAGTCCCATACGAGCAGCAATCATGAATATTTGGTTCACCAAGGTAAACCTGTACCTAGTCAGTAACTTTCACATAGTAAACACTCTGCCCAATATAAGACAGGCACTGCGATGGAAACGAAATTATTCCTATAAATCAGGGGTTCTCAAGCAGGGACGATTTTACCTTCCAAGAGACATCTCACAATGTCTGGAGGCATCTTTATCACAAGATGATGCCTTGGGGTTGGGTTGGGGTTGCCACTGGCATCTAACAGGTAGAGACCAGGGCTGCTGCCAAACATTCATAATGCACAGGACAGCCTCCACCCCCACAACAAAGAATTATCTAGCCCAAAATGTCAATAGTGCCCAGGTAGAGGGAAACATTCTTAAATGGCTATAAAAATTAGAGTAGGCAATTTCTCATCGTCTGACATTGCACTCCAGGGCAGATTCAACTGTTAAGTGACACAGCAGTACTGAATCATGTCTGTCCCCACAGCCCACCTACCACGCAAAGTTATGAGGAAAGATTCCTGGGGAAGGCTTTCCTCTCTCTTGTCCCACTGGTTTATTGTTGCCCTCCTAAGTCAAAAATGCATACTATTTTTTTTCAAGCTTTTGCACTCATACTCTTCCCTGTTTTCACTCTCCATCCCTATTTCCTTGTTTGCACTTCATGCGAAGTGGAGTCCAGCTTCCTAGGAAACAGGTGTACCCTGACCTCCCTCATGCAGTTTCTAGAAATGGCTTGGGAAAGAATGCAGCTGGAGACCCACAAAAGTGCACTGTCTCCGGCTCCTCGTTCTTTCTTCTCTTCTCCTGGTGAACAGAAGGAACTTCGACCTGCCTGAGCCCGCAGCTCTGTAACCACACATGAGGGATCAGTCCACCCACCCTGTTATTTCAGTTGCATGCTTAGGCAGTGAGGAAAGGACATTAGATTCCTAAAGATCAAATTTCCTGAACAGAAATATTTGTGGGCAGGAAAAAAACCTGACAGGACACTTTAATTCAGGTGCGGTGTTTAGTTTTCAGTAAGGTTTTATTTCACAGGGAGAATAAAGACAAGCTGAATTCAGCCAAATTATAAAAGGTTATCAGTAAGTCCGTATTTTCCCCCTCGATTGTTTATGGTTTCTATTTGAGGAAAAAATATCTAAAATTATTTTTTTCCCTTAAGAGTGGTTAATCAAAATTAAGCAAATTAATTGACTTTATCGATTTATTAGGTTGGTGCAAAAGTAATTGTGGGTTTTGCCATTAAAAGTAGCAGCAATGGCTGGGCGCGGTGGCTCACGCCTGTAATCCCAGCACATTGAGAGGCTGAGGTGGGCAGATCACCTGAGGTAAGGAGTTCAAGACCAGCCTGGCCAACACGGTGAAACCCCATCTATACTAAAGACACAAAAATTACCCAGGCGTTGTGGCGCATGCCTGAGGCAGGAGAACCACTTGAACCCAGGAGACAGGGGTTGCAGTGAGCTGAGATGGCGCCACTGCACTCCAGCCTGGGTGACAGAGCAAGACTCCATCTCAATAAATAAATAAAAGTGGGGAGGTAATTGGGGATATTTCTATTATCCCCCAATATTAATTGGGGACAGGAAAGGTAGAGGGTATATGGGAATATGGAAATTCTCTGTACTTTTCACTTAATTTTGCTGTGAACTTAAAACTGCTCTAAAAAATAAAGTTGATTTAAAAAAAAATCACACATATGTGCACAAGTAAGTTCAATGGCCTATTTTAGATGATGGTGATTAATTCTGTCTAGGATACTGTGGAAGCCAGAGAAAAGAGTGGACATTTATGTAAGGCCGTGGGGGACACAGATGGTCAGAAAAGATCTCATAGGCTAGGCGCAGTGGCTCACACCTATAATCCCAGCACTTTGGGAGGCCGAGGCGGGTGGATCACTTGAGGTCAGGAGTTCGAGACCAGCCTGCCCAACATGGTGAAACCCTGTCTCTGCTGAAAATACAAAAATTATACAGGCGTGATGGTGGGCGCCTGTAATCCCAGCTACTCAGGAGGCTGAGGCAGGAGAATCTCTTGAACTCTGGAGGCAGAAGTTCCAGTGAGCCAAGATTGCACCACTGCACTCCAGCCTAGGTGATGGAGCGAGACTGTCTCAAAAACAAAAACAAAAACAAAAAAACCTCATGGAGGTGGTGATATCTGAGCTGAATGTTGAAAGGTGAGGGTGTTCTAGTCTGAAAGCCTGAAGAAATATGTTCTAACAGACTGCAGTGTGAATGAAGACCTTTTCCGATGGAAATGCTTAAAAAAAAAATCACTCTCCCTTAAACAATCAAATGTATTGGATGATATAAATGAACAGGCTTGGGCTCAGCTTGCTCCAGGGCTTGCAGGACAGCCTCATGAGATAGTTTGTATCTCCCCATTTCTCCTCAGTGTTGGTTAATTCTCCTGCTTCCTGTAAGAGAGTGCAACAATCCCAGCACCTTCTTACTCTCAGTTCACATTAAGTGGGGACAATGCAAACAGGCTGAAAGTGAGGGAAGAGACTGTTTCCCCAGGCTACTGTTTTATTAGATGGATGATGAGTAGATACCAGGAGTAAAAACTCCAAATGAGCACGATTCATGAAGACGTGAAACAGCATCATGTGTGGTCCAGGAATGGGTAGAGCAACCTATACAATAAAGAAGACTGGAGAGGTGGGACTGAGGCCAGATCATGGAGTGTTCTGTGTACCATTTGAAGAAATCAAGATTTTTATGTTTTAGGCAACAGGGAATCTTTGAAAAAGTTTATGCAAGAGTGTGCAATTATCAAATTTTCATTTCTGATAGAACTCTGACAGTGGGAAGGTACTGTGTGACTTGGTCAAATAACTTGTCCTCTCTAAGCTGCTTCAGTGTTTACATTTGTATAATGTGGACAAAAATAGTGCCAATACCATAGGATTATGGCGAACTTTAATGAGACAGTATTTGTAAAATGCTTAGGACAGTGCTTGGCATTTAATGAGAGCTAAATATTTGCTGCTACTCATATTGTAACTATTGTTATTATTGTTGCTGTTGCTAACGAAGTGGAAGAGTTTGAGATAGGAGGCATGGAGGTGACAGGCAAAACCAGCTACACCCACACAGTTTACGATCTTCATCAGCAGAAATTTCTTATTCCAGAAGCTCTCACCCTGGAGGTAAAATTTGCAAATAACTTCCTTTTTTTACTCCAGGAACATCTTCAGAGTTACATCAATAAAAAGCAGTTTATACTCTAAGATTGTTTGAACCCTTTGCCTCAAAATCCTTACTTTGCTGTGTCTTCTCATCTTAAACTATTTCATCATGATTATTTGCCAAGACCCCACATTGTCAGACTCACCTTAGTCAGAATCCAAAATCTCCTAAACAGTGTGATTGGGTTGTCCTCTCAGCGAAATGTTACCAAGACTCTGAAGACGGAGCTCTCTGTTACTGCAGTGAGCAATAGACTCTGCTTTGTCTGAGGACCAGATCGTTTTGGTGATATTTTCAGGAAGCTGGTATTCAAGAGCAGGCAGCTCAGAAACTGGCAATGGTCCAGGTGAGAGATGGTGAGAGATGAACAGGGCTTGATGACAAGACGGGAGCATGTGAACGGAGTCACTGTGAAGGAGAGAGGCCTTAGTAAGTGGGTGTGAGGAGACAGGAACATTCAAGGACACTGCTCGGTTTGGCAGCTTCAGTACCTGGATAGACTGTGGAAGGATTTTCCAAAGTAGAAGCTGCAAAGTTTGCTAGGTATAATTCAGGATGTGTGTTGATGTGTGATAACGGGAACCAGCTTTATTAAACTTATGCTGATTTCTAACCATCCACCAAGACCCCTTCAGAGGTAGGTGACCTGGCTGCAAATAGTTTGGGTTAGGCTTCTCAGGTTCCATAAGAGGATGTCCTCCAATGCTCTGCTCAGTTATAATTCTCTTCTTAATCAGAAATTTCGCCTGTTGGTGCCCAATACTCTAAGTGTGAGTGTATCACCTGTATGTGGCTAAGCCTATTTGTGGCTCCCCTGTTCTTTCCCTTTGCCTGTGTACAGGCACATTTCTGAATTGCTAATGCCCATAAAACATAAATTCCATTTTAAAGCACTGATGTATATTATACTGGATATTTAGGGGGAAGATAAAGATGGGATGACCAACTTATTCTGATTTTAGCATCCCAAACCCAGTATCCCAGAAACCTCCACAGTCCAGGGTAAATTGAGGTGATTGATCACCTAAGATAAAGGAGAAGGTTAAAACCACCCTTCAAATCTCCTTTCACTGGGAAGTTTATAGCAGTAAATACTGAACGAGCAACAAATATTGAGGCCAAGCATGGTGGCTCATGCCTGTAATCCCAGCACTTTGAGAGGCTGAGATGGGAGGATTGCTTGAGCCCAGGAGTTTGAGACAAACCTGGGCAACATAGTGAGACCTCCTCTGTACAAAAATTAAGAAATTACCTGGGCATGGTGGCATCTGCCTGTGGTCCCAGTTACTTGGGAGGCTGAGATGGAAGGATCACTTGAGCTCAGGAGGTTGAGGCTGCAGTGAGCCATGATCACATCACTGTGCTTCTGCCTGGGCAACAGAGCAAGACCCTGTCTTAAAAACAAACAAGCAAAAAATCAAAAAACTTACGTTAAGAAAAATGAAATATCTCAACTAAACAACCTAACTTTATACCTCAAGGAGGTAAGAGAATAATAGGCCAAGCCTCAAGTTAGCAAAGGAAGAAAATAACAAAAATTAGAGCAGGAAAAATAAAATAGAGAAAATAGAGACTATTATAGAAAAACAGTAGAAAGATCAATGAGACTAAGAGTTGGTTTTCTGAAAAGAGAAAGTCGACAAACCCTTGGCTAGACTAATTTAGGAAAAGAGAGAATTCAAGTAAAATTTTAAATTAAAGAAGAGACATTACAACTCATACCACGGAAATTCAAAAGATCATAAGAGACAACTATGAATAATTATATGCCAATAAATTAGATAACTTATAAGAAATGAACAAATTACTAGAAACATACCACCTACCAAAATTAAATTATGAAGAATAGAAAATCTCAGCAGACCAATAATGTATAAGGAGACTGAATCAGTAATCAAAAATCTCCCAAGAAAGAAAAGCCAAGGACCAGAGAGCTTCACAAATATTTAAAGAAGAATTAATATCTATTTGTCCCAAACTCTTTCAAAAAAAATTGAAAAGATAACACTTCTAAAACTCATTTTATGAGAATAGCATTGCTCAGATACTGAAGCCAGACAAGGACACTACAAAACAAGAAAACTATAGGTCAACATTGCTGATGAACATAAATGTAAAAATCCTCAACAAAATACTAGTAAACCAAATTCAACAACACGTTAAAAGGATCATACATCATGATCAAGAGGGATTTATCATGAGGATGTAAGGATGGTTCAGTGTACACACATCAATAAATGTGATATACCATATTAACAGAATGAAGGATGAAAATGATGATCTCAAGAGATGCAGAAAGAACATTTGAAAAAATTAAATATTGTTTTGTGATTTAAAAAACTCTCAATGAATTAGGTATAGAGGGAATGTACCTCAAAATAATAAAGGCCGTATATGACAAGCCCACAGCTAACATCACACTCAATGGTGCAAAGCTGAAAGTTTTTCTTCCAAGATTAGGAACAAGACAAGAATTTCCACTCTCACCACTTCTATTCAACATACTACCAGAAGACCCGGCCAGAGCAATTAGGCAAGAAAAAGAAATGAAATGCATCCAAATCAAAAGAAAGAAGTAAAATTGTTTCAATTTGCAGATGACATGATCCTGTATATAGAAAACCCTAATGACTCCACCAAAAAGCTGTCAGAACTAGTAAACAAATTTAGTAAAGTTGCAGGATACAAATATTATTAAAATGTCCATACTACCCAAAGCAATTCATAGATTCAATGCAATTCCTATCAAAATTCCAATGACATTTTCTATAGAAATAGAAAAAGCAACCTTAAAATTCATATGCAACCACAAAAGATTCTGAATAGCCAAATTAATCCTGAGGACAAACAAAGCTGCAGGCATCCCACTACCTGATTTCAAGGTTTATTATAAAGCTATAGTTAACAAAACAGCACAGTACTGGCATAAAAACAGATGCATAGACCGACGGAACACAATAGAGAACCCAAAAACAAATCCATGCATTTAAGGCCAACTCACTTTCAACCAAGGTATGAAGAACACACAATGGGGAAAGGTCAATATCTTCAATAAGTGGTACTGGGAAAACTGGGTATACAAATGCAGAAGATTAGATTGGGCCCTCATCTTACGCCATACACAAAAGTCAACTCAAAATGGGTAAAAGGGCCACGTGTGGTGGCTCACGCCTGTAATCCCAGCACTTTGGGAGGCCAAGGTGGGCAGATCACTTGAGTCAGGAGTTCAAGACCAGCCTTGCCAACATGGTGAAACTCTGTCTCTACTAAAAATACAAAAAGTAGTGAGGCGTGGTGGCAGGCGCCTATAATCTCAGCTACTTGAGAGGCTAAGGCAGGAGAATCACTTGAACCTGGGAGGGAGGTTGCAATGAACCAAGATGGCACCACTGCACTCCAGCCTGAGCAACAGAGCGAGACTCTATCTCAAAAAAAAAAAAAAAAAAAAAAAACAGGTGGAAGACTTAAACATCAAACATGAAACCCAATAAATCCTAGAAGAAAACATAGGGGAAAATTTTCTTGATAGTGGTCTTGGCAAAGATTTTATGATTATGGCCCCAAAGCCCAGGCAACAAAAGCAAAAATAAACATGGGGGACTCCATCAAACTAAAAACTTTCTGCACAGCAAGGGAAACAGTCAACAAAAGTAAAGTGTAATCTGCAGAATGGGAGAAAATATTTGCAAACCATATATCCAATAGAGGGCTAATATCCAAAATATATGAGGAACTCATACAACTCAATAGCAAAAACCCCCAAATAATCCAATAAAAAATGGACAAAGGACCTGAATAAACACTCTTCAAATAAGACATACAAATGGCTAAAAGATATATTTAAAAACTGCTTGTCAGGCACAGTGACTCATGCCTGTAATTCCAGGACTTTGGGAGGCCAAGGGGGATGGCTCACTTGAGCCTAGGAAGTGGAGACTGCAGTGAGCTATGATCATGCCACCACTGCACTCCAGCCTGAGTGACAGAGTGAGAACCGTTTTCTTAAAAAAAAAAAAAGAAAAAAAAGAAAAAAACCTCAATATCAGGAAAATGCAGCTTAAAACCACAATGAGAAATCACCTCACACTTGTTAGGATAGCTAGTATTAGTCAAATAATAACAAGCATTGGCAAGAATGTGGTAGGACTGGGAACACTGTTGGTGGGATTGTAAATTGGTACAGCCATTATGGAAAACAGTATAGAGCTTCCTCAAATAACTAAAAAATAGAACTACTGCATAATCCAGCGATCCCACTTCTAGGCATATAACCGAAGAAAATGAATCAGTATGTCAAAAGGATATCTGCTCTCCACTCCCATGTTCATTGATGCGTTACTCACAATAACCAAGATATGGAAACAACCTAAGTGTGTGTTGATGGCTAAATGGATAAAGAAAATGTGACACACAAACACACACATGCATGTACACAATGGAATATTATTTGGCCATGAAAAATAAGAAAATCCTGCTGTTTATGACAACATGGATGAACCTAAAAGACTTTCTGTCAAGTGAAATAAGCCAGACACAGACAAATATTGCACGACCCCACTTACATGTGGAATCTAAAGAAGTCAAACTCATAGAAACAAAGGTAGAAAGTTGGTTGCCAGCGGCTGGGCGTGGGGGGGGATGGGGAAAATGGGGGATTTGGGTCAATCGGTACAAACTTTCAGTTATAAGGGAATAAGTTTTGGGGATTTAATGTACAGCATGGTGACAATAATAATAATACTTCATTGTATATTCATATTTGCTAAGGAACCTCTGATAGCTTCTAAGCCCTGCTCTTCTCCTGCTTCTCCCCTTTCCCTGAGCCTGCCTTCCGCCTGCCCTCATCCACTTGGTGCTTACTGCTCTTCCTCCTTTCTCTCCTCTTTCTCTCCACACACCCTTTGGGTGGTTTCAGTAAGACTAGTGGATTAATTCTGTTTCTATCCCTTTTATTTCTCAAGGCATTATGGAATCTTGGCTCACTGCAACCTCTGCCTCCCGGGTTCAAGCGATTCTCCTGCCTCAGCCTCCTGAGTAGCTGGGACTACAGGCGCGCACGCCACCATGCCCAGCTGATTTTTGTAATTTTAGTAGAGATAGAGTTTTACCACATTGGCCAGGATGGTCTCGATCTCTTGACCTGGTGATCTGCCCGCCTTGGCCTCTAAAAGTGCTGGGATTACAGGCGTGAGCCACAGCGCCCAGCCAGCACATCTTGCTTTAAACAAGAAATGCAGGCAAGGCGTGGTGGCTCACGCCTGTAATCCCAGAATTTTGGGAGGCTGAAGCGGGTGGATGGCTTGAGCTCATGAGTTTGAGAGCAGCCTGGGCAGCATGGCGAAACCCCATTTCTATAAAAAAAAAAAAAATACAAAAATTAGCCAAGCATGGTGGCGCATGCCTGTGGTCTGAGCTACTCTAGAGACTGAGGTGGGAGGATTGCTGGAGCCCAGAAAGTCCAGGCTGCAGTGAGCCGTGATCGTGCCACTGCACTCCAGTCTGGGCAATGGAGTGACACCCTGTCTCAAAGAGATGTGCTGCACTCACAGCAGGCCAGGTTCTGGGGAAGAAGGTGGATGGTTAAAATGGTAAAATAGAGATGAATGGATCAGAGAAAAACATTTTTTCAAGCGTTTATTATGGATTCATGCCTTTCTTTGCTCTTTTGTAAATTGGGCCAATTTTTTATAAGTAGTGCCCATTCCCAAGGTTGTTATGGAGTGAAAGGAGGTAATACATGCAAAGTGCTTTGAACATGCAATAAGTAAATGCTCAACAAATGCCAGCTGTTGCCATGATTAGCGCAGTGGGCTTTGAGGAACATACTTAAAGGGGCATTCTCCTTTGAGTGGAGGGGCACGAAAAGCTTTCCTGAAGAGAAAACACATCTTCTTTGCATCAAGTCAATTAAGGGAATTCTAACTGCGCCAGGAAGCGTTTACTAATGAGTCTAATGGCAAAGGAAATAAATTATAAATACCCAATAATGTTTAAGCCAGTGATAGTGGTATCCGTGTTTTGCAGAAATTAAAACAAAACAAAACAAAAAACACCGGTTTCTATATCTTAAAGGTCAATAAACCTTCATATGAAATGCACAAAATTATCTAGTTAAACAAGATCCTCCTCCTGCACCAATACTGCTCATCCAAGTTACTCCCACAGTCATATGTTCGGATGGAGGCTACTGGAGAGTATGAATCTTCTGGAGTCCTCCTGCTGAAGGGGAACATATGTTTCCCACTGGCATGCAGCTCAAGGAAACAGGCCACCCTCACCTAACAAGCAATTAAATCAACATGTATTGGATATCAGAAAATGAAATCCCATAGATACGTTCCAAGGAGCTAGAGGCAAAACTGCTGCCAATCTAATCATCCTCAGCTCTTGTAGTCAGATGGAGAGTGCCAGTGGCCTATAGGATTGGTTATTCAGGCTACTGCTGCAAAAGGTTCTCTTCACTGTGGGTATACAATGGGGCTATCTTACAAGGTTAATCAGAGTATAGGACCTTGACACGGCTAAGCACTAATGGTTACATCTAAAACATGCCTGTCAGTAGGTGAGAGGAGAGAAATCATGGCTCCTTCCTCCCCTAAATAAAGGCTGGGGCTGGGGAGCATAAGACTCCCTAAGGCAAACCATATGTGGAAAAAGCTCCAAATACATATTTGGCAACAATTTTATGGAGCTGGAAGGAGTCATTCTCAAAATATGAAGATGTGACTTCAGGAAATTCTGAATGCTCCTTTCTGTTCAATAGTTTTCATAAATGAGATCACATTATATGTAGTCTTATTTCTCAATATGGTCTCTCAAGTATCAAGGATATTTTAAAAAACCAAACACCAAAACTGGTAATTTGATACAGAAATTTTCTTTTAATTTGAATCATCTTTATTGAATTATAATTTTTCATATTAGCCATTTCCATTTCTTATTGTACTTCTATGAATTGTTACATCCTTTGTTCATTTTTCTCTTGGAGTCTTCATGTTTAAAAACTATGGGCCGGGCGCGGTGGCTCACGCCTGTAATCCCAGCACTTTGGGAGGCCGAGGCGGGTGGATCATGAGGTCAGGAGATCGAGACCATCCTGGCTAACAAGGTGAAACCCCGTCTCTACTAAAAATACAAAAAATTAGCCGGGCGCGGTGGCGGGCGCCTGTAGTCCCAGCTACTCGGGAGGCTGAGGCAGGAGAATGGCGTGAACCCGGGAGGCGGAGCTTGCAGTGAGCCGAGATTGCGCCACTGCAGTCCGCAGTCCGGCCTGGGCGACAGAGCGAGACTCCGTCTCAAAAAAAAAAAAAAAAAAAACAACTATGTTAGTATGAGGGAGTTGTGGGGAGTGACTATAAAGGGTACAAGGTTTCTTCTTGGGGTGATGAAGAGGTTCTAAAATTGATTATGGGCCAGGCGTGGTGGCTCATGCTTGTAATCCCAGCACTTTGGGAGGCTGAGGTGGGAGAATCGCTTGAGCTCAGGAGTTTGAGACCAGCCTGGGCTACATAGTGAGAACCTGTCTCCATATTTAAAATACAAATAAAAATAAAATGGATTGTGGTAATGGTTATAATAAAAACCACTTAGATATACACTTTAAATGGGTAAACTGTATAAGTGAATTATCTCAATATAACTGGTTTTAAATATTAGCATAAATCATTTCCATATTAAGGTATTAAGCCTCCCTCTTCCAAAATCTGTAGGCAAATGTTCTAATCTCATTTGCCTTTTACTTTCTCATATTCAGAAGATATATATTTTTAAATATATAATCTGCTCCTTAATGAATCTTATTGCTTTTATTTGGAAAATTCAGTCACCCATCCAAAGATAGTCACTAGTATGTTCTTCTAGCTTATTTTCATATTTTTCATCTGGATTTTGGTGTACATTATAAAGCCATAATCTAGTATTCTCCAAAAGTTTACCTTCCTTATGTTCCTAGGATTTTTGGAACATTTTATTTATACTCACATCTATTTCGGGGCTACTACTGCCTTGGTCTAAGGGTTCAAATGTAAACTATTAGTACATTTTCAATATTTTTTAGCTGTGAAATATGGTTTTATATCTAGTATCTTAAGACTTCATGACTTTCCTTTCAAAATATTCCTATTCTTGCACATCTTTCAGATGAAATTTAGGATACTCTCAAGCCATTGAGAACATTAATAGACTTGCATTCAGTTAATTCACAAATAGAAGAAATGTTTAAAATATTTCATTTTAGGGCTGGGAACAGTGGCTCACGCCTGTAATCCCAGCACTTTGGGAGGCCAAGGCGGGCGGATCACCTGAGGTCGGGAGGTTGAGACCAGCCTGACCAACATGGAGAAACCCCGTTTCTACTAAAAATACAAAATTAGCCAGGCATGGTGGCACATGTCTGTAATCCCAGCTACTCCGGAGGCTGAGGCAGGAGAATTGCTTGAACCCAGGAGGCGGAAGTTGTGGTGAGCCGAGATCATGCCATTGCACTTCAGCCCGGGCAACAAGAGTGAAACTCTGTCTCAAAAAAACAAAAAACAAAAAACAAACAAAAAAATCATTTTATCAGCTAGGAGCAGTGTATTTTTCCATCTATACAGGTCTTCTGTTATCTTTGTATAGTTTCTGCACACATGCTCAGTTTGTCTATAAATGTGACAAAGCTTGTTGCCACAACAAATGGTGATATACTACAATTATATCTTAAAGCTACCTTTGTCTATTAACTTTTGGATATCTGGAGGTTTTTGCTAATTTCATATTAATTCTAAGATGAGATTCCCAGGCTTTCTACTTGGACCATTATATCATCTGCAATAATAACAATAGTTTTTTCTTTCCCAATAGTTGTAATTCATTTCTAGTTTGGGTCCTACTGCATTAAAAAAAATTGTATCAATATTCTGATGACAAGCCCTGAAAACATTAAAGCATGTATTAAAAACAATATCTTTCACAAGCAGGCTTATAAAGGATATGTAAAGCTCTCAAGCTTTAGAGAAAAATCTGAAATTCATCAATTTTGCCACTTTCTAGAATGTTTCATCTAATTTAGGGCTAAAGAACACCTCGAAGTGTTTAATAGATCCGGTGTGACAATATCTGGAGAAGGCACTCAATATTGGGGGCATGGGGTCCCTTTTCCCTCAGCTGTGCCCATCACATTCAAACCAACAGCAGGTGATAGCTCCTATTAACCTATGCTACTAACTGGAAAACTGTTCTCTTTCTTCAGTAGACACAGTTGAAGTGTCTAATGTCCTAGAATGCAATACTGGCCATTCAATTGCATACTTCTAAAGCCTCCCAGTAATCTTTTTGCATACTCTGTGTTAGTTTGTTTTTTGAGATACTCTCTTCCCCTCTGACATTTGTGCCTTGAGAATGAATCTTATTTTTAATCACTACTTGCACACACTCATTTGTTACAAAGTACATCAACTACCAAATTTAACGTTTGAGTGCTGGTTGCTAACAGAAAAAGGAATAAAAAATTTCTGCAGACAAGGCCTTGGTTTCTGAATGGATGATTTTAATGGTGATATGAACTGATTCTAACTGCATTCTGTCGCACCCTCATTCAAAAGAGTAAAACTTACAGTGACCATGTTTATCATGAAATAGTATTGCATTTATTTTAAACTGATGGTCCCCAACTTACTTAAAAATCGTAGAGGCTTAACGGTTTTTCAGCTTTACAACAGTGCACAAGTGATATGCATTCAGTAGAAATTATACTTTGAGTACCCATACAATCATTGTTTTTCACTTTCACAACAGTATTCAGTAAATAACATGAGCTATTCAACACTTCATTATAAAATAGGCTTTGTGTTAAATGGTTTTGCCCAACTGCAGGCTAAATGTTCTGAGAACATTTAAGGTAGGCTTGGCTAAGTTATGATTTCAGGTAAGAGATATTAAATGCATTTTCAATGTGATATTTTCAAATTATAATGGGTTTACTGGGACCTACCCACATCATAAGTTGAGGAGCGTCTGTATTTAATATGAGAAATTATTTTTATTTTTCTGAACAACTGAAAAGGTCCAATTCAATCGACCCTACAGAGAAAACGAACTGAAACATGGCCTCTTCCTACCCAAATCACTACAAGAGAAAATCTACTTATGTTATTTAAGTGAACTGTACTTAATAAATGACATAAATATATGTTTAGAAACAACAACACTCCATTTTCAAGGCTGAGTGGCTGTTTACTGAGATCTGGGAAGAGCCTCAGTAACTGCCTGTAAAATAAAGAACAATTTTTATTAACTCTTTTCCTTAGTAAGAAAGATGTAAATCTTGATGCAATACTCATTAACTAGAATCCTTCCATCACAAAATTTTTGTTCACATATGTTTAAGGACTTTTTGTTTGTTTGTTTGGAGATACGAGTTTCACTCTGTCACCCAGGCTGGTGTGGTGGTGGCATCTCAGCTCACTGCAACCTCCGCCTCCTGGGCTCAAGAGATTCTCCTGCCTCAGCCTCCCAGGTAACTGGGATTACAGGTGCAAGCCTGGCTAATTTTTTTTTTCTATTTTCAGTAGAGATGGGGTTTCGTCATGTTGGCTAGGCTGGTCTTGAAATCCTGAAGATTACAGGTGTGAGCCACTGTGCCTGGCCATGTTTGACTTCTAATTTGTGAATGTGATTTCTCAGATTTCTCTATAAAACACCTTCAATGACAGTACAAAAATTAGTGTTTAATAATTACTATAAAGTAATTTAAATAATTTCTATATTTCTCACCAATCACTTGGGTTTTGCTTCTCCTGCATGTATCATAGGTTTCCTTTTCAAACCATCGTTTTGATTCTTTAAATTTCTTGTCACAGCATCATAAATTTCATTTGCTGTAAATTGTCCTTAAAAGTCTAAAAGATACTTTGAGCCCCAATGAATGGATCGTATATAAATTCTGCCGCAGGCATTAGGGATAGTGTTTGAACACTTTTTAACAAGTTCCATTTTAGAAAGATGAGATATCACAGCTACATAGAAGATGGTAAGTTTACAGTTATAATGTGGCGCTTGGGGAAATAGACTCTAAAATCCTATGTTTACATTTATGATGAAGAAAAAAATCCCTCAAAACCTGCCAATTTAAATATAAATCAGATGCAGTCACACATAATAAATGTGCTAAGATAAATAACTTTGTATATTTGTAATTTTTAAAAATTTTAATTTCCAATTTTGCCAAGTTCAGAAATACATACAACTTAAAGCAAATAGGGTACAATGTTAACACCAGGTGAGGGTTACATGGTGTTCACTCTACTGTTTTACTTTTGCTGTAGATTTGCAATTTTTCAAAATAAAAAATGAAAAAATGTTTATAAGACAAAGTCTATGTCACTGAGTATCACTAGTTTTAGAGTTAAAAGGTGCCCTGTCTTATAGGTAAAAACTTTTCTGCTAAGAGAAGCATGGGAGAAATATTTGACATGCATTAAAGGACAAAACTGGTTTAGAAGCCAATAAAGAGAGAACACACTGCATGTACCACCCTCATCATCTCGAGTTTTCAAAACAAGCATGTTCCTCTTGCTCCAACAGACTCCCATGCTAATCATGCAAAAACACAGCAATCCACCAACTTCCACATTTACAAATGATGATAAAAGTTTAAAAACATATCTCTCAATAAGATGAAAATGTTTTCTGACTTTGACAAATAAAGTTTTCTCAGTTGAATGCCTTAAAACTGTCTAATACTCTGAATTTCTCATGTACTATTTAATTTGGCTAGATTTTAAAAATACAGCACATGATTTTAATTCTTGTTTAAAGTCTAATGCTAAATGACAAAGCCTCACAGTTCCTGGTAGCTTGTTTGCTGAACAGTATCAACATGGCAAAAGTACGAGAATTTCTTTTTAAGATTTGAATGTACTTTGAGATGTGTGACAGCATTATAGCAACCCCAAATTATCTGTCTTATGGTGAAGATGGAGAGAGTAAAAATCGTATGCTGTGAATGATACCAAAAACAAAAAAAAAAATCTGTCCCAAACCCAAAGTTCCCTCCCCAGGCCTTCCAACAGGCCATGTGGAATGACTGCACACTTCTTTCCTCCTCGTGGAAGGTTGAGAAAGGAGGAAACTTACCACCCAGGGGGCAGGTAACGGGAAGACCCAAGAACAGGGCCAAGTCCTTTCAAATGAATATACAGGTGACATTAGGATAAAACAATCCTGGGAGGTTGGACACAAGTGGATTCAATAAGCGACAGCCTTAATTTTGGGGATGGTGTCAATGCTGGTTTTTAAACTCATCATGGGCATCGGAAATTGTTTAAATACATTCCTTTTCTCCCCCCTCCCACTCCCCAGCCCCTCAAACCTGTATCATCCTGTCTTAGTTTTCTGCACTAATTACTGGCAGTCAGATAGCAGAGACAATAATTTAGGGTCCAGTGAAAGTAAATTTTTACACAGCTTGATAGCAGTCTGGGAAGACTGAGGAAAGGAAGATAGAGGCAAATCTCTAGAAAAATTGAGTGTTTCTCTTGGTAGAAGCTATAATTTTTTTAAAAAAGATGTCTTAACCTTGCTAATAACATAAGATGATTTGTAGAAATTAACTAAACTAGAAATTGTCATTTTTTGGTTGTTGAAAATGTGTGCGTTGTTTCAAGCAAAAATAACACAAAAACAATGTTAAATCAAGCCCATTTTAAGCTCCCTGAGATGACATACGGAGACACACTACACAGTACAGTATTAGAGCAGAATATAAATTATTTACAAAAATCATTTATAGTACAATCAAATTTCTATTTCAACAAATATAATATCAGATTAATTGTATCTTTGATTATTTGTTGCTGTAAGTTTATTCATACCAGAAAAATGGTCACATTTAAAATTCTCAAAATAGTTTTGGCACAGGTCACATCTTCTCATTTTGCTAAGTCCCTGAGCACTTTGAACAGGCTGACTTTATGCATCGGCCTCTTCCCCAGCCACCCTGGTCCCCTCTTTCCACAATGCCTTGCTACCTGCTCTGGCCTCAAGGCTACCTTTACTCCTCCCACTATTAACTCTAGATGAACATTTAATGCTATCACCTTTCTAGCTAACTGTGCTCTGCAGAAACCATGCAGCTTCTCTGACAAGAAGATCTACTAGAGTCCCTGCCCCAAAGAGGACTTCATACCATCTTCCCGATGCTGACAAGGAAGGGGAAACAGATAAGGGTACGTTTTGTGTATCCTTCTTCTTGTTCATAAAATTGCCCGTAATGGTCAGTGTTTTAATGTCTCCAAAGCTTTGTGTCTCAAATGCTCATCCAAACACTGGATGGCAAAGAGGTCAACATCCACGTCAAACTTATTGGCAAACAAGTGGTGTTTGCGCAGCATCCAGTTCAAGTCACCAGCTCCGAAAATGCACACTGAGCGCACATGGACTCCATCGCAGGGCGGGTAGGGAGCACCCTTGGAAACATCACCCTCAAAGTACTGCCACTTGACAAACCTGGCAACTGCTTGCATGTCAGACAGATCATACTTATGGCTGGCAGGGAGTGAGCCCGGGACTTCAGGAATCCTTTGGATGGTGGCCCAGAGATACTCATCAGGGCTGTATGTGTCTTGTGCCCACTCCATCAACTTTTGGATTTTTTCATTCTGTAGTACATACCCCACATACTCCCTACTGACCACGAAGTAGGCACTGCCAGAAAAGAGAGGTGTTTCGAGTGGAGGAAGCATTTTGACAGTCCCTGTGTTTGTCAGCTTTCCATTAACGACCTCATACCGCTTCTTCCACCTTTCTTCTTTATGGGATGGCATCCTCTCCGTTTCCAGGTTGTTTTCTCCCATTAACAACTTGAGCTTCCTGACAATTTCTAGGTTGGTTTTAATGGGAAAATCCATACCACAAAGATTTATCAAGTACTTCCAGTTTGCACTCATTGCATAGAGATCCTTCATGCAGTTGAGGTCAGCCTGAACCCGGCTCCACGATGCATAAACCACACTCTCCAATCGGCTGGCCACAAAGACATTACTAAAACAGGAAGCGATGCCCATCACTGCAGCTAAATAGGAATCCTCGGATTTTGTGTCCACATGAATGCAATAGAAATTCTGAGGCATATAGATGGCCCTCAGCAGCCTGTCAAGCATTTCAATCTTGTGATGAACCACTATAGAATATGCTATTGGAAACTCCGCCTCTTCTTTACTAAGGGGTTCTACAATATATTTGCGTCTCTTGATGAAAGAAGAACAGTCACTGGTCATGTTTATATAGTCGTCAGGTGTCCACCGAGGGCGCTTTTTAAATTTCACTGTTAGGATCTCAAGCTTTACCTTTTGGATTTCATTTACATCACCCTGTAAAACTTTGGTGCAATTAATATCACTACTAGGATTCTCCCCAGCAAGCTCCAAGTGTCTGACACTTACAAATTCAGGCTTTTGATGAATCCTTAAAACGGAGAAGGTGATTAGGGATAAAACAAGAACCATAAAGTAGTATTTGGTGGGATAAGAAAAAAGTCTCCTTCGCAGCAACGTCCTCAGCATTTCAAACAATAATCAGGGATTTCCTTTGTGAAGGGCAGTCTTCTATGCTCCAAGCACCAATGATTTTCCCTCCGTCGTGGCCTTGAAGGTTGTCAGTTTGCATTTATCAGAGCTGCAACGGCATCTTGAAATGAAGAGCAGCACTGAAATAAAAGAAGCAATTATAAATATAAATAAATATATATATATATATATATATATACAGAGAGAGAGAGAGAGAGAGAGTTTTTCACAATAAATCTTCTCAGGCTCAAAAAACTGTCCTCTTTGCTATGAGGTTAGGTTTAAAACAAAAACAAAGTGGCTGAATCAGAGGATAAATTGTAGTAGTACAGGAAGCCCACAGTCTCTAGTATTTATACCACAGATTGAAAAAGAAAACAAAAGAAAAAACAAACCCCAAATCCCAGTACATGGATGCACTAGAATATCTAACAACAAGCATTTTACCTCTTTGGTATGTTGAGGTGCAAAACCATAGTTGGACGCCTAGGCAATAATGATTGAACAGTCTATAGTTGATGAGTTTCTGACACTGTGCCAGAATTACCACCCCTTGTTCTTGAAATCGTTAGTAATTTAAGTTCCTCCTGACATGTTTTAATGTCCATTAGCTGGTGTCAGCAGCCCTAAAAGAGATCAGATCCATTCTGCTTTTTGCTGATTTAGGATTTGGGGCATACTTAGGGAGAAGTTTGGAAATGGTTGTGACTTCTAAGAATCTTTGAAGGAAGGGCAAGTCAACAGAATTTTCAAATTGGATTGAAAAGGCTCAGATGAAACAAAGCCCCGTTTGGGACTGTGTTGGGTTAGTCCCACAATGAGTTTAGTTCCATGCCAGAAACTACAAGAAAACAAAGTATTCATAATCCAAAAGAGAGATACAGCTTGCGTTTTCTGCATTAGTTATAACAGACTGTAATAACTAAGTCTTGCAGAAAACAATAGTGTATACAAATTGTAATTTATGACAGACCTTCATCTATATTCAAATTCCAGGAACACAACCCACTTTTACTATATGAAATGCTTACAAACATTAAATAGCTTTGTTTTCAAAAATCAATTTTATAACTTGGCAATTGGTTCTACAGCTGATAAGCGCTGCTGTTCTAAAAAAAGAAAGTCAAGTACTACCAATTTGACCGTTATAAATCTGTTCATAACAAGATTTCTAGAGATTTGACACGAGTTTTTAATGCCAGAAACTTAACTATTTCATTAGGAAATGAGTTGTGAATAGTAATAATACAAATAAAAATGAATAACTGACCATCATTAATATAAAATAATGTTAAGAAAAGTATTTAGACTTTTTACCATTTAAAAGTAAGGAAAGTCTGAATCACTTAGTGCTGATTCCAGGTGACATCCTGCCCCATTCTGAGCACTTCACATGCTGTCAGGTGTATTACATGTCCGGGCATCCAGCGATAATGATGTGCTGCACGAGTCTTTAAAGAAATCTGTGAAATTAAAAAACAATGTGACAAGGGATATATGGACACATAGTATTCACACACTCAGAAAATATGTTGGTGAACTAATCCTACATATTTGCTTTTTTTTCTCAAAATTATGGGTGGTTAACTTTTCTCTTTTAAAATTTCCTTCTCTCTAGTCTTACTTATTTTTCTAATTCTATGTTTGTGGATTGCTAAAGATTTGAAAACACCCTGAAATTTAGGTTAAGTTCTTTGAAAGAAAACTCTAGCAGCATTTCCCTTAATGTATACCAAGGAACAGTTTAACAGTCCAGTATGATTAGAAAATCCAACATATCCTTTCCCCCACTGTGAAGATTCCCAATGCTCACTGGCAAATTAATGACAATCCTGAAGCTGAATTTGTTGCTCATCTCATTTTCTTCTAACAATCTTGATCACCACCCCACTCCACACCTCTATCAGAAAGCGACCACGGGGAGCTTCGGTAACAAAACATAAGAATTTCAACCACTAAAATATCAAAACACTACAAAAAGTATGCCTTTAAGTAATTCCTGCCCCTTACTGGTTCAAGGCACATAAGGAAATCTCTATGGAATCATTAGCAGACCACTAACTAACTGAGAGAAACTTGAGTGGGTCTCAAATAACAAAGAATATAAACTTTAGACAACTGGTCCAGGAAAGCCACTAAACAAATAACAAAAACAACAAACCCTCCTCAGGGTAGGGGTAGAGATCTGATTTCCATGGTTGACACATTATAAACTATCCAGTTTCAACAAAAAAAAAATTACAAGGCATGCAAAGAAACACAAAAGTCTGGTCCACATACAGGGGGGTGGAACAAAAAAAAGCAGTCAATAAAAATGTCCCCAAGGAAGCCCAGGCATTGGATTTAATAAATACTTGAAATCAGCTCTTATAAATATGTTCAAAGAACTAAATAACTGAAAGAAAGCACGAGTATGGTATCTAACCAAATTGAGAAAATTTCAATAAAGAAATAGAATGTACAACACAAAGAATGAACCCTTAATAATAATTTATATAACAAGTTTGGGGAGGTAGAAAAATAGTTGAAAAAAATAATGTATCAATAATTAATAATAATGTATAAATACTGGCTTAATTGTAAAAAATGTACCACACTAATGTAAGATATTAATAACAGCAGAAACAGTGAGGGGGTAAATGGAAACTCTCTGTACTTTCTGTGTAATTTGTCTGTAAACAGAAAACTGCTCTAAAAATAGTCTATTAATATTGAAACAAAAATTAATTTGCACATCCAAGAAGTTCAATGAGCGCCAAAGAGGATAAACTCAGATATCCTTACCTAGACATTTCATAATCAAACTGTTGAAAGACAAGGACAAAGGATTTTGAAAATGTTAAAGAAAAGTGATTATACAACAAATCCTGAAAATGATTAACAACTTCAAATAAACAACAATGGAGACCAAAAGGCAGTGAGTGACATATTCAACGCGCAGAAAGTTTGTTGGCTAGGTGTGGTGGCTCATGCCTGTAATCCCAGCACTTTGGGAAGCTGAGGTGGGCGGATCACTTGAGGTCAGGAGTTTGAGATCAGCCTGGCCAACACTGTGAAACCCCATCTCTACTAAAAATACAAAAATTAGCCGGGCGTAGTGGTGCATGCCTGTAATCCCAGCTAATTGAGAGGCAGAGGCAGGAGAATCGCTTGAACTTGGGTGGTGGAAACTGCAGTGAGCCAAGATCATGCCACTGCACTTCAGCCTGGGCAATAGAGCAAGACTCCATCTCAAAAAAAAGGATTGTTAACCAAAAATTCTATAATGAGCAAAATCATTCAAAAACAATGAGAAACTAGGATACTCCCAGATAAATTAAAAAAAAAATTATCACTAGCAGCCTTACCCTACAAGAAATACTAAATGAAGATATTCAGGCAGAAATGAAAAGATTCTAGACAGCAACTCAAATCCACATGAAAAAATAGAAAGCAGCAGTAAAGGTATATATATACAGACAAATTTATAGTATGAATGTAATTTTCTTTGTAACTCTCTTCCCATCTGATTTAAAAGACAGCTACATTAATTTATGATGATAAAACTGTGTTGACAGGCTGACAGTGTGTGTGTATACACTTTTTTTCTTTTTTTTTTTTTTTTTGAGCTGGAATTTTGCTCTTGTTGCCCACGCTGGAGTGCAGTGCTGCGATCTTGGTTCACTGCAACCTCTGGCTCCCGGGTTCAAGCAATTCTCCTGCTTCAGCCTCCCAAGTAGCTGGGATTACAGGCACCCGCCCCCACACCTGGCTAATTTCTATATTTTTAGTAGAGACGGGGTTTCATGATGTTGGCCTGGTTGGTCTGGAACTCCTGACCTCAGGTGATCTGCCTGCCTTGGCCTCCTAAAGTGCTGGGATTACAGGGGTGAGCCACTGCACCCAGCCCTAGTGTATTTTTTATCTCATTGAGTGGACAAATTGGAACCATCATAAATTGCTGGTAGAAATGTAAATGCTTGGTGAAGCTGCTTTAGAATGTTTGGTGGGTCCACAGAAAATTAAAACTAGAGTTACCATATGACCTAGCTATTCCACTATTAGGTATATACCCAAGAAAAATGAAAACATATATTCACGCAAAAACTTGTATACAAATGTTCATAATGGCATTACTAATAGCTAAAATAGTGGAAGCAAGCCAAATGACCGTGAACTGAAGAATGGATAAACAAAATATGGTATATCCATAAAATGGGATATTATACGGGTATAATAAGATATGAAGGTCTCACACAAGTTCCATACAATGTAGATAAATAATCTAGAAAACATTAGGCTAAGAAATAGTCATTTATAATTCTGTTTATATTAAATGTCCAGAAAAAGCAAATCCATATAGACAGAAAGTAGATGAGTGTCTGCCAGGGGCTGGGGACATGGGGGAATGGCAATGAATGCTGGTAGGTACAAAGGTTTCCTTTGAAAGTTCTCTAGGTAGATAGTAGAGATTGATGTAGAACTTTGTGAACATATTGTTTACTTTAAAAGGGTAAACATTATGGTATGTGAATATTCAATAAAGCTATTATTAGAATAGTAACAATAAAGTTCACCAAAGTAAACAGATTTTAAGTTACAAATTGTGACACCGCTGAGTCTTGGGTTTTTTTTTGTTTTAAACAGGAGAAGTAGAATTATCTTAAACAGGATTTTATGGAATGTGGGTACATGAAAGGGTCACCTCGAAATCCAAATAGAAAATACAAAGTTCAAAACCAAACACTTGGATCTCACCTCAAAAAAGGCATAGGTCTTTACCACTGTCGTCTACATCCTACATGGCCCACATGCTTTGAAAAACGCTTTTTACAACGTAAAATCACTAGTTTTGGGTTTTAACAAGATGGGTAAGTGTCTATAAAGAAGCTAAATATGTGAGAAAGCATTACTTTGTCAAAAATGCTTTTGATTTTGTCTATTTATCATCAGGGTGAATACAGAAGTCAAATCATTCGAAGGAATTGTAATTAACCAACCTAATTTCAAGACATACAACGTTTTCTTAAGTAAAACTCGGCTAAGAATCAGAAGGGTGAAAGGAAAATGAGATTTCATAGCCAAAGAGATTTCCAAGAAGAAAAGAAGTTTAAAGGGAAGTAAAAATGCGCACATGCTATACTATTTTAATGCAACTTTACCAAAAATTACACACCCACACAAGGAATAAATACCAAAATAATTAACAAAAATGTGGCCATGGGTAGTTAATACTGCTCTGCCCAATGTTCCTTCACCTTTATATTTCACTCAGGAAGCATACTCACTGAAGAATATCTGGTGGGATTTGCCAGTGAGGACAACTACAGAAGAGTAAGAAACATTCTAAATGACAAAAGCTCATGAATTCTGGGAAAGCAAGAAAAACTCAAGTCCCAAACCATACTAAGCCTCACTCGCCCAAGGCCTGCCTAATCCAACAACTGACCTGGGGCATGTCCTGAAGAAGGTCCCTCAGTGGACACTGGTCCTTTCCTGGAAGAGGAGACTTCCTTGAGGACACTACCCTATATAATTTTAAGTAGATCGCATAACCTAAGAAGAAATGAGAAATGAAATAATTCCACCGTGAGTTGGAACAGAGGAAAGCCAGTACCTGAAAGTAATGGTTCTTGGTACTTGACTTTTAAGACCAAGAAATACAAAAATACTAAATTCTAAGAATACTGAAAATAAATACTTATCTTTTATATAGTCAATAAGAAGGAAAGCTAGTCAAGGAAGGGAAAAAGAAGATAGGTATCAGGTGCCCCTAAGGTGACGATATGGTCACTAAAAGTGTTCCAACATAAAGAGAGTCAGCACCACCAGATAGACAGGGTGCCGCTGAGTGCTTAATGGAGTGGGAAGATGGACAAAATGACCTCAGGGAGAGGGAGACAGGAGGCAGAAATCAAACTGGAAAAGCAGATGGACGAGAGGAAACTGAAAAAGCATATGCACAAATCCCAGGCTGACAGGCGGGAAAGAACAGACCAGCTCTATTTACACTGCAGGATCTTCAAAGGGTGCAGGAACTGGTGCTGGTTGCACGGATCCCTCTGAAGGGGGGATGCGGAGAATGATGGAGGAGTGGTGTTGCTTTGTTTTTTGTTTTGTTCAAAGTATCCACTAGTAGCTCTTTACAAAGCAGCTGGGTTTCTACCTCAAACTTGGCAAAGACCCATCCAAGATGTAGTCTCTGCAGAGGCTCTCCCTTCCAGGGCACACCAGGCCTAATGGAAAGCAGTTCCCATCCAGAAAACAGTAGGACCCAGGCACAGTGAATAGCCTTCTCCATTTCCAGCTTGCTTATCCATATTAGTTCCCAGAACTTTGATTGTCAGCCCAGGGCAGGAGTTTTTTTTACTGGGGAATCCAAGCATGCCAAGAGAAATAAGGCTTAAATATCTTGCTTAAACTGGGAGACCCCCAAACAGTCAAATGAAACAGACTGTTCAGGGAGAGGAAAACTACCACTAACATTCTCAGGATATAGAAAACTACCACTAACATCCTCAGGATATAAAGTTAAAAATATGTTAAAAAAATATTAATGAGGCACAATATATTTTCTGAAGACAGCCAGGCCAATATTTTCACCCAACATTTTCTTCTGCTATATGACCTTGCCACTCCCCAACCAAGAAGTAGTCAAATTCCCTCCCTCTTGAATTTGAGTGGCCTTATTGAGAGGTGAAGCCAGCTGGCCTTCCTGGGTCGAGGATTGTAAATGCACCAATCAGTGCTCTGTGTCTAGCTAGATGATCGTAAATGTACCAATCAGCATTCTGTAAAAATGGACCAATCAGCACTGTGTAAAATGGACCAATCAGCATTCTGTAAAATGGACCAATCAGCAGGACATAGGCGGGAGCAAATAAGGGAATAAAAGCTGGCCACCCAAGCCAGCAGCGGCAACCTGCTCTGGTCCCCTTCCATGCTGTGGAAGCTCTGTTCTTTTGCTCTTCACAATAAATCTTGCTGTTGCTCACTCTTTGGGTCCCCACCACCTTTAAGAGGTGTAACACTCACCGCAAAGGTCTGCGGCTTCACTCATGAAGTCAGCGAGACCATGAACTCAATGGAAAGAAGAGACTCCAGACACATCTGAAGGAACAAACTCTGGACACACCATCTTTAAGAGCTGTAACATTCACTGCAAAGGTCCGCGGCTTTATTCTTGGTCAGCGAGACCAAGAATCCACCAGAAGGAACCAATGCTGGACACATCTTGGTGACCTTGGACCATCACCAAGCAGTGAGTACCATCGGACCCCTTTCGCTTGCTATTCTGTCCTATTTTTCCTTAGAATTCGGTGGCTAAATACTGGGCACCTATCGGCCAGTTAAAAGCGACTAGTGCGGCTGCCGGACTAAAGATACGGGTGTCAGGTTTTCTGGGAAATGGCTACCTAACAACCCCCAACTCTTTGGAGTTGGGAGTGTTGGTTTGCCTGAAAACAGCTTCCGCTTTTCCTGTACTTCCAGGCTGAGCCCAGGGTTGACAGAGAGGAAAGCCATTCAGCTCCGGGGTCCTGACAGAAAGTTGGCTGACCCTGTAGCCAAGAGCGGAACTCTCCTCCAAGTCATATCACCCAAGTGAGACTCGCCCATCTATCCTATCTATCCTGACCCTTGCCTCCTGGCTCCTAAAGCCTGTCAGACAAACTTCTTGCTCTCTTCTCCGAGGCTAGTCCCTATTATAAAAACCACTCCCTGTCTCTGGTGCTTTTCTAGTTTCTCCTATAAGAATGATTTCTAGTATAAACTTCAGGACTCTGTTCCCTTCTTTAGGCACCTGGGCTCACCAATCAGAAAGAAATAATTTTTGCCAAAATTATTTCTCAGACTAGCAGGCCTAACAAAAGCTACTCCTGAAGCTAGGATATGGGGAGCCTCAGACATGATATCCTTCCTATTCATATGATGAGAAGTGAGAACAAAATGTGTCACTCTTCCAACCCTGGAGATCCCTTCCCTCCCTCAGGGTATGGCCCTCCACTTCATTTTGGGGGCATAACATCTTTATGGGACAGGGGTAAGGTCCCAATACTAACAGGAGAATGCTTAGGACTCTAACAGGTTTTCAAGAATGTGTTGGTAAGGGTCACTAAATCCGATTTTTCTCAGTCCTCTTTGTGGCCCAGGAGAATACGCAAGGGTGCAGGTTTTCAAGAATGCGTCAGCAAGGGCCACTAAATCTGACCTTCCTCGGTCATCCTTGTGGTCTAGCAGGAAAACTAGTGTTTCTGCTGCTGTGTCGGTGAGTGCAACTATTCCAATCAGCAGGGTCCAGGGACCGTTATGGGTTCTTGGTGGGGGGCGGGGAACAAACCAAAACCGCGGGTGGTTTTTTCTTTCAGATGGGAAACACTCAGGCATCAACAGGCTCACCCTTGAAATGCATCCTAAGCCACTGGGACAATCTGACCTGCAAACCCTGAAAAAGAAGTGGCTTATTTTTTTCTGCACTATGGCCTGGCCCCAATATTCTCTCTCTGATGGGGAAAAATGTCCACCTGAGGGAAGTAGAAATTACAATACTATCCTGCAGCTTGACATTTTCTGTAAAAGGGAAGGCAAGTGGAGTGAAATACCTTATGTCCAAGCTTTCTTTTCATTGAAGGAGAATCCACAACTATGCAAAGCTTGCAATTTATATCCCACAGGATGACCTCTCAGCTTATCTCCATATCCTAGCCTCCCTATAGCTCTCCTTCCTATTAATGATGAGCCTCCTCTAATCTCCCCCGCCCAGAAGGAAACAAGCAAAGAAATCTCCAAAGGACCACAAAAACCCCCAGGCTATCAGTTATGTCCCCTTCAAGCTGTAGGGGGAGGGGAATTTGGCCCAACCCAGGTACATGTCCCCTTCTCCCTCTCTGACTTAAAGCAGATCAAGGCAGACCTGGGGAAGTTTTCAGATGATCCTGATAGGTATATAGATGTCCTGCAGGGTCTAGGGCAAACCTTTGATCTCACTTGGAGAGATGTCATGCTATTGTTAGATCAAACTCTGGGCCATTAAATGAAAGGAATGTGGCTTCAGCTGCAGCCCGAGAGTTTGGAGATACCTGGTATCTTAGTCAAGTAAATGATAGAATGACAGCTGACGAAAGGGACAAATTCCCTACCGGTCAGCAAGCCATCCCCTGTATGGATCCCACTGGGACCTCAACTCAGATCATGGGGACTGGAGTCGTAAACGTCTGCTGACCTGTGTTCTAGAAGGATGAAGGAGAATTAGGAAAAAGCCCATGAATTATTCAATGATGTCCACCATAACTCAGGGCAAGGAAGAGAATCCTTCTGCCTTCCTCAAGCGGCTACGGGAGGCCTTAAGAAAATATACTCCCCTGTCACCCGACTCCCTCGAGGGTCAATTGATCCTAAAAGATAAGTTTATTACCCAATCAGCTGCAGATGTCAGGAGAAAGCTCCAAAAGTGAGTCCTGGGCCCTGAACAAAATCTGGAGACATTATTAAACCTCGCAACCTCGGTATTCTATAATAGGGACCAAGAGGAACAGGCCTAAAAGGAAAAGCGGGATCAGAGAAAGGCCACAGCCTTAGTCATGGCTCTCAGACAAACAAACCTTGCTGGTTTAGAGAGGACAGAAAATGGAGCAGGCCAATCACCCAGTAGGGCTTGTTATCAGTGTGGTTTGCAGAAATACTTTAAAAAAGATTGTCCAACGAGAAACAAGCTGCCCCCTCATCTGTGTCCACTATGCCGCGGAAATCACTGGAAGGCACAAAGTTTCTCTGGGCCAGAAGCCGCCAACCAGATAATCCAACAAAAGGACTGAGGGTGCCCGGGGCAAGCACCAGCTCATGTCATCACCCTCACTGAGCCCCGGGTACATTTAACCACTGAGGGCCAGGAAATTGACTTCCTCCTGGACACTGGTGCGGCTTTCTCGTGTTAATCTCCTGTCCCGGACAGCTGTCCTCAAGGTCCCTTACCATCTGAGGAATCCTGGGATGGCCTGTAACCAGGTATTTCTCCCACCTCCTCAGTTGTAATTGGGAGACTTTGCTCTTTCCACATGCCTTTCTTGTTATGCCTGAAAGTCCCATACCTTTATTAGGGAGGGACATATTATCCATAGCTGGAGCTATTATCTACATGAATATGGGGAACAAGTTACCCATTTGTTGTCCGCTGCTTGAGGAGGGAATCAACCCTGAAGTCTGGGCATTGGAAGGAACAAACTCAAGCTCCAGCCTTAAGCCTTCCCACAGGACAAAACTTCTCTTTATACATCACAGACAGAGCAGGAATAGCTCTTAGCGTCCTTACTCAGACTCATGGGACAACCCCACAACCAGTGGCATACCTAAGTAAGGAAATTGATACAGTAGCAAAAGGCTGGCCTCACTGTTTACAGATAGTTGCGGCGGTGGCTGTCTTAGTGTCAGAGGCTATCAAAATAATACAAGGAAAGGATCTCACTGTCTGGACTACTCATGATGTAAATGGCATATTAGGTGCCAAAGGAAGTTCATGGCTATCAGACAACTGCCTACTTAGATACCAGGCGCTACTCCTTGAGGGACCGGTGCTTCAAATATGCACGTGTGCAGCCCTCAACCCTGCCACTTTTCTCCCAGAGGATGGGGAACCAGTTGAGCATGACTGCCAACAAATTATTGTCCAGACTTATGCTGCCCAAGAGGATCTCTTAGAAGTCCCCTTAGCTAATCCTGACCTTAACCTATATACCAATGGATGTTCATTTGTGGAGAATGGGATATGAAGGGCAGGTTATGCCACAGTTAGTGATGTAACAGTACTTGAAAGTAAGCCTCTTCCCCCAGGGACCAGCGCCCAGTTAGCAGAACCAGTGGCACTTACCCGAGCCTTAAAACTGGGAAAGGGAAAAACAACAAATTTGTATACAGATAGCAAGTATGCTTATCTAATCCTACATGCCCATGCTGCAATATGGAAAGAAAGGGAGTTCCTAACCTCTGGGGGGACACCCATTAAATACCACAAGGAAATCATGGAGTTATTGCATGCAGTGCAAAAACCCAAAGAGGTGGCAGTCTTACACTGCCGAAGCCATCAAAAAGGGGAAGGAGAGGAGAACAGCAGCATAAGCAGCTGGCAGAGGCAGGGAAAGACCAGCAGTAAGGAAAGAGAGAAAGAGAAAGTCAGAGAGAGAGAGAGAGGAAGAGACAGAGACAAAGAGGGAGTCAGAGAGAGAAAGAGACAAAGTCAAAGAGAGAGAGGAAGAGAGACAAAGAGGGAGTCAAAAAGAGAGAGACAAAGAAGAAGTCAAAGAGAAAGAAAGAGAGATGGAAGTAGTAAAGAAAAAAGTGTAATCTATTCCTTTAAAAGCCAGGGTAAATTAAAAACCTATAATTGATAATTGAAGGTCTTCCCTGTAACACTGTAACACTCCAGTACCACCTTGTTGTCAGTATAAACAAGGGCGTAGCCCAAAAGCACTGAGACCACTGACAACTCACAGCCTTCTGATCAAAAATCCTTAACCCAGCAGGTTTCCTTACAGGGGATCTAAATCTTAACTAATTATCATACAAAGGTCTGACCTAGGAGGAACTCCCTTCAGAACAGGAAAAGACACAATGGGTATTCAGTAAGTGATAAGAAAACTCTTGCAGTTAGGAAACTTGCCTAATAATTGGTCTGCTCAAACAAGTGAGTTCTTTGCACTCAGCCAAACCTTAAAGTACTTACAGAATCAGGAAGGAGCCATCTATACCAATTCTAAGTTACTATGGACTGAACAAGGTTTTATTAATAGCAAACAAAAATTAAAATCCCAAACTTACAAGATTTTCAACAAAAGTAAAGTTCGCTAAACGTTAACAGTGTAACGTGTATTATCCTAACTTCTAATCTTGTGGAAATCAGACCTTGTCAGTGCCCCTCAAAGCTCAAGTCTGTCAGCACAGGGCCATACAACTAATACCTCTACGTATAGGGTTAGAAATGGCCACTGCTACAGGAACCAGAATATCAAGTTTATCTACTTCATTACTACCACACACTCTCAAAGGATTTCTCATACAGTTTGCAAGAAATAAAAAATCTATCCAGTAAGGATAGTAACTACAATCCCAAATAGACTCTTTGGCAGCAGTGACTCTCCAAAACCGCTGAGGCCTAGACCTCCTCACTGCTGAGAAAGGAGGACTTTGCACCTTCTTAGGGAAAGAGTGTTGCTTTTATACTAACCAGTCAGGGATAGTACGAGATGCTGCCCGGCACTTAGAGGAAAAGGCTTCTGAAATCAGACAACGCCTTTCAAACTCTTATACCAACCTCTGGAGTTGGTGGACATGACTTCTCCCCTTTCTAGGTCCCATGACAGCCATCTTGCTATTACTTGCCTTCGGGCCCTGTATTTTTAACCTCCTTGTCAAATTTGTTTCCTCTAGGATTGAGGCCATCAAGCTACAGATGATCTTACAAATGGAACCCCAAATGAGCTCAACTAACAACTTCTACTGAGGACCCCTGGACTGACCCACTGGCCTTTTGACTGGCCTAAAGAGTTCCCCTCTGGAGGACACTACAACTGCAGGGCCTCTTCTTAGCTCTTATCCAGCAGGAATTAGCTAGAGCGGTCATCACCCAATTCCCAACAGCAGTTGGGGTGTCCTGTTTAGAGGGGGGATTGAGAGGTGAAGCCAGCTGGACTTCCTGGGTCAAGTGGGGACTTGGAGAACTTTTCTGTCTAGCTAGAGGATTGTAAAAACACCCATCAGTGCTCTGTGTCTAGCTAGAGGATTGTAAATGCACCAATCAGCATTCTGTAAAAATAGACCAATCAGCACTGTGTAAAATGGACCAATCAGCATTCTGTAAAACGGACCAATCAGCAGGACATGGGCGGGTCCAAATAAAGGAATAAAAAGCTGGACACCTGAGCCAGCAGTGGCAACCCGCTGGGGTCTCTTTCCACGCCTGTGGAAGCTTTGTTCTTTTGCTCTTCACAATAAATCTTGCTGCTGCTCACTCTTTGGGTCCACACCACCTTTAAGAGCTGTAACACTCACTGCAAAGGTCTGCGGCTTCATTTTTAAAGTCAGTGAGACCAAGAACCCTCCAGAAGGAACCAACTCCAGACACATTATGATTATGGTTTGACCAATAAAGTTTGGCAAAAGAAATACTATGTCACCATCAAGGCAAGGTCATGTAAAACCATGCAGCTTCCGCCCAGTTGTCTTGAAAAATGTGCTCTCTAGATAGAGGCTCCCTTTTAGAACCAGCTTCCATGCTGTAAGAAGCCACATGGAGAGACCAGATATAGGTACCTTAGTCAACTGTTCCAGCTGAACCCTGTTTTCAAGTAATCCCAGCCAGATGTCTGACATGTGAGTGAAGAAGCCATCAGATGACTACAGCCCCTAGTAACTCCAGTCTTCACCGAATTCTTGACCAACAGAATGTGTGAGCAAAAAAATAAAATGATATTGTTGTATCCTACTACATTTGAAGTGGTTTGCCTCATAGCAATAGATGACTAGAACAAACAGGAAACCACATAAATAGAACTAGCAAATAAAAAGAGCCCTTGAAAATTATTAACATGATAGCAAAAATGAAAAACTCGGCCAGGTGCGCTGGCTTAGGCTGGGCACAGTGGCTCAGGCCTGTAATCCCAGAACTTTGGGAGGACGAGGCAGACAGATCACCTAAGGCATGAGTTTGGGACCAGCCTGGCCAACATGATGAAACCCTGTTTCTACTAAAAG
Source organism: Homo sapiens (assembly GCF_000001405.40). Lineage (NCBI taxonomy): Eukaryota > Metazoa > Chordata > Mammalia > Primates > Hominidae > Homo > Homo sapiens. The sequence goes on along the minus strand of NC_000009.12, from coordinate 76,488,659 downwards.
TACAAAAATTAGCGGGGCATGGTGGTGTGTGCCTGTAATCCCAGCTACTTGGGAGGCTGAGACAGAACAATCGCTTGAACCCAGGAGGAAGAGGTTGTAGTGAGCGGAGACTGTGCCATTGCACTCCACCCTGAGCAACAGAGCAAGACTCCAGCTCCAAAAATAGAGAAACTCAATAAAAGGGTTGGAAGATAAAGTGAGAAACACTCACAGCGAGTTAAGCAAATAGACAAACTGAGGGATGAGAAAATAAAACAAAACATACAGTAATTTAGAGAACTAGATCAGGAGACCTACCATACGAATAACAAGAGCTCCAGAAAAAGAAAACAGAAGAAAAAGAAAAAAGGAAAGAAGTCGTCAACTAAATAATTCAAGAGTATTTCCCAAAATGAAAGAATGGTTTCTAGATTGCAAAATCTTCTAGGGTATCAGCACAGTGGATGACAATAGACCCACACCAAGATGTATTCATTAATCATGAAATGTCAGAACAATGGGAGGAAGAATACTGCATATACTTTCAGGGGAGGGGGGAAACTAAGCCACATCAAATGGATTCAGAAGCAAAATGTATTCCAGCTACTGTCCAGCTACTGGAGAATGAGTTATATTCAATAATTATTAGACAGGTGCCATGGCTCATGCCTCTGATCCTAGCACTTTGGGAGGTGGAGGCGAGTGGATCGCCTGAGCCTAGGAGTTCAAGACCAGCCTGGGCAACACGGAGAGACTCTGTCTCTACAAAAAATATGAAATTATCTGCGTGTGGTGGTGTGCACCTGTAGTCCCAGCTACTCAGGGGACTGAGGTGGGAGGATCACCTGAGCCCAGGAGGTCAAGGCTGCAGTAAGCCATGATCGCACCACTGCACTCCAGCCTAGGCAACAGGAGTGAGACCCTGTCTCAAATATATGTATGCATTATTAACCAAGAAAGGGGAGGATGTAAGAATCAGAAAGGAGATCTAACCGAAGAAGAAAAAAAAGAGAATCCCCAGGTCAAGGAACATCTAGGCCATATAACAAGCCAACAGACAACCACAGCAGACTGGAACCTGTCAGAAGGCCCTGGGAGAGACATCTTCAAGAAGACAAAACTGGCTGGGCGCGGTGGCTCATGCCTACATATGCACGTAAGCATATGCACACATCTATGCATAAACAAACCGCTGATGGATAAACCTGGGTCACCAACCTATTGCCCTTCGGCAGCAGGAAGCATGGTCTAAGTTCAGTTGGCTTCTAGTCCCAGTGAATACTTATCAATTTCACTGACTCTCCAAGGACTACTGTTCAGTGTCCCAGAGGCTGCTGTGACTGGAGCAAAATACCAACTACTGTGTTTGATGTCAAAGCCATGCCAGTATCTCGGAGGACTGTGACCCAAGTGAGGGAGCCCAAACGCCACCCAAGGTAGGTCAAGGGAAGGAGCAGGAAACAGGTAAGATCACAAGGCGAAGGCCTTGCCATTCAGGGTGGAGTTCTTTCTGGCCAATTGCACTTTCATAGCCTCATCTCATCTTAGGGTATTTGGTCTCTGTCCCCACCACAACCTTGCCCTGCTTGGAGGGTAGTCTCTGATACCTGTCTGTGACTCCCTGCAGTGAGCTGCTTAGCTCCTCTGTGGTCTCACACTGAACAAACTGCTGAGACCCTAACTGTGGCTGGCCATGAGGAACCGGCCAAGCTCTTCTGCTAAAAATTTAGATCTAGTTTTGTTTGTTTGTTTGTTTGTTTGTTTTAAGTAGAGATGAGGGTCTCACCATTGTGGCCAGGCTGGTCTCGAACTCCTGACCTCAAGTGATCCACCCACCTCTGCCTCCCGAAGTGCTAGGATTGTAGGCATGAGCCACTGCACCCAGCCCTATTCTTTCTTCTCTTTTGACTGCCAGAAAAGAGTTCTGTTTCTAGTTCCCCACAAACTTGCAGGAACTGAAGATATCTAAAAGCATACTCTGTTTAAGATAAAATGATAATAAGCAATTTTTCAAAAAAGGCTAAGTCCCTCAAACACAAAGAATATAACTGAAGTAGTAGCATCAAAAATTTGAAAATTAGAGGTAGTGAATGATAACTGACTTGGAGATCTCAGGAAGCTGAATCCTAAAGCAGGCTATGGGGAAAGCTGAGACCGTGCAATTTACAGCCCACCTTCTGCTGAAAGGTAGACTAAAATAGAGCAATGCTTTCCAAATTCTGAAGGAAAACTGTTTTCAACTTGGAATTCTAAATAACCAGCCAAGCTATTGGTCAAATGTGATGTAACAGAAAGGCATTTTTATACAGCAAAGTCACATGCACCTTTCTCAGCAGGTTACTATGAGAAGTATGCCACTAAAAGATGAAATTCACCAGCAACTGTAAGAGCATTAACAACATCACTAACCTGGAGTGCTTAATATGCTCTGGAACTCTTCTAAATGGCTTACCCGTATTAACACATAGAATCTTCAGGAGAATGCTACATAGAAAGTATTATTTTCCAGATAAGGAAACTGAGGCATAAAGAGGTTAAATAGCTCTTCGAACGTCATATGGCTAGTAAGCAGAAGAGCTAGGCTTCAAACTCACATAATCTGGCCCCCAAGTTTGCGCTCTACTGCCCATTAAGAAAAAGACAGGATCTGGCCAGGCACAGTGGCTCACGCCTATAATCCCAGCACTTTGGGAGGCCGAGGCAGGCAGATCACTTGAGGTCTGGAGTTCAGGCCAGCCTGGCCGATATGGCGAAACCTCATCTCTACTGAAAATACAAAAATTAACCAGATGTGGTGGCGCACACCTGTAATCCCAGCTACTTGGGAGGCTGAGGCAGGAGAATCACTTGAACCTGGGAGGCGGAGGTTGCAATGAGTGAGACTGAGCCACTGCACTTCAGCCTGGGTGACAGCAGAGTGAGACCTTGTCTCAAAAAAAAAAAAGGAAGAGACAGGATCCAGTAATCAAGGGACCCAATATAAATGAGAGGCAACAGAAATCCTAGGATTACAAAGACAGATCCCAAGATGATGGTTGTGTGGGAGTACTAGGAAGAAACCAGTCCTTAATTAAAGCAAGTAAACAGCTCCAGAAAATATTTGAGAGAAACAGAGAACCCCTGCTGTAAATTAATGGATTTAGAAGAGATTTTGATAACTAAGGTAGAGTTCAGAATTAAATAAGTAAAATGCAGGCCAGGTGCAGGCCAGAATTAAATAAGTAAAATGCAGGCCTCCCAGCACTTTGGGAGGCCGAGGCAAGCTGATCACTTGAGGTCAGGAGTTCAAGACCAGGCTGGCCAACTCGGCAAAACCCTGTCTCTACTAAAAACACAAAAAATTAGCCGGGTGTGGTGGCATGCGCCCATAATCCCAGGTGCTTGGGAGGCTAAGGCAGGATAATCACTTGAACCTGGGAGGTGGAGGTTGAAGTGAGCCGAGATAGCACCACTGCACTCCAGCCTGGGTGACGGAGTGAGACTCCATCTCCAAAAAACATAAAAGTACATATAATAAACAAACAATATGAAAAAATGCCATTGAGTACAAGTGAGTAAAATATGCCAACAAGTATGTACAATAAAAGAAATCATGGTCGGGCGCGGCGGCTCACGCCAGTAATCCCAGCACTTTGGGAGGCCAAGGTGGGCGGATCATGAGGTCTGGAGTTTGAGACAAGCCTGGCCAACATGGTGAAACCCCGTGTTTACTAAAAATACAAAAATTAGCTGGGTGTGGTGGCACGAGTCTGTAGTCCCAGCTACTCTGGAGGCTGAGGCAGGAGAATCACTTGAATCTGGGAGGCGGAGGTTGCAGTGACCCAAAATGGTGCCACTGCACTCCAGCCTGGGTAACAGAGTGAGATTCCATCTCAGAAAAAAAAAAAAAAAAAAGCAATCATGGTATGCTATGCTCAGTTTATACATGGCTATAGTAATATAAACATTGAGTTGTGGTCAAACAAAAAGCATGACAATATACAGAGGGTCTCAAAACTATTTTCATAATAATACTAGGCCATTCTGCACCCTTTTCACTCCCTCTGTGTTATATACGGCGCAGTTTTCCAGGGTCTACATGATGTGTTTGTTTTCAACAGAATAAGTGCAGAAGTATCAGAATTCAGGTATTTTCTATTAAGTCAAACAGTAAAAGAGATTTGCAAAAATACAAAAACACTGTTATTCTTCCAATTTTTCTGAAAAGATTTTCACAAGAAATTACTTATGTTAAAATAAAGGGCTTATCATTGTTATTTTCACAGAAGTAATACTTAAGTTTTTTGCTTTCTCTCTCTTTTTTTTTTTTTTAAGACAGGGTCTCAATCCATCACCCAGTCTGTAGTACAATGTCATTATCTTGGCTCACTGCAGGCTCAAACTCCTGGGGATCCTTCCACCTTAGCCTCTCAAGTAGCTGCAACCACAGGTGCACCTGGCTGCTTATTTTTGTAGAGATAGGGTCTCACTATGATGCCCAAGCTGGACTTAAACTTGATCTTGAATTCCTGGCCTCAAGCAAGCCTCCTGCCTTGGCCTCCCAAAGTGCTAGGATTACAGGCGTGAGCCACCATGTCCAGCCTCAGTTTTACTTTCTGATAGAATATATACCAATAGATATAACCCACATAAACAAAAGCTCTTTGTGATCCTCAGTGATTTTTTTAAAGTATAAACAGTGCTGAAATAAAAAAGTTTTCAGGCCAGGCATGGTGGCACACACTTACGATCCCAGCTACTTGGAAGGTTGAGGCGGGAAGAACACTTGAGCCCAAGAGTTCCAGATCAGCCTGGAACAACCTGAATCAACATAGCAAGACCCCATCTCATATTTAAAAATACACACACACGACAAAAAGTTTTTCAGAATCATTGACTTTGGGGATGAGAGACAGCCAGGAAATGAGTGCAAGTGTGGTGGAGGGTTTTGGTTGAAAGAGAATTAAACCCTCCTTAATGGTCAGGTGTGGTGGCTTGTGCCTGTTATCGTAGCACTTTGGGAGGCTGAGGTTGGAAGATCACTTGAGCCCAAGAGTTTGAGACTAGCCTAAGTAAAATGGTGAGATACCATCTCTACAAAAACAAGAAAAATTTAAAAATTAGCTGGGTGTGGTGGTGCACGCCTGTAGACCCAGCTACTCAGAAGGCTGAGATGGGAGGATCACTTGAGCCCAGGAGTTCGAGGCTGCGGTGAGCTATGATTGCACCACTGCACTCTAGACTGGGTGATAGAGAAAGACCCTGTCTCTATTAAAACAAAAAACAATAAAAAAAAAACCCCTCCTTAATAGTAGAAAGAACTTAAAGCTGAATAATTTAGAAACCATATAAGCATTATTATTTAGAGATATGAAAATACACACCTAAAGAAATCTGTAAAAAGTTGAAAATGGTTAACTTCAGGGCTATGCAGTAGAGAATGTTAGCTAGTAGTCACATGCAACTACTGAGCACTTGAAATGAGGCTAGTCTCAACAAATACTTTTTTAAAATTTTAATTATTTACATTTTAAAACTTGAAGCAGTATTAAATGTCTTTCCCTTAAACACATTACTGTTTCGGTAGGACTATATTTCACTTTAATGACATCATGTAAGATACTATTATTACATTGTAATACAAATATTAGACACATGTATCATTTCAATATTTCACTTTTTTATACTGTTTACATATTAACATTATAAAATTTTGATATACTAGATTAAAGATAATATACTGTTAATTTGGCCAGATGCAGTGGCTCACACCTATAATCCCAGCACCTTGGGAAGCTGAGGCAGGAGGATCACTTGAGTCCAGGAGTTTGAGACCAGCCTGGGCAACACAGTGAGACTCCCATCTCTACCAAAAAAAAAAAAAAAAAAATTAGCCCGGTGTGGTGGCGCATGCCTGTAGTCTCAGCTACCCAGGAGGCTGAGGTGGGAGGATCACCTGAACCCAGGAGATTGAGGCTGCAATGAGCCATGATCACACCACTGCACTCCAGCCTGGGTAAGAGAGCAAGACCCTGTCTCAAAAGGATAAAAAAAGATTTTACCAGTTCTTTTTTTTTTGAGATGGAGTCTCCCTCTGTTGCCCAGGCTGAAGTGCAGTGGTGCAATCTTGGCTCACTGCAAGCTCTGCCTCCTGGGTTCACGCCATTCTCCTGCCTCAGCCTCCTGAGTAGCTGGGACTACAGGCGCCTGCCACCACGCCCGGCTAATTTTTTTTTGTATTTTTAGTAGAGACAGGGTTTCACCGTGTTAGCCAGGATGGTCTCGATCTCCTGACCTCGTGATCCGCCCGCCTCAGCCTCCCAAAGTGCTGGGATCACAGGCATGGAGCCACCACGCCCAGCCCTGATTCTTTTTTTTTTAATGCTGCTACTAGAAAATTTTATTTCTCACATTATATTTCTAATGGACAATGGAGTTTTAGGGAGTAGGAGATTTGGGGGGCCATTGGGAGAAGCATGCTGTTTTTCGTAAGTACAACTCTTTGTTGGGAGGCAATTCGCCATGGGTGGCTTGCATTTCTGTACATCTTGCAAGTGAGGCACTGTCTTTTTGTTCCAGATAATTTTTTCAAGGCTATTTTTATAGCAAACAGCCTAGAAAGACAGAGATGGTGTTTCCCTCCCTAGCAAAGGGCAAACCTTCTTACTGACAATATAATAAAGACAATGTTACCTGGGGCAAAGCACAGCATGCTTACTGCCCACTATAAAAGATTTGGCTTCTCTAAGCTCAGGGTTTCTTTCCCATAATGCAACCCACTGTTTGTAGTTATCACTTGGCCCTCTTCATACTGCCCTGTGGGAATTAAGGCTCTAGCAACCTAAAAGAAAAATGCTGATCCTCTGCTACTGCTTAATATAGGTCATAAATGGCACTTCATCTCTGGCCCAGGAGTCTGTGTCTTTTGCCAGGATCCATGAAAATTGTTAACAGGCTTGTTAACTTTCAAGTAGGGTAAAATCTCAGACCCTTCGTAGTTCTTGACACGCTTGTGGAAATATCTTCTTTTTTAAATCACGTGCATTTATAACTCTAATTAAAATAAGAACTACATTTTTAAAAAGCCTTACAGGTAGTGATAAAATTAAGACCTATAAAGATGGCTAATCAGCTTTTATATATAACTGATACAAATCAATGTTCTAAAGCAGGGGTGTTCAATCTTTTGGATTCCCTGGGCCTTATTCCCTGGAAAAAGAAGAAGTGTTTTTGGCCACACATAAAATTCACTAACACTAACAATAGCTGATGAGCTTAAAAAAAAAAAAATCACAAAAAAAATCTCATGTATTAAAGTTTACAAATGTATATCAGGCAGAATTCAAAGCCATCCTTGGCAGTGAGTTGGACAAGCTTGTCCTAAAGTCTTGATCAAGCAGAAGGGGTACAGGAATTTCCTTTTCTCCATTCCTATTTTCTTTTTACAATTCCACTCACCATTTAATCCCATATATATATATGTATTTATTTATTTTGAGACGGAGTCTTGCTCTGTTGCCCAGGCTGGAGTGCAGTCGCACAATCCCAGCTTACTGCAACCTCAGCCTCCTGAGTAGCTGGGATTACAGGCACACGCCACCAATCTGGCTAATTTTTGTATTTTTAGTAGACATGGGGTTTCACCATGTTAGCCAGGCTGGTTTCGAACTCCTGGCCTCAAGCAATCCTCCCACCTTGGCCTCCCAAAGTGCTGGGATTACAGGCGTGAGACACCACGCCCAGCTATTTTTTTTTTCTGAGTAATCCTATATTAAAACATATTTTATAATTATATAAAAAATGTTAAAATACATAATGAAATTTGATGCCTCTAAGTTAGATGAAATTAAATAAAATTAGGTTTCATCTGTGTAGTTTACATACAGAAGAAAAAATATCAGTTCTCCATGCCTGAATTAATGACATGAAAAGTTCTACAGAATTTTTTTCTTGTAATCATTATACTACTTTGAGACAAAATGTCATTTAAATAACCCTTGCATTTCACTCATTAATGAAAATAGTATTTATTAGCACGTTAACAGAAGAAAAAGCATCCTCTTTCCCCATGCTCTCTCTCCCAAAGGCACACCAGGGACACACCAGCTGACAGCCTGGGGGAAGAACTGACACCTACCCTTTCTGCCTATTGACTTTGCAGGAAAGATGAAATACACCCTCAGTCTATGCCACAAAGCGGAAAACTGTAAATTTGTCAGGAGGAAAAGAATCAATATCGTGAAAATGGCCATACTGCCCAAGGTAATTTATAGATTCAATGCCATTCCCATCAAGCTACCAATGACTTTTTTTCACAGAATTGGAAAAAACTACTTTAAAGTTCATATGGAACCAAAAAAGAGCCCGCATTGCCAAGTCAATCCTAAGCCAAAAGAACAAAGCTGGAGGCATCACACTACCTGACTTCAAACTATGCTACAAGGCTACAGTAACCAAAACAGCATGGTACTGGTACCAAAACAGAGATATAGACCAATGGAACAGAACAGAGCCCTCAGAAATAATACCACACATCTACAACTATCTTGTCTTTGACAAACCTGACAAAAACAAGAAATGGGGAAAGGATTCCCTATTTAACAAATAGTGCTGGGAAAACTGGCTAGCCATATGTAGAAAGCTGAAACTGGATCCCTTCCTTACACCTTATACAAAAATTAATTCAAGATGGATTAAAGAATTAAATGTTAGACCTAAAACCATAAAAACCCTAGAAGAAAACCTAGGCAATACCATTCAGGACACAGGCATGGGCAAGGACTTCATGTCTAAAACACCAAAAGCAATGGCAACAAAAGCCAAAATTGACAAATGGGATCTAATTAAACTAAAGAGCTTCTGCACAGCAAAAGAAACTACCATCAGAGTGAAGAACCAACCTACAGAATGGGAGAAAATTTTTGCAATCTACTCATCTGACAAACGGCTAATATCCAGAATCTAACTCAAACAAATTTACAAACAAAAACAAACAACCCCATCAACAAGTGGGCGAAGGATATGAACAGACACTTCTCAAAAGAAGACATTTATGCAGCCAACAGGCATATGAAAAAATGCTCATCATCACTGGCCATCAGAGAAATGCAAATCAAAACTGCAATGAGATACCATCTCACACCAGTTAGAATGGCAATCATTAAAAAGTCAGGTAACAACAGGTGCTGGAGAGGATGTGGAGAAATAGGAACACTTTTACACTGTTGGTGGGACTGTAAACTGGTTCAACCATTGTGGAAGACAGTGTGGCGATTCCTCAGGGATCTAGAACTAGAAATACCACTTGACCCAGCCATCCCATTACTGGGTATATACCCAAAGGATTATAAATCATGCTCCTATAAAGAAAGACACATGCACACGTAGGTTTATTGCGGCACTATTCACAATAGCAAAGACTTGGAACCAACCCAAATGTCCAACAATGATAGACTGGATTAAGAAATGTGGCACATATACACCATAGACTACTATGCAGCCATAAAAAAGGATGAGTTCATGTCCTTTGTAGGGACATGGATGAAGCTGGAAACCATCATTCTCAGCAAACTATCGCAAGGACAAAAAACCAAACATCGCATGTTCTCACTCATAGGTGAGAATTGAGCAATGAGAACACTTGGACACAGGAAGGGGGACATCACACACCAGGGCCTGTTGTGGGGTGGGGGGAAGGGGGATGGATAGCATTAGGAGATATACCTAATGTAAATGACAAGTTAATGGGTGCAGCCCACCAACATGGCACATGTATACATATGTAACAAACCTGCACATTGTGCACATGTACCCTAGAACTTAAAATACAATAAAAATAGATAAATAAAATGTATTGCTAGAAATACATATATGGCTTTACCCATACAAATTTCATTAATTCCCTTGAAAGCCAAAGGAATGTCCATGATTGCATTGTATCTGAATGAAGACCATCCTAATGGTTAAGAAAAAGCACGTGATAAACAAGATGTGGTATATCCATACAACGGATCAGTATTTGGTCTTAAAAAGGAATGAAATTCTGGCTTAGGGTACAACATGAATGAATCCTGAAGGCATTATGCTAACTCAAGTAAGTCAGACACAATAAAACAGATATGCTATTGTGTCTGAAATTTATTCCTTCTGGTGGGTTCTGGGTCTTACTCACCAAGAATGAAGCTGCGGACCCTCCCGGTGAGTATTACAGCTCTTAAAGATGATGCATCTGGAGTTTGTTCCTTCAGATGTTCAGATGTGTCCTGAGTTTCTTCCTTCCCGTGGGTTCGTGGTCTCCCTGACCTCAGGAATGAAGCCGCAGACCTTCGCAGTGAGCGTTACAGCTCTTAAAGATGGCATGCCCGGAGTTCTTTGTTCCTCTCAGTGGGTTCATAGTCTCTCTGACTTCACAAATGAAGCCACAGACCCTCTCAGCTCATAAAGGTAGTGCGGACGCAAAGAGTGACCAACAGCAAGATTTATTGTGAAGAGCAAAAGAACCAAGTTTCCACTACATGGAAGGATACCTGAGCAGGTTGCCGCTACTCGCTGGGATGGCCAGCTTTTATTCCTTTATTTGTCCCCACCCACATCCTGCTGATTGGTCCATTTTACAGAGCACTGATTGGTCCATTTTACAGAGTGCTGATTGGTCCATTTTACAAAGCGCTGATTGGTGCATTTTTACAGAGTGCTGATTGGTGCGTTTACAATCTTTGAGCTAGACACAGAGCGCTGATCGGTGCATTTACAATCCTTTAACTAGACACAAAAGTTCTCCAAGTCCCCACTCAACCCAGAAGCCCAGCTGGCTTCACCTCTCACTAGGATTCCACTTACAGAGGTACCTAGAGTAGTCAAATGCGCAGAGGCAGAAAGTAGCATGGTTGTTTCCAGAGCTGGGGGAGGGAAGAATGGGGAGCTACTGTTTTCATGAGTACAGTTTCTGTTTGGGATAATGAAAAGTTCTAGGAATGGCTAGGGTGAGATGGCTGCACAACAGTGCAAATATGCTTAATGCACTGAATTTCCTCAGATTTAACCTTGGGAGTTTTCAGTCTCTTTGTTATGATTTTAAAAGATGCAGCTGTCTTACTACGACGTGACTAGATGCACCTTCAGAGCAGGTAAGTGAATGAGATGAAGAATGTTACATGGAAGAGGCTTTTTTTTTTTGGAGACAGAGTCTCACTCTGTCGCCCAGGCTAGAGTGCAGTGGCATGATCTAGGCTCACTGCAACCTCTGCCTCCCAGGTTCAAGCAATTCTCCTGCCTCAGCCTCCTGAGTAGCTGGGACTACAGGCACGCACCACCATGCCTAGCTAATTTTTGTATTTTTAATAGAGACGGGGTTTCACCATGTTGGCAAGGCTGGTCTCAAACTCCTGACCTCGTGATCCACCCGCCTCGGCCTCCCAAAGTGCTGGGATTACAGGCGTGAGCCACCACTCCAGGCCCCAGAAGAGGCTTTTAAAAATTAATTTAAGAGGCTGGGCGCAGTGGCTCGTGCCTGTAATCCCAGCACTTTGGAAGGCCAAGGCAGGCAGATCACATGAGGCAAGGATTTCGAGACCAGCCCGGCCAACATGGTGAAACCCCGTCTGTACTAAAAATACAAAAATTAGCCAGGCGTGGTGGTGCACACCTGCAATCTCAGCTACTCGGGACGCTGAGGCACGAGACTCGCTTGAGCCTGGGAGGCAGAGGTTTCAAACGTGAGCCAAGATTGCACCACTACACTCCAGCCTGGTGACAGAGTAAGACTCTGTCTAAACAAATAAATAAATAAATAAAATTAATTTAAGAGAAGACAGTGAAGAACAATATATTAGAATAAGGGAAATATAAGTAGGTATGACCGCAGGTTGTCTGAAAAATAACCTTTTTGAGTTTAGTGTCATGAAAGTTTAGAGATAAAAGAACAAAGGTTGTCCAAGTTTCTCCAAAAGGCCAGTGTGTTTCCGACTGCCTGTGCACATTTACTGTTACCCCAATTTGCTTAAAGTATAAGTAACAGCGAAACACAGTTTTACATGGAAAAAACCTGTCCTCTCAGGCAGGAGACTTCATTTGCAGAGGCTGACTTTGATGGGCTTGAGCAGAAATATCTGTTTATATATACATACAGAAAACAAACAGTGTTTTTTTTTTTAAATAGCAATCTTCAACCTCATTATCATTGCAGGCCAAAAATGAGAATAAAAGATCTCATTGTCTACTTTGAAATTCCACACTGAAGAGTAATGGACTTTTTTCTTTTTCTCTTTTTTTTTTTCAAATCTAAAAGTAGGCAGTTTATAATACCAAATAGAACACCACGGTTTTATGGAAACAAAATTTTGGATTGGAAAATTAAAGTTCATTTTGTCCCCTCTTAAAGATTAGGTGGCCCTGGGTTTTTGGCCCTGAGGTCACCCATCCTGTGTGTCACATGGGCCACACGTCTTGGGTTTTCTGAACGGTCCCAATTTTAAGTACTTGAGCCTCCTAAATGGCTTGGTCTTAGAAATGCTAGTTCCCAAATTCTAGATTCCTTGTTTTTAGAGATAGCCCTCAAATCTGGATTTTCAGTTTGCTAAATGTGACTGTCAGATTAAGTATCCTTATTCCAGATGGCAAAAGGCTAACCATTAGCAAAAATAAAAAGCACTGTCTCCCCAATTTCCTCTACATGTTCAAAATCCAGCTCAACTCCTTCCTCTGGTCCTTTCCCAAACCACAATGATTGCCCCTCTTTGAAATCAACATCATTCACTGTTGGAGGCCACGGAGCAAAACAGAAGTGTGAAGTCAAACAGAAGTGAAGACATAGCCTATGTTAGTTACTTCCTAAATGCATGGTTTCCGCAAGTTGCTTAACCTCTCTGAGCCTTAGTTTCCTCATCTGAAAAATGGAGATATGGTAATGACTCCTCTCATTTGTTCAGTGATGTTTAAGTAATCTGTAAAGTGCCAAGCACAGTGACTGGTACACACAGCACATGCTCAATAAACAGGAATTATCGTCGTCTCTCACTTCAGCACTGAATCCCACATCACTCTGTCTCCGTGAAGCTATCCATGTGGGTGCTTTGGAGAGCCCTTAGTGGCCTCGGTCAAGTCTCAGGCTTGTCTCCCACACTACTCCGTGGGTCTATTCAATTAGCATGAACTCAAAAAATAAAAATAAAAAACATCAAATGTCCAAATATTACAAAATCCACTTCCTTTCTCCCAAAAAATGTAGGGCAGCATCTTGGATGCTTTGTGTTAAGTGTGCCTTATAGCTCATAGTCTTTTCCAGAGAGGAGCTCTGGAATCCCCCAAATCTTCCTGCGAATATGAATGTTACAGATTCTCTTTTTGGAGGCTTCAGTGTTAAGACACATCAGAGCAACCTCTTCAACCCTCAGGGACTGATTTGTGATCTAAGCTGTGAATGTGCCCTTTAAACAGCTTCATAAACCTGAGCGGCAATCTTTATTCTCCATTTCCACATCATCTAAATTATATTTTGGTACAGTTATTGAATTTGAAATTAGCACTAAAGCCAAGAATGAAGTAATTCTCATTGTAATGACATGAAAAGAGGTATGTGAGATGATGTGGTATTCAAAGATGAGCTGCACCTCAGTATGTTCAGAGAAAGCCGGGCGTGGTGGCGGGCACCTGTAATCCCAGCTACTCAAGAGGCTGAGGCAGGAGAATCGCTTGAACCGAGATCGTGCCACTGCACTCCAGCCTGGGCAACGGAGCGAGACTCCGTCTCAAAACAAACAAAAAAACCAGCCTCCAGATAAATATATTATAAACATGCACTGGAAAAACTGAGAAGCACACACCCAAAACTATTCAGTGAGGATCTTCTTTTTTGGAGAGGGGATGTTTATTCAAACACTTCTGAAATGTTTCCATTTTTTATGTTCACTTCAGTAATTTTCTTTAAAAATTGCCAACTGGGATAAAATGGTGACAGTTCTCCAAAATAAGCTCCAATTAAATATATTTGCAAAGCATATAATTTCCCAAAAACAAAAATCCATTGACAATCTAACTTCACTTACACATCCTCTGCGTTCACGTTCCATGTTCTCTTCTGGTACGTAACATTGCACAATACACTTATATTTTTGCTCAGATGTAATAGCAGCAGGGATTTCATTTTCTATTCTTTTTTGATTTATTGGCTATCAAAATATCATTTGTTTTTGTCACAATTAGTTTATCTTATGGTTGGATATTAAGGGTATTTCCAAATTATACTGTTATAAATATGAACTATGAATAGCTTTGTATATTCATAGCTTTGTTTTTGCTTTGCTTTTAAAGGACTTCCTTGGAATTCCCAGGAATAAGGATTTTAGGTCACTACTTGTAAGTTTCTGTGCCTCTTGTCTGCCTTCCAAATAAACGATACTTATACTGTCCCCAGTAACATCTGGATACCATTTTCTCTACATTTACTATACATTTTAATTATATATAATGTTAAATGACTGTATATGAATATACTGTATAATTATTTTTGCCGATATTGCAACTGTAAAATGGTACATCATCAAGGTTTCACTTTGTGATTTCTTTGATTACTAGTGGCTGAATCTTTTCTTTTCTTTCTTTTTCTGAGACAGGGTATCGCTCTGTTACCCAAGCTAGAGTGCAGTGGCGTAACCAAAGCTTACTACAGCCTCGACTTCCCAGGTTCAAAGCGATCCTTCTACCTCAGCCTCCTGGGTAGCTGGGAGTACAGGCACATGCCACCATGCCTGGCTAATTTTTATATTTTTTGTAGAGGCAAGGTCTTGCACTGTTGCCCAGGCTGGTCTTGAACTCCTGGGCTCAAGTGATCCACCTAGGCCTCCTAAAGTGCTGGGATGATAGGTGTGAGCCACTGTGCCCAGTCCTGAATATTTTCTCTTGGGTTTGTTTACATCTGAGACACAGAAGAGTACAGTGGCAATGATTTCAGCTCTCCAACCGGACTGCCCCAGCAGGAGACCTGGGAGTCATCATTCCCCAACCCAAACTTCAGCAAATTCTTAGCCTCTCCTAGCTTCAGCGTTTTTGTTGTTTTTTTAAAAAACTAATTAACTTTAAACAATTTCATTGGGGAAATTATCATATATACCTTAGAGTTTTTATAAAGAGTAAGTGAGCTAACTTGTAACATGTTTATACTGTATTTGACAAATAATGAGCCCTTAATATTGGCAATGTATTATTATTCATTATTTTCCCTTTTTTGACTTTTGTTCAAATCTGAGCTCATGTCTAAGGGTAACTTTTTCAGACTTCAAAAATGAAAATCCATATTTCCAGTTTACTAACAAATACTTCAATATACTCAATTCTATACTGAGAATCTATTATACAAAATAGATTCCTAGGCTCTGGGGAGAAAAATACAAACATAAATAATACATGCTCCCTGCTCTCCAGGAATTCACTCAGAGGTTATATGCTGAGGTTTCTGGAGGAAATTATAGGCTTGGTCAATATAGTTAGAAACTATTTTTAGAACAATGCATCCATTGTAGAGCTGAAAGAAACTTCAGGAAGCATCTAGTGTTGCTGGAAACAGCAGCTCTGGGAGCAATTACTAGGTCTTCAGGCTAGGGGTGGAGTCTGTGGTCCCATAAATTACAAGAAACAAAGACGTAAAGACAGACAAGTGTCGCAGGGCACAGTGGCTCACACCTGTAATCCCAGCACTTTAGGAGGCCGAGGTGGGCAAATCATCTGAGGTCAGGAATTCTAGACCACCCCGGCCAACGTGGTGAAACCCCGTCTCTTCTAAAAATACAAAAATTAGCCAGCCATGGTGGCAGGCGCCTGTAATCCCAGCTACTCCGGAATATGAGGCAGGGGAATTACTTGAATCTGGGAGGCAGAAGTTGCAGTGAGCTGAGATCACGCCATTGCACTCCAGCCTGGGTGACAGAGCGAGACTCCATCTCAAAAAAAAAAAAAAAAAGAAAAGAAAAGAAAAGAAAAGAAAAGAAAGACAAGATTCTCTGTTGCTGGTTTGGCTCCTTATTTCTTAGCCCTTAAGACAGTCAGGTCTACTGTAAATATTTAAAGACAGAGACATGGTATTCAGCATTTCTCAAACTTACATGACAAAGAAAACTTACAAGAAGAGCATATGGCAAGTCCATAACAAAAAAGTCCATCTAGCCCCAAGTTGCACCCTCCTCTGTAACTCAAGAAAAAGCTGAGGCCCTGGGGCATAAGGGTCAAGATCTAGTGGAAAGCTGCCTTTAACCAGAGCCTGCAGCTTCACCCTTGTGGGTATGTGTTCTTTCACGCTCTACTGCATTCCCTTCACTCAATTCTACTTTTTTGGGAGGGAGGGCCACCCACAGAACCCCAAAAGAGACATCTGACATTTCTTTGTGGTGTCAGTCACACATTCTCTTTTCTCATTTCCTTTTTTTCTTTGAGACAAAGTCTCGCTCTGTTGCCCAGGCTGAAGTACAGAGGTGCGATCTTGACTCACTGCATCCTCCGCCTCCCGGGTTCGGGTTCAAGTGATTCTCCCACCTCAGCCTCCTGAGTAGCTGGGATTACAGGCGAACGCCACCACACCTGGCTATTTTTTTTAATTTTTAGCAGGGACGAGGTTTCATCATGTTGGCCAGGCTGGTCTCGAACTCCTGACCTCAAGTGATCTGCCAGCCTTAGCCTGCCAAAGTGCTGGCATTACAGGCTGAGCCACCATGCCCAGCCCCTAGTCCATTTTTAAAAAATATTTACGGGAGGCTGATGTGGGAGAACCAGTTGAGCTGACTGGGGAGAAGCAGCAGTGAGCTGTGATCATGCCACTGCACTCCAGCCTGGGCAACAAAGCGAGACTGGTCTCAAAAGAAAAAAAAATTTACATCTTATTTTGACCCAAAATAATATTACTGAGCATGACCAATCTACCTCATAATGCTAACTTCTGACATGCTGCAAAATCACATCTACCATCAAAAACTGGTGTCTTTCCTAATAGGAGAATACAGCACAGAGGACATGCCTCAAAATGGTCAGAAATGTCTTTGGAAAACACTTATGTTAAAGGTACTAATTTCCACTTATACATGTTTTTTTAAATCCTGTATTTTTATAGCCATGCCTCTTATTTTCAGGGAACTCATAAGTTTTCTGCCACAAGTAATCAACAACAAAATTGGTGGGCTGTCTATTTCTGACTTGAAAAACACTTCTGCATAGCAGTGAGACATACATGCACGGGTTTTTATCTATACCCTGGGGTTTGTGGAAGTCAAGCGCCCCAGGCAGGAGCACATTCCTGGGAGCAATTCTGGGAGCAATTACTAGGTCTTCAGTATAGGGGTGGAGTCTGTGGTCCCATAAATTACAAGAAACAAAGGCATAAAGACAGACAAGTGTGGCAGGGCACAGTGGCTCACACCTGTAATCCCAGCACTTTAGGAGGCCGAGGTGGGCAAATCATCTGAGGTCAGGAATTCTAGACCACCCTGGCCAACGTGGTGAAACCCCGTCTCTACTAAAAATACAAAAATCAGCCAGCCATGGTGGTGGGCACTCCAGCAGCAGATATAGCATGTGCTTCAGGATTTTTAATTGCAAACCAGAGGTTTTGTTAATTAGCATAAGTAGTGTGAGAACCAGATCCTCACAAGGTGAATACAAGGACTGTGTTGGTTAGCATAACAGATGTGAGAAATGTGTAGACAATGGATGAGATCAGGGGCTCCACCTATATGAAAGGATTAGGCATATTTCAGAGGCAAGTTCTGCATTTACATGAAGAGGACAAACAAGCCTGGCGGGCCCCAAAGTCTGGGATGGTGTCCTAAGCCCATTCCTGGATCCAGCTGCTGATTTCAGGAAATTCTTGATCACCTGACCCCCGCTGAATCTTGGACTAACCAGAAGACGTCTGCAAATTGCACATTAAGTGGCTTTAAAAAAAAATTAATTTTTAATTGACAAATAATAATTGTATATATTTATGGGGTATAATGTGATGTTTTGATAGATGTATACATTATGGAATGATAAAATGTACACATTTCAAGAGAAACAAGACATGTATACAATGTATTTATCACTCTTTAGTTTGAGCATTTTTTTTTTTTTTTTTTTTTGGGACAGGGTCTTGCTCTGTCACCCAGGCTTGAATGTGGTGGCCCAATCACAGTTCACCACAGCCTCGACTCCTGGGCTTAAGCAATCCTCCCAACTCAGCCTCCTGAGTAGCTGGGACTACAGACGCACACCACCACACCCAGCTAATTTCTGTATTTTTATGTAGAGATGGGGTTTTACCATATTGCCCAGGCTGGTCTCGAACTCCTGGGCTCAAGCGATCTGCCTGCCTCGACCTCCCAAAGTGCTGAAATTACAGGCATGAGGTACCACACCTAGCCTAAGCACTTGTTTTTAATCCAGCAGTAATTTTCTTTTCCACTGGATAAACTGGAGGGGTATATCACGAGAAAGAGGCTGTTTTAAAGTTCACCAGCAAGCAAGTTTTCAGACTGCCTTATTTATAAATATATGTATATATTTTATTTACATTATATACATGGCATATCTATACAGTTACATTTACACTTGACTTAGAGTCAAAGTCATATACACACACACAGGACTTGGACTCAAAGCTTTTAATGACAAGCATGCAAAATTTCTTAGTATAGACCCTAAGAGTACCCTTAATATAAGTATGTTTATTTAAAAATTCTATGTATCTACTACTGTTACCAGGGGGTCCTTGCTCCCAGAGCTCCCAAGATGGTGGCAGGCCACTTCCAAAATGGTGGCAAGCCTCATGTTCTCTGACCTGGGGTTCTTGGCCTCACAGATTCCAAGGAATGGAATCTTGGGCCATGCGGTGAGTGTTATAGCTCTATTAGAAGCCATGGGTCATGGAAGAGAACCGTGGAACCCAGTGACTAATGTTCAGCTTGATTAGGATGAACCCAGGCACTTAGCCGTGCAGGAACAATGGCAAGCCTTTAGCCCGATCGGGAGCGGCAATGGGCGCCTCGCTGGATCAGGAGCACAGCGGACACCCTGCCTGATCCAGAGGGATGGAAGTCAGTGGCAGGTCTGCAACAGCGGCAAAGAACAATGGTGGACAATAAGCAAAAGCTCAGCTCAAGCCGTAACAAACACGGACCAGAAGAGAGTGCAGTTGCAAGATTTAATAGAGTGGAAACAGAGCTCCCATACAAAGGGAGGGGACCCAAAGAGGGTAGCCGTTGCTGGCTGGAATGCCTGGGTTTATGTCCTGATCATTGTCCCTCCCGCTGTGCTCTCAGGCAATAGATGATTGGCTATTTCTTTACCTCCTGTTTTTGCCTAATTAGCATTTTAGTGAGCTCTCTTCACTACCTGATTGGTCGGGTGTGAGCTAAGTTGCAAGCCCCATGTTTAAAGGTGGATGCGGTTACCTTCCCAGCTAGGCTTAGGGATTCTTAGTGGGCCTAGGAAATCCAGCTAGTCCTGTCTCTCACTATTGTACTAATAAATTACATGTATCATAATTCAAAAACTTGGAGGATGCAATAAAACTTATTACTTCAATTATAGTAGTGCACTCTTGGCTCTGCTACCTAAATCTTGACACTTAGTTTCCTCTATCCACCAATCACATAGTTTTTTGGCGAAATTTGCCCAGTGGGTTTCAATCAATTGTAAAGACTAATCAAAATAGTCTGCAGGTGCCCCATAAAGTTAACAAATGGATTAAAAACTCATTGTTACTTTTCAATTAAAGTAGTATGACAATTCTGTTTCCCAGTTTTTAATTTTTTTTCCTTTGAGAGCTTTGATAACTCACAAATGTACAATATTTTTTGGCAATATGTTCGCATTACAATGAAAACTTCTCCACACAGCCACTTCCCAAATGCCCCTTGGTAGCAGAAATTTCTTTTGAAAAGTAATTCACTGTAAGAACCTCACATTTACCTTGGATTTTTCCCTTCTCCCCAAAATATCTGACTACTGATAGGCATAGCAAAATTGGAAAGAGGCAACACATTTGAAACCCCATCTTTCTGCTAAAGAGAGATGCAGACACCTGTAAACTCAACCACTCTTACGTATCTGGCAACAAAAGAACTAGGAATGCTCTGATGGGTGCAAAGGATGGTCCTGCTCCCTCCCCAGGGCATGGCAAAGGACGACAAAGCTTCTACAGACTAAAGCAGTGATTCTTTCTCATGCCATGACATATATACCAAAAGGTAACCATCAAACATCAGCTTCAGCTCTCTTGGCTTAAGGGAGAGGGCTGAGAGAAATGCAGTATCTCAGTACACCTATCACCCGCTCAGGGACAAGTCTAACCTGAGATGCTCTAATTTAAAGCCTTTGTGTTTCTAAAATTAAACAACTCGATGACACTCTATAGCTCCTAACTTGCAACATCTCACAGTATGCTTGATGGCCAGGTGAGCAGGGCTCCAGCTAGGCAAGGAATCCCTGCCTCCTTATCCACCTTAGAAACCACATTCACCGTACAAGACACAGGACTGAAGGAGGGTCGGCGCGCGGTGACTCACGCCCGTAATCCCAGCACTTCGGGAGGCCCAGGCAGGCGGATCACCTGAGGTTAAGGAGTTCGAAACCAGCCTGGTCAACATGGTGAGACCCTGTATTTACTAATTAGCCAGGCATGGTGGCATGTGCCTGTAATCCCAGCTACTCAGAAGGCTGAGGCAGGACAATTGCTTGAACCTGGGAGGTGGAGGTTACAGTGACCTGAGATTGTGCCACTGTACTCCAGCCTGGGCGACAGAGCAAGACTGTCTCAAAAAAAAAAAAAAAAAAAAAAAAAAAAACACTGAAAGAGGGACCACTGGCATTCTTGACCTTAAATGCTTATAAAATTATAAATAGAGGTTCTTACACTTCCTTTCAACACCCCCAAAGGACTGTCCTTCGCTTCCTGCTTTGGATACCAATATAATCTCAACCTCGTTTTCTGTCCTACACAATTGGTCTCAGCCTTATTTTCTGTTCCACACAACTGACAAATGCAGTAAACTCCAGGCAGCAGGGGCTGGAGCTCAACACAGAAGAGTGGCTTTAACTGGACTCAGGGCCACTCAACAGGCAAGTAGCTCTCAATCTGGTTTGTACACTGCAACCACCAGGGAGCTTTCAAAAAGGACCAATAACGAGTCCCCCTACCAGAGATTTGATGGAATTGATATAGAGTTTGACCTGGGTGTCAGGTTTTTTTAAAAGTTCCACAGGTGTTCCTAATGTATAGCCAACACCGAGAACCATGACATGGAACATGAACCTGCATGATGTGGAAGGGGCTTGAAAAGGTCCTTCCCCTCCAGGACTGTCACCCCTAGTGGCTTTGATGCCCATCAAAAGATCAGCTGAGGCTGGGTGAGGTGGCTCACGCCTGTAATCCCAGCACTTTGGGAGGCCAAGGCGGGTGGATCACTAGGTCAGGAGATTGAGACCATCCTGGCTAACACGGTGAAACCCCATCTCTACTAAAAATACAAAAAATTAGCTGGGCGCGGTGGCGGGTGCCTGTAGTCCCAGATACTTGGGAGGCTGAGGCAGGAGAATCGCTTGAACCTGGGAGGCGTAGGTTGCAGTGAGCTGAGATCGTGCCACTGCACTCCAGCCTGGGCAACAGAGCAAGACTCCATCTCAAAGAAAAAAAAAAAAGATCAGCTGAGCATTTACTGCCTTTAGTTAACAAGCCTGTAAGGTCAAAGGTAGGAAGCAATTTGTAGAAAAAGTGGTGCAAGGCTATTTCAGGTGTACAGGGCCAAGCTTCAAGGTAATCATCATTCATAACACTTTCCAGGGAGCCAAACACAAAGCTTGGCACTAGAAAATGCTTACTAAATGCTGGCTGAAGAAATATCTGACTGCACACACAGACACACCCCAAACTCAGCCAATGGTTTTGCCACTTCCTTCAGAAAAAGTCCTCACGATTCTGGACCCAAAATCTAAAGCATCTTTATCCATCCTCTCCCTCCGTCCTTCCATCAAAGACCAAATTCTGCACTGTGTTCTCACCCTCTCTGAAAACTGGTCCTATCATTTATTTTACCCTCCTGCATCTTTAGGCTCTTCCTCTCTACCAGAAAATTCCCAGTAGTGGCCAGACACAGTGGCTCATGCCTATAATCCCACACTTTGGGAAGCCAAGGTGGGCAGATTGCCTCAGCTCAGGAATTTGAGACCAGCCTGGACAACACAGATGGTGAGACCCGTCTCTAGAAAAAGAATACAAAAATTAGCCAGGCGTAGTGCTGTACACCCTTGGTGCTACTTGAAGGCTGAGGTGAGAGGATGGCATGAGCCCCAGAGGGTGGAGGTTGCAGTGAGCTAAGATTGTGCCACTGCACTCCAGCCTGGGCAATGGAGAGAGATCCTGTCAAAAACAAAACAAACAAAATCCCAGTAGCATTAGAGCATGTTTAAATTTCTTCCATCTCAATCTGAAACAAAACAAAACATCATAGACCCCTCATTTCCTCCCTGCCCTGCATGAATATCACACTTCTCAGTACCCTTAACAGGCCTCTCTTCCTCTACCAAATACAGTGATCAAACTCTACGGGTCCAGCCCTTTTCTTTTCTCATTCTACACCCTCTTTGGATGAGTGCTTTTTATGCAGTAATACTTACATGCAACAGCTCCCAAACATGTATCTCCACCCCAGATCTCTTCCAGGAGTAGCAACTGTCTACTCCTCATCTTTACTTGGATGTCTCACAAACAAAACACACATCCAAAAAGGCATTATCTTCCCTCCCACACCTCGTGCCAACCCGCTCCTCCTCCTGTGTTCTCAATCACCATAATGGTTCCACCATCCCATCCTACTCAGTTGTTTATGCCAGAAACTTTTGAATCATCCTTGCTACCTCCCTCTCCATCAACCATATCCAAATAATCACCACCTTCTTGCTGATTTTAACTACAAACCCAATCTCACTCAATCTCAATCCTCACCTGTCATTAAGCGTTATCCAGTGCTGCTACGCCATCACTGGGTGACTGCAAAAGCACTGTTTGTTCACATCCACCCTCCTCCTCCCCAGGGTGGCCACATGATTGCACAGGCTGTGCCTGCGTAACAAGTCTGGCTCAGGGGGCTGAAGCCTTTTGACCTGGCCTAGCTGGGACACAGTGGTGCATTTTTTCTAATTGGTCCACACAGAATAGAAGCCTTTCTTGGGTTTGCACAAAGACACCAAACGTGCCAGCAGGACCTACCTCTCTAAACTATTCTCTACACAGCAACAGCGATCATTTTACAAACTCAAATTAGGCCAGGTGCGGTGGCTCACACCTGTAATCCTAGGACTTTGGGAGGCCGAGGTGAGAGGATCACTTGAGGTCAGGAGTTCAAGACCAGCCTGGCCAATATGCTGAAACCCCGTCTCTACTAAAAATACAAAAATTATCTGGGTGTGGTGACGCACATCTAATTCCAGCTACTTGGGGCAGAGGTTGCAGTGAGCCGAGATTGCACCATTGCACTCCAGTCTGGGTGACAGAGCAAGGCTCCGTCTAAAAAAAAATAAAAAAAAAAAAACTCAAATCAGAGTCAGGCACAGCAGGGCCTATGCAGTCCCAGCTACAAGGGAGGCTGAGGCAGGAGGATCACTTGAGCCCAGGAGTTTGATGGCAGTGTGCTATGATTGCTCCTGTGAATAGCCACTGCACTCCAGCCCGAGCAACATAGCAAGACTGTCTCAAAAACAAAAAAATCTCATTGGAAACTGGAGAAAATGAACTGGAGGAATGTGAGCAACACTACTGCCTGCCCTAACAAGGAAAATTGAGAGGATATTTCACCATATCAGGGATCTGCCTAAGAACATTTCTGAGAAGAATGTAGGAAGTGCTATCTGGCCCAGTATCTGCCTTTGAGAAAATGTGAGAGAGATGAACTAAAGAAGTATATTCAATTTTTAAGTAGAATTTAGAGAAAACATGAAGGACTCAGGACTTGATGGGTTTAAAATAAAACTACTTCTAGTCAGATATGGTAGCCCATGCCTATAGTCTCAACTACTTGAGAGGCTGAAGTGGGAGGATCACTTGAGCCTAGGAGTTCAACTGAAGTGTGCTATGATCTCACCTGTGAATAGCCACTGCACTCCAACCTGGACAACAAAGTGAGACACTGTCTTCAACAAACAAAACAACCACAAATCAAAAACACTTTAGTGGCCAGGGATGGTGGCTTACACCTGTAATCCCAGCACTCTGGGAGGCCAATGTGGGCAGATCGCTTGAGCTCGGGAGTTTGAGACCAGCCTGGGCAACATGGCAAAACCCCATCTCCATTAAAAATACAAAAATTACTCAGGCATAGTGGCGTGTGCCTGTAGTCCCAGCTACTCAGGAGGCTGAGGTGGGAGGATCACCTGAGCCTGGGAGGTGGAGGTTGCAGTGAGCCAAGATGGTGCCACTGCATTCCAACCTGGGCAACAGAGTGAGACCCTGTCTGCAACAAACAAACAAACAAAAAGTGGGTTTCCACTATGCTGACATTAAAGTCCAAAATCCTAAAAATGACCCAAGACATATTTTACTCTTGATCTCAACTCTTTCAGCCTCTAAGTTTATCCCCTAATGTACTTCACTAACTCCTACTAATCCTTCAGCCTTTTTTTTATTATTATTTTTACAAAAAAAAAAAAAAACAAAAAAAGAGATGGGAGTCTCGCTATGTTGACCTGGCTGGTCTCAAAGTCCTGGCCTCAAGCGATTCTCCCATCTCAGCCTCCCAAAGTGCTAGGATTACAGGTGTGAGCCACCATACCTGCCCCCAGGCCTTATTTTAAATATCATTTTTTAAGCAGGTCTTCCCTGAACAGTCCCTCTCCCCTCAACCAGGTTAGGTCTCAAGGTCACATGCTCCCCTAACACCCTGTGCTTTCCTAAGTACCACTTAAGATTGTGATAGCCTGAGCCGGTGTGACTATGTGTTTGGCTCATAAGCTCATAAAGGCAGGGACCCTCCATCTTGTTCACAGCTGTGGCCCTGGAGCGAGCAATGCCGGGCATCTAACAGATGCTCAGTAAATAGTTGTTCAATGAATGCCTGAATAAATAGGTTGCTCCAGTACCCATGACTCTAATGAACAAACATTTGGCTACCTCTTTAGCAAACGAAAAATCAATCATGGGAGGATTTCTTAGTAACATTATTGCATTGATGACCAAATACATGCAGACTCCTCATTGGAAACAGAAGAACAATCAAGGAAGCAGAAACTCCAGGTGCCTAGTGGCAGCAGTAACATTTCACGGTTTAGATTTGCATTTGTGACCACAACCTTACTCTTAGCTATGAATAAAGAGTTTCACCAGGGCCAGCTCATGGGTGGGCAACCAACGCAGTCACACTGGGCCGTGCTTGGCTTAATGCTCTGTGGTCACCATGTTCAAATTCTTAATTTTTTTAACAAGGGGCCCCACAAATTATGTAGCCAGTCCTGAGTTTTACAAATTAGTTTGATTTCTGGAAGGGAACAGTGGATAGCTAATCCCCAGCTAAGGAGGCATCCTCCATAATCAAGGTTGTTTTCAACCTCCCTGAGCACATGTAAGTCCTAAGAAAGAGGGTTACATTTCTAGGACATGTTTTCTTCTGATATAAATTATATCATACATTATGTAGCGCTCCCTTTGAGAAAGTCGAGATTTTTCAGATTACAGAAATACACAGCAGTCTTCGTTTTATTGCTGTTAGCTAAAAAGAGGTTAATTTTTCTTAAAACTAAATTCTACTTAAAACTACCGTAGAATTCCTTTTTCATTTTCAACTTTTTAAACTTTATGAAATTTAACAAATACACTGAACGCTTGAAATTTCTTTGGAGATAGAAACTGGCAGGGCATGCTTCTCAGAATAGGAAAAAGAAAAAAAAAGAAACTGGCAGGACACATTGGCCATTCACAAAGAACACTGGTTTAGTTATCTTTATGATAAAGGTGTTTCAAGGCGTCAGATGTTTAAATTTACAAATAGCTTCTCTAGTCCTGAAGAGTTTCAAGTTAATTGTTAAGCTTATAAATGTTTAGACCATCTCAGAAACATTTAGACCATCTTAAATATAGGTTCATTTTGTTCCTCAACCAAAGATGACTTTGTTCTCCGGGGAACATTTGCCTATGTCTGGAGACATTTGGGGTCATTTAACTGCAGGGAGGGTGCACTGGCATTTAGTAGGTAGAGGCCAGAGATGCTGCTAAACATCCTGCAATGCACAGGACAGCCCCCACAACAGAATTTAACTGGCCAAAAATGGCAAAAGTGCCACAATTGAGAAAGGCTGGTCTAAACATATATGGCATTTGCCTCAGATAGGAAACGTGACAGCACTAAGCCACAAATCCAGTGACAAAGCCAAGAATACAGACAGTCTCCACAAGAAACACATATGGTTATATGAACAGTCATTTGGGAACTCCCTTTTTAAGACAGGGAGTTAGACATTTGACATACTGACCTGGAACCATGAATACATTTCTCATTAGAATAAATAAAAATAGTGACAAGAGTCCTTGGTTGGCTCTATAAAAAAAAAAAAAATACAGTATAGCTGAAATACCACACACTTCATAGAAAACAGAATTTGACAGTCAGAAGGGATCATTTCCAGTAGTAATTTCTGTTTTCTACCACTTCATTTCATGAAAAATGTACAATATCTACATCACAGTTCAGAATTTTCCATTCATCGGAGAATATAATCACCGTGTACAGTAGCAGTTTTTAAGGCAGAGTTTTGCAAACAGATGATGCATGAAACAAATTTGATTTTATTCTTTGTGGGATTTTTGTTTTGAGACGGAGCTTCACTCTGTCGTCCAGGCTTGAGTGCAGTGGCACGATCCCTGCTCATCCTAACCTCCGCCTCCCGGGTTCAAGCAATTATCCTGCCTCAGCCTCCTGAGTAGCTAGGATTACAGGTGCCCACCACCACACCTGGCTAATTTTTGAATATTTTTGTAGAGATGGGGTTTTGCCATGTTGGTCAGGCTGGTCTTGAACTCCTGACCTCAAGTGATCCACCTGCCTCAGCCTCCCAAAATGTTGGGATTACAGGTGTGAGCCACCATGCCCAGGCTCTTTGTGTGTGTTTTTTTTTTTGAGACAGACTCTCGCTCTGTCACCCAGGCTGGAGTGCAGTGGTGCAATCTCGGCTCACTGCAACCTCCGCCTCCCGGGTTCAAGCAATTCTCCGTCTCAGCCTCCCGAGTAGCTGGGATTACAGGCGCCTAGCCACCACGCCCAGCTAATTTTTGAATTTTTAGTAGAGACACCATCTTGGCCAGGCTGGTCTTGAACTCCTGACCTCGTGATCCACCCGCCTGGGCCTCCCAAAGTGCCGGGATTACAGGTGTGAGCCACTGCGCCCGGCCCTCTTTGTGTTCTAAAAAGGAAAAAATATGAGCCAATATTTAAAATCAGGCTTTACATTTTTTATTTTTAAGTAAAAGTTCTCAGCTATTCGTGGAAAAAAAAAAAAAAAAAAAAAGCTGCCTACACTGTATGGCTGAATGGGAATTCCTGCATGGATACTCGGTGGAAATGGCCAATATCCACCCAGCCTTAGCAGGTTCCTCTGCAGTCACCTGGGCCCAACCAAGCACTCTTGTGCATTACCTGTTTAGTCCATGTGGATAAAGTGGATTTTGTGATCCCAGTTTTAGGGAAAAACGTTTTTCTTACTGTTAAGCAATTCAATTACAAACGGAAAAGGAGTAACTCCTTAAAAAGTGAGTGGAAGCATTGCTATCATTAATCAAGAATGAACTATAATTAATGAAGGATAGAATCTAGTACAAACTTGGGGCCAAGGCTAAGGAGATCCTTTACAGGGCCAAGTTGAAGGACGGGCAGAGGAGGTGGCAGTGACCGTCAAACCCTCATCATGAAATGGAAAAAATATCAACCTCTCGGCCAATAAAACTTTTTAAAAGTAAATTCATAGTTTGGTATATTGTATTTTAAAATAAAGGAGTTTGCCATTTCTAAGAAATCAGTTTCCCAAAACTACCATTTTAAGGGCCCGAAAAAAATTCCTTTAAGAAAAAGCAGGTATCTACACAGTCTGAGTTTTCCTCCCTGCTAGAACTGAAATCTGTTACGAAAGCCTCCAGCAGGGGGGCCTGCCTGGAATTGCCTAAGCTCCTAGCAGGTAATTTACACTGATCTTTAAAAACTACTAAGCCCTCCTCCTCCCCTCTATAAAACAAACCGGCCTTTCAGAACAGCTCTGGAAGGGGGGCAGAATGCCAGACGAAGAGACAACTTCCAGACCACGTCTCTCACCTCCCACCCATCAAATTCAGCCCACAAAAAGCTGTGGCCGCATTCTCATCTCAAGGCACCACGGCTTTCTTTGAACACCATATATCTTCCCAATTGGCCTCTTGCCCCATTATGTGTAAAAAACCGACTCTCTTTTCTGCAGAAAGAAATAACAAGGCAAAGGGTGTACAGGGCAACGTTTATATGCATCTACAGCATGCCAGGTGCCTACAGAACCTACCTCGGCCTAGGCGGTCCGTGCCCTAGCCGGGATCTGCAGGCGCCCTCATCCACGCTGGGAGACGGGAAGAGGAGAGGGAGGCGTGACAGGCGAGGGTGCCTGTGCTGCGCAGAAAGCGCTGCCAGGAGAAAAGAAGCAGTGAGCAAGGGCTTCTTCCATTTCAAAAACCTAATAACCAAAACTTGGAGGAATCTGCCTGAGATACTTAAAAAAAAGAGGAAAGAGAAACCTAGGAGGGGGTAAAATGCTTTTAAGACGAATCACTTGTTTTCGTAATAGACCCTGCGCGCGAGTTTCCTAGACTGCCGCGAGAAGAAGGAAAGCGAGGGAGCAGGAAAGGAGAGGCTTCGGAGCCCCTAAACTAACGTCTCTTTTCTTATTAGTAATAGTTTGCTCCAGGGTGAGTCATTTATTATCCTAGCGTTGGCCTCTTTATCAGTAAAGTAGGGGTGAAAATGCATCTTAGCCGGGCTGGCGTTAGGATTCAATGAAGTTAAATGAAGTTAAGCCCCTGGCACCCATGGGATGGCAGCGAGTCTGTTCGTTCCCTGCCTATCCACGCCCGCAGCCAACCCCTCCGACATCTAAGCTACACGGACCAGGGGCAAGAGGCCAGAAAGTGACTTTCAGGGGACACGGGGCACCGGCGTCCCAGCCCCACTGAGCGGACGGAAAATGAAGGTGGAAGGAAGAGGCGCCGCTCCATTCCGGTCCCGGGCGCACCCCGGTTCTGCTTCCTCCTCCGCGGGGGAGCCCAGCCCGCCCGGGGCCACGGGGCACTGGCTGAGAGCCGGCTCCCTCCCACCCATCCTTCTCAGCCTTCCCCCACCGCCGGGCGGCCGAGCAGGGGAACACGAGGGAGAGCCGGTTACCTGGAGTGGGCGTCTGACCCCGGAGTCTCAGGAGGATGCCCAGCCGCTCCTGCTCCACCAAGCTCCCGCCCCGCGCCGCGCTCTAGGCGCTCCGGAGCTGCGCCTGCAGCCCTCACACCAGCGTGGCCCGCCCCGGGGCCGCCCCCAGAGGCCCCGCCTTTCTAGGCCCCGCCCACCACGTCCCCGCCTCGCCCACCTGCGCGAGCTCGGGGCTGGGGACTTGCTGCGGACTCGCGGTTCCCGCCTACAGGCGAGGGCGCCCTCTGGGCACTGACGTGGTCTGGGAGTAGCGCTGCGATCCTAGTGCTTCCTCGCTCCTCTTCCTCACTGTGCTCTGATTCTTAAGAGGTGTGTGAGCGGCGTCTTTTTAAACATTTTATGCCTCCCTTCCTCGAAAGCAGGAAACTCGAGAAATGCTGCCTTTTCTGATTTTAAACATGAAAATATGTTACAGAACAACAATAAAATTAAATTCCAAGGTTCTCGATATGTAAAGTTTAGAGATAACCATGTAGGTGTTTTTTTCTCTCCCCTAACGAACCTTGCTTCCTAAATTTAGCATTTAAGAACTCATTACATTCATGTGTATTTCCACATAAAAATTAAGATCAAATTAAACTGTGGAACAATCCACAGTGCTGTGGAAAGTAGGAAAAAACCTTCCCCGCCCTTATAGCACAGATCTTTGTGTCAGTTATAAAAGTTGACACAGTTCTCTTTGTAACAAGGGGAATATTGTGTCTGTGTCTTCTTTCGTTGGATTTTTAGCTCCTAGAAAACAGAACGAGGTCTTATTTGTTTCCATGTTGTTTAAAAAAAATTCTGGCCGGGCGCGGTGGCTCACGCCTGTAATCCCAGCACTTTGGGAGGCCGAGGCGGGCGGATCACCAGGTCAGGAGATCGAGACCATCCTGGCTAACATGGTGAAACCGCGTCTCTACTAAATATACAAAAAATTAGCCAGGCGTGGTGGCGGGCGCCTGTAGTCCCAGCTACTCGGGAGGCTGAGTCAGGAGAATGGCGTGAACCCGGGAGGCGGAGCTTGCAGTGAGCCGAGATCGTGTCACTGCACTCCAGCCTGGGCAACAGAGCGAGACTCCATCTCAAAAAAAAAAAAAAAAAAAAAAAAATCCAACTCAGAGGCCATTAGACTGTGATATGTTTGACACTTGCCTGATTTGTCAACAAAAATTAACATAAGATGATGGTATAGAGGAAGAAAGACTTCCCCTCTACTCTCTGAGGCTTGGATAACTAAGTCTATGAAATAAATTGACTGCAGGTAGATTAACAAGAGAAAAAGTACACAGATTTCGTGTAGGGGGTATCACAGAAAAGAAAAACTAATATTCCCTCTGCCTCCCCCAACAAAAACTGAGATTTTAGGAGCTTGTGTATCCTCTTCATTGGGGAGGGACAATTTAGGGGAGAGGAAATGATTTTGGGAAAAACTCCTGAACTCCTTCAATGGCTAGCTTTGTTTAATATCTCATGAAATTTTTCATGAGCAATTCAAGCATAATTGTTAAGAGCAAGTAGATTAGGTAAATGTAAATGGAATAAAAGTTTATAAACTTTTAAAAATAATTTGTTTTATAAAATTTGTCTACTTAAAAATAGTTTTAAAAATCTTTTTTGGTGACTTGAAATTTCGAACATATTAAATTAAGTAATAGATATTCATTAAATGTCTGAGTCATTTGTAAGTTAAAATACTGACATGTTAATTGCTAAACATAAGTTTAAAGTATAGCCGGGGCTGGGCACAGTGGCTCATGCCTGTAATTCCAGCACTTTGGGAGGCCGAGGTGGGTGGATCACCTGAAGTCAGGAGTTTGAGTCCAGCCTGGCCAACATACCAAAACCCCGTCTCTACTAAAAATACAAAAATTAGCCAGCTGCGGTGGCGTGTGCCTGCAGTCCCAGCTACTCAGGAGGCTGAGGCATGAGAATCGCTTGAACCCGGGAGGTGGAGGTTGCAGTGAGCTGAGATCGTGCCACTGCACTCTGGCCTGCGTGACAAAGCAAGGCTCCATCTCAAAAATAAATAAATTAATTAATTAAAAATAAAATATAGCTGGCTGTTTGCAATGGCTCACGCTTGTAATTCCAACACTTTAGGAAGCCGAGGTACAAGTATCACTTGAGCCTGGGAGTTTGAGATCAGCCTGGGCAGCATAGCCAGACCTCACCTCTACAAAATAAAAATAGATAAATTAACCAGGGGTGGTGGCCAAGCAATAGATTTATGAATTAACTTTTGGAATATATCTTGTTTGTCAGTTGGATACTGCCTGTATACCATAAGTGTAATCCATTTTGTTTGTGTATGTGACAGGGTCTCACTCTGTTACTCAGGCTGGAGCACAGTGGCGCAATCACAGCTCACTGCAGCCTCAACTTACCCCTGCTCAGGTGATTCTCTCACCTCAACCTCCCAAGTAGCTGGGACTACAGGTGTGTGCCACCATGCCCGGTAATTTTTTGGTATTTTTTGTAGAGATAGGGTTTCACCATGTTGCCCAGGCTGGGTTTGAACTCCCACGCTCAAGCGATCCACCCACCTCAGTCTCCCATAATGCTGGGATTACAGGTGTGAGCCACCTTGCCCAGCCCACTTATTTTTAATGCCTGCAATAACATACACCCATAAATCTATACAAGTAGTTTAGAAGGTATTTCTGGAATGCTTAGGGGTGTATCAGTCAGGGCCCAGTCAGAAAACAGAAATCACAGCAATTACTTTTACAGAGAATTTAAGGTCATGAAGATTGGCAAGGCAAAAACATTGTAGTAACAGAGAGAGAGTAACTGCAGGAAGCAGCTGCCATGCACAGAGCTGGGGAGAGGGGAAGTGTTGGGGTTATCAGAACCTAACAGCCAGGAGAGGGCCCCTGGTTGGCTGGGAGTCAGACCTCAAAGGAGGGGGCGGTACCCAGCTGGTGCTTTTATCTCTGAAGGTAAATATTGAGGCTGGATGGGAGAGGGTGGATTAAAACAAACAAACAAATCTAAGAAACTGGAACCAGCTGTTGCTGCAGCCAGGGAGAAGAGCCATTGCTTGGTAACATGGACAGGAACAGTAAGCAGCTATAAAGTAGCAAGTCCCTCTCCTCAAGCACCCCTTATAAGCAAAACCTTATAGGAAATGTGATTTGCTAAGTCCCAGCCCTGGCTCACAAAGCAGAAGATAGAAGCTTGAGTTTGAACTCTAAGACATACTTCAATAACCAGCACAAGGAGCAAACTCATGATCACAAACACCCAACTCTCCTAATATTATAGATGTGGGAAAGTGTCTGATAAACACAGCTGTCATAGTAATGATTAATACAATAGCAATATATTCTTAAAATGTCATAATAAAACTATAGTTACAAGTACAATCAAATAACGGGACAGAGGCAGGGCATGGTGGCTTATGCCTGTAATCCCAGCACTTCGGGAGGCCGAGGTGGGCAGATCACTTGAGGTAAGGAGTTCGAGTTCCAGCCTAGCCAACATGGCGAAACCCCGTCTCTACTAAAAATATAAAAATTAGCTGGGTGCGGTGGCACATGCCTGTAATCCTAGCTACTGGGGAGGCTGAGGCACGAGAATCGGTTGAATCTGGGAGGCGGAGGTTCCAGTGAGCCAAGATCATGCCACTGCACTCCAGCCTGGGTGACAGAGCAAGATTCCATCTCAAAAATAGATAAATAAATAAGAATAAATTAAAAAAAAAGTAAGGGGATGGTGTTGCTTGACCTATACTTTGTGTTACTGGAGACCAGTGAACATCCTCTCCCGGCTGTATTTTCTGAGAAACCACTAACTACATAGAACCACCTTTCCCCAAATGACTTAGGTAATCATCATGGATAACATCCTTTCACACTTACAACAAGGCCATAGACATGCGCTCCAAATTTCCATTCTCATCTTATAAATGGTTAGCTGAACCATTTGCCCCTACTGATCAATCTGGGCAAATACCTTACTTGATCAAACTTCAATGAGGCTTTTCTCCTTCCATCAGGTCTTTGCCCTTTAATCTAGTCTCAGCCTAAACCAGCATTGGAATTTGGAATAAGCCCCTTAATGTCCTGTATTAGTCTGCTTTCACATTGCTATAAAGACATTTCTGAGACTGGATGATTTATAAAGAAAAGAGGTTTAAAGGCTGGGTGCGGTGGCTCACGCCTGTAATCTCAGCACTCTGGGAGGCTGAGGCGGGCGAATCACAAGGTTAGGAGTTCGAGACCAGCCTGACCAACATGGTGAAACTCTGTCTCTACTAAAAATACAAAAATTATCCAGGCGTGGTGGTGCACGCCTGTAATCCCAGCTACTCAGGAGGCTGAGGCAGGAGAGTCGCTTGAACCCGGGAGGCGGAGGTTGCAGTGAGCTGAGATCATGCCACTGCACTCCAGCCTGGCGACAGAGTGAGACTCTGTCTAACAAAAAAAAAAAAAAAAAAAAAAGAAAAGAAAAGAGGTTTAATTGACTCACAGTTTTGCCTGGCTGGGGGGGCCTCAGGAAACTTTTAATCATGACAGCAGGGGAAGAGGCACATCTTACACGGCGGCAGATGAGAGAGAGCAAGCAAGAGCAGGGAAAACAGCCTTATAAGACCATCAGATCTCCTGAGAACTCACTCACTATCACAAAAACAACACGGGGGAAACTGCCCCCACGATCCAATCACCTCCACCAAGCCCCTCCCTCACCACGTGGGGATTATGGGGATTACAATTCAAGATGAGATTTGGGTGGGGTTTGGGTGGGAACACAGCCAAACCATATCACATCCCCTCCCAAGAAGCCCTTTTCCAGCTGACCACAAAGAAACTCTGTCCTGATCAGTTGCCTGATTGGGCCACCTGCTCATCCCACTCCCTGATACTGGTTCTTTTTTTTTTTTTTTTTTTTTTTTTTTTCTTTTCTGAGACAGAGTTTCGCTCTTGTTGCCCAGGCTGGAGTACAATGGTGGTGCAATCTCAGCTCACTGCAACCTCCGCCTCCCGGGTTCAAGCGATTCTTCTGCCTCAGCCTCCCAAGTAGCTGGGATTACAGGCATGCACCAACCATGCCCAGCTAATTTTGTATTTTTAGACGAGTTTTCACCATGTTGGTCAGGCTGGTCTCAAACTCCTGACCTCAGGTGATCCTCCCACCTTGGCCTCTCAGAGTGCTGGGATTACAGGCATGAGCCACCGCACTCAGCCGATACTGGTTCTTTTTAACATTGTTTACTACTACCAAAAAAAGAAAAACCCTTTTCTGCCTGACCTTTCAAAAGCTTGCAGATCTTATGGTTGAAGCATTCTATTAGAATGCCGTCCCTCCCCTATTGCGACATTCTCTTTTTCTATTGCAATAATCCTTCTAAATAAAGTCTCTCCTTACCTAGATCTGGATTTGGTTTTTATTTGACAGTTCTCATTGCTGTGATCCAGCTCAAGACTGGAACTCACCTAGGGACCTCCACCAGCCCCACCCAGGTAAAGGTGCCATGTTCAGGACTTGAGGACTCTTGGGTGAGTTCAAGTCTTGAACCAGTGCTCTGGCCATCTTGTCTGTTGAAGAACAGTAAGAGGTTACTTTGATTGTTTCAGGCAAAGAGATGCTTTGGCCCTCCTGTGAGACTTCTGTGTTTCCTCAGCTCCTCGACCTGGGGATTGTTCAAGGGAATTAATCAAGTGGGAGTTTTTCTTGGCTCCTTTAAAGACTTTTCTTTGGGCTGACTATCCACTAATGCCATGGGTAACTCTCACTCTATCAGATGCCCTCCTCTTCCCCCACTGAGTACCTGCTATTATGGCACTAATTCAGTTTAATAGCCTCAAAAATGGCACAATTTACTAAAGGTAACCTAGAACCTCAAAGGCCTCTTTGGGAAACATGAGATCTCCTTAAACCAGCTCATCTAAGACTTCTCCCTTCCCATCATCCTCATCCCTCCTTTTTACCACTTTAAACCTTCTCTTTTGTTGCCTTGAATGATTTAATCTGTCCACCTCCTTCACCCATCTACCCATTCCTACACACCTTTTCCTACCCACTCCAGCTCCTCAACTCATGGTCACTCAAGATTAGGCCTCCCTTCTGTTCTGACCACCTTCTCTTCACAGCACTGGTGAAGCAGGGATCTCCTGTGCTAAACAGGAGATGGCTGAACAGATGACACCCAATACTGGGCAGATGAGATTGGCTACAGTTTTTTCAGTTACATACTCACAGCCTAAGGGGTGAGGAGGTTATTGCATGCCAGGCAGAGCCACATGGGAATTGCATTTGAAAGCAGACTGAAGCAGCAGGGGCTGTGTGAGGCAGGCTTTGTAGTAATGGCACAAGAGTGAGGTAACCTTTTATTCCACGGGAGGATGTAATTGGCTTGTTCAAATAGTTCTGTGGGCTGGCAGGTAGGTAAAGCTCCTTAGATTGAAGATTAAGTAGGGTACAGCTGGTCTGGCTGAAGGGGAAACTAGCTGGGTAGGGAGCCCTTCCCACTTCGGGGGTGATATGGTTTCGATCAGTGTCCCTGCCCAAATCTCATATCGAATTGTAGTCCCCAGTTGTGGAAGTGGGGCCTGATGGAGTGTGATTGAATCCTGGAGGCGGTTTCTAATGGTTTAGCACCATCCCTTTGGTGCTGTCTTGTCATGGAGTTCTCATGAGATCTGGTTGTTTAAAAGTATGTGGCACCTCCTCCCTGCCTCTCCTCCCCCTGCTCCAGCCGTGTAAGATGTACCTGCTTCCCCTTCAACTTGCATCATGATTGTAAGTTTCCTGAGGCCTCCCAAGCCATGCTTTCTGTGCAGCGTACAGAACTGTGAGCCAATTAAACCTCTTTTCTTTATAAATTACCCAGTCTCAGGTAGTTCTTTATAGCGATACAAGAATGGTCTAATATAAGTACCTAGATCATTTCTAAGTAAGATAGACTAGTGGAGCATAATTTAAAGCTTATGTAAATTTTTTTTAGTACAGAGAGGCTAAATATATTTTGGTCTGCTAATGATGTGTTCATTCTTGCCACACTGAAAAGTTGTACAGGCCAGGTGCAGTGGTTCACACCTGTAATCCCAGCACTTTGGGAGGCCAAGGTGGGTGGATCACCTGAGGTCAGGAGTTTGAGATCAACCTGACCAACATGGTGAAACCCCATCTGTACTAAAAATACAAAAATTAGCTGGATGTGGTGGCAGGGGCCTGTAATCCCAGTTACTCGGGAGGCTGAGGCAGGAGAATCACTTGAAGCCAGGAGGTGGAGGTTGCAGTAAGCCGAGATCACACCATTGCACTCCAGCCTGGGCGACAGAGAGAGACTCCATCTCAAAACAACAACAACAACAACAAAAAAAAAAAAAAAAAAGAAAGAAAGAAAAGAAAAGAAAAGTTGTACTATAAGGAAGTGTATGGCTATAAAAAAGTCACAAGATATATAACCTTAAGCTTGACTAGTCTGCTACAATATGCTGGTATATGACAGACAGCTAATTATCTACTTCATAGTTTTCTCTGTAGGTATATTACTTTGCTAGGTCTGTCAACAAAGTACCATAGACTGGTACTTTAAACAACAGAATTTTGTTTTCTCACAATTCTGGAGGCTGGAAGTCCAAAATTGAGTGTCAGCAGAGTTGGGCTTTTTCTGAGGCCTCTCTCCTTGGCTTGTAGATGCCAAGATTAATATTTCTTTGGCCTTTTATATTAAAACTTTTAATTAACATTTATCTTTTTAATGGTAGGCATTCCTCATTTTAAGATACCTGACCCTTAAACAACTGATTTTTGCCACCACCTTTCAACAGATGCTTCAGCTGGTTTTGTGGGAACAACACCAACCAGAGTCCCCAGGAGACCGTTTCTTAGTCCCTGACTCACCCCATGTAGGAGGCTTAGGATTGCATCTGAATTGCTCAGTGGTGAATAATATTCTTTTATCATTAACAAAAGGGAGGTCAACAGTGTTGATCTTTGCCAGAGCCTTGTTTTTCTGAAAAATAGCACTGGCTAAAGAGCTCTCCTCATCCTTTTATGATAGCCACCCATCCTCTTCTTGCAATAATCCTTTTGAATAAAGTCTCCCCTTGCCTAAATCCAGATTTATTTTGACAAATGCTACAAAATTAGTTTTGAATTGTTTTAGAAATTTAATCAAATTACATTGAAAAGAACATGAGGAAGACATAAAAGAGTAAGGTACTACTTTCAAAGCATGGAGAAAGCAAATTCAATCATAAATGTACTGTCCAGGAAAAAAAGAAAGTGTGGCTCCTAAGCATGCAAATTCCAGGTAGAGTAAAGCCTGAAATATGTTTCTAAAACCCATACATGTAAGTTCTTTAATGTTTTTAAAAAGAAACAGGTTGATCCCTTTTAAGAGCAGGCAGCATTTCTCAGAATGGCAACAAAGCTAAAATCACACACAAAATAGTTTGATATAGTTAATACATTAAAGTGTTAAATGTATGCATAACAAAATATATCATAAACAAAGTTAAAAGTCAACAAACTAGAAAATATATGCAATAGTATGTAAGCAAAAATTAATTTTTCAAATAAAGGGGTGTTTACGTAAAAATATGCACCAGGTGAAAAATGGGCAAAGGGCATGATAAGATACTTCACTAAAGAAGAAATCCACATAAAAAGATGCTCAATTTCAATAGGAATTGAAGAAAAGCAAATTAAAACTACAAATCACTTTTTACCTATCAGATTGGCAAAGTTGAAAAAGATTGATAAACATAATATAGATGAAGGTGTAGGAATACAGACTCCTGTGCTGCTCTCTGTTGTAGAGATTTCTACAAACTTTCTAGAAGGCATTTGGACAACATGGATACTTATGGACAACTATTCATCTAGGAATTTATCCTATGTAGGAAATTTTACAAATACACAAAGATTTCAGAATCGAAACACTGTAAACAATGTAAGGGTTGTTAAAAAATAATTTTCAGAGAAAGATAAAATCATGACTCATACAAATATAAAAGTGCACATCTGTTAAGGAATTTACGCATATGCTATAAGGGAATCAGATGTACGTTATAAACATTTCAAAGGAAAAGTCAAAAAGCACAGATTTATCTGGAGTAAAGGAATGTTAAGATGAATTGCAAATGGAAACAAAACTGGTATTTTCATAGGGTGGGGATGGCGGGAACCAATTAAATTATTGCCAGACAGGACAGAATTTACACACCATCAGTTACATATAATTTATAAAAAGAGGCGAATAGGGCCGGGCGCAGTGGCTCACACCTGTAATCCCAGCACTTTGGGAGGCTGAGGCTGGTGGATCACTTGAGGTCAGGAGTTTGAGACCAGCCTGGCCAAAACGGCGAAAACCTGTCTCTACAAAAAATACAAAAAATTAGCTGGGCGTCTGTAATTCTAGCTACTTGGGAGGCTGAGGCATGAGAATCACTTGAGCCCAGGAGGCAGAGGTTGCAGTGAGCCGAGATCACACCATTGCACTCCAGCCTGGGTGACAGGGTGAGACTCTGTCTCAAAAACAAAACAAAACAAACAAAAACGAAAAGGTTTATTTTGTTTGCATATGTAAGCTTCACAGAAAAAAAGTGAAAATCCCAAAGAGGTGCTTAGACCCAGGAGCTTATACAGCATTTTAACAGAGGATGATAAAGTGTGGGAAGCTACTAGACAAGGGAAATGGGGAGAGGCTGCGCTTCTCTGGTGTGGGTAAATTGTGGGAAGGTAACTGGGAAAGGCATGGTAATTAAGGCTTGTTTAGTGAGGTGTGTTATGCAGATGAATTGTTCACCTTATTCTGGTATGGGAGAGGGCATCACCTTTGCAAAGGGAAATTAGGCAAACGTTTGTAGGTAGAAAGAGAGAGGGCAAAGAGTTTTGCTTGTGTCTGCTGTTTCTCAGTTGCCTTTAGCTCAAAATAATCCTTATGCCAATATGGCATGTTTTGAGGTGGCACATTCTTTTTTACTTTTACTATTATCATTTTATTTGCTTGTTTTTTTTTTTGTTGTTTTTTATAGAGACAGGGTCTTGTTTGTTGTTGCCCAGGCTGGAGTGTGGTAGTGTGATCATACCTCACTGTCATCTTGAACCAAGTAGCTAGGACTACAGGTACACACTACCCCGCCCCGCTAATTTATTTTATTTTGTTTTTGGTAGAGACAGGGTCTTGCTTTATTGCCCAGGCTGGTCTCAAACTCCTGGCCTCAAGGGATCTTCTCACTTCAGCCTCCCAAAATGCTGGGATTATAGGCCCTGCCACCATGCCCAGCCTGGGGTGGCATATTCTGATCCCTTTCCCATTGTTTCAGAAAGATGTTTCCATTTTGGAAAAACATAAAATAAATGAACAAATAATAGTAAATTTAGCATTTCTGTCCAAAAGAAAATGACATGTACAGTGAGCAGATGCCCATCAGGGTGTTTACCAGCAAAAACAAGTTAAAAGAAGTACCTGTCTGAATGGATCAACAAATTGCAGCAT
This sequence comes from Homo sapiens, assembly GCF_000001405.40. NCBI lineage: Eukaryota > Metazoa > Chordata > Mammalia > Primates > Hominidae > Homo > Homo sapiens. The sequence continues at coordinate 76,448,834 of NC_000009.12, read as the reverse complement.
ATCATATTAAAATAATGGAATGACATTTAAGAAAGCAAAATTGATTCACACTTCAACATGGATGAATCTCCAGACCTTATGTGGAGATAAAGATGCCAAACACGAAAGAGTACAGACCGTTTGATTCATGTTTATGTATCTGAAATTCTGGAAGAGGCAAATCTAATCTATAGTGACAGAAAGGAGAGCAGTTGTTGCTGGGGCTGAGTGTGGGGAGAGGAGGGCATTTGCTTTTTGGGGTGATAGAAATGTTCTTTATCTTGATTGTGGTAATAATTGCCTGGGTTAGTAGGTTGGTCAGAAGTCATGGAACTATACACCTAAACAGCTATATTTTATTAAACCATGCCTCAATAAGATTTTTTTGCTGCTGTTGTTGTTTTGAGGTGGGGTCGTACTCTGCAACCCAGGCTGGAGTGCAGTGGCATGATCACAGCTCACTGTAGCCTCAGTCTTCTGGGCTCAAGCCATCCTCCCACCTCAGCCTCCCAAGTACCTGGGACTACAGGTACGTGCCACCACACCTGGCTAATTTTTGTATTTTTTGTAGAGATAGGGTTTCACCATGTTGCCCAGGCTGGTCTCAAACTCCTGGGCTTAAGTAATCCGCCTGCCTCGGGCTCCCAGAGTGCTTGGATTACAGGCGCGAGCCACCGCGCCTGGCTGTGTGTATATATATATATAAAGTGTCTGTTAGTAAAGACTAGAGGGGTAAACAGAAAGCAGACAGCATGTGTTGAGCAAAATCTGGACTCGCTGAGTTTGCAGTGATGATAAACTTTCAGAGTAGAGGCTCTCCAGGCTTCTCAAAGTATTCCTGGACTCAGTGATTCCTATCTGGAAGCCATCTGGACAAAGACGGCTGGCACAGCCATGCCACTAAATGCACTCTTTTGAGGGTAAGAGTGCATAGAAGTTGTGAGGCATTTTCAGTTTCAGGAATCCAGCACAGCAAAGGAAGATGACAGGGTCAGGGCGTACTGGACACAGGGATTGTGGACTGACATGCTAAAGAAGACGGATGAGCCAGGGGGCTCACAGAGTTTTTTTAAAGCTGAGCACCAAAATGCCTATGCTAAATGAACAAGAATGTTCTAGATATAAAAATTATTTAATAAACATCCTCCATACTGACTTGTAAATATTGCGTGAAGTGTGGCAGAGGCCCCCTCTGGTGGTAGTGTGCAAAATCACATGTATAACTATAAAAAAGTTAAGAAATAGGGTGAAAATCAGTCCTAGTGTTTACATACATTAGATGTTAGAGGTATATACTAAAGAGGCAGTTTAGGCTGGGCACAGTGGCTCATGCCTGTAATCCCAGCACTTTGGGAGGCTGAGGCAGCCCGATCGCTTAAGCCCAGGAGTTTAAGACCAGCCTGGGCAACATGGTGAAACCTCTCTCTACAAAAAAATAAAAATAAAAATTAGCTGGGGCGTGGTGGTGCACACCTATGGTCCCAGCTATTAAGGAGGCTAAAGTGGAAGGATTGCCTGAGCCCGGGAGGTTGAGGCTGCAGTGAGTGGTGATCAAGCCACTGCACTCCAGCCTGGGTGAGAGTGAGATCTGTCTCCAAAAAAGAAAAAGAAGAAAAAGAAAAAAAGAAAAGGAAGAAGCAATTCAGCAATATCCACATACCATCCATATCTGTTCTTTTTTTTTTTTTTTTTTTTTTTTTTTTTGACACAGGGTTTCACTCTGCCCAGGATGTAGTGCAGTGGCACGCTCCCAGCTCACTGCAGCCTCAATCTCCTGGGCTCAGACAATCCTCCTACCTCAGCCTCCCAAGTAGCTGGGATTACAGGTGGACGCTACCATGCCCAGTTAATTTTTGTATTTTTTGTAGAGATGAGGTATCACCATGTTGGCCACGTTGGCCTCAAACTCCTGGACTCGAGTGATCTGCCCGTCTCAGCCTCCCAAAGTGCTGGGATTACAGGCATGAGCCACTGTGCCCAGCCTAAACTGCCTCTTTAGTATGTACCTCTAACATCTAATGTATGTAAACACCAAGCCACTATGCTTGGCCCATATATGTTCTTTACTTTGCTTCTTCTCACTTAACACGTTTGGAAAATCATTCCATATTAGTTTATATAAAGCCTCTTTGTTCTTTTCAGTGTCTATCCAGTACGGGGCTATGCCATGATATTCAAATAGTTCCCTAATGGCCATTCCAGTTGTTTCCAGTTTTTTGCTATTATAAACAATGCTACAGTGAATGTCTTCACACATATATAAAACATATGTGTAGTATTAATTGCCGTAAGTGGTATTGCTTGGTCAAAATGTATGTGCATTTAAAAAGTTGATAGGTCTCACCCTCTGTGTGGGGGAAGATGATTGGCAATAGATACCATCAGACACAGGCAAAAGAAACAAGTTCCTTAGACCTTGATAAAGGATAGGAGAATTTAAACTCTAAGAAGATTGCATGGAGCGGGAGTTTTGGCAGCCGTCTTTTCCACAAGGGCAAACTTCCCTGGGTGCTGTGTGCTGGCTCCCATCAGCTTCTGCAAAAACTCTCCTTGTCTTACACCCTCTATATGTTCTGGAGACCCTGGCTATGTTCCTGACCAGAGAAGGGCACTGGAGTCACTCCAGTGCATTCCTGCATAATCTCTGCAAGGGAGACTTGAAGGTCAGTTTCCCAGGGTAAATTTTCTAGATAGATGATCCCCTAGGAACTCCCAGGCCTTAAGCTTCCTGATGACTCTTCATGTCTTCCACAGAGAAATTGTTCCAATTTACATTCTCACCAGCAATGTGTGACTTCCTGTTTCCCCCACACACTCACCAACAGAGCAAATTATCACAGGTTTTAAAAATAATATTTATTGATTTATTTAGGAAATGGGGTCTTGCTCTGTTGCCCAGGCTGGAGTCCAGTGGTGTAATTGACCACAGCTCACTGCAGCTTCAAACTTCTGGGCTTAAGAGATCCTCCCTCCTCAGCCTCTTGAGTAGCTGGAACAGGCACACACCACCATGTCTGGCTAATTTTCGTATTTTCTATTTTTTATAGAGACAGGAGTCTCACCATGTTGTCCAGGCTGGTCCCGAACTCCTGACCTCAAGCATTCCTTCCACCTTGGCCTCCCAGATTGCTGGGATTACAGGTGTGAGCCACCCCACCTAGCCACAGTTTTTATCTTTGCCAATTCTAATAAGTAAAAACTGAGGGAGGCCAAGGCGGGAGGATCGCTTGAGCTCGGGAGTTCGAGACCAGCCTGGCCAACATGTTGAAACCCCATCTCTACCAAAAAAGAAATACAAAAATTAGCTGGGCTTGGTGGTACATGACTGTAATCCCAGCTACTCGGGAGGCTGAGGGACAAGAATCGCTTGAGCCCAAGAGGTGGAGTTTGCAGTGAGCCGAGACTGAGCCACTGCACTCCAGCCTGGGTGAAAGAGTGAGACTGTCAAAAAAATAAATAAATAAATAAGGAAAGGAAAACCTGAAACAAAGAGTTTAAACTTTACATTGCTCTCATGTGTAAGGTACCACATCTTTTCATACAGTGATAATGAGAGATACATGTGTCTATATTCCTAGTAAAGCCAACCCTTCCACTGGGGCACCTGATCCTCATTCCAGGTATAACATCCTCTGATGTTATACTTGAGAACATCATCCGAGCAATTCTTTCTTCTGCAACTTCAACTTTTTTTCTCTCCACAGAATCGTTCCTATCAGCATGCAAAAATGTTATTTCTCCTTTTGACAACCCTTTCTTGAACGCCTTCCTCCTTAGCTACTGCCCTAATTCTCTACTTATAGCAGAGCTTTCCTTTTCTGGAAAGGGCCAGATAGTAAATATTTGAAGTATGGTGGGCTATTTATTCTCTCACAACCTCTTACCTGTGTCCCTCTAGTGTGACAGCAGCCACAGACAGCACGTAAATGAACAGGTGTGATCATAGTTTGCTGCAGTTTACTGACTCCTGCTTCATAGAAAACTGACCTTCATTCCCCCTTGCTGTGGTCAGGGAAGAAGGTGCTGTGGTTGTCGCCTGTTCCTTGCCTTCAGCAGGCTAAGAGCTGAGGTCTCCAGAACAACACAGAGGGCCCAAGAGGGCATCAGCCTCCTTGTGAAAACAGAAAAGGGAGTTTCTGGAAGAACCTGATTGTTTTGTGTCAAAAGAATTGCCTGTATCTGGTGTCTCCAAATTATATTAAACCCTCTCTAATCAGGTGCTTAGTCCCGTGCCTCTAGGGAAACTGCCCCTGTCCATTTCAGCTCTGTGGTTCTAAATCCAGCAGACATTTATCTAAACTTGTTTTACCTGTACTCTCAGCAGCATTTCAGACAAATCGTCACTCCTTGACCTTGAAACCCTTTTTCCTCACCTGGACTCTTAATCCTCATGGTTTTGTTCTCGTCACTCTTTGTCAGCCTTCAGTTTCCTCCTCTTCCCCCAGGCCTCTTAACCCTGCAGAGCTTCACGACTCAGGCCTCAGATCTCTTCTTTTTTCTCTACAGCCCTTCTGTATGGCCTCATCCAACCTCATGCTGTTAAGTACATCTAGATTTAACCTCGACATCGCTCTGATTTCTATCTCTAGTCTGGACCTGTCCTCAGAACTCCAGACTCATATTTCCAACTGCTTAGTAAACATCTCCCTTTACAGGTAAAATTGGCATTTCAAACAAACATGTCCAATACGCAGCTCCTTATCTTCTTCTCCCGGAGCCTGCTTCTCCCACTTTTCTCCCGGACTTACTCATTGACAACTCCACCTAGTTGCTCAGGCCAAACACTCCTGGAGTCATCTGTCTTGCCTCTCTTTCTCACAAAGCACACACCCAATTCAACAAATGCTTCTGGCTCTTTTTTTCTTCCTTCCTTCCTTCCTTCCTTCCTTCCTTCCTTCCTTCCTTCCTTCCTTCCTTCCTTCCTTTCTTCCTTTCTTCCTTTCTTCCTTTCTTCCTTTCTTTCTTTCTTTCTTTCTTTCCTTTTTTTAGACAGAGTCTCACTCTGTTGCCCAGGCTGGAGTGCAGTGGCTCACTGAAACCTCCGCCTCCCAGGTTCAAGCGATTCTCCTGCTTCAGCCTCCCAAGTAGCTGGGACTATAGGCATGCACCACCACACCTGGCTAGCTTTTGTATCTTTAGTAGAGACGGATGTTGGGAACAAATCCCCCAAAATCTGGCCATAAACTGGCCCCAAAACTGGCCATAAACAAAATCTCTGCAGCACTGTGACATGTTCATGATGGCCATAATAGCCATGCTGGAAGGTTGTGGGTTTACCGGAATGAGGGCAAGGAACACCTGGCCCACCCAGGGTGGAAAACCGCTTAAAGGCATTCTTAAGCCACAAACAATAGCATGAGCAATCTGTGCCTTAAGGACATGCTCCTGCTGCAGTTAACTAGCCCAACCTATTCCTTTAATTCGGCCCATCCCTTCGTTTCCCATAAGGGATACTTTTAGTTAATTTAATATCTATAGAAACAATGCTAATGACTGGCTTGCTGTTAATAAATACGTGGGTAAATCTCTGTTCAGGGCTCTCAGCTCTGAAGGCTGTGAGACCCCTGATATCCCACTTCACACCTCTATATTTCTGTGTGTGTGTCTTTAATTCCTCTAGCACCACTGGGTTAGGGTCTCCCCAACCGAGCTGGTCTTCACAGACGGGGTTTCACCATGTTGGCCAGGCTGGTCTCGAACTCCTGAGCTCAAGTGATCTGCCTGCCTTGGCCTCCCAAATTGCTGGGGTTACAGGTGTGAGCCATTGAACCTGGCCTCTATTTCAAAATATATCCAGATTAGGATCCCTTTTACCCATCTCCATTGCTACCACCTTGGGCCATGCTACTGCTGTATCTCACCTGACATCTCCTGCTTCCTCTCATGCCCCACATACAGCCTGGGATTACAGGCATGAGCCACTGAGCCTGGCCAGTGTTTGTTTTGTTTTAAATCCATTTTGGCTTTAGTATATTCCCAACATCTATAAAAGTGCTTGGCTCAAAGTAGGAGGAGCTCAATAATATTTGATGAATAAATAAGAGAATAAATGAATGAATACTTTATCTTCATATGGTACTTTGTAACTTAAGAACCATTTTCACATTTCTCTTACTACTTCTGATAATCGGATAATCAGATAAAACCACTGTGTTAGTTTCTTTCTTTCTTTTTTGAGATGGAGTCTCACTCTGTCGCCCAGGCTGGAGTGCGGTGGCATGATCTTGGCTCACTGCAACCTCTGCCTCACGGGTTCAAGTGGTTCTCCTGCCTCAGCCTCCCAAGTAGCTGGGATTACAGGCGCCTACCACCAAGCCCAGCTAATTTTTGTATTTTTAGTAGAGACAGGGTTTTGCCATGTTGGCCAGGCTGGTCTCGAACTCCTGACCTCAAGTGATCCGCCCACCTCAGCCTCCCAAAGTGCTTGGATTACAGGCATGAGCCATGGCGCCTGGTCACAACTGTGTTAGTTTCTTATTGCTGCTGTAACAAACTACCACACACAGCATGGCTATAAGCAACACAAATTTATTTTCTTACCGTTCTGTAGGTCAGAAGTCTGAAGCAGGTCTCACTGGCCTAAAATCGAGGTGTCAGCAGAACCGTGTTTCTTTCTGGGAGCTTTAGAGGAAAATCTATTTCCTTGCCATTTCTAGCTTCTCGAAGCCTCTCTCATTCATTGACTGTGGGCCTTCCTCCGGCTTCAAAACCAGCAATGGTCAGTTAAGTCCTTCTCAGATGAAGTCACTGTGACCTCTGCTTCTGGCTTCACATCCCCTGAGCCAGAGCTGGTGAAGAGAGGTGTCTCTGAGTCACACTGTGCGAATTGCCATGGAACAGAGTTAAGCTGTTTTCACATTGATCCGTATCACAAGTGAGTGTTTTCCCCAGCTCTGAGTCAGTCTTTCTTTTTAAATCCAAAACCATATTATTAAGTTTTTAAAAAATCATGATTGCTTTACTTCTTCAGGTTTCAGGTTTCTCAGACATAAAACCTTAAAACAGAAATGAATACCTGATGATTGCATTCCAGTTGTCTGCATTACCCATTAAGAGTCTCTGACCTTTTCTGGTCCCAGGAAACCTCAAAGAATAATCTGCATTTTCCACTTCATAGGTCTTAATGGGAGCAGGACTGTGGAAGGTGACACTGCGGCTTCTCCCTCCTTAACAGTTCACCTATGGTCTGTCTGGTATGACTCACACTTTCTTCGTGTCTCAAATTTCCCACATACGAAACAGATACTATGATGAAAATATAGCCCATTTAATTATGTGAAGTGTTTTGAACAAAATTGTTATAATGTCTTAGCATAATGTGGACTTTTTGTACATCATCTAGTCTGATGGTTCTCACCATTGCTACCCACTGGAATTACTTATGGAACCTTAACAAATCCTGATGCTGGCTGAGAGTGGTGATGGCTCATGCCTGTAATCCCAGCACTTTGAGAGGCCGAGGCAGGCAGATCACCTGAAGTCAGGAGTTTGAGACCAGCCTGGCCAACATGGTAAAACCCCGTCTCTACTAAAAATAAAAAAATTAGCCAGGCATGGTGGTGGGCACCTGTAGTCTCAGCTACTCTGGAGGCTGAGGCAGGAGAATTGCTTGAGGCCGGGAGGCGGATGTTGCAGTGAGCTGAGATCGCGCCACTGCACTCCAGCCTGGGTGACAGAGCAAGACTTCGTCTCAAACAACAACAAAAATCCTGATGCCTAGGTCCTGCACCAAGGATTCTGATGTGATTGCTATGGAATGTGGCCTAGGCATAGGTTTTTTTGTTTTTTTTTGAGATGGAGTCTCTCTTTGTTGCCCAGGCTGGAGTGCAGTGGTGTGATCTTGGCTCACTGCAACCTCCGCCTCCCGGGTTCAAGCAATTTTTCCTACCTCAGCCTCCTCAGTAGCTGGGATTACAGGCATGCACCACCATGCCCAGCTAATTTTTGTATTTTTAGTAGAGATGGGGTTTCACCATGTTGGTCAGGCTGGTCTTGATCTCCTGACCTTGTGATCCACCCGCCTCAACCTCCCAAAGTGCTGGGATTACAGGCATGAGTCACTGCACCCGGCAGGCATAGGCATTTTTAAAAGCTCCCCAGCTGATTCTAACGTGCAACCAAGTCTGGGACCAGGGAAGACTCCTCTTAGGTAGCTCTAAACAAGCTCTTGTGGATGAGCCACTTTCTGGACCCAGTCCCCAAGTCATCCCCTGTGAGTGCAGCTCATTCTCCCCTCTGGGTTTTGGTCCTAGCAACCATCAGGAAGGAGACAGGACAGGTGGGTGCAGGACCTCAGCCCCACACAGGGCAGGGGGACACACAGGTTGCAACATCATAGTGAAAAGGACCGGAATCTGATGAGGACACACTGGAAACATGGTACCACTGTAACCCAGGTTTCCTCCTCACCTGTGGAGCAAATATAAATCAGGGAAATGTAGATTGATGTCACCTTCATTCATCACAGCTTTAGTGAAACCTGGCAACTGGGGAATTTTTTGTTCACAAGGCAAACAAAGTCTTCAATTTAATTCCTTTAAATTCCTTGAAGATTATATTAACTAGTAGGTGAGGTTAAGACTTTTGAAAGTCATGTGGGTATTGAACTGAACTGCTCTTAGAAGAAAATTCAGAGAGAAGGTGATGTGGGTCAGGAGCAGGAAGAGATGCTGAGCCAAGAAGAGAGATTTGGGACATGAGATACCTCAAAAGGTTTGTTAGTTTATTCATTTTTTCTTTTTTTTTTTTTTTATTTTTGCGACGGAATTTCGCTCTTGCCCAGGCTGGAGTGCAATGGTGGGATTTCGGCTCACTGCAACCTCCGCCTCCTGGGTTCAAGCGATTCTCCTGCCTCAGCCTCCCAAGTAACTGGGATTACAGGTGCCCACCACCAAGCCCGGCTAATTTTTTGTATTTTTAGTAGAGACAGGGTTTCACCGTGTTGGCCAGGATGGTCTCGATCTCCTGACCTCAGGTGATCTGCCCACCTCAGCCTCCCAAAGTGCTAGGATTACAGGCATGAGCCAATGCGCCCAGCCTTGGTTTATTTTTAAGTGCAATCTTGATATCATGTGGTACAACTTCTCTCTTCTAGCTTCCTTCTAAAATATTGAATAAATTTTATATTCCTCACTATTGCATTCATATTAGTGCAAGGAGAGCACTGTTTTCAAAGAATTCAAAGAGGAGAGAGCCATAAGAATATGAGTCACAATCTGAAGAAAGACGCACACAGCTTTTACCAACAACTGATTTACCTCCATCTCTACTAAGGAAATGCAGACAAAATTTTTTTTTCATTTTTTCTTTTCCTTTTTAAAAACACAAATGGGGCCAGGCATGGTGGCTCACGCCTGTAATCCTAGCACTTTGGGAGGCCAAGTTGGGCAGATCACCTGAGGTCAGGAGTTTCAGACCAGCCTGGCCAACATGGCGAAGCCCCATCTCTACTAGAAATACCAAAATTAGCCTGGCGTGGTGCCACGCACCTGTAATCCAAGCTACAAGGGAGGCTGAGGTGGAGGGATCACTTGAACCTGGGAGGCAGAGGTTGCAGTGAGCTGGGATCACACCACTGCACTCCAGCCTGGGAGACAGAGTGAGACTGTCTCAAAAAAAAAAAAAAAAAAAAAGAAAAAGAAAAGAAAACACAGATTGCTGACTGCACATCAGAGTTTCTGATTTAGTAGGTGAGGAATTCTAACAAGTTCCCAGGTGATACTGAAGCTACTGGTCTGGGAACCACCCTTTCAGAACCACTGGCTTACAACACTCTCATAGAAATTATTTCCTACTTTCATGTTTTATCATGGTCTGTTCTTTGAAATGTTAATAAGTCTGACGAGAAAAGAAAAGAGTGTTGTGGTCAAATGTGTAAGGGAAGTTAAGATTCTTTAGAGAAATCAAAACTTACTGCCCACACATACACGGCTTACTATCTATCAAGCTTGTCCAACCCAAGGCCCATAGTCTGCATGCAGCCCAGGAGGGCTTTCAATGAGGCCCAACACAAATTCATAAACTTTCTTAAAACATTATGAGTTTTTTTTTTTTTTTCTCATTGGCTATCATTAATGTTAGTGTATTTTATGTGTGGCCCAAGACAATTCTTCTTCCAATGTGGCCCAGGGAAGCCAAAAGATTGGAAACCCCTGGTACATTTACCTGACTTTCTTATTTCAGGAAATTTTTACTCAGAAGGATGAAATGGCTGTAAACAAAAAATTAAATTCTAAGCTCCCCTAATCATCTGAATGAACCCCTCCTTTCAGTCAGGGGCATTCCAGAGTTAACCTGAAAAACTAATTCAAGTCATGATGGAAGAGAGGCTCACATATGCCTCATTATACCCCTTCAGCATTAACATCAACACAGACCTTAAGTCTGATAAGAAAAGTTTACAGTCTACTCTCTACAAAGTCTGCTACTGAGAAGCTTCAACTGCCTGATAAGGCCTTAGTCTCCACAACACCTTATTATAACCCAGACATTCGTGTCTCCTTTCTACTGATAACTCTTTCAATCAGTTACCAATCAGAAAAATTTTAAATCTACCTATGACCTGGAAGCCACCCCCCACACCTCCCTTTGAGTTGTCCTACCTTTCCAGATCAAACCCACGTAAATATTACATGTATTGATTGATGCATTATGTCTCCCTAAAATGTATAAAAGCAAGATGTACCCCAACCACCTTGGGCACATGTCATCAGGACCTCCTGAGGCTGTGTGACAGGCATGTCCTTAACCTTGGCAAAATAAAGTCTCTAAATTGCTTGAGACCTGTCTCAGATACTTTTGGGTTCAAATGGACAAAAATTTTATTTGTTCTAGGAACTTTCTGAAAATCCATTAGTCCAAACACTAGACTACTCAATTTATCCTCATTAAAGTAAGTACCACTTTCCAAGGAAAATAGATACAATCAAAAGATCATTTACTCTTTAAGACATGCTTGGGAACTCTCACCTTGCTGTGTCCACCAATGCTAAACCATTGTGTCACATACTTGTCCAATCCTAATCAAGCTCTATATCAAAATAGCCACCTTACTCCAGATTCCACAAACCTAATAAATATTCTGCTTTGCCCTCACCCTTCCAAGAAGCCAGTAAGACTCTTGTTATGAAAATGATCTTGTTACCAGAAAGGGGTCCTGATCCACACCCCAAGAGATGGTTCTTGGATCTCACAAAAGAAAGAATTCAGGGCGAGTCCATAGAGTAAAGTGAAAACAAGTATAGTAGAAAAGTAAGGGACTAAAGAATGGCTACTCTATAGACAGAGCATCCCCAAGGGTTGCTGGTTGCCCATTTTTATGGTTATTCCTTGATGATATGCTAAACAAAGGGTGGATTATTCATGCCTCCCCTTTTTAGACCATATAAGGTAACTTCCTGACGTTGCCATGGCATTTGTAAACTGTCATGGCGCTGGTGGGAGCGTAGCAGTAAGGATAATCAGAGGTCGCTCTCATTGCCATCTTGGTTTTGGTGGGGTTTGGCCGGCTTCTTTACTGCACACTGTTTTATCAGCAAGATCTTCATGACCTGTATCTAAGTACCGACCTCCCAGCTCATCCTGTGACTTAGAATGCTGAACCGTCTGGGAATGCAGCCCAGTAAGTTTCAGCCTTATTTTACCCAGCTCCTATTCAAGATGGAGTTGCTCTTGTTCACATGTTTCTGACAATCTCTCTCTCTCTCTTTTTTTCCCCATATATTTATTTTTTTCTTTTCTTTTTTTATTATTATACTTTAAGTTCTAGGGTACATGTGCACAATGTGCAGGTTTGCTACATATGTATACATGTGCCATGTTGGTGTGCTGCACCCGTTAACTTATCATTTACATTAGGTATATCTCCTAATGCTATCCCTTCCCCCTCCCCACACCCCACGACAGGCCCTGGTGTGTGATGCTCCCCACCCTGTGTCCAAGTGTTCTCATTGTTCAATTCCCACCTATGAGTGAGAACATGCAGTGTTTGGTTTTCTGTCTGACAATCTCTCTTACCTCAACAAGCACTGAACTAAGCCTGGTGCTATCCATCCATTTTGAGGGAGTCAGCATTCAACTATCCATTGCCTTTACTTCCTATATTAGGTTAGGTTGCTCCTATTAATTCCTGTCTTACTCACAGCTTGTGACTGGAAAATAGTAGGCATTCAATAAATCAATAAATGTTATTTGAGTAAATGGACGAAATTTTCAGTTTTTAATATGCTATTGTGCCTTTTTTTTTTTTTTTTTTTTTTGAGATGGAATCTTACTCTGTCGCACAGGCTGGAGTGCAGAGTGCAGTGGTGCGATCTCAGCTCACTGTAACCTTCACCTCCCAGGGTCAAGTGATTCTTTTGCCTCAGCCTCTGGAGTACTTGGGATTACAGGCAGGCACATGCCACCATGCCCAGTTAATTTTTGTATTTTTAGCAGAGATGGGCTTTCACCATGTTGGCCAGGCTGATCTTGAACTCCTGACCTCAAGTGATCTGCCTGCCTCTGCCTCCCAAGGCATTGTGACTTTCTAAGCAGGGAAATGGTGTAATTTCCCCCAAATTCCCACCACTTGTGGAAGGTATGTTCCTCAAACACCCTTTGGACAACCCTATCCTAATTTGTTACACAGATGTTTTCTTATAAGATGGAGGCCGAGGTAGGTGGATCACCTGAGGTCAGGAGTTCAAGACCATCCTGGGCAACATGGTGAAACCCCATATCTACTAAAAACACAAAAATTAGCCAGGCATGGTGGCACATGCCTGTAATCCCACCTACTGGGGAGGCTGAGGAGGGAGAATTGAACCCAGGAGGCAGAGGTTGTAGTGAGCCGAGATCGTGCCACTGCACTCCAGCCTGGGTGACAGAGCGAGATTCTGTCTCAAAAAAAAAAAAAAAAAAAAAAGATATGGGAACTACTGCTTAGCACTCTGTCATTCTTACTAAAGGAAGTGCTCCAGGATTGAATGTACCAATAAATTTAAGACCCTTCACTGTGTGAAAACCCTAATCTTAGGACTCTTTTCCACTCAAGATTATGGTCTTTGTTATGGACCTAATTGTGTCCCTCCCCAAATTCATATGTTGAAGTCCCAACCTCTGATGTGACTGTATTTGGAGATAGGGCTTTAAGAATGTAATTAACATTAAATGAGGTAATAAGGCTGGGACCTTAATACAATAGGACCAGTGTCCTTGTAAGAAGAGTAAAAGACACCTAAGAACTCTTTCTCTCTCTTTGTGGGTACACACAAGAGGACAGACACAGTGAGAAGATGGCCATCAACAAACCAGAAAGAGAAGCCTCACCAGAAACCAAACTTGCTGGCACCTTATTCTTGGATTGCTAGCCTCCAGAACTGTGAAGAAATAAATTCTGTTGTTTTAGCCACAGAGTCTGTGGTAACTTGTTATGGTAGTGGGAGCTGACTAATTCAGTCTTCTTGAGGCTGAATTTGGGACCAGTGGGGGAACTGGTCCCAAAATTTCAACGTAGGCTCTTTCTATTTTCCATAATTGCTGGCCAGTCTGAGAAATAAAGAGAAAGACTACAAAGAGAGGAATTTTACAGCTGGGCCGCCAGGGGTGACATCACATATCAGTAGGTCCATGATGCCCACCCGAGCCGCAAAACCAGCAAATTTTCATTAGGGATTTTAAAAGGGGAGGGGCTGTATGAACAGGGAGTAGCTCACAAAGATCACATGCTTCAAAGGGAAAAAGGGAGAACAAAGATCACATGGTTCTGAGGAAACAGGGCAAGGACAAAAGCAAAGATCACAAGGCAAAGGTCAAAATTAGAATTACTGATGACGGTCTATGTTCAGCTGTGCACGTATTGTCTTGATAAACATCTTAAACAACAGAAAACATGGTTCGAGAGCAGAGAACTGGTCTGACCTCAAATTTACCAGGGTGGGATTTCTTCCCCACCCTAATAAGCCTGAGGGTACTGCAGGAGACGGGGCGTATTTCAGTCCTTATCTCAACCACACTTCCAGAGTGGCTGTTTATAGACCTCTCCCCAGGAATGCAATTCTTTTCCTAGGGTCTTAATATTATATTCCTTGCTAGGAAAAGAATTTAGCGATATCTCTCTTACTTGCACATCCATTTATAGGCTCTCTGCAAGAAGAAAAATATGGCTCTTTTTGCCCCACCCCGCAGGCAGTCAGACCTTATGGTTGTCTTCCCTTGTTCCCTAAAATCGGTGTTATTCTGTTAGTTTTCAAGGTGCACTGATTTCATATTTTTCAAACACACATGTTTTACAATCAGATTTCATGTTGTTCAAACACAAGTTTTACAATCAATTTGTACAGTTAACACAATCATCACAGGGTCCTGAGGTGACATACATCCGCAGCTTACAAAGATAACAGGATTAAGAGATTAAAGACAGGCATAAGAAATTATAAAAGTATTATTAGGGGAGTGATAAATGTCCATGAAATCACAATTTATGTTCCTCTGCCATGGCTCCAGCCAGTCACTCCATTCGGGGTCCCTGACTTCCCACAATAGTGAGTCCTGAACATGACCTATGGCTCAGAGAGCTCTCTCTAGCCTATTTATCCTGGTGTCATAGCTTCTGTTGATGATGATAATCATACTACATTAGTCCCCCCTTATCCACAGGAGATACGTTCCAAGACCCCCAGTGGATACTCGAAATCCTTAATAGTACTGAACCCTGTAAGTGCTATGCTTTTTCCTATGCATAATGTGAAAATAAAATGTAAAAGCTGTTGAAATCCCCCAAACACTATAAGCCTTGAGAGAGATGTGACTCTGATCTGAGTCATGCAGCATGTAGTTGTAACTTCTACTTCTTAGGTTATAGATTAAGTGAACCGAAGAATAAGGAGGAACTGCTGTATTATTTTTATATAACTTTGAATTTTACAGAGCTCTTTCACAGGCATCAGCTCAGTGGCACTTTGCAACAATTGAGGGATATGAGGAGGTTCACTGAAGGACAACAAACTGAGGGCTGAAGTCACAGCCACTAGAAAGTAGAAGGGTCAGAATCCCCTATTGTCTTAAATCCATCACACATCCTACTATCTGGTACTGACACAGGATTTTTCTCAACCACCTTGCCAGCAGGAAACCTCCAGCCGGTGATACCCCTGCCCAGGCTTCCCTCAGCCCAGGGCTCCCTGCAAGAGGCACCCTGCCCACTCAGCCTGCCAAACTGTGCCTGGCTTGCACTCCAGCATGGATCCTGTGGCCACCGCGACTGCAGCACTCAGCCCCTGGCAGGAGGGGGTGTGTGGGCAAGTGAGTCCAGGGTCTGGCTGGCCTCTCCAAAGGCCAGCACAGGAGCAGTCTACATGTGGGGCTAGTGGCTGGCCCAGGCATGTGGCAAGTGACTCCCATGGTGGACTCCAGCATACAGATGAGGGGTACGCCGTGGCACACAAACAGCAAAACCTGCAACCCCAAAGCCCCAGAGGGGGTGTTACAGTGTGCTAACAGCTGTTTTAGTTCCTCCACAGCCTGATGAACAGGGGCACGTTAACAGTTCTGTCAGTCCCATTGCCCCACTCCAGCCCACAGGTTTGGGGATGACCTGGCCCTGCTGCTTTCCGTTACGTGGGGCAACTGCTGAGCTCCGAAGAGGGGGCAGGGCAGAGGGCTACAGTGTTACTGTCGTCTTTGTACCTGCATTCGGAGGGGTCCCAAGTTCTTGGTCCGCATCCAAGAAGAATGAGATTATGCTGACTATTGAAGGGTGAGGAGGGCAGAGAAGAGTTTTATTGAGTGATGAAACAGCTAATGAAACAGCTCTCAGTAGAGAGGGGCCACAAGGGTGGTCTCCCACTTGGTCGGGTGGTCTCTCTCTCAGTGTGGCTGGGTATGGGGCTTTTGTGGGCTCAGAAGGCAGGAGTGCATGCTAATTGGTTTGTGAGTATCCAAAAAAGCCTAAAACAAAGGCACCGTTCAAAGGTGAGCACGACTGTAAAAAAACAATTAGGAAAGAGAAGGTATATATAAAATAGGTGAAGGGTGAGGATCAATCAAAGGAAAGCATGACAAATAGAAAGAGATTCTCAATCCAGTTCCTATGTTTATGCAAGACTTTTAGCTTGGCTTTCAGGCTTTAAACTGCCTTTGGCTTGAAGGTGGGGTTTTACCAGGGATCCACCCCATCTGCCTAGTCATTTGACTGCCTCCTACCGCTATCAGTATGTGAAAGACAATATTAAACTAAGGATGGGCACAGTGGAGCACGCCTGTAATCCCAGCACTTTGGGAGGCCCAGGCAGGCGGATCACCTAGGCTCAGGAGTTCTCAACCAGCCTGGGCAACATGGCGAAACCCTGTCTCTATAAAAAATACAAAAATAAGCCAGACATGGTGCTGCGTGCCTGTAGTCCCTGCTACTCTGGAGGCTGAGGTGGGACCGCTTGAGCCTAGAAGGTTGAGACTGCAGTGAGCCATGATTACACCACTGCATTTGAGCCTGGGCAACAGAGTGAAACCCTGTCTTGAAAAAACAAAAAACAAACAAATATATTAAACTAGATATTAGACATTTTAAGACTCAATTGCCCATATTTTCACTAGACAATTTTAATTTGGATTGCCTACATTTTTTTTGGACTAGATGTAATGTATTTTATGTAATATACTAAATGTAATATATTTAGGTCACCCAATAAAAAATTTGGTCTTTGTCTCATGCTTTTGGCAAGGAGCTTCTAAAACCCTTGGAATTTCTTTCCTTTTTTTTCCTTTTCTTGAGACAGAATTTTGCTCTGTTGCCCAGGCTGGAGTGCAGTGGTGCAATCTCAGCTTGCTGCCACCTCTGCCTCCCGGGTTTAAGCGATTCTTCTGCCTCAGGCTCTCAAGAAGCTGGGATTATGGGTGCCCATGACCACACCCGGCTAATTTTTGCATTTTTAGTAGAGATGGGGTTTCACCATGCTGGCCAGGCTGGTCTCAAACTCCTGACCTCAATTGATCCATCCACCTCGCCTCGCAAAGTGCAGGAATTACAGGCATGAGCCAACGTGGCTGGCCTGGAATTTCTTAAGGGATAGGAGTCTTTGTTGTGTTAATGAGGTATTAATGGCAGGCTCTTGGATGGCTACAGCTAGGGGACTGGTCACTGGAAAGACCAACCGCTTAATTTGAGGGTTGGCGCTTTGATATCAGCCTGACCTCCCGACTTCCAAAGAGGCGACTGGGGCTGGAGATTGAGTTCAATCAAGTGGACAGTGATTAAATCAATCATGCCTAGATAATGAAACCCCAATAAAAGACTCTGGTCATGGAGGCTCAGTGGGACTTCCGGGTTGGTGAACACATTGATGTGCTAGGAGGGTGATGTTTCCTGATTTCAAGAGGAGAGAGCAAGAAAGCTCTGTGTTCTCTCCCAGACCTCACCCTATGCGTAACTTTTATAATAAAATTATAATCATAAGTGTAGCACTTTCCTGAGTTCTGTGAGTTGTCCTAGCAAGTTACTGAAACTGAGTGGATCATGGGACCCCCAAATCTGTAGCGAGTAGGTCAGAGTATGGATGACCTGGGGTCCCTGCTAAGGGCTGGCATCTGATGTGAGGGCAGTCTTGTGGAGGATTGAGCCTTACCTTGTGGAGTCTGATGCTAACTCCATGTGGTTAGTGTCAGAACTAAATTTCAGTGCACCTAGTTATTGTTAGCCCAGTTGGGGATTTTGCCAGGACGTTTTAACATATTCATTTACTTTCCTCCCTCTGTAACAGATGTTCATTTTAGAAAATTTAGATATGAGAAAATAAAAATCATCTGTAACTCCACTACCCAAATTGAACTACTCCAATATATATTCTTTCATTCTTTTTCCTGTGTATGTGTGTGCATGTTACTTTAAGAGATGAGGCCAGGTACAGTGGCTCATGCCCGTAATCCCGGCACTTTGGGAGGCCAAGGTAGGTGGATTGCTTGAGGTCAGGAGTTCGAGACCAGCCTGGCCAACATGGTGAAACCCTATCTGTACTAAAATTACAAAAATTAGCTGGGTGTGGTTTGGTGTACACCTGTATTCCCAGCTACTCAGGGGCCTGAGGCACAAGAATCACTTGAGCCTGGGAGGCGGAGGTTGCAGTGAGCTGAGATTGCACCACTGCACTTCAGCCTGGGCCATTGAGTGAGACTTGGTCTCAAAAAAAAAGAGGACTAACCAGGTGCAGTGGCTCATTCTTGTAATCCCAGCACTTTGGGAGACCAAGGAAGGAGGATGGCTTGAGCTCAGGAGTTCATGACCAGCCTAGGCAACATAGTGAGACCTCATTTCTACCAAAATAAAAAAAAAAAATTAGTCGAACATGGTGGCAAGCACCCTTAGTCCCAGTTACTGAGGAGGCTGAGGTGGAAGGATCACTTGAGCCCCCGAGGTCAAGGATGCAGGGAGCCATGATCCCACTACTGCACTCCAGCCTGGGCAACAGAGTGAAACCCTGTTAAAAAAAAAATGAGTGTTCTGTCAATAATTATGTGAAAAGATATACAACCTTACTAATGACCAGAAAAATGCAAATTAAAATAGAAACAATAATGAGATTTTTTAAATCCTTCTCGGATTGGCAAAAAATTTAAAAGTCATGTAATACCAAGTGTTGTCAAGAATGTAGGGAAATAGAACTTTCACCCACTGCCAGTATATAGTAGGTTGCAAAAAAACAGCCACCTATTTCTCCCATTCCTGTATACATAACGCTTTACTATATAATTTTGTCTCTTTTGCCACCAAAGGCTAGAGTATATTTCTCTGCCCCTTGAATCTGAGCTTGGTCATGTGCCTTGCTTTGGCTAATGGGACATTTGCAAATGTGATGAAAATAGAGGCTTGAGGCTGGGCATGGTGACTCACGCCTGTAATCCCAGCACTTTGGGAGGCCGAGGCGGGCAGATCACAAGGTCAGGAGATCGAGACCATCCTGGCTAACATGGTGAAACCCCATCTCTAATAAAAATACAAAAAATTAGCCGGGCGTGGTGGCGGGTGCGTGTAGTCCCAGCTACTCAGGAGGCTGAGGCAGGAGGATGGCAGGAACCCGGGAGGCGGAGCTTGCAGTGAGCCGAGATTGCGCCACTGAACTCCAGCCTAGGAGACAGCGAGACTCCGTCTCAAAAAAAAAAAAAAAAAAAGAAAGAAAACAGAGGCTTGAAAACCTTCTATTCATTAGGGCTTGTACTTTCTTGCTGGCAAGAATCTTTCTGCTTGTATGTGAGCAAGCTGGACCTAGCCTCCTAAATGATGAGAGAGACTCCAGCTGTCACATATGAATAAACTATCTTAGAAAATCCAGTCCTGGCCAAGATCACCAGCCCAGGAGAACAGGCTGCCAATCCAAAAAATCATGAGAAATAATAAATGTTGGTTTTTAGGCCACTGTATTAAGGAATGATTTGCTACACAGCAAAAACTACTTGATACACAATGGGAGTATAAATTGATACAACCACTTTGCAAAGCATTGAGGCAATATCTAGTGTAGTTAAAGATGCATATACTCAATGCCTCAGCAATTCAAATCTCAAATATACACCTTGGAGAAAATCTCACACATGTGCCCAAGGAAATAGGTACAAGAATGCTCATGGCAACCTTGTGCATGCTATAGGAATAGAATCAGAAAAAAACCGAACAAAGTGACTGATCAAAAGAAGAAATGTATATTATAGTGTACTCATATAATGGAACATTATGTCACAATTAGAAGAAATATTGGGCAATATATTACCTGGGGGATGAAATAATCTGTACACCAAACCCCTGTGATGTGCAGTTTATCTAAATATTAAGAACAAACCTGCACATGTATCCCTGAGCCTAAAATAAAAGCTATAATAATAAAAAAAGAGGCCTGGCGTGGTGGCTCATGCCTGTAATCCCAACACTTTGGGAGGCCAAGGCAGACAGATCACCTGAGGTCGGGAGTTTGAGACCAGCCTGACCAACACGGAGAAACCTCGTCTCTACTAAAAATACAAAATTAGCCGGGTGTGGTGGTGCATGCCTGTAATCCCAGCTACTCAGGAGGCTGAGGCAGGAGAATCGCTTGAACCCAGGAGGCAGAGGTTGCGATGAGCTGAGATCATGCCATTGCACTCCAGCCTGGGCAACAAGAGCGAAACTCTGTCTCAAAAAAAAAAAAAAAAAATAGAATACGCAACAGCTACGTTATTCAAAGTAAAGGTATCTTGAAAATACAATGTTGAGTGAAGGGAATTTTGACAATGGTTACCATTCAGAGGATGAAGATGGTGGTGGGAGGAAAATACCATTGGGGAGGGGCACAAAGATTATTTAACTGGATCTATAATGTTCTGTTTCTTTTTAAAAACAGAAGTCAAAAAAAGCAAATATGTCAAAATATTAACATTTTTAAAATCAGTGATAGGTATTCATATTATTCTCATTTATTTTATGTATTTAAAATAGCTCATAAATTAAACAAATAAATTTATGCATATCTAATTGACCTGCCAAAATAGCAATTGTAATGACTACTTGTATTTTAGCTTAAGGAGCCAACATTTCTCCATTTCTCTCTCTCTTTTTTTTTTTAAGTTTTTTTTTTTTTTTTTTTTTTTTGAGACGGAGTCTTGCTCTTTTACCCAGGCCGGAGTGCAGTAGCACGATCTCGGCTCACTGCAAGCTCCACCTCCCGGGCTCACGCCATTCTCCTGCCTCAGCCTCCTGAGTAGCTGGGACTACAGGCGCCCGCCACCACGCGCGGCTAATTTTTTGTATTTTTAGTAGAGATGGGGTTTCACCGTATTAGCCAGGATGGTCTCGATCTCCTGACCTCGTGATTTGCCCGCCTTGGCCTTTAATGTTTTTCATGTGTTTTTTGTTTGTTTGTTTGTTTTGTTTTTGAGATAGAGTCTTGCTCTGTTGCCCAGTCTGGATTACAGTGGCGTGATCTTGGCTCACTGCAACTTCCACCTCCCGGGTTCAAGCAATTCTCATGCCACAGCCTCCCAACTATCTGGGACTGCAGGTGTGTGCTACCACGCTGATTTTTGTGCTTTTAGTAGAGATGCGGTTTCACCATGTTGGCCAGGGTGGTCTCGAACTCCTGGCCTCAAGTGATCTGCCCACTTTTGCCTCCTAAAGTGCTGGGATTACATGCCAAGAGCTAACATTTCCTAAACTAATCCTTTTAATTTTTATTATCAGGAAATTTTTAATTTTTCACATGTATAAACTATGCTGTAATAAACATCTTTGACAACATCGATATTTCTATATCATTCATTCTCAAAAGTATAACTGATATGTCAAAGTGTATTCACTTTCTAAGGTTAATATTTATTGTCAAATTTTTCTTCAGAAGGTAATACCAATTTATACCCCTGTCAGAAGTATATTACCCCTGGCCAAGCATGATGGCTCACGCCTGTAATACCAGCACTTTGGGGGGCTGAGGCGGGCAGATCGCTTGAGCCCAGGAGTTTGAGACCAGCCTGGGCAACTTGGTGAAACGCTGCCTCTACAAAAAATACAATAATTAACTGAGCATGGGTGCGTAGCTGTAGTGACTGAGGTAGGAGGATTGCTTGAGCCCAGAACGTCAAGGCTGCAGTAAGCCAAGACTGTGCCACTACACTCCAGCCTGGGCAACACAGTGAGACCCTATCTCAAAAAAAAAAAAAAAAGGTGTTGGCAGAATTAGTGTCTCCTGAGGACTCTCTCCTTATCGTGCAGATGGCTGTCTGCTCCCTGTGTCCTCAGATGATCTTTTCTCTGTGCATGTCTGTGTTTAAATTTCTTTGTCATATAAGGATACTAGTCATTTTGGATTGGAGCTGACCCTAATGATCTCATTTTAACTAACACAGTCAATTCTGAGGAACTAGGGGTTAGGACTTTAACTTATGAATTTGGGGATGACACAACTCAGCCCATAACAATGAATATTTATTCTTGTTTTGTTTTGTTTTTTTAGATGGAGTCTCACTCTTGTTGCCCAGGCTGAAGTGCAATGGCATGATCTCAGCTCACTGCAACCTCCGCCTCCCAGGTTCAAGCGATTCTCTTGCCTCAGCCCTACCCTCTGCCACCCCCGAGTAGCTGGGATTACAGGTGCCCACCACCATGCCTGGCTGATTTTTCGTATTTTTAATAGAGACGGGGTTTTGCTATGTTGGCCAGGCTGGTCTCAAACTCCTGACCTCAGGTGATCCACCTGCCTTAGCCTCCCAAAGTGCGGGATTACAGGCGTGAACCACCACTCCCAGCCTATTCTTAAATTTATTATCTAATTTAATTTTTCTTTTCTTTTTTTTTGAGACACGATCTCTCTCTGTCACCCAATCTGGAGTGTAGTGGCATGATCACAGCTCCCTGCAGCCTTGACCTCTTGGGCTCAAGTGATCCTCCCACCTCAGCCTCCTGAGTAGCTGGGACTACAGGCATGCATCACCATGCCTGCCTAATTTTTGTATTTTTTGCGAAGACAGGGCTTCGCCATGTTGCCCAGGATGGTCTTGAACTGCTGGGCTCAAGCAGTCCTCCTACATTGGCCTCCCAAAGGGCTAGAATGGAAAGCACCATTGCAAAATTATAACTGAGAAAATTATTACAGTGAAAGAGATCTGACCTGACCAACTCCATCTTCCTTTTAACCTCCAAGCTGTCCTTGTTCATTCCTGAGCGCAGGACGAACTAACTTTGGGGAGAACTTAGTTTATTGTTTAAGTTTGAAACAAAGATGATAACAGCCCTTTCCCAAAACAAACCTCCTTCCTGCCTCAGGACTAGGCTGCATTTGTAGGACTAACAAATTAGCCACAAGATTAGAAATTATGGTTTAGGAGTCATGCAGCTAGAGGCTACAAGATTCTGACCCTCCCCAAATTGCTCCTGGGTAGGCAATATCACTGTTGTAAAACCTAAGATCAGTGCTTGAGATATTTTGCAGGCCCTGCACTTGATGGATCAGCTGGCACCACCCAGATCAATCAACTGGTTCATCTGATCTTGTGGCCCCCACTCAAAAACTGACTCAGCACAAGAGGACAGCTTCGACTCTCTATGATTTAATCTCTGACCCAACCAATCAGCGCTCTTGACTCACCGGCCCTGACACACCAAATTGTCCTTAAAAACCCCCATCTCTAACTTTTCAGGGAGACCGATTTCAGTGATAATAAAACTCAGGTCTCCTATACAGCCAGCTCTGCATGAATTAAACTCTTTCTGTGTTACAATTCCCCTCTCTTGATAAATTGGCTTTGTCTAGGTAGCAGGCAACATGAACCCACTGGGCTGTTACATAAGCTTGGTTGTCCATATTTTGAGTAAATAATACGTATTTTAAAAATTAAATTAAGGCCGGGTGCAGTGGCTCATGACTGTAATCCCAGCACTTTGGGAGGCCGAGGTGGGTGGATCACCTGAGGTCAGGAGTTCAAGACCAGCCTAGACAACATGGTGAAATCCTGTCTCTACTAAAAGTACAAAAATTAGACGGGCGTGTTGGCGGTCACCTTTAATCCCAGCTACTCAGGAGGCTGAGGCAGGAGAATCACTTGAACCTGAGAGGCGGAGGTTGCAGTGAGCCAAGATCGTGCCATTGCACTCCAGCCTGGGCAACAAGAGTGAAACTCTGTCTGAAAAAATAAATTAAAATACTATTCCTTACTAGCTTTGGGTGACGTTTTTCATGTGAACTTTTTGTGATGGTTCAATGTCTTTTTTTTTTTTTTTTTTTTTTTAGACGGAGTTTCGTTCTGTCATCCAGGCTGGAGTGCAGTGGCACGATCTCGGCTCACTGCAAGCTCCACCTCCTGGGTTCACGCCATTCTCCTGCCTCAGTCTCCCAAGTAGCTGGGACTACAGGCGCGTGATACCACGCCTGGCTAATTTTTTGTATTTTTAGTAGAAACGGGGTTTCACTGTGTTAGCCAGGATGGTCTCAATCTCCTGACATCATGATCCACCTGCCTTGGCCTCCCAAAGTGCTGGGATTACAGGCGTGAGCCACCACTCCCAGCCTCGATGTCCTTTTTTATTGAAAGTTCTAGACCAAGTACATTTGTGTTGATTTTAGTTACAAGATGGCTAATTTCATTTTTACTCTTTTCTGAGGTGTGGTGAATGAATCACCTTTGTCTTAACACCAATATGCCACTTTTGACCTTTCCATTTTGAATAGGGCACAAAAAGAGATTTAGTTATCTATCATCCAGTTTTATATTACTCAGCGTGCTCTGTGAAACAGAAAGACTTTAAGGCCCAGGTCTTGTCTATCTAGTTTTTTTCTTTTTTTGAGATGAAAAAAGAGTTTATTTATTACAAACTTTTTGGGCTACTCCAAGATCCAGCCTTACCTGAAGTCCGACACCAGTCCACATTAATTGCTGTGCTATTATCCATTTATTGCCTCTCAGTTCCAAATTCATTCATTACCTACTCTGTGAAAATGGACCTAGGTCTTTTAAATATTGTTCCTTTGCCTGTTGGCACAATGTTAAGCTGTGTCAGTAGTGGAAGCTGGAGAGGCACTACAGGTAGAAACAACTTTTTTTCCCCTAGTTCAAATGTGCACCCGAGGCAGGCTCCTGCTGCACAGACTGCTTCCCCAGGACCCAGGCCTTGATTCCAGGTTCTGCCTAGCTTTTGAAAAATGCAAGGACTTTTAAAGTGTTGAAATACTAGATACTTTTTATAAGATTAAACAAAATATTACAGTCTGATTTTTGCCTGTCTATAAGGATGGATATTCATTTCACTCTTCAATTCTTCCCCCACTCCTGCTGGCTTCTTAGCAACATCACAGTTCAGAAAATGTTTACACAGTCAATTGCTACACCTTTGATTCCAAGGCAAACCATTCTTTGTAATCTCTAGCATCTAGTGCTGAATGCAAGGTAGAAAGTAATATGTCAACAAATAGTTCTGATGTGGTAAATTTTACTGTGAACCAACTCTGTCAGGTTCAAGGAAAAGCAAGCCTTTGATCTAACAAATTATTTCAGATTGTATTTAGAAACACCAACAACAAAAAGGATACTATCTCAATAAATTCCTTGCCATTCTACAGTGGAAATTTTAATGATGGCATTAAATCAATTCACTTCTATGGATTTCATCAAACTATGTCATAGCTTATATTATTCCTAGAAGAGTTGTTGAATCCCCATCTCATGGAAGCTTGAGAAAAAAAGCGTAACATCATCTGTTCCTTTCTCATTGCAGATCTGCAGGAAACATGCCATTTTGCAGTACAAATTAAGTGATTCTTTTGTTCATTAAAAGCTTGCCAAAACTGGTAACTGTGATGACTGACCTCTGTTTTAGTCTGTTTTGTGCTGTTATAACAGAATCCATGAGACTGGATAATTTATAATAAACAGAAATTTATTGGCTTACAGTTTTGAAGACTAGGAAGTTCAAGGTCATGGGGCCAGCATCTTGCAAGGGCCTTTTTGCTGCATCATCCCATGGGGGAAAGGCAAAGGGAGGGTGCAAGAGAGCAGGAGAATGAGCTCACAGTGTCAGCCTTTTTATAATTGGCATTAATTCATTCATGACGTTGGAATTCTCATGACCAAAACACCTCCAATTAGGCCCCACTTCCCAACAGCATTGCATCATTAGGGATTAAGTTTCCAACACATGAACTTTGGGGGACACATTTAAACCACGGCAACCTCCAAGGAGGAAAACATGATGCCTAATGGCAAGGGTGATGGCAATGGTGGTGGTGATCATGGACGACTAAGTTAGAAAAGTATAGATATTTCTCAGTTTACAATGGGGTTATGTCCTGCTAAATCCATCATAAATTGAAAATACCTTAAGTCAAAAATACATTTAATATGCCTAACCTGCTGAGGATCATAGTTTAGCCTAGGTTAACTTAAATGTGCTCAGAATACTTATTACATTAGTCTACCATTGGGCAAAATCATTGAACACAAAGGTTATTTTATAATAGTGTTGAATATCTCATGTAATTTATTGAATATTGTACTAAAAGTGAAAAAAATAATGGTTAGGCCAGGCATAGTGACTCATGCCTATGATCCCAGCAATCTGGGAGGCTGAGGCAGGCAGACTGCTTGAGCCCAGGAGTTTGAGACCAGCCTGGGCAACATGGAGAAACCTAGTCTCTACAAAAAATACAAAAATTAGCTGGGCATGGTGGCATGCACCTGTAGTTCCAGCTACTCTGGAGGCTGAGGTGGGAGGATCACTTGAGCCTAGGAGGTCAAGGCTGCAGTGAGTGCAGTGAGCCATAATCACACCACTGCACTCAAGCTTGGGTGATAGAGCAAAACCCTGTCTCAAAAAAACCAAAACAAAATGAAAACAAAAAACACCAGAATGGTTGTATAGGTACTCAAAGTATGGTTTCTACTGAATGCATATCATTGTTCCACCATAATAAAGCCAAAAAATTATAAATAAAATTAACATAAATCAAGAACTATCTATCTGCATAGTGAATGGATGAAATATACCGTAGATTAAGATGCTACTGCTGAGTGCCGTGGTTCACACCTGTAATCCTGGCACTTTGGGAGGCCGAGGCGGGTGGATCTCTTGAGCTCAGGAGTTCGAGACCATCTTGGGCAACATGGCTGATATGGTGTGGCTGTGTTCCCACTCATATTTCATCTTGAATTTTAATTCCCATAATCTCCATGTGTCGTGAGAGGGACCCGGTGGGAGGTATTAATAATTGAATCATGGGGGTGGTTTCTCCCATGCTGTTCTCATGACAGTGAGTGAGTTCTCATGAAATCTGATGGTTTTATAAGCTTCTGCTGTTTCCCCTTCTTGCACTCATTCTCTCTCCTGCTGCCCTGTGAAGAGGTGTCATCCACCATGATTGTAAGTTTCCTGAGGCCTCCCCAGCCATGCAGAACTGTGGGTCAATTAAACCTCTTTTCTTTATAAATTACCCAGTCCTGGATATTTCTTCATAGCAGCCTAAGAATGAACTAACATAACGGTAAAACCCTGGCTCTACAAAAAACACAAAAATTAGTCGGGTGTGGTGGCTTGCATGTGTAGTCCCAGCTACTTGGGAGGCTGAGGAAGGAGAATTGTTTGAGCCCAGGAGGTGGAGGCTGCAGACAGCTGTGATTGAGCCATTGCACTTCACCCTGGATGACAAAGTGAGACCATTTCCAAAAAAAAAAAAAAAAAAAAAAACAACCTACAAACAAATTGAGTTGCCATCAATAAGACATTAAATTGTGTGGGTTGTTTTTTGTTGTGGTTTTTTTTTTTTTTTTTTTTTTGAGACAGGGCCTTGCTCTCTCATCCAGGCTGGAGGGCAATGGCTCCATCTCGGCTCACTCAGCCTCCCTCCTGGGTTCAAGCAATTATCGTGCCTCAGCCTCCCTAGTAGCTGGGACTACAGGCACACACCACCATGGTCAGCTAATTTTTGTATTTTTTTTAAATAGAGATGGGGTTTTACAATGTTGGCCAGGCTGGTCTTAAACTCCTGACCTCGTGTGATCTGCCCGACTTGGCCTCCGAAAATGCTAGGATTACAGGTGTGAGCCACTGTGCCCAGCCAACATTTACTTATTTGTAAAAATCCAAATGCTGGCATTGTCCAGGAAAATCTAACAAGTTTATTTATAATTGTTATAAAGGTGAATTGCTGACACTTGTTTAATAAAACATTTTGATTTGCCTCAGTGCTTTATATTTCCACATTCATATTAACAATTCGCACACAAGTGAAAATGGTAAAACTGTCAATATCTGATTTCTATCCCCTATTTTTCCACTTGCATTTATATACTTAGGTACTTTTTGACCCCATGAGGAAAAAATATCAAACATTCAGAACCACCACTAACAGGAAGATGAGAGGATTTTTCATTTGTTTGTTTTGAGAATGAAATGTTTCCTTTCATAGTGGATTCTTTTTTTTTTTTTTTTTCCTTTTGAGATAGGGTCTTGTTCTGTCACCCAGGCTGGAGTGCAGTGGTGTGATTTTAGCTCACTGCAATCTTGAACTTCTGGCCTCAAGCCATCCTCCTGCCTCAGCCTCCCAAGTACCTGGGACCACAGCTGCATGCCACCAAGCCTGGCTATTTTTTTAAAATTATTTTTAGTAGAGAAGAGGTCTTGCTATGTTGCTCAGGCTGATCTTAAACTCCTGAGCTCAATTGATCCTCCTGGCTCCGCCTCCCAAAGTGCTGGGATTACAGGTGTGAGCCACCACACTCAGCCATAGTAGATTCTTAAACATATTCTCAATCTATGTAGCATGCTAGCTGGATGTCTTTAGTCATAACTGTTATACTTTGGGCTGGGTGTGGTGGCTTGTGCCTGCAATCCCAGCTAAATGGGAGGCTGAGCCTGGAGAATTGCTTGAGCCCAGGAGTTCAAGGCCAGACTGGGCAACATAGCAAGACCCCTCTCTCTAAATAATTTATTTTAATTAGCCAGGCCTGGTAGTGTGTGTCTGTAATCCCGGCTTCTCGGGAGGCTAAGGGAGGAGGATTACTTGGCCCAGGAGTTCAAGGCTGCAGTGAGCTATGATCACGCCACTGCACTCCAGCTTGGGTGACAGAGCAAAGCCTTGTCTCTAAAAATATAAATAGAAATGAAATATAAAAACAAACAAAAAACACTGTTACACATTTGATACAGAGAGCACCCAGGGTGGAAGTCCCACATGATAGACCACACTTGCTTCCTACAATAGACCTCACTTGCTTCCAATAGCTGTGCTCTGGCAACACAAATCTGTTTTGAAGTCCTAAGCAATTTCTAATATCAGGTACTGGAATGAAAGTTTGCAAATCAGAAATTTGGTGGACTTTTGATAACATCTAATTTCATGGAGTGCCACAGTATCAAGCCTGTAATGCTAAGGTTTCTTCATTTCTCCAGTAGAGGGTGCACTCTTGGGAAAGGCATTTGTAGCCAGATGTTTTCCGGGTGCCAGCTTTGTAGGAGCCATGGTAAGTAGGAGACACCTCCTGACTTACCTTCCTTCTTTGGCTGGAGCTCAGCAAGATAGAGGTGCTGGTGTTAGAGAGTAGCAACTGTGTGGTGGCTGCTCAACTTATTTAGTAAATGTTATTTTTAGACAGTACATTTTATGTCAGGATTCAATTCTGTTAAGTCACAATGTAGCAGTATGATCTCCACCACTGCTCCAGATGGAAACATTGCTTTACATTTTTTCTTTCCCTTTCTCTTTCTTTTTTATTTTTTTGACACAGGGTCTCAATTTGTCCCCCAGGCTGGAGTGTAGTCGCATGATATTGGCTCACTGCAGCCTAGACATCTTGGGCTCAAGGGATCCTCTCACCTCAACCTCCTGAGTAGTTGGGACTACAGCCACACCCCATGCCTGGCTAATTTTCGTAGAGACGGGGGTCTCGCCATGGTGCTCAGGTGGTCTTGAACCCCTGGGGTCAAGCGATTCTCCCGCCTTGGCCTCCCAAAGTGCTGGAATTACAAACATGACCCACTACGCCCAGCTTACACTTTAAACTATTTATTTTCCATTTATTTTACCAACCAATATGTATTTAGTAACAACCCTGTGCCAGACATGGTATTAGCTCTGGTGACACAGTAATGAAGATGGACAAAGTCTGTTGTCATGGAGTGTATATTCTGGAGGGGGATTGTGACAGCCAATAATCATGTAAATAAGATGGTGATGATTGGGATGGGGGCTATAAGGGATTAAGCACTGAGAATCGAAAGAAAGAATGACTGTTGATGTTATACAGATTATGCAGCCATAGAGGAGGCAATGTTGGGACTCAGAAAAGTGATACCCCAAAATATGGTGTTTTGGTATACTGAACTAAAAGAAGCAGCCTCGAGGTCTCTCTGACACCCCCCTCCAGCCTCCACTAACATTTTGTCTCTCCCAAGGCACAGGATGAGGCTCTTCTCTGATATTCCTTTATCACCTTTAAGACTGGACCCACAAAGAAAACACAATTGCCTTCCATCCCCTCTCCGAAATCTCATTACCTATCACAGAAAAGAAGACTGAGTAATGTAACCACACCTGGATGAATTTTTTCACAAAACAATGTCTGCCTTTCAGGCTCATTCAAATTCTAAAGAGAATAACTTACAGATTAATTCCTGTCTCCCAGGTTCATTCATTTCCCCTAAAAATCATTTGCTGCCCCTCAAAATTGTTACACCCTCAACTCCCCTTCCCCTGTGAACAAGAGTATGTAAGCAACTGGACCTCATTTGGGTTATTGGGTAATCCTACCCCTGCAATTCCCTCATGTTTATGCATGTTAAATAAATTTTGTATGCCTTTTTCTGCTTTTTAATCTGCCTTTTGTCAGTTCATTTTGTAAACCACAAATAAAATTCTAAGGCCCACCAACCAACCGTCTGAATAGACCCCCTCCTCTCAGCCAGGGCACTCCAACATTAACCTGAAAACCTGGTGCAAGCCATGATGGGAAGAGAGGGTGGGACATGCCTCATTATACCCTCCTCCCTTTTGGAATTCAGAAAAAGTTGACCAGCATGTACAATCAACACAGACTTTAAGTCTAGTAAGAAACACTTACAATCTGTTTTCTCCAAAGTCTGTTACCTGGAGGCTTTCTCAGCATGATAAAACTTTGGTTTCCACAACCTCTTATTGTAACCCAAATATTCCTTTCTATTGATAGTAGTTCTTTCAACCAATTGCCAATCTAAAATATTTTAAATGTACCTATAACCTGGAACCCCTCCTCCCCTCTCTGCCCACTTGGAGTTGTCCCACCTTTCTGGACTGAACCAATGTATACCTTACGTGTATTTGATTGATGTCTCATGTCTCCCTAAAATGTATAAAACTAGGCTGTACCCCGACCACCTTGGGCACATGTTCTCAGGGTCTTCTGAGGGCTGTGTCATGGGCTATGGTCACTTCTATTTGGCTCAGAATAAATCTCTTAAATATTTTACAAAGTTTCACTCTTTTCATCAACAATTTTCAACAAACCCTTAACAGGATGACGGACGCTTTCCCTTGGCCCCTCTACAATCATACAGGTGGGTGATGTGTGAGCTTTGCCATGATCTTACTGGGGTGCTATGAGTTGCTGAGAAATTACTGAAGAAATTAATGGCCTACAAAAGTGATATGAAAATTATTTTAAACTGAAAATGCCTGTACAACCAGCAGCTACAGAAATAAACATTATCCAAACTTAAGCAGGGCCTCCTGAAAATACAGATGCCTTTGGCTCCCCCACCCACCAAAGGAGTTTCCTGTTGGGAGAATACTGAAGTGTGAATTCAGCTAGCTATTAACATCAGAAAAGCCAACAGTACCTTTCATTCTTCCCCTTTGAAGTTTTAACTCCTCCCTGTTTTGTTCAGTTGACGTAAAAACATTTACCTCTGGCTTCTTATCCAGTTACTCCTTACTGAGTAATGAGTGCATGTATAAATAATTCTTGTTCTGTTCATCCATCTATTGTCAGTTAATCTTCAGGCCCCCAAGCAATTGAAACTAGTGGGTAGAGGAAAATTTTCCTTCCAACACTACATTGTGATACATACTCAGGTGGGTAAAAAAAGACTAGGGCACATTTTGTTGAATATTTGTCAACTTCATTTACTGCGGAGATGGCATTTTTATGTCCATAACCTCTGAATTATAATTTTGAAGAAGGCACTGAGGTAGGATTACATTTATTTCACCCATAGTTATTAAAGCAAATAATTTCATGAGCTTCATAAATAACTATAAACTATTTCAAAGAAAACATTTCTTAACTCATTGTTTAGATTTAAGGCAGATAAGTGACACATTTTTTATCATATCTTCTTTTTTTCTGAGACAGAGTCTGGCTCTGTCACCCAGGCTGGAGTGTGGCACAATCTTGGCTCACTGCAACCTCCATCTCCCAGGTTCAAATGATTCTCCTGCCTTAGCCTCCCAAGTAGCTGAGATTACAGGTGCCCACCACCACACCCAGCTAATTTTTTGTATTTTTAGTAGAGACAGGGTTTCACCATGATGGCCAGGCTGGTCTTGAACTCCTGACTTCAAGTGATCCACCCGCCTCAGCCTCTCAAAGCGCTGGGATGACAGGCGTGAGCCACTGCACCCAGCCAGATCATATCTTCTTAATTCCTAAGTATCACAAAAAAGCTTTTTCATCTTATTCAAAACTTAAAATTAAAAGAAGAATTTATGCCATAGTGTTAGTTAAATACGTAGTGAGACTGGAGAGTTCCCTGGATCCCTTCGTGGGACTTGCAACAGGGGTGTGGTTCGCTTACTCAGCCCCCCACTCAAACCCCTTGCAGGAGGGGGAGCGTGCAGGCAAGCAGGTGCCAAGGCTGGGGCAAGCACTTCTGGGCTCTGGCCCTATGGCAGCATCTAGGGGTGTGTTACAATTAATGCTCTTTTAGCAGTTGCCATTCATGGATGGCTAAGTGTTAACTGGCTCAGAGGAGAGTCAGCACGACAGCATTTTACTCTCTGCCCTCTTGGTATCCTGGTCCTTGTCTGGCATCCAGGAAGAATCAGGTCACATGGACTTGAAGGATGGTGAATGCAGAGGTTTTACTGAGTGAAGGAGGTGGCTCTTAGTGGGATGGGCAGCTGGAAAGGGGATGGAGTGGGAAGATAATCTTCCCCCTGGAGTTCAGCCGTCCCTGGCCAAACTCATCTCGACAGTCAGATGCTTCTTCTCTTCTTTCCTTCTCTGCCATGACACTCTGCTTGTCTGTAAGTGGAATTTGAGGTTTTTATGGGTATGGGATGGGGGGTATGATGGGCCAGGGCAGTTTTGGAAAAAGCAACATTGGAGTGGGAAAACAGGGATGTGAAGTTCTCATTTAGGGCTGTGGGCCCAGGCTTGTGGGTAGGGCCTTTGCCAGGGAACTGCCCTCTTCTATTCAGTATTTCCCTGCCTCCTGTCCATATCAATAATAGTTGGCTGCTGCTTCAGCCCCTGTGATTACCAGGAAGCATGAGAGCAATCTTGGCAGTGGAACAAAAAAACATTGAATAATGATTTGTGGGCACACCATACAAAATCACAATGGAAAGACAAACAGGAAGTCTCAGGGTTTTGGGTTTTTCTTGTGTTTTCTGGGGATAGAGGGGGCCCAAGCATTGTGTAATTAGTTGTCAATAACTTTCTTTGTGAATTCTACATGTGGAAGATCTGTTTCACATGTGCTTTGGCATTGAATAATTATTTTATTGATGCTTTGTTAAAACAAAGATAGAATCCCATTTTATATCTGGTTATGTAAATAGAAAACTGTACACACTGCTCTACTCTTGCTTTTCATGGGAGGGGAAATGGCTTCCCTCTACCCTTCTAGGTTCTTTGGCTAGGCCATGAATTAAATTGACAGATGATAAATTAACAAGAGAAAAATCATCTTAATTACATATGTATGCATAGGACTCTGACAAATATGTGAGACTTAATTCCAGCTTCCACTAGCCATCCTGTCCCACCTAAGGTGGGGGGAAAAATCCAAGGGGCAGAGACAGTATGTGAAGTTCACCGTCAAGGTCAGGTGTGGTGACTCATGCCTGTAATCCCAATACTTACCAAGACTGAGACAAGTGGATTGCTTGAGCCCAGGAATTCAAGACCAGCCTGAGCAACATGGTGAAACTCTGTCTCCACAAGAAATACAAAAATTAGCCAGGTATGTGGTGCGTGCCTGTAGCCCCAGCTACACAGGAGGCTGAGGTGGAAGTATCACCTGAGCCTAGGAAATCAAGGTACAGTAAGACATGATCGTGTCACTGCACTCCAGCCTGGGCAACAGAATGAGACTCTGTCTCAAGGAAAAAAAAAAGTTCACAGCTAAAGGGCACATAAAGGCTTACTAAATGCCTAAGACCTAATTATAGTGCCAGAGGCATTTAAAGGAGAGCAACTCCATCTTGAATAGGAGCTACGTAAAATAAAGCCCAGACCTGCTTGGCTGCCATCCCAGGAGGTTAGGCATTCTTATTCACAGGATAAGACTGGAGGTGAACAGGACTGGTATCACACGTCAGAGGTTGTAAAGACCCTACTGATGAAACAGGATGTGGTAAAGAAGCCAGCCAAAACTCACCGAAACCAAGATGGAGATGAAAGTGACCTCTGGTTGTCCTCACTTCTCATTATATGTTCGTTATAATGCATTAGCATGCTAAAAGACACTCCCACTAGCACCATGACAGTTTACAAATGCCATGGCAACTTCTGGAAATCACCCTACATGTTCTAAAAAGGCGAGGGACCCTCAGTTTCTGAAACTCTTCATCCTTTTTCTGGAAAACTCATGAATAATCTACCCCTTGTTTATCATCTAATCAAGAAATAACCATAAAAATAGTCAACCAGCAGCCCCCTGGTTGCTCTGCCTATGGAATAGCCATTCTTTTGTTTCATTACTTCTCTATAAACTTGCTTTTTACTTTACTCTGTGGACCACCCTGAATTATTTCTTGCATGACATCTAAGAACCCTCTCTTGGGGTCTGGACTGGGACTGCTTTCTGGTAACGATAGGACCATAGAATGCTTCTCCTCCCCTCAAATCTTACCAGCACATCGCTAAAGGTGTACTTTTTGTTGTTTTGTTGAAAGGTGTCATTCAGCAAAAAATGACAAGGCACACTAAAAGGCAAAACAGAATTTGAAGAGACTGAGGATGCATCAGAATCAGACTAGATATGGCAGTGATGTTGATATTACCAGATTGTGAATTTAAAACAACTATGATTAACATAGTAAAGGCTCTAATTGAGAAAGTAGGCAGAATTCAAGAACAGATGGTCAATATAAGCAGAAAGATGGAAATTCTAAGTAAGAATCAAAGACAAATATTAGAAATCAAAAACATTGTAACAGAACTGAAGAATGCCTTTGATGGGCTTATTAGTAGATTGCACATGGCTGAGGAAAAAATCACTGATCTTGAGAATGTGTCAATAGAACCTTCCAAAACTGAAAAGCAAAGAGAAACAAAAAAGACTGGACAAAAAAACCCAGAATATCCAAGAACTGTGAGACAAGTACAAAAGGTGTAGCATACATGTTATGGGAATTCCAGAAGGAGAAGAAAGACAGAAAAGTATAGAAAAAATATTTTAAGCAATAAAGACTGAGACTTTCCACAAATTAATGTCAGACATCAAACTACATATGCTGGAAGCTCAGAGTACATCCAGCAGGATAAATGCCAAAAAAAAAAAAAAAACAAAAAAAAAAAAAACAAAACAAAACAAAAAAAACCCTAGGCATATCATATGCAAACTGCCAAAAATCAAAGACAAAGAAATATCTTGAAAGAAGCCACAGGAAAAAACACTTTACCTATAGAGGAGAAACATAAAATTTACAACCAACTTCTCTTCAGAAACCACACAAGCAAGAAGAGTGTTCTATTTTTCTGTAATTTCATCTTAAGGTCTCTTTCTGGAGAATGGCAGTAAACTCCTGTCCTCTCTCACATGGCTCCAGGAGATTTGGTTGTGAATATTTACAATGTTTCTTTCATGAGATACTTCTTTAGCCTGACAAACAGCTGGATGTCTAAGTGTCTGACCTGTGACCAGGTGTCCCACTCACAGGAAACTTGTTTATAGTGACAGATATCCTTATGGCTCTTGTCTGACCTGTGTCCAGTTTATTTCTACCAAGATAGCCATTCTTCAGAAAAGCCCTGGCCAGGAAAGAAGTTAGGTTTAGATGTGTCATTCAGCTGAGACACAAAGAAAGTAATTCAAACAAAACATGAAATAACACAAGCAGTATATTACTTTCAGATCCCAGAGAGAAGACAGCAGCATGCCCCATGGGGCCAACAGGAAGTAGGGAGCTATTTGGGACGTGTACACTCAATCAGCAGGCAAGGAGCAAGAGAGAGAATGAGGAACCCATGGGCTGAAGACTTTATTGGGGTCTAGGGCATTATCCAGGCAGGTTTCCCTTGGGAAGTTCTAATTAGTGGGTTTAGAGGAAGTAGATACAAGTACATGAAATCATGCTGTGACTGAGAAGTGGTCACTGTGGCATATCTGCACAATCAGTGCAGTAGGGGGTTCAGCAAGGTGAGTCAAGTAGGTTGTATCTAGCTGTCTGATAGGGAGGTGGTCACCAGGAAGCAGTCGTATAAAGCAGATATCTGGATCAACCCCACTGAGGAACTGGGATGAAGTAGAGAACCAGAAGCTGTGTCAAGGGTGACTAAGCCCTGTTTCCAATATGAGAAAATTAAACCTGTGTTCAAAATGGATGCTGAGGCAACATAAAATTGTAAGAAATCACTACAAAGAGAGTGAAGTGAAATATTTAAAGTGGTGAGAGAAAAAAACTCCCAACTAGAATTGTGTATCCTGTGAAATTCTTCTTCAAAAGTGAAGTAGAAATAAAGACTTTCTGAGACCAACAAACACTAAGGAAATTTGTTGCTAGTAGATCTGCCTTGTAAGAAATATTAAGGAAATTCTTCACATAGAAGAAAAATAATGTAGGTCAGAAATGTGGATCTACATAGGGAAAGATAGAGTATCAGAGAAGAATAAGTTAAGGTAAATAAAAACTTAAAAAATTTTTAATTGGTCTAACATAACATTTTGTTTCAAATAATAATGGCAAAATGTATTTGATTGGGTGTATATACATACACTTATGCTTATGTATGCTTCTGCTCACTAAGAAAATATAAGCATTCATTAAGTGAAATGCACTACACAATAATACCAGAGACAGGAGGGAAGACTTAAAAATATTTTGTTATTATAAAGTACTTGCACTACCTATAAAGCAGTATAGTGTTAATTGAAAGTGGACTTCAGTTAGTTGTAAATGTATATTGCAAACTGTATAGCAACCAAAAAATTATTTTTTAAAAGAAGCATAATTGGCCAGGCATGGTGGCTCATGCCTGTAATCCCAGCACTTTGGGAGGTCAAAGCGGGCAGATCACTGGAGGCCAGGAGTTTGAGAACAGCCTGGCCAACATGGTGAAACCTTGTCTCTACTAAAAATACAAAAATTAGCTGGGTGTGGAGGCATATGCCTGTAGTCCCAGCTACTCAGGAAGCTGAGGTAGGAGAATCGCTTTAACCCGGGAGGTGGAGGTTGCAGTGAGCCAAGATCATGCCACTGCACTCCAGCCTGGGCCACAGAGCAAGACTCTGTTAAAAAAAAAAAAAAAAAAAAAAAAGTATAATTGATGTGTTAAAAAAGGAGAGAAAATGAAATCATATAAAATGCTCAAGTAAAATCACAAATGGGCTGAGTGCATTGGGTCACACTTATAATCCCAGCACTTTGGGAGGCTGAGGCAGGTGGATGGCTTGAGCCCAGGATTTCAAGACCAGCCTGGGCAACATAGTGAGATACTATCTCTACAAAAAATACAAAAATTAGCCAGGCATGGTGGCATACATGTGTAGTTTCAGCTATGTGGAAGGCTGAGGCAGGAGGATCACTTGAGCTCAGGAGGTTAAGGCTGCAGTGAGCCATGATCATGCCACTGCACTCCAGCCTGGGCAACAGAGTGTGACCCTGTCTCAAAAAATAATAATAAAAAATTTCAAAAACAAACAAAAAAAACCCCCAAAATGGCAGGGAAAAAGTGGAAGTCAAAAACAGGAACAAGGAATAAAGACAATGAATAGAAAAGAGTGACAAATATTGTAAATATTCATCCATTTATATCAATAATCACTTTAATATCAATGGTCTAAATATACCAATTAAAATACAGAGATTGTCAGAGTGGATTAAAAAACAAGACTCAACTATATGTTGTCTATGTAGAAACCCACATTAAATGTAAAGACATATATAGATTAAAAGTAAAGGGATGGAGAAAGATATTCCATGCTAACACTAATCAAAAGGGAGTGGGAGCAGCTATATTTATTTCTAACAGAGCAGACATCAGAGTAAGGAAAATGATCAGGGATAAAGCATGGCATTATATAATGGATAAAGGGCTCAATTTTCAAGAAGACATAACAATCCATAGTGTATATGTGCCTAACAACAAAGTTGTAAAATATGTGGGGCAAAAACTGATAGGAATACAATGAGAAACAGATGAATCCACTGTTATACTTGGAGACTACAGTATCTCTCTAACAGAACTCAACAGCACCATCAATGGGGTATAATTGACATTTCTAGACTGCTTTACCCAACAACAGCAGAATACACATTCTTCTCAGACTCAAATGGAACAAGATAGATAACATTCTGGGTCCTAAAACACACCTTAAAAAATGTTATTAGTTTTTTATTTTTTTAAACTTTTTTTATTATTTAAAAATAGAGACAAGGTCTTGCTATGTTGCCCAGGCTAGTCTTGAACTCCTGGGCTGAAATAATCTGCCTGCCTTGGCCTCCCATAGTGCTGGGATGACACGCCTGAGCCACCGCACCCAGCCTTAACAAATTTTATTTTAATTAATTAATTAATGTTTTTGAAGAGAGTTTTGTTCTTGTCACCCAGACTGGAATGTAATGGCACAATCTCAGCTGACTGCAACCTCTGCCTCCTGGGTTCAAGCGATTCTCCTGCCTCAGCCTCCAGAGTACCTGGGATTACAGATGCCTGCCACCATGACAAGCTAATTTTAGTATTTTTAGTAGAGATGGGGTTTCATCATGTCGGTCAGGCTGGTCTCCAACTCCTGACCTCTGGTGATCCACCCACCTCGGCCTTCCAAAGTGCTGAGATTACAGGCATGAGCCACCGTGCCCAGCCCAAATTTTAAATATTATAAATCATCCAATATATTATTTCAGGTCACAGTGGAATTAAACTAGAAACCAGTAACAGAAAGATAGCTAGAAAATCCCAAAATACTTGGAAATTAAACCATACTCTAAATAACACATTGGTCAAAGAAGAAATCTCAAGAAAAATTTTAAAATATTTTGAAGTAAATTAAAATAAAACCACAACTTATCAAAATTTGTGGATGCAGTGAAAATAGTACTTAGAGGGAAATTTAGGGCATTGAATGCATATATTGGATAGGAAAAAATATCTAAAATCAGTCATCTAAGCTTCCACTTTAAGAAACTAGAAAAAAAAAGGGCAAATTAAATCCCAAGCAAGCAAAAGAAAAGAAATAATAAAAATTAGACCAGAAATCAATAAAAATCAGCCAGATGCGGTGGCTCATGCCTGCAATTCCAGCACTTTGGGAGGTCGAGGCAGGTGGATCACCTGAGGTCAGCAGTTCGAGACCAGCCTGGGCAACGTGGTGAAACTCCGTCTCTACTAAAAACACAAAAATTAGCAGGCCATGGTGGCACCCGCCTGTAATCCCAGCTACTCAGGAGGCTGAGGCACGAGAATCACTTGAACCCAGGAGGCAGAGTTTGCAGTGAGCCAAGATTGCACCACCACACTCTGGGCTGGGTGATACAGCAACACTCTGTTCACCTCCCCACAGTCCAAAAAAGAAATCAATAAAAATAAAAACAGAAAATCAATAGAGAAAATAAATGAAACCAGATGCAGTTTCTTTGATAAAATCAATAAGCCTCTAGCCAGGCTAACCAAGAAAAAAAGAGAGACACACACACAACTTAATAACATCAGAAATAAGAGAGGGGACATCACTACAAATGCTGGGAGCACTATAAGAATCATAAAGAAATATGAAACTCTCTATGTCTACAAATCTTATAATTTAAGTAAAATAGACTAATTCCTTAAAGACACGTTCGCCAAAACTCATGCAGAAGAAATATACATTCTGAATAAGTCTATATTTATTAAAGAAATTGAACAATTATAACCTTCGAAAACAAAAAACACCAGGCCCAGATAAATTCACCAGTGAATTCTTCTAAATATTTAAGAAAGAAATCATACTAATTTTCTATAATCTCTTTCAGAAAATAGAAGTAAAGAGGCCAGGCATGGTGGCCCACACCTGTAATCTCAGCACTTTTGGAGGCTGAGGTGCGTGGATCACTTCAGGTCAGGAGTTTAAGACCAGCCTGGCTAACATGGTGAAACCCCGTCTCTACTAAAAATTACAAAAATTAGCTGGGTGTCATGGCACACTCCTGTAATCCCAGCTACTTGGGAGGCTGAGGCAGGAGAATTGCTTGAACCTGGGAGGCAGAGGCTGCAGTGAGCCAAGATTGTGCCACTCTACACTATAGCCTGGGTGACAGAGTGAGACTCCATCTAAAAAAAGAAGAAGAAGAAAAGAAAATAGAAGCGGAGGAAGTGGTTTCTAACTCATTCTATGAGACCAGCATTATCCTAATACCAAAACTAAAGATATTTCAAGAAAACTACAGACCAGTATCTCATGAATATAGATGTAAAAATTCTGAACAAAATATTAGCAAGTTAAATCCAACAATGTGTAAAAAGATCCTTTGAACTGAGGCTGCAAGAAAAAAAAATTATATACATGACCAAGGAAATTTATTCCAGGTATGTAAGCCTGGTTCAATGTTTGAAAATTAATGATTAATAATTCATCATTTCAACAGACTAAAAAAGAAAAAAACATGATCATATTAATAGGTGCAGAACAATTATTTGATAAAACCAATACCCATTCATGACAAAAACTCAGCAAATTAGGAATAAAAGGGAACTTCTTCAATAGAATAAAGAACATTTACAAAAACACCCCACAGCTAATGATGAAAAATTAGAAGCTTTCCCAGAGCAGGAGCAGGTCAAAGATTTCCCCTCTTACCACTCCCTTTTAAAATCATACTTGGAAGTCCTAACTAATGCAGTAAGGAAAGAAACAGAAATAAAAGGTATGCAGATTGAGAAGGAAGAAGTAAAGCTGTCTTTGTTTGCAGATGATCTGAACATTTACGTAGAAAATCCATAAGAATAAACCACCACAACAAAAGATTCCTGGAACTAATAAATAAGTATAGCAAGGTTGCAGGATACAAGATTAACACACAAAATTTGATTCCTTTCTGGTATATCAGCAATTAACCAGTGGAATTAGAAACTTAAAACATAATATCAATACCATTTATATTAACACCCCAAAATATGGAATACTTAGGTATGAATCTAACAAAATATGTACAAGATCTATATGAGAAAAACTACAAAACTCTGATGAAATAAATCAAAGAAGAACTAAATAAATGAAGAAGTATTCCATGTTCAAGGATTGGCAATTCAATATTGTTAAGATGTCCGTTCTTCTCAATGCGATCTATAGATTCAACAGAATACCAACCAAATTCCCAGCAAGTTATTTTGTGATATTGACAAACTGATTCTAAAGTTTATATGGAGACACAAAAGACCCAGAATAGCCAACATAATCATGCATGAGTGTTAGTCAGAGGACTGACACTACCTGACTTCACGATTTACTATAAAGCTACAGGATTTACTAAAAGTAATCAAGACATAGTAGTGTTGATGAAAAAGTGGACAAATAGATCAATAGAACAGAACAGAGAGGCAGATATAGAGCCAAATAAATATAGTGAATTTATGTTTCACAAAGGAGCAAAGGAGAAAATGGACAAGAGTGTTCAAGAAATGCTGCTGGAACAACTGGACATCTACATGCAGGAAAAAAAAAAGAATCTAGACATAGACTTTATACTCATGCCCAAAATTAGTTCAAAATGAGAAAAATAACTCTATTATAATATATAAATCCTATTTTAGAAATTTGAAGTGTAAATGCAGTGCAGTAGTGTGGCAATAGAGAACACTGACCCAGAAGCTAAAAAAAAAAAAATTAACTCAAAATGGATCATTTTGTAAAATGCAAAACTATAAAATTCCTAGAAGATAACATAGGAGAAAATCTAGATGACCTTGTGTATGGGAATGACTTTTTATTTTATTTTTTGAGATGGTGTCTTTCTCTGCTGCCCAGGCTGAAGTGCAATGGCACAATCTCAGCTCACTGCAACCTCTGCCTCTGGGGTTCAAATGATTCTGGTACCTCAGCCTCCTGAGTAGCTGGAATTACAGGCATGAGCCACCATGCCCGGCTAATTATTGTATTTTTAATAGAAACTGGATTTTGCCATGTTGGTCAGGATGGTCTCTAACTCCTGGCTTCAAGTGATTCACCTGGCTCAGCCTCCCAGAATGCTGGGGTTACAGTCATGAGCCACTGTGCCTGGC
Source organism: Homo sapiens (assembly GCF_000001405.40). Classification (NCBI taxonomy): domain Eukaryota; kingdom Metazoa; phylum Chordata; class Mammalia; order Primates; family Hominidae; genus Homo; species Homo sapiens. The sequence continues at coordinate 76,406,759 of NC_000009.12, read as the reverse complement.
CAGAACTCTTAAAACTCTACAAGAAGAAAGTGAACAACCTGATGATTTTTTCCTTTTTTGAGATGGAGTCTCGCTCTGTTGCCCAGGCTGGAGTGCAGTGGCACAATCTCGACTCACTGCAACCTTCGCCTCCTGGGTTCAAGCAATTCTCCTGCCTCAGCCTCCTGAGTAGCTGGGACTACAGGTGCACGCCACCACACCCGTGAGCCACCACGCCTAGCCAATTTTTCTTTTTTCTTTCTTTCTTTTTTTTTTTTTTTTTTGAGACAGGGTCTTGCTCTGTTGCTTAGGCTGGAGTGCAGTGGCACAATCATGGCTCACTGTAGCCTTGATCTCCTAGGCTCAAGTGATCTTTCTACCTCAGCCTCCCAAGTAGCTGGAACTACAGGCACATATCACCCATGCCCAGCTAATTTTTAAAATATTTTTGTAGATAAAGGGTCTCACTATGTTGCCCAGGCTGTCTTGAACTCCTGGGCTCGAGCAATCCTCCCACCTTGGCCTCCCAAAGTGCTGAGATGAGCCACTGCATCTGGTCTGATGTTTTTAAATAAGCAAAAGACCTGAACAGACACTTCACCAAAGATGATATACAGATGGCAAATAAGCATATGAAAAGATGTTCCACATCATATGTCATCAGAGAAATGCAAATTACCACTCTAGGCCTATTGGAAGGGCCCAAATCCAGAACACTGACCACACCAAATGCTGGCAAGGATGTGCAGCAACAGGAGCTCTCCTTAATTGCTGGTGGGAATGCAAAATGGTATAGTCATTTTGTTACACAGTTTGGCAGTTTCCTATAAAACTAAACATACTCTTACCACATGATCCAGCAATTGTATTATTTGGTATTTACCCAAATTAATTGAAAACCTATATTCACACAAAAACCTGCAGATTGATGTTTAGAGCAGCTTTATTCAGAACTGCCAAAACTTGGAAGCAATCAAGACGTCCTTCAATAGGAGAATAGGAAAATAAACTATGATACACACAGACAATAGAATATTATTCTATGCTAAAAATAAATGAGCCATCAAGCCATGAAGACGTGGAGGAAACTTAACTGCATATTTTTAAGTGAAAGAAGCCAGTCTGAAAATGCTACATCTTTTATAATTCCAACTATGTGTCACTGTGGAAAAGGCAAAACTATGAAGACAGTTAAAAGATCAGTGGTTGTCAAGGATTAGGGGTGAGGGAGGGATGAATAAGTAAAGCACAGAGGATTTTTATGACAGTGAAAATGCTCTGTATGATACGATAATGGTGGATACAAGTCGGTATTCCTTTGTGTAAACCCATAGAATGTATAACTCCAAGAGTGAACTCTCATGTAAATTACAGACTTGGGGTGATATTACATCAATGCACATATATCAGTTGTAACATGTACATTCTAGTGCCTAGTGCAGGATGTCTATAGTGAGGAAGCCTGTGTGTGTGTGTGTGTGTGTGTGTGTGTTGAAGGTCAGGGAGTATATGGGAACTTTCTGTACTTCTCAATTTTTCTGTGAACCTAAAACTGCTTTTTAAAAAAAGTCTACTTAAAGGAAAAAAGTATTGGCAAAACAGAGCTCACTAGCTGGTTTGGCTATTTTTGTAGAACAAACCACCTCAAAATTTGATGACTTGGGTTGGGTCTGGTGGCTCATGCCTGTAATCCCAGCACTTTGGGAGGCTGAGGCGGGCAGATCATCTGAGGCCAGGAGTTTGAGACCAGCCTGGTCAACATGGCAAAACCCCATCTCTAGAAAAAGATACAAAAATTAGCCAGGCATGGTGGTGTACACGCCTGTGATCCCAGCTACTTGGGAGGCTGAGGCAGGAGAATCTTGAACCTGGAAGGTGGAGATTGCAGTGAGCTGAGGTCACGCCACTGCTCTCCAGCCTGGGCCACAGAGCAAGACTCTGTTTAAAAAAAAAAAAAAGATGACTTAAAATAATCTATTATTTCAAATTATTTTCTGGGTTGCTTGGGTCTCACCTGAGCAGTATTCCTTCCAGGAGCTCATTTGAGACTGAAATGTCCAGGATACTTCAGGCCTCTCTTCATATATCTCTTTCTCTAGAAGGGTAGCTGGACTTATATCATGCCCAGCTTCTAACAGAGAGCATTCAAAGCCTATCACAGAGTTGCTACAGTTCTCTGTAAGCACACCTTTGAAGTTACACGATATCACTTCTGCCAGATTTTATTGGTCAAATTTCACAACCAGGTCAGTTTTAGTGGGGAGAGGAAATGGGCTTCCCCTCTCAATAAAAGGAGTGAAAAATATTTGGGAGCATTTTTAATTTAGCCTACTATTTTTTATTCAGCTGGTAATAATTTTCCAATCTATACCACCACCCCACTACACACTTTTATTTTTCATCTTCTAAATATATAGTTCATGCTGACACATCAGCAGATTAGACCAATTTTCTAAGTAGCTGTATTATTTTATATATTGGACAGAAAAAAAATTCTAAAATTAAAAAAAATTCCTAAAATTTTATATCATCATTGTGAGAAAAAAGGAGGGAAACACCAGTAATTTTGAAGACAAACTGAAATAATTTTATATGTAATTACTGTTGGTAACACCTATATTTTTGCCATCACGGTCACATTCCAAAGGTATCATGAATTTGAGAGAACATAAGACAGACGGCTGTCATGGACACTAAAGAATGGTTAATTTCACTATCAGTAAATCCTGCCTTAGAAGGGGAATTACTCCGAACAGAGGTCAAAGTTCATCTCCAGAATCTCAGACATATTTACTCATTATTCTGAAAAGAGTCCAGTGTCCTAGAAAGTTTTCCTTCTTCTTCGTCTCAGAAATTTTTAGCATCTTTATCTCCTATACCATCATTGCACCAAATGTATAATTAAAAACAATTTTTTAATGGGAAAGAAGTCTGAATTCTTCTGCCTATAATTCTAGGTGCTCTTCTCCTCCTTTTTCTCTTTCTCCATTTTCTTCTTCTATAGTGAAACATATATTCAAAGGAAACATCAAAAAGCATTAACTTTCTAAATTAAGACAGTCTTTTTATCTTTTGTGATTGAGGAAGAAGATAGAATGCAGTAGCCATGCTTCACCAAAGAACCAGATCCAAGCACATGAAGCAATGAGCAGGCCAAACATTTCTGAGTACAGAATCCTCCCGTGTCTAGCACAGGGCCTGATGAACCTCATTCCCTAACTTTCATTTTCCATTTGCAGTTCTTATTTCATGTGTCACCGCAGTTCTAGGTTCATGTCAGTAAAAAGCAAAATTTTAATATGCCATCTTGTGGATGCATGAGGAATGAAATTCTTGTAGTGCTTTTGGTTTTGGTGGTGAGAATTTAACATTGCATTTGCATAGTTTTTCCCCTGTAATACAAGCAATTTTTGCTCAATGCAAAAACAAAAAACAAAAATCAAAAAGCCATACAGGAAATACACAAGGAACAGTAGGTACTCAAATATTTGTGGAGTATCGATTTTTAAAAATTAGTAATCATCACACCCTTGATTTGGAGTGGACCCTATTAAAGCAGCCAGTGAATGAATGGATGAAGGAAGGAATACCTTTTTCTAAAACATTTGATATTGTAGGTAAGCTCTTGGTTTTCAGGCCTGACCTGACATTAGAATCTAATTTTCCAGAGATATTTTTAGTGTCTCATGTGGGTAGAAGTTGACAAAATTTGGTTTACATTCCATATAGGTATAAGAATTGTTTATTAGTACTACTGACAACCTTCCATTTCCATATGTGCGGTGTATTTATTAAACAATCAGGGCTGGGCACGGTGGCTCATGCATGTAATCCCAGCACTCTGGGAGGCCGAGGCAGGCAGATCACAAGGTCAGGAGTTTGAGACCAACCTGGCCAACAGGGTGAAACCCCGTCTCTACTAAAAACACAAAAATCAGCCGGGCGTGGTGGCGCGTGCCTGTAATGCCAGCTACTCAGGAGGCTGAGGCAGGAGAATCACTTGAACCCAGGAGGTGGAGGTTGTAGTGAGCCGAGATCATGCCATTGTACTCCAGCCTGGGCAACAGAGTGAGACACTGTCTCAAAAAAAAAAAAAATCAGCCAAATAAACATTTCATTATGGGTTATTATGAGGCAGCTGCATATAGCAGACAGACCTGGAGATCACTTAACTCTTTCAGAAAAGGTGATCTTAGGTCCATTGTCAAACGGATGGACAGCTTCTCAGCATTTTGTAGACTCTCTGTTTTCTTTTGGGTTTAGTAGGTCGTAGGCTCTCAGTCTGCTTTTTTTTGGTGCAAAATAACAATGTTAGACCAGATGAGTAATTTACAATTTGTGTGCTTCAAAAGGTTCTAAATATTCAAAGCACATTTCATTTAAAAATGTCTTTTATGAATTTAGTTTTCAAAATGTTATTTTAAAATATGTTTTCTGAATTTAATATGATACAACAGTACAAACAGTGATAGGAAGCAAATTCGGATGTAGTTGAGAGTGTTGAAGGAAAACTGGATGTGTTAACCAAAAAATATGCCTCTTTGACAAAAAAATTTTTAAGCTAAGAGCAAGTGGGAGGAAGCAGATACAGGAAAGCTCTCTGCCTCTCCTCTGTTTACCTAGTGGCAGGACACAGATTTACAAAGACAAAGGTGCCCTTCTTCCCTCTGTACCCGGAAGGACAAAAGTTAACCACTGAAGACAACTGTAGCCCTCATCTGGCTGGAGATGGCACAAGAGGAATCTACGTTAATAAGCTTTGCTAAGTGGACTTCATCTATCATTATTTTGCCTTCCCACAATTTGCCACCTCCAGAGATTCAAAGTTCTTTTCCTCTGTCTTGTCCTTTCTTTAGAAATGTAGTGTGTTTTTTGTTTGTTTGTTTGAGACAGGGTCTTGCTCTGTCACCCAGGCTGGAGTGCAGTGGCATGATCATGGCTCACTGCAGCCACAACCTCCTGGGCTCAAGGGATCCTCTGGCCTCAGCCTCCCAAAGTGCTGGGATTATAGCAGTGAGTCACTGTGCTGGTCCTTAATGTTCTTTATTGAAGTTTATATAAGCTAGAGGTCTGAGTCACCTCTTTGAGAATTATTCATTCCCTGGGCATCTCCCATATACATATAAAATATACATGATAATAAACATGTTTGCTCTTGCTTTGATAATCTGTTTTTTGTTACAGGGGGTCCCTTCTAACAACGCATTAGGGGTGAGGAAAAAAATTAGTTTTCTTTCTTTACACTGTAAACTTCATTAATGTGTTCTTATTGAGTAAATTTGTACTACATGAAGTAAATTTTATGAGTTTGAACCACAAATACATTTGTGGTTATAAAATAACACTTGTTTTTATGGCATGGTGGTGTACACCTGTAGTTCCAGTTATGCAGGAGGCCAAGGCAGGCAGATGGCTTAATTCCAGGATTTCGAGGCTATAGTGTGCTATGAGCTTGCCTGTGAATAGCCACTGCACTCTAGCCTGGGCAACATAGCGAGATCCCATCTCTAAAATAAATATGTAAATACATAAATAAATAAAACATTATTTATTTTCTATATTGGGCTTTTATGTAGAATTTTACATGTCTGTTTTCCAAGGTAGAATTCTGAAGACACTTACACTCAGCCAGCTTATTTGGACTGTAGTCCAGTTATAATGAATTTTCTATAGCAGACCAACAGGTAATCATCATCATAACAGCCAATACAGAAGGCTTACTACACATTACACACTGATTTAGTTACTTCACATGCATTAAGTCTTAAATCTTTCAAATGCTTTATGAGGTGCTATGGTGATTATTTTCTCACAGACAGGAAACTGGTGTAAGAGCCAGAGTCCCCCTTACCTACTACTAAGCTCTATCACCTCTCAGTAGAGCTTAGTAGTTCTGGCTTGTTTACTGCACATCCCTTTCTTGGAAATATGATCACAGGAACTCTCCCTAGCTAGACATTTTTCTTTCCTCTTCTCTGTTTAGTCGATTCACACATGCCCCAAGGCTCCAGCTCAAGTCCCACCTCTCTGGAAGGCATTGTCAAGCATACCTGACTCACAGGGTTCCCTTGCTCTCTGGCCTACTGGTAGCATTGTCTCATGCTAGGAAGCCTGTTTATATGAAGTCCAAAGAGTGAGTTAGAGGAATTGGTAAAGTTCCCTAGGGCTTCTGGGTAGAGAATGTAGAGGCAGGAGCTGAGGAGTGTGATAGGGAGAATCTGTGAACAATGGTTTAGTTTAGACTGATCCTAAGACAGAGGGAAGCAGAACATGACTTTTAGTGTGATTTGATCAGATTGGCATTTGAAAGGTTATAGCAGCACGAAAAAGCAGTAGAGAGAGACTAGTGTCAAATCTAAGGCTGGGAGAATAGAGTTGGCTACACCTGTGCAGGTAAGGGGTCATGGCTTGCATTCAGTGGGAGGAGGGGTAAAAATGGATTGGGAGAGACTTGGTAACTATTTAGGTGTGGAAGGTGTGAACGTTGATGTCAGACTCCAAGTCAGAAATTTTTAGATTAATTATTCAAAAACTAATAGACTCTACTTTTTAGAGCAGTTTTAGGTTGGCAGCTGCTGTTGCTGTATAGTTCTATGGGTTTTGATACATGCATAATGTCATATATTCATGAGGACAGTATCATACAGAATAGTTTCACTGCCCTAAAAATCCCCTGTGCTTCACATTCATCCCTCCCTCCGACCTCCAACTTCCCCAAACCCTGGTAACCACTGATCTGTTTACTGTCTCCATAGTTTTATTCAGAATGTAATATAATTGGAATCATGTGTTATGTAGCCTTTTCAGACTGGCTTCTTTCACTTAGTAATATGCAGTTAAGTTTCCTCTAGGTCTTTTTGTGGCTTGATAGCTCATTTCTTTTTAGCACAGAATAGTATGGCATTATATGGATATACAACAGCTTGTTTATCCCACCTATTGAAGGACATCTCAGTTGCTTCCACGTTTTGGCAATTCTGAATAAAGCTGCTATAAACATCCATGTGAAACAAAATAAAAATAAAATAAAATAGAAATAAAACATCCATTCATCCATTCCATTTGCATTCAGTGGGAGTAGGGGTAAAAATGGATTGGGGTAAAAACAAATAGGTTTTTTTTTTTTTAAGAAACTGATGTTTATTTTCCATCAACCATTTTTCCATGTTGCTTAAGAGCCTATGCAAGAACAGCTTAAGACCAGTCAGTGGTTGCTCCTACCCATTCAGTGGCCTGAGCAGTGGGAGCTGCAGACCAGTCTTCCGTGGCAGGCTGAGCGCTCCAGTCTTCAGTAGGGAACTGCTGAATAGGCACAGAGGGCACCTGTACACCTTCAGACCAGTCTGCAACCTCAGGCTGAGTAGCAGTGAACTCAGGAGCTGGAGCAGTCCATTCACCCTGAAATTCCTCCTTGGTCACTGCCTTTTCAGCAGCAGCCTGCTCTTCTTTTTCAATATCTTCAGGATCTCTGTAGAAGTAGAGATCAGGCATGACCTCCCACGGGTGGTCATAGGAAATCGTGCTACACATGCGCAGAACTTCCCGAGCCAGCATCTACCACATCAAACCCACTGAGTGAGCTCCCTTGTTGTTGCATGGGATGGCAATGTCCACATAGCGCATAGGAGAATCTGTGTTACACAGAGCAATGGTAGGTAGGTTAACATAAGATGCCTCCGTGAGAGGCTGGTGGTCAGCCCTGGGGTCAGTAACCACAAGAAGCCATGGCTCCCGGAAGGCTGCCTGGATCTGGTTAGTGAAGGTTCCAGGAGTGAAGTGGCCAGCAATTGGAGTGGCTCCAGTGGCAGCAGCAAACTTCAGCACAGCCCTCTGGCCAGTATTCCTGGAGGATATAACACTGACATCAGCAGGGTTTTCAATGGCAACAATAGCACTAGCTGCCAGCAGAAGCTTCTCCCAGGTCCTCTTCAGATTTATGATATAGATGCCATTACTTTTCCTTTTACAGATGTACTGTTCCATCTGGAAGTCAAGATTGGTGCCACCTAAGTGGGTTCCTGCTGCAAGGAACTTAAGGACATCCTCCTCCTTCATTTGCAGGACATCAAGGGCTCCGGACATTGTGAAAGTTTCCCTTTAAGTTACGACGGGAATCCAGAACAACGCCGTATGGGCCCCTCTGTAGGTAGCGCGGAAAGCAAAAACAAATAGGTTTTTGTGTGGATAAAAGTTTTCACCTCATTTGATTAAATATAAGTGAGCACAATTTCTGGATAACATAGTAAAAGTACGTTTAGTTTTATAAGAAACTGCCATATTATCTTCCAAGGGGCTGTACCATTTTGTATTCCCACCAACAATGAATGAAAGTTCCTGTTGCTCTACATGGTTGCCAGCATTTGGTGTTGTCAGTGTTCTGAATTTTGGCCATTCTAATTGGTATATAGTAGTATCTCATTGTTGTTTTAATTTGTATTTCCCTCACGATATATGATGTTGAACATCTTTTCATATGCTTATTCAGATCTTTTGCTCATTTTTTAATTGAGTTGCTTATTTTCTTATTGCTGAATTTTAAGAATTCTTCAGATTCATTTTTCATTGCTTACTTAGAATAAGCCTTCTTTTCCCTCACAAGCTGCCAGTTCTACTTTCTCTTTAGTCTTATTTGTGATCCTTCTTTCTACAGAGACAAATTAAACCAGAGAAGTGGACTCTTTCCCTACAGGCAGCTGAAAGGATGTGCAAGTGCAGTTCAGAGGGGGAAATAAAAAACACGTTTTAGAATACTTCCTTGGTTAAAAGCAGTAAGTTTGGCAAAGACACATAGACTCTCAACTCTAGATTTACTGAGAATGCTAGGTAGCATATTTTTGGAGTCAAATGAAGAAGAAAAATTATAAATCCTATAGCCTACAGAATAATTATTGAATTATTTGAAGCATATGCTTTGGCCTCTGAAGCAAGGTGGAGGGGTCTGCTTTGATCAACAGATTGAGTACTTGATGGGAGTTCTTAGAAGTACAACTCTTGGAGGGTTTATTCTTCAGTCAGAGGGGAGGAGCCATTGAACGCTATTGAGCGGTGGTGGAAAATGATCAGAATTCTTCCTTCTTGGGAGGCCGAGGAAGGTGGATCACTTGAAGCCAGGAGTTCCAGAACAGCCTGGCCAACATGATGAAACCCTGTCTCTATTAAAAATGCAAAAATTAGCCGGGCGTGGTGGCATAAACCTGTAGTCCCAGCTACTCGGGAGGCTGAGGCAGGAGAATCACTTGAGCCCGGGAGGTGGAGGTTGCAGTGAGCCGAGATTGCGCCACTGCACTCCAACCTGAGTGACAGAGTGAGACTCTGGTTCAAAAAAAAAAAAAAAAATTCTTTCTTCTATATCCTATGCTGATAACACAGTAATTACCCATATGACTTGACATGTAAATGGTAGTTTTAAAGATTGGAGCCTGACTGCTCCATCTTAAACATTCTACAAGACTCTCCTTTTTTTTTTTAAATCTATCTATTTATTTATGTATTATTTATTGAGAAGGAATCTTGCTCTGTCACTCAGGCTGGAGTACAATGGAGCAATCTCGGCTCATAGCAACCTCCGCCTCCTGGGTTCAAGCGATTCTTCCGCCCCAGTCTCCCGAGTAGCTGGGATTACTGGCATTCACTGCCATGCCTGGCTAATTTTTGTATTTTTAGTAGAGACCGAGTTTTGCCATGTTGTCCAGGCTGGTATTGAACTCCTGGCCTCAGGTGATCCACCTGCCTCGGTCTCCCAAAGTGCTGGGATTACAGGCAAGAGCCACTGCGCCCGGCCTATTTATTTTTTTAGTGACCGTGTCTTGCTTTGTCATTAGGCTGGAGTGCAGTGGTTCAATCACAGCTCACTGCTGCCTCAAATTCTGGGGCTCAGGCGATCCTCACTCCTCAGTTTCCCAAGTAGCTGGGGCTATAGGCACGAGCCACCACCACCTGGCTGAGACAGAGTCTCGCTCTGTTGCCCCATATGGAGTGCAGTGGCGTGATCTCCAGCTCACTGCAACTGCCGCCAGGTTCGAGCGACTCTTGTGCCTCGGCCTCCAGGGTATCTAGGACCACAGGTGAGCGCCACCACTCCCGGCTAATTTTTGTATTTTTTGTAGAGACGGGGTTTCACCATGTTGCCCAGGCTGGTCTCCAACTCCTGAGCTCAAGTGATCCACCGGCCTCAGCCTCCCAAAGTGCTGGGATTACAGGCATGAGCCACTGTGCCAGGCCCTGGCTGATTTTTAAAATTTTCTTTCTTATTTTCTCCTCTTCTTTTCTTTCCCCTTTCTTCTTTTTTTTCTTGTTTCTTTTCTTTTCTTTCTTTTTTCTCTCTTTCTTACTTATTTTTATTTTAAAATTTTTGGATAGACGGAAGTCTCCCTATTTTGCCCAGGCTGGTCTTGAACTCCTCAGCTCAAGAGATCCGCTCACCTCGGTCTCCCAGAGTGCTGGGATTACAGGCGTAAGCCACCATGCCCCGCCCATTTTTATACGTTTAGGTTAATGCTTTCCAACAAAGCTGATGAGAGGATTACATGAGACAGTGTGAAAAATACTTAGCATTTTCTCTATTCTTAAAACCACCCCTCCTCATTTACCTCCTATGATTCATTTAATTATTTTATCTCATTTAATTCTCATACCTTCTTGCAACCTAGGGCTTAGTGGCGTAAGACCCAGGGATGATTTATCAAGTTCTCACCTCCAGGCTTTTCTTATTAGGTGTATCACTGCTGATGAAGTTAAAAATATACCATTCTTGCATATTGACTATTTTGAATTAAAAGCACTTGAAAAACAATAGATACAAAAAAATCATTCTGACCTCTTTTCTGTTTCTTAGAAGCAGATGAAATTACCATATGAGAGACATCCTCCCTATATTAGAAGGAATGCAGCACTCTTATTAAGGACGGGAGTCAAGAGTGAGAGAATCCTGTACACACCTTGCTAAAATAACTCTTAAGCCTCTCCAGATAACTTAATTGCTTTTCACAACTTGCTATTACTACTCTTACTACCGGTATTACTATTATCGTTATTCTCATTATTCTTTGTTTAATTCCGTATAGATAAGTAACTGACCATAATTGCTTCTTTGGGTCCTTCTCTCCCTTCCCTTCCCTTTTCTTCCCTTTCACTTTCCCTTCCCCTTTCCTTTCCCTTCCCTCCCTTCCTTCTTCTTCTCTAGTTCTTTTAAGGGGTGAGGGTGTCTCACTGTGTCGCCCAGTCTGGAGTGCAGTGGCGTTATCATAGCTCAGTGCAGCCTCGACCTCCTGGGCTCAATCAATCCTCCCGCGTCGGCCTCTCAAACTACTGGGAATACAGGCGTGAGCCACCAAGCCTGGCCTAGAACATAAATTTAATATCAGGTAAATCTTATCAGAGATGCATACATGTAAGGTAGAAAGAGACTACACGGTCTGCACAGAATTTTATACAAATGTATAGAGCAAAAAAGAAAAAAATTAAACTTCTCTGGATTCCATTGATTAAAAATTTAAAAAAATAAATAAAAAACTTCTTTGTCTTCGAGACGTTAAGAGGATGCACCTTCTTATAACCTTGCACCCTGCATATCCTGTGAGTGAGCCCAGAGCTACTTCCCTAGGAGCGTGCGTATTTACAGTTCCGAGGGTACGAAGGCCTCTATCTGCATTGCAGTAGAGGGACGGCCTGTTATCGGGCTTGTGAAATTGTCAAGAAGACAGCCTGGAGGGGACAGTCACCGCCCATGTCGGTAACCTTCCACTAGTCTCTGGGGTTAACAGCGTCACAGACAGGGACTTCTCCCTTGGAGCTTACATTCGAATATATTAATAACTCCAGAACGTGGTCAGTGGTCCTGGAGGACGACCGCTTCTGGTAGGGCGGCCAGGAAAAGCCTCTGTGAAGAGGCGATCTTTGAGCTGAATTTTGGAGCTTTAATAAATACTTAAAGAGCGAACGGAACGAGCGATGCCTGACGTTCAACCCAGCGGTTGCCAAGGAGCTAAAGAGCGTCTCACTTTGGCTTCCGGATTGTTATGAACAGGAGGAAGGAGAAAAAAAAACCAGAATTGTTCGAGAATTGTGCTTTCGCGGCTCTCAGGCTGAAAACGGGGTTTCCACATTAGTTCCCATCGCCAGGGGCTGAAACGAAGCCCGGGATCCAGACATTAGGCGCCTGGGGCGGGAGCCTGCAGCGGGAGCTTGCGGCGGGAGCCGGGCGAGGCAGCGGCGGGGCGGGGCCATGATGGGGCGGGGCTACGGAAGCCGAGCGGGCTCGAGGCGTTCGGCTGAGGAAGGGAGCGCACGCCGGCGGCGCGGAGGCCGGCTCTGCGCTTCGGGCCGCCCCCTCCCCCCACCCCGCTCACACCCGGCACTTACTTCGGCTGTCTCCGCTGCCCTCCAGCGGAGACGCAGCTCCTCAGGCGCCCGGCGGTATTTGTTGGGTCGGCGGCGTCAGGGATTCGCAGTGGCCTGTGGTCGGCGTCGTCCGGCCACTGGTGCGCCCCCGCGGCAGGCAGAGCTCACGCTCCTGTCCCCCGGCTGGTCCGGGGTCTGGGCGCCGCGTCGACGGCGGCTCCGCAGGACGCGCAGACCGGGCCGCAGCCCATTCCCCGAGCGGACTGCATTATGAGGCACCTGCCTTACTTCTGCCGGGGTCAAGTGGTGCGGGGCTTCGGCCGCGGCTCCAAGCAGCTGGGCATCCCCACAGGTGAGAGCAGGGCGGCCAGAGTCCCCCGGGCCGGGTCACGTGGGGAGCGGGGAGAGACGGCAGCCGGGGACTTGGGACCGGGGCGTGGGGCCTCCGGACCGCGGGCAGAGAGCACACCCTTCCTCCTCCCGCATCCCCTTGTCTGTGGCGGAGGACCGTTGGCTCGGTTGAGGGAGCTTGTCCCTGCTTCTGGCTCCGAGCTCCGCGGGGACGGGGTTGAGGGGTGGTGAGGGCCGGAAGCCCGAGATGAATCGCAGGATTCCCCGTTCACGCCTCCTTGGCCAGCCAAGGTACAGTTGGTCAAGCATTGCGCTTGTCTTGCCCATTAGAGACGTAACGTGGGCCAGAACGGCTGAACTCGCAAGCCGGGTCTAAGGTGGTTTTGTTTTTAATTTGTAATTATGTAATGTCCAAATGATAACATAGGTAGTTGAATGAGAGTCAGCTAACCTTCTTGGTCTGTCTACATTAATTTCAATAATCGAGACCTGACTGTAATTCATCCTTAGAAATACATGCCAGAGCTGCGTCTTGACTTGTTAAGTCAGCCTTGAGCTTGTGTATTTGAAAAATAAGAAGCTTTGGCCGGGCGTGGTGGCTCACGCCTGTAATCCCAGCACTTTGGGAGGCCGAGGCGGGCGGATCATCTGAGCTCAGGAGTTCGAGATCAGCCTGGCCAACATGGTAAAACCCCGTCTCTGCTAAAAATACAAAAATTAGCTGGGCATGGTGGCGCGTGCCTGTCATCCCAGCTACTCGGGAACCTGAGGCAGGAGAATCGCTTGAACCCAGGAGACGGAGGCTGCAGTGAGGCGAGATCGTGCCACTGCCCTCCAGCCTGGGCGACAGAGTGAGACACCGTCTCAAAAAAAAAAAAAAAAGAAAGAAACTTTTCAGGTGATTCAGTACCTGGTTAGGAAAGAACAGATCTGAAAAAATCCATCTACTCTGGTACTTGTTTTTTGCATCCTACTCAAAGAGTATGGATTTTTTTGGAGAGCTTTATATACTTACCTGGTACTTTATTCATAACCTATTCACATGAATAGGAGAGGGAAATCTGAGCCGGAAAATGGAAGGATGGGATTGATACTTACAGGCAAAGTTGTAGGAGTCTTGTGAATGTAATGATTTACATTAGCCTTGCATGTGATTTTTACAAATGTTTGTTTCTTATTATTATTTTGAGACAGAATCTGGCTCTGCCACTCAGGCTGGAGTGCAGTGGTAGTGCGATCATAGCTTACTGCAGCCTCCATCTGCTGGGCTCAACTGACCCTCCTGCCTCAGCCTCTCTGGTAGCTTAGACTATAGGTGCAGGCCACCATCCCCAGCTAATTTTTTAATAGAGGTAAGATCTCACTATGTTACCCGGGCCGGTCTCAAACCCCAGAGCTCAACATGAGCCTCCTGCCTTGGCCTCTCAAAGTCCTAGAATTACAGACATGAGCCACTGCACTCGGCTACAGGCATTTAATACGAAATTTGTAAGACTCAAAATATTTTCTTCTGTTGTTTAGCTAATTTTCCTGAGCAAGTGGTAGATAATCTTCCAGCTGATATATCCACTGGTATTTACTATGGTTGGGCCAGTGTTGGAAGTGGAGATGTCCATAAGATGGTGGTGAGCATAGGATGGAACCCATATTACAAGAATACGAAGAAGTCTATGGTAAGCATTATATTTTGCTCTGTAACCGAAAATGGTATGATGACTTAGAATAATATATTACAGTATTCGTTACAGAAATAGCTTATCAGTGGTAATCACAACGTAGTTCAAATACTGGAATTTTGGGCAATCTCTGTCTTTTAATTGGAGAGTTTAATTCATTTACATTTAAAGTAATTTCTGATAAGGAGGGACATCTACTGTTTTGCTATTTGTTTTTTATATGCCTTATAACTTTTATGTCCCTCATTTCCTCTATTACTGCCTTTTGTGGTAGTGTGCTTTTTGTTTTGTTTTGTTTTGTAGTGACATTTTAATTCCTTTCTCATTGCTTTCTGTGTATTTCTATAGATACTGTCTTTGTGGTTACCATGGGGTTTATATTTAACATCCTGAAATTCTAAAAGTTTAATTTGAGTTTATACCAACTTAATTTCAATAGCATACAGAACTCAGAAATTGCATCTTTTTTTTTTTTTTTAAAGATGGGGTCTCACTATGTTGCCCAGACTGAAGTGCAGTAGCTGTTCACAGGCCAGGTTGTAGCACACTGTAGCTTCAAACTCATGGGCTCAAGTAATCCTCCTCCAGCCTCCAGAGAGCTGGGACTATAGGTACATGCCACTGCCTGCATCTGGCTCAGATTACATCCTTATACATTGTGGTACCCAATAACAAAGATTAATAATTGGTTTTTTTATGCATTTATTTTTTAAATTATGTAGAAAATAAAGAGTGGAGTTACAAACCAAAATTATAATACTGACTTTGATAATTGCTGTCTGTGAAAGACTCACTTGACCAAAGATAAAAATGATTTAAAAGCCTGTTTCATAAAATTGAGCTTGCCACAATTAATGCACTTCATTCACCATTTACTTCATGCATCAATTGCGCTTGGTCACCCTCTTAAGATAAAACAGTTTACTACATGGATGGTGGATGGAGGATGGTGCTTATTGATACAGTCCCACATTGGTGCTTTTCTCTTTCCTTTTTAAACCACCTGAGGGTATACTTTTCTGCCCTACTCTTTACAGGACCCCACAACTTCAGTGTTTTATCTGTTAGATTTGGCTGAATCTTTTGTCAGCTCAAATGTGTGGCAAAAACAAATTACAGTGAAGCTAAATTTTGTTCTGTGTGGAGTTAATAGAAGTGAAGTGTGTCACTGCTGGAAAACTACAGAGCTAAATGCTGGCGTAAGCAATAGTAATGACGCAGAAGTACTTAACATTTTGCTCAGTATTTCAGTTATTTTTCAGTATTAATGATTTGAAAATTATTTTTTGGAGACAAGGAAAACAATCGAAAGATCACAAAATACCATTCTGTTGAATGAGGAAGGAAAAGAAGGGGAGGGGACAATAGCCCATAACTAATTTGTCTTTAGCTACTTAGATAACAAAAATGTTATTATACAGCCAGTTAAGGAATGCCTTTTGAGTGTTAGGAAAAATTGAATTTGAAACATAGGCATATCTTACCAGTGGAAAATTGAACTTTTGCTTGCCTTTGCCAGTAACACACATCTGTGAAGTGCCTGTGCCAGACCTTTGTCCTTTAAAAAAAAAAAAAGCGTTATCTTACTGACCTTAAATAAGTTCTTAGTAACACATCTAGATCCACTTCCTTTGTTGGAACTGTGTATTGTTGTATTACAAATTTCTTTCATTGTGTGTGTGTGTGTGGTTTTTTTTTTTTTTTTCTCAATGGTGTGTTGAAGAACAGAGTTTTGTTTTGTTTTGTATTTTCAGATAGGGTCTTGCTCTGTCACCCAGGCTGCAGTGCAGTGGTGCAATCTCAGCTCACTGCAGCCTCAACTTTCTGGGCTGAAGTGATCCTCCCATCACAGCCTCCCGAGTAGCTAGGACCACAGGCATGTGCCACCATGCTTGGCTATTTTTAAATTTTTTTATAGAGATGAGATTTCAGCATGTTACACAGACTGGTCTCAAACTTTTGGGCTCAAGCAGTCCTCCTGCCTCAGCCTCCCAAAGTGCCAGGATTACAGGCATGAGCATGGCACCCAGCCCAGAGGTTCTTAATTTTAATACAATCCAGTTCAATATTTTTTTTATAGTTAGTGCTTTATATAATCTGTTTCAGAAATCTTTGACTACTCCAAAGTCATGAAGATACTTGTCTGTGGTTTTTTTCTAAAAGTTTAATTGACTGACATATCTTCAAATTGACTTTTTTAGTATGGTATCTGATAGGGATTTAAATTAATATTTTTTTCCATATGGATGTAGAATTGACCCAGCCTATTCATTGAAAATACCATGCTTTCACAACAGTGCTGTAGTGTCACCTGGGACATAAATCAAGTGACCTTATATGTGTGTGAGTCCAAAAATTCACATACATACTTGGTTTGCTTGTCTTATCATAGGTCTTGATACCTAGTTGTATAAGCCCTCTAGTTTTGTTCTCAAGATTTTCATGAATAATTTTGGTTTTTCCATATAAATTTTAGAATCACTTGTCAGTTTCTCCTATTTTAAAAAACCTGCTAGGATTTTGATTGGGGCAGCATTGAATTCGTAGATTACTTTGGGAAGTTTGCCATTTCTCTCAATAATGTCTTGTAATTGTCAGTGTCAGGGTCTTACATATTTTTTAAAATTATTTTTAAATTTTTTTTTGAGATGGAGTCTTCGCTCTGTCGCCAAGGCTAGAGTGCTGGAGTGCAGTGGTGTGATCTTGGCTCACTGCAACCTCCGCCTCCTGGGTTTGAGCAATTCTCCTGCCTCAGCCTCCTGAGTAGCTGGGACTATAGGCATGCGCCACCATGCCCAGCTAATTTTTGTGTTTTTAGTAGAGTACCGGGTTCCACCATGTTGGCCAAGCTGGTCTTGAACTCTTGACCTCAAGTGATCCTCCTGGCTCCGCCTCCCAAAGTGCTGGGATTACAGGCATGAACTACTGCACCCAACCAGTCTTACATATCTTAGTTTCTTTTTTATTATTCAAATGTTTACTGAAAAGAAAGAATATATTGGTTCATAGCCCCAAAGTCATGGGGCACTTTATGTATCTTCTAACTCAAGCCGCCCCCCACCCATTACAGACGAGAAAACTGAGCCCCGCGGAAGCTAGTTATACAGTTAACCAAGTGTGGGAACCCAGACTTTTGACTCTAAGTCAGTGCTCTTAACCTCTTAACCACAGTACTGCCCAGATGATTTAGCTGAACTAGATTCTGAGGCACTTTCTACGTCATGCGGCATTTTGCTTTAATGTGCTGTGTACCCTTTTGCCACTTTACTCCCTGATCAGGAAGCTGCATTGGCTCTCCTGCCCCTTCAGTCCTCAGCTCTGCCAAACTCTGAAGTTTCCATACATGTTGTGTGTCAGACGTGTGCAAATGCTGACTGACCTTAACAACTAGTTGTTTAGTAGTAACATCTTTTAATACTTTGCTCATTCCCTCTTTGGTGTCCTGTTTTCTCACCTTGATAAGATACTTACTTCCTTGGATACGTGTCAGTTTTTTTGTTATTGTTTGTTTGTTTGTTTTTAAGTAACAGCAAATCATGCCAGACACTGTCACCTCACTCAGTTAGGTTTATAAGATCCAAACAGGAGTGCTGGGAAAATTTAGGAAAAACTGCACTTAGATTTTAACCTGAATCTTTAAAAGTTTAAGGAGTGTTGATTGTTTCATTTAAATTAACTCACCATAAACATGAAGATGTATTTCAGATTTCAGTACACTGTAGTCTGATAGCACTCTTTGTAACATTTCTTGACTATAGGAAACACATATCATGCATACCTTCAAAGAGGACTTCTATGGGGAAATCCTCAATGTGGCCATTGTTGGCTACCTGAGACCAGAAAAGAACTTTGATTCTTTAGGTAAGTTCTTATTTTGATCTTCTTAAATACTACTACTGCTACCACAGGTAACTCTACCACTACTACCAGTAATAATGATGGCAGGACAGATAATATTTGAGCATTTAATATATGCCAGGCACCGTTTTAAGTGCTTTACGTGAATCTATCTTCTTTCACCTGTGAGGGATTATTTTGCCTATTTCTCAGATGAGGAAATGGCACAGAGAGATTAAGTAACATTCTCAAAGTCACATAGTAAATAACGGAGTCTAGCTTTGAACCTAGCAGGCTGGCTGCTTCTCTCCAGCGGTATGAAGTTAATGAAATCTTTCAAAATGTGTGAAGTTTGAGATATAGTAAATCAGAGAACATTTGAAACATGTTACCAGGTATGTATTAGTGTAGTGTGATAGTTTTAACTCTGTTATAAAGTTTCTTTTACAAGTGTAAATACCAACCAAAAATAATAGTGAATGCTTTTTTCCTCCATTTGATATTTGCAGTGTACATTTATGCCTATGCCTTTCTCTTAAAATATAAGATTAGGGACATACCTTTGTTTGTTTGTTTGTTTGAGACAGAGTTTTGCTCTTTGTTACCCAGGCTGGAGTGCAGTGACGCCCCCTCTCACCGCAACCTCCACCTCCCAGGTTCAAGCGATTCTCCTGCCTCAGCTTCCTGAGTAGCTGGGATTACAGGCACCCACCATCACACCCCGCTAATTTTTGTAGTTTTAGTAGAGTCAGGTTTCACCATGCTGGCCAGGCTGGTCTCGAACTCCGGACTTCAGGTGATCTGCCCGCCTCAGCTTCCCAAAGTGCTGGGATTACAGGCATGAGCCACTGCCCCCGGCCTAGGGACATATCTTTTGTGTACCATTGACTTAGGCCTGGAAGGAGTGATGGAACAAACATTTATTGGGTATCTACCCTGTGCAGAGATACTGCCAGCCTGTGAGTTTTTAGGATTGGCTAAACAGAGTAGTAGTAAAAAGTATGTTAATGGTTTTTCATCATTTTTACCTGGTATATTCTCTCTGCAGAGTCACTTATTTCAGCAATTCAAGGTGATATTGAAGAAGCTAAGAAACGACTAGAGTTACCAGAACATTTGAAAATCAAAGAAGACAATTTCTTCCAGGTTTCTAAAAGCAAAATAATGAATGGCCACTGATGAAAAATTGTATTATTTATTCATTCACTGTTTTCTAGTGTTTCTGTGTTTATTACTGTTCAGCATCATCTTGGTTATATACTGAAAATCAAACACTTTACTACAGTTGTGAATTAGTTTAAACCGTACAATGTTGTTATCATATCATGCTTCAACTATTAAATTAAGCCCATCATATCATAGCACTAAAAAGATTGAGTTAAAAATAAGATTTAAAAAATATATATTGATTAAAATGTACCACTAGAAAGGTATTACATGTGTATAAGTATGGGTAAAAAGGCAAGTCACTAGTTTGAGATGAAAACTAAAATTTTCATGGTAAAATGCCAGCATGTATGTACTTGTGTAGTGTGTACTTCTAAACAGAGAAGGCTTATAAAAGTAAATGCATTAAGGCCAAGTGCAGTGGCTCACACCGGTAATCCCAGCACTTTGGGAGGCCGAGGTGGGAGGATTGCTTGAGCTCATGAGTTCAAGACCAGCCTGGGCAACATAGCGAGACTCCATCTCTATAAATAAAAAAAAAGGAAATGCATTAAATAGAAGGTTGATAGTTTATCATAAACCTGCGGGGAAGAAACTCAGACTTTCTATTTTTGATATTTTGTGCATTAATACATTACAAACATGAAGATGTTTGTAAAGTTTTGTTTTAGTCATTTTCTTTGCAGTCACATCATTGTACCACCTTCATTATTGTATAGAGCTGCTTCAATTCTGAGTCCTCTGGACTTCCCCTGCCTATCTGTTTGTTGTTGTTGTTGAAGACAGTAAAATAAGTGTTTTCAAATCTATATGTCTCCTTTTTGTTGGATAATGTTTCTTCTTTTTAATGGTAAATATTCTTGTTCTTCAACATTTTTCTTTGGTTCTTTTTTCCTTTTTTAGGAAAAACAAAACAACAGACTTCATCCTTAGGTTTTCTCAAGATTTAAGTGAACACATTTACACATATCAATTTCTTAAAGAACACAAAATGTTTCCTCCCTAGCAAAACTATTTAAGAGCCAATTAAACTATGAAATAGTTATAAAATTATTTTTAATATTTAAGGCCTTGAAATTATATTCCAAGGCAAATCTAAATGGGTGTAGTTGTATATGCACGATGTAATTTAATGCTAAAGAGTACTTACAGCTTGAGGGAAAAGCATAAAGTTTTAGTTAAATAGCCTTCATACTGTGGATTTTTCCTCCTACTAACTAATATGTGGGAAATTAAGATTACAGATGCTTTGGGCCCCCTCAAACAGTACATTGCTACAGTTCACTGTAGCAACAGATTTGGTGGTGATGGGGGGATAGAGGTAGAAGCAGATAGAAGGTAATTTTAAAGTTAATTTATTATGAATCATTTTCCCCTAATCTGCATAAATGAATTAGAACTGATTTTAATAAAAATATTCTGTGTAAAAAGTACTCAGAAAAACATCTAAAGCTGTTGGAGAAGAGGGACTCATATAAATAGTTGGATTGCGTTTTGCTTTTTATTTCTTTATAAAAATATGTCAAAAACAGTTTTTAATTTTAGAAATCTTATACTTGAAAGAAACCTCAATTATCAGTGGCTTTATGAAGTAAAGTTAAAAACAAACATAGGAAATGTGAAAATATTTGTGTTTGTTTTGTCTGACTAACTTGCTGCTAAATGCTATCTTTAGGTGTGTGAAAGTTCTTTGATATGTTATTGTCCTTTTACATCTTGTTAAATAGCCATTGCTTTTGAGAATCAGATAGTGTGTTGTTTAGGGGTTAATTGTGTCTATATCTTTCAAAAACTTTTATATTATGTATTATAAGAAGTTACAGTAGTACCATTTTGATTAGTCTGAATGTTTTCAGGCCTTGAAATAAATTTTGACTAAGTGATATTTTTTCTTTCCCTGTGTCAGCTTGAATCTTACTTTATGTATTTCGAATTTGTTGGCTGATTGCTACTCTTAAGTGTGTGAAGTTGCCTGAAGAGCAAGATATAGGTGGCAGCTGTAGTTCTACAACAAAGGGCCTTGCCTTCAGGATCCCCTGTGTTTTATGCCTGCAACACAGTGACTGAGGTTTATTTGGAGAGCAATCACAGGGCATCACTACTAAAGTCCACTTCCTGAGAGTAAGGGTTCCTGTTACATTTTGGAGATAGAAGAGCCAGAAGAGTATAGATAGGTCTGGGTTCCCTTGCATAACTCCTGCCCCAAAACAGAGTTCTGTAACCTTCTTGTCTTTTGCCACCAACCCCATAAGCAGCAACTTAGAACTCGTTTGCCTTTCTCTGTTGCATGCTGGTACTCTTTGAACAGTCATCCCCAGAACTCTCATCTTCCTCAACTATGGAGGCTTACAGCCTGCAGTTAGAGCTTACCATGAAACATGATTCTGATTGGGAGATGGAAGTGGAAGTCTGGTCTTCAGAGATGGAGCCAAGAAACTAACCTATTCTGCCAAAAAAGATGCCAGAAACAAATTGTAAAATAAGCTCTACAGAGATGGCAGATCCAGGGTTATCAGATATAGAATTTGAAATGACTGTTTAATATGTGTAATGAAGTAAAAGAGTAACAAAAATGGTAAAATGGCAAGGTGTTGTATAAAAATTGGGCAGCTGGGTGCTGTGGCATGTGCCTATAATCCTAGCTATTTGGGAGGCTGAAGCAGGAGGATTACTTGAGGCCAGAAATTCAAGGCTGTAGTGTGCTGTTATGGGTACTTGTAAGTAGCCACTGCACTCCAGCCTGGGCAACATAGTAAGATCCTGTCTCTATTAACATTTAAAGTAAAGTAAAAATTGGGCAGATAATTGAGAATTGTCCGAAATATATAGTTATAAAGAAAAATTGAAATTAAAAAGTCAATGGATGGGTTAAATACATATTAAACAACAAGAGAATTGGTGAACTATGAGACTTAAGTCTGTGACTGTGCTGTCAGCTCCAAATTCACCATTGATACTCTGATGTCGCTGTGACTCTACATTTCTTTGACAATTGGCTTCCTTTTAGGTCAGGTCATAAATGGAATTTGAACCCCAGGTTGTCATTTCTCAGGCAGCTCAGTAAGTCCCTGGACCTACCCTGTGCTTATTTTTTGTTCCCACGTGTATATTTGAGATAGACATACTTGACTATTGACAGAATTTCCACTTAGCTTCCCTGACCATTACAAGTGCCAAGTAGAAGCCAGGATAGTAAACCACAACAATGCTACATCTCCAGGAAAATTGGAGAGGTCATCATCAAAAATCCTGAAAGATTAGCTGGGTGTGGTGTGGTGGGCCTATGGTTCCAGCTATTCGGTAAACTGAGCTGGGAGAATAGCTTGAGCTCCTGAGTTCAAGACTGCAGTATGCTCTAATCATGCCCATGAATAGCCACTGCACTCCAGTTTGGACAACAAAGGGAGACCCTGTCTCAAAAAAAAAAAAAAAAAAAAAAAAAAAAAGCTGAAAGTTTGAGGATAGAGGCTGCTATTATATCTGTTTAGCCTGCACAGAAATTTGCTAAATCTTGGAGAATGACTATTATCAGCTAATCAAGTGATGATTTCAATTGCAGCTATTGTCTGCGATATGTAAAAGTATCAGCAAATGTCTAAGGACTGCTACAAAGAACATTCTGAACACAATGCAATGGAGAAAGAAATTAGGCATAAAAATACAAAAATGTCACAATGTAAAGCTATTTTGTAATGAATGATAATATGTGACAAACATTTGTAGAATGCAGCTAACACTTAAAAGATTTATAGTTTTAAATACTATTAGACAAAGAAGATTGAAGATGAGTCATGATCTAAGCTTTCATCTCAAAAAGCTAGAAAAAGAACAGTAAAAGAAACCAGACACCTCACAAAAACACGTATGTGTATAAATTTCAAGAACAGGCAAAAATCATCTACAGCTGGGGTCCCCAACCCCAGACCATGGATTGGTACCGTGGCCACGGATTAGTACATTAGGAACTGGGCCATATAGCAGGAGGTAAGCCGCTGGCGAGTGAGCATTACCACCTGATCTGGTTAGGCTTTGTGTCCCCACCCAAATCTCATCTTGAATTATAATCCCCATAATCCTCACGTGTCAAGGAAGAGAACAGGGGAATCATGGGGGAAGCCACCAGCCATGTGGAACTGAGTCAATTAAACCTCTTTCCTTTATAAATTTCCCAGTCTCAGGCAGTTCTTTATAGCAGTGTGAGAATGGATTAATACACCACCTGAGCTCCGCCTCCTGTCACATCAGCGGGGGCATTAGATTCCCAGGAGAGTGAAGCCTGTTGTGAACTATGCATGCGAGGGATCTAGGTTGCTCACTCCTTATAATAATCCAATGAAGTGGAAGAATGTCATCTGGAAACCATCCCCACGACCCATCCATGAAAAAATTGTCTTCCAGGAAACTGGTCCTTGGTGCCAAAAAGGTTGGGGACCACTGATCTACAGCAATAAAGGTCAGGTTGATTCTTTAGGATGGGGTTGACAGGAGGATCATAAGGGTGTTGGGAACTTGTTTTACTCTCCTATTTCTAGACTGGGGCAATGGTTGCCTAGTGTGCTCACTTTGAAAACTCATCAAGCTTTATCCTTGTGTACAGACAAATAACAATGTTCTATGTAGGCCGGGCGCCGTGGCTTACATCTGTAATCCTAGCACTTTGGGAGGCTGAGGTGGGTGGATCACATGAGGTCAGGAGTTCAAGACCAGCCTGGCCAACATGGTGAAACTCTGTCTCTACTAAAAATACAAAAATTAGCCAGGCGCAGTGGCTCACGTCTGTAATCCCAGCATTTTGGGAGGCCGAGGTGGGCGGATCACGAGGTCAAGAGATCGAGACCATCCTGGCTAACATGGTGAAACCCCGTCTCTACTAAAAATACAAAAAAAAAAAAAAAAAAAATTAGCTGGGCATGGTGGTGGGCGCCTGTAGTCCCAACTGCTCGGGAGGCTGAGGCGGGAGAATGGCGTGAACCCACGAGGCGGAGCTTGCAGTGAGCCAAGATCGCGCCACTGCACTCCAGCCTGGGTGACAGAGCAAGACTCCCTCTCAAAAATAAATAAATTAAATAAATAAATAAATAAATAAATAAAATAAAAATTAGTCGAGTGTGGTGGCGGGCGTCTGTAATCCCAACAACTCAAGAGGCTGAAGCAGGGGAATTGAACCTGGCTGAGATGGTGCCACTGCACTCCAGCCTGGGTGACAGAGTGAGAGTCCATCTCAAAAAAAAAAAAAAGTTCTGTATAGCTCAGGTATGACTATCATTTACATGGTCATAGAATTATAGCACTGAATTTTTATGTAACAAAATGTTATGTATATTAACTGGAGGAGGAGGAAATGGGAAGTATGCAGGGGTGGCAACAGAAGGGAGGGATCTGGAGAAGAACTGCTCATCTTGCGTTAGTGGGAATGAGTAGATAGATGCCTAGCCTGGAAACAAGCAGCAATCTAAGCATCTCACAGTTAGGGAGATAGATCTTAAATAGCTGAAAGGGTTGAAGTCGGTTGCTTTTAAGAAATGGGAAATGTGATGTGATGTTAATGACAGGTTAATGTTTCTTTTTCTTAATACAACTTGTAGAACAATTTGATTCTTCAAACTACATGCAGGTTTATCTTGATGAAAAGAAAAATTAGCCTTTAAAAAGTTAATTATGGGCCAGGCACAGTGGCTCACATATCTGTAATCCTAGTACTTTGGGAGGCCGAGGCAGCGGATCACTTGAGGCCAGGAGTTCAAGACCAGCTTGGCCAGCATGGCGAAACCACTGCCTCTACTAAAAATACGAAAATTAGCCAGGCATGGTGGTGCATGCCTGTAATCCCAGTTACTTTAGAGGCTGAGGCATGAGAATCGCTTGAATCTGGGAGGTGGAGGTTGCAGTGAGTCAAGATTGTGCTACTGCACTCCAGCCTAGGTGACAGAGTCTCAAAAAAAAAAAAAGTTAATTATGTATTTCTAGAGTGTTCAGAAAGTTGGGAAACATGGGATGAACTTTTTTCTTTACATCTTCCATATTGTATATTCTTTTACTTAGTAGCAAAAGATCGAATGCTTTTTTAACCTCATTTATTTGTGGGCAGAACACTTAAAATCTACTCTCTTAGCAACCAGGGTGAACTTTTTTTTTTTTTTAAGACGGAGTCTCGCTGTGTTGCCCAGGCTGGAATGCAATGGCGCAATCTCGGCTCACTGCAACCTCTGCCTCCCGGGTTCAAGCAATTCTTCTGCCTCAGCTTCCTGAATAGATGGGATTACAGGCACCTGCCACCACACCTGTCTAATTTTTGTATTTGTAGTAGAGACGGGGTTTCACCATGTTAGCCAGGCTGGTCTCAAACTCCCGACCTCAGGGGATCCACCTGCCTCGGCCTCCAAAAGTGTTGGGATTACAGGCGTAAACCACCGTGCACGGCCAACTTATTTTTAAACAGGATATTGTATTTGCAAATTTCATGCCCAGTATGTTTTCATTAGGTTTTTAGACATCTTTTTAGGTAAAGTACTTCTAAATTTAATGAGCCCAACTATTAATGTGGAAAAAAACCCACACACATACTCTATAGAGCATTTCTTTACTTGCATCAATAAATACTTATAGAGCACTTCATCAATAAATACTGTAAATGCCACATGTGTCTAGTGGCCACTGTATTAGACAATGCAACTATGAGGGTCTATAAGTCTGGAAACAGGAGATAGTAAATTGTACTTTTTTTTTCAGATTAACACTTGGACTCACTGCTTTAATTTTGAGCAGCTTCATCTGAAAATGTATTGAGCATTTTACCTGAAAATATAACTACATTCTGACTAAACTTTTTTTTTTTAATCTGAAGCGGAGAAATGCAGTCCATAGTGTATCTCTATCTTGATTGTAGGAAGCTTAGGGCTAAATTAGTTCAGTCACAGTAACTATAATTACTTAGAACCGTGATTTTCAAAACGTTCTCCAAAGAGCCCTGGGGCCTCACAGAAGTGTCTTGGTGATGAGCAAGCAAAGGGGTCTCTGCCCCTTCCCAACCTTAAGACAGCAATATTTTTCATTTGTTCGTTTGTTTTAAATTTGTTTAGAGATGGGATCTCGCTCTGTTGCCCATACTGGTGTGCAGTGGCGTGATCATAGCTCACTGCAGCCTAGAACTCCTGGGCTCAAGGGATCCTCGCGCCTTAGCCTTCCCAGTAGCTGGGACTACACGTACGTGCCACTGTGCTCAGCACTTTTTGTTGTTGTTGTTTTTTAAGAGTCAGGGTCTTCCTCTGACACCCAGGCTGGAGTGCAGTGACATGATCATGGCTCATTGCAGCCTCAAATTCCTGGCATCAAGTGATCCTCCTGCCTCAGTCTCCCAAGGAGCTGAAATCACAGGCCTGGATCATTGCGCCTGGCTTGTGCAGCACTCTCAATTGTTTTATTTTTATTCATTTACTTATTCTCACCCATGGACTCAGGTCACACTAATTGTTTTATATATGGGTTCCTTAGAAGACTTCATTGCGTAAAAAGGCCTCCAATGCTAAGAAGTACTAGGTAACTTCTGCTTGGTTTGATTATTTACACTTCCTTCCTCCTCCCTCATGGTTCACATTCTCTATTTTCACATCAACAACATACACATAATAGGCAGCGCCTCAAGCACTTTTCTGGAAGCAGTCCATGTCAATCCTAGGAGTCACCACCTCTAGGGCACTGAGCGGATTCCCAGGTGTGTGTTCTGCTTGGCTCCAAGTAAACATATACCAGCTGCTAACCACAAGTCAGTCATGGGAATTTCAGGCTCATTTCAGAGGCCCTTTAGGTCTTTCTGAGCCTTCAAAATATTTTCTGGGGTTGCCCAGGGAGTTGTTTTGCTTACTGATTTGAGGATATTTCAAATTTATTAATGGCTCCTCATCTAGTACAGAATTTCTGTCAAATGAAGTTTTTGTTTTATTTTACATTTTATCTCCTGAAATCAACAAAACTTAAGATTCTGAGCTTCCCAGCATATTTCAAAACCAGACTTTTCCCCTGGCCCTTCATCTGACCAGCTGATTTATTCGGTTCTCTACTATTTTCTGTGGACTTGGTTTGAGTATGTTTTTGAAATTTTAGAAGATGGAAGGCAATGTTACCTTGGATTCTTTGCTCTTTTGGAAAGTTTATTTTCTTCCTTTTTAGACAGTTTTCCTTTTTAGACAGTCTTGCTTTGTTATTGCAACAGCTTAACTACATTGAAGATACCTCGTTCTTTGTAACATTTTAAAAGATAAGCAGAGATAACTGGATGCACATTGAACATTCAAAAGAAAAAAAATTTTTAAAAAAGAAAAATGAGGCCAGCATGGTGGTTCTCGCCTATAGTCCCAGCATTTTGGGAGGCAGAGGTGGGAGGATCACTTGATCCTGGAGTTCAAGGACAGCCTGGGCAACATGGTGAAGCCCTGTCTCCACAAAAAATACAAAAATTAGCTGGGTGTGGCGGTGTGTGCCTGTGGTCCCAGCTACTCCAGAGGCTGAGGTGGGAGGATAGCTTCAGTCTAGGAGGTAGAGGCTGCAATGAGCCATAATTGCATCATTGCATTCCAGACTGCAGACTGGGTGACAGAGTATGACTCTGTCTCAAAAAAGAAAAAGAAAAAAAAGAAAACCAGAAAAAAAAATTAGGTCCCCATGTTTCACTGTAGAGATTCAACAGGTGAGAGAGTATATTTTCTCCATTTCATCTACTGAACTGGTAAATTTCAGCAGTTGTAGCAGCAAGAATTTCAACGTGCTTTTCTTTATATCACTTCATTGTTCATCACAATACATCTGAACCATCTAGCTAGATGTCACTGTTACTGCACTTCAG
The DNA here is from genome assembly GCF_000001405.40 of Homo sapiens. Classification (NCBI taxonomy): domain Eukaryota; kingdom Metazoa; phylum Chordata; class Mammalia; order Primates; family Hominidae; genus Homo; species Homo sapiens. Next base: position 76,378,571 of record NC_000009.12, on the reverse strand, counting down.
AAGAAACTGAAAGTCAAAGATAAACTGAGACCAACTCAAACGGTGTAGCCAATATACCTCAGAGCTAAGCGTCAAATCTTAGTCTTCAGCTTAGATTCAGAGGGACATAATCTTAGTAGAATCAGGCTTAGCTGCCATGCCCTGGAGTTGTGAACATCTGGGACTCGGGTCCCTGTGAGCTGTGGATGCTGGAGGGTAAGTGAGGACGATCTGCAGGCCCACCAGTACAGCTTCTGTAGGACATGTCAGTTCATCCTTTGCTTGGCTCTTGCCGCTGCTAGCTGGATTGTTTCAGGCACCAGGATAAAGTTAGCAAAGTTGGAGATCAACCTTTTAGCAGAGGCAGCAAAAAGGCAGAAACTTCATAGACACATAAGCCCTAATCAACTTGATACACTGTGGACAGGAACAAAGTCTCTGAGCCTGGAGGAATTGGGATGTAACAAGGATCCAGAACACAGACTGGACCAGAATAGTCAACTAATGTCAGGAGAGAATAAGCTTAAATCTAAGCCCCTGGCAAGCTTCTTGGCCTACCTGTTGTTATTCCTTTGACTCATAGCTATCTTTTGTTCCCTGTAGAGTTTTACCACACCTGGACTCTCCATAGCAAGCTCATGTTCCCTAGTAATCCCCAAACTCTGATTGCTTATCCAGATTCCAAGCCTTGGCTCATTTCTTCCCATTCCCTCCACTTATGCCTACCCATCTGTAAGATGATGCAAATAAGGAGCCCTTCATTTCTTCATACTTTTGGAAGAGGCTGCCCAGGGTAAAATCTTCGTGATAGATGCAAATTGATACACATTCCAAGTCCTAGAAAATCCAGGTCATGCTAAAAGATTGTGAAACCCTTTCTGCCCATAACTAATTTCAATTTATAAGGGAGTGGAGTTGAAGAGGGGAGGGGGGAAGAATTCCTTTGGAGATATCAGTGTGCTCCGCCTATATCCCCTTTAAGTATCAATCAGGGAGCTTGACTTGTGTCCCCCTAGCTTAGGAGGTGGGACATAAGAATTGTATGAGAAGTTGTGGCTGGATTGGCAAGAGAACACAGCAGGAAGAGAGAAGGCAGCACTTTCATCCTCTCTGTAGGGGGTTGAGGGTGGACAAAGATGCATGCTTCCCATGGACCAGGTCTGCAGATATGACTGGAGTCATATTTGCAGAAGATTCCATTCAAGATGGCAGCCTGGAGAGGTAAAGTGACCCAGAAGAGGGACAGATGAAAGACTTCCAGAAGCTCAGGGTCTGAAATGCTTCTTGGAGGCAGTCTGCTAAAGGAGGCATTGGGCATACTACAGACATTGCAATTGAATTGCCCCAAAAGGGAAAGTTCAGAAAGAGAATATGTTTTCATCACAGCAAGCTGAGAGTCAGCCACGTAGGGTTGGGTTCTCTTCCCTAATCTAGAGTTTCTCAAACTATATACTGTGAGATCAAATTAGTGGATTTTGGTCATCTTTTAAAAAATAATAATAAACTAGAAAGCATTGGAAAATATATTGGTTGGATAAATATTGTTTCCTGAAACTTTTGCTTCAGTTTTATAAATAAGTGTTGGTGTAAATTTTATTTTTTACTGTGAATGTGGTCCAAAAAAGTGAAAAGTTCCTGTTTTAATTTGTTCTCCCTGTGCTTGGTTTTGGAGGGATTAGGCAGCTGCAATACGGGAGATCAAGATCAAGGCCTCTGGAGCCAGGCAAGTTATTTTACCTCTTTGTGGTTTAGTGTCTTATCCATAAAACCCGGATAACAATAGTGCCTACCTCATAGGGTTGTTAGGATGATTAAAAGGATGAAACTATCTGATCCATGCAAAGTGCTTCTAATGGTACCTAAAAAACAGTATGTGCTTCACAAATGCCAATTGTTTTTGTGGTGCTGGAGATTTTTTTTTATCATGGCCAAAGATAACAATGTGATTTTAAAGACACAGTAAATTCTTCCCTAAATTATGTGCACAGTCCAGTTTTGTTCAGGTCAAGACAATGATTTCTGTGAGCAAATACATACTCCTTAAATATTTATGGAGTAGCTATTGTATGCTGGCATTCTGCTATGTGCTAGGGGTACAGAGTGGAATAAAATAATATCCCTGACCTTGAAGAACATACAGTCTCCAAAAGAAATTCCAATTTATTTGACTTTATCTTCATCACCCCCATGTGGTGCCTGGCATATTGTAGGTCCCTAGGGAATAGATGTTTGTTTGTTTGTTTGTTTAAGAGACAAGGTCTTGCTCTGTCACCCAGACTGGAGTGCAGTGGTGGGATTGTAGCTCACTACAGCCTCCAACTCCTGAACTCAAGCGATCCTCCCACCTCAGCCTCCCAAGTAGCTGGGACCACAGGTGTGCACCACCATGCTTAGCTAGTTTTTAATTTTTTTGTAAAGATGGGATCTCCCTATGTTACTCAGCTGGTTTCGAATGCCTGGACTCAAGCAATCCTCCCAGCTCAGTCTCCCAAAGTGCTGGGATTACAGGTGTGAGCCACCACACCTGGCCTCTAGAAAATATATATTGAGTGCATTTTGTTGGAAGGAATCATTAGCTCTCTTTACCTCAGCCAGATGCAGTAAATAAGGGAGCCTCTTATCATGTCATCTTTTCTTTTCTTTTCTTTTTTGAGATGGAGTTTATCTCTTGTTGCCCAAGCTGGAGTGCAATGGTGCGATCTCAGCTCACCACAACCTCCGTCTCCCCGGTTCAAGCAATTCTCCTGCCTCAGCCTCCCGAGTAGCTGGGATTACAGGCACACACCACCACGCCCGCCTAATTTTTTGTATTTTTAGTAGAGACGGGGTTTCTCCACGTTGGTCAGGCTGGTCTCAAACTCCCGACCTCAGGTGATCTGCCCACCTTGGCCTTCCAAAGCATGTCATCTTTTCTAGTACATTTGAGATGTGGAGGAAAGAACAGCAGCATCGGAGACTTTTTCTGTAAATGCCAAAGGTTTCCAAAAGTCTACATTTGAAGAAAGATGAATTTGCTCTTGTAGACATCCTCTGGTGTCTCCTTTATACTGTTTATTGAAAAAAGTTTCTAGGGAAGGAAAAAGAAAGGAAACAGATGGCTCCAAATGACAGAGCAGAATCTTACGATTTCTTCTCTCTTTGCTGCTTGGAGCAGCTGAGAAGCCAGCAGGAAAGAAAAGCAGGGATGTTGTGTGTCCTCCTGAATCATTCATCACCTCCTTCCTCCACTCCAGCATTCCCAGTCCCTCAGCTATGTAAACAGAGCTCTGACGTCACAGCCCAGGGAGGTCAGGCAGGGTGAGTAGGGCCAACACTTCCTCCCACACCCTGCTGTTCAAAGCATTGCAGACTTCCAAGCAGGTTGCATGGGAAATTAACCAATTGACAGGGTGGTTTTGTTTTTGTTTTTGTTTTTGTTTTTTTTAGCACAGAGGGAGTAAGAACCAGAGAAGAAATGGAAAAAAAAAAAGGGTGATTTGTGATTTGGGACAATAAAGCCATCCCTAACCTTGCTTTGGAAAGAGTATAGAGCTGTAGGCTGTAGAGTGACAACACTAGTGCGGCCCAGGGTCAGAATGTGGGCGCGTCTCCTAAAAGGGCCAAGAACTACCATTAGAAAGGGCAACAGTAAAAATTGACACTTAATTGTCATGTGCGTTTACACGTTTATAACGCACAATGCATACCCGTATATATTATGTCAAATGAGTTGGCCAGTGTCACGTGGAGCTGAAATGGGAATGAAGATATCCTGGACTTGAAGACCAGCTTGCTTTTAATTAAGCTTTTCATGTCTGAAATTCTTCCCCTTCCATATCAAGCCATCTTCCTCAGTGCTTACATGATTTGTAGATCTTAAAGAGCTGTTCTCCTCCCCTCAAAGCTACCACAGCCCAGGGAGGTCAGGCAGGGTGAGTTTGGTATCTAAATTCTTTGATCCACTTGTGGGTGGAGGTAGATGCAGTAGCTGATGCATTTTGCAAGCTGATCAGTGCTGTGAGTATATTGAATATCAGGGTCAGCTCTGTGGGTGTGCCCTGTGGCCAATCAACAACACAGGGCCTCATGCTTATTTTTAGTTTTTGAGACAGGGTCTCACTTTGTCACCTAGGCTGGAGTGCAGTGGCACAATCTCGACTCACTGCAGCCTTGACCTCCTGGGCTCAAAGGATCCTCCCACCTCAGCCTCACAAATAGCTGGGGCTACAGGTGCCCACCATCCCATCCAGTTAATTTTTGTAGTTTTTGTAGAGACGGGATTTCACCATGTTGCCCAGGCTGGTCTTGAACTCCTGAGCTCAAGGGATCCGCCCACCTCAGCCTCCCAGAATGTTGGGACTACAGGTGTGCACCACCATGCCTGACCAGGGCCTGGTGCTTATATGGGTCCCATGTGCTGCTGCTGCCATCTTGAAATTTGTAATATTTTTACACTGGACACCACAAATTATGTTGCCACTACCAATTGACTTCATTCGTTTTCTGAGAAGCCAAATCCAGATGGTTGGTCTGAGAATATTGTTTGATTTCTCCCAGTTTCTGCAGTATAAGTGGCGCATGCCTACCTAGGACAGATAACAGGTGAACAAGGAAATAATTACATTGGTGTAGCAACTTATAGTTTATGACAGACTTTCATGTGCATAATCTTTAACCCTCACGAACAAATGTCAGGAGACAAGTCTATTTAAGGTAATCAGAAACCCATCTATAGGAGATTAAATTGATTTGATAGGCAAACATCTCTTTAAAAGTGAAAATCAGCAGAAAAACAGGACAAAAAATTATCCAGATGTTACACAGCTGTGCTGCAAAGGAAGTTACAAAGTCAATAAAGGACTCAGTGTGGAGTTTAGCCAAAGGGATCATGCGGAATAAAAATTCCAATCACAAGCCAAGGAAGAGAGAGACATTGTTCTTGGAGCAACTTAGAGCATCAGTCACAAAGATCCCTCATGGTTGCTCACAGCCCAGGGATATACATCATAGAGTCCAGCTGAGAACTCCTTTGTCAAGGATTCTGCCTTTGACTCATCACTTCTTGATTAGCAGTTTGATTTGGTTTCTGTGTCCCTTTTTGTTTTTTAAAGCAACAGATCAATACTGAAAACAGGGTTTAAGCCACCTTTATAAGCTTGTTGGCCTGAGACCTAGACTCTCAAATCCAGACCAAATACAACCTTTTGACAACCCGGCAACACCCAGTCTGTGGTTTCTGATTTGCTTCCACCTGGTTGTCTGACCTAATCTCTTGACTCTGCCTGCCCCAGTTGCACAACTACGGTTCTGATCTGAAGTCTAAAGTCCAGGCTGCTGCTGCTTTTGGCAAGGCACTGGCTGGCTGAATTTCCCTGCGGGAACACAATCTATTGCAACTTTGTCCCTAACTCACAGCCATTTGAGGACAGAATGAGACAAAGAAGGATGCCTTCATGACTTTTCACCTCTGTGGTGCAGATATGCTCACTTTTCCAACTCTTTTCTCAGGGCACTCTTCAAATCCTGCATCTTAAGGGGTTTTCTCCATGCATTCAAAGTAAAATTGACCTAGAAGAAAGACTGGATCATTGTTCTCCCTCCTTTTCCAATGTCCTCAGCATACTCCTAAGATTACCTGTGGCATTGCAGCCAAACTCGAACATTCAAGTTTTTCACAACTTGGAGAGAAAGGAGAGGTTCATTGTAGAAGCATGCATTCTTTTAGATGATCAAGGTATAAATGGGATTTCTATCAAGAGACTATCCTGCTGGGATGCAGCTATGGTTGCTTTATGGAGAGGGAAAAGCTGTAGGGGAGATAAAAACATTTCACCAGAGGTCAAGTACTTGGCCAGTGTATTTATAGATCTTCTGGCCCTTTAACCAAAACTTGATGACTTGAGTCAAGAATGTATTTTATTTTCTCCTGGTTCAGAAGCAAATCACTTTGGGTTTCTGAAAGAGCAGTCCTTTTGTTTCTCTGTCTGCTGAGAAATCAAGTTAGAAAATCCAGTTAATGATCTAGTTACTTAAAACCACTCATTAGAGTGTAATTGCTTTTTGGAGGAAAAAAGGAAGGTCTTGTTAAAAAGAGCTGAGTGGGTGTGTCTTTGGTTCCAGATTAAGTTTATAGAGAAGTCAAATCTACTTTTCTCTCTCTTATGTAATCTTGCTTCACAAATCCTGTCAAAACAGATTCACAGAAGGAAGATTATTAACAAGCTACACAGCTACTAAAATGATATGGGAGGGGTGAGGGAAAATTAACAATTATTGAACCCCTTCTGCATACCAGGAGTATTGATGGTGGGATCTCATTCCTCACAGCAACCTTGGGAGGTCAGGAATGCAAGTTTTCCACATGTAACAGAGAATCAGAAGTTTAGTAACTTGCCCAAGATTCCACATCAGCAAATGTCAGAACTGAAATTCCATCCTAGGAATCTTTGGCTCCCACCCAAACTCATGATGTTTCTGTTATGCCAAGCCCTCTATATAAACATAAATACTGTATAGGAATGATAAATCTAATCATGGCATCACCTACTGAGGTTTATCTCTTTTTGTTTTTAAGACAGAGTCTCACTTCCTTGCCTAGGCTGGAATGCAGCAGTATGATCTCAGCTCACTGCAACCTCCGCTTTCCAGGTTCAAGTGATTCTTATGCCTCAGCCACCCAAGTAGCTGGGATTACAGGCATGCACCACCATGCTCAGCTAAGTTTTGTATTTTTAGTAGACATGGGGTTTGACCATGTTAGCCAGGCTGGTCTTGAACTCCTGACCTCGAGTGATCCACCCACCGCAGCCTCCCAAAGTGCTGGGATTACAGGCGTAAGCCACTGTGCCCAGTCTTTTCTTTTATATATATATATATATATATATATATATATACACACATATATATATATGTATATATATGTGTGTGTGTGTGTGTGTGTGTGTGTGTATGTGTGTGTGTATATATGTATTTTTTTTTAAGACAGAGTCTCACTTCCTCGCCCAGCCTGGAATGCAGTGGTTAGGTCTCAGCTCACTGCAGCCTCTGGTTTCTGGGTTCAAGAGATTCTTATGCCTCAGCCACCTAAGTAGCTGGGATTACAGGTGTGCATCACCACGCCTGATTAAGTTTTGTATTTTTAGTAGACATGGGGTTTCACCATGTTGGCCCAGCTGGTCTTGAACTCCTGACATCAAGTGATCCACCCACCTCAGCCTCCCAAAGTGTTGGGATTACAGGCGTGGGACACTGTGCCCAGCCTTTACTTTGATTTTTTTTTTCCTTTTTTTCTTTTTTTGAAATGGAGTCTCCTTCTGTCACCCAGGCTGGAGTGCAGTGGTGCAATCTTGGCTCTCTGTAACCTCCACCTCCCAGGTTCAAGTGATTCTTATGCCTCAGCCTCCTGAGTAGCTGGGAATACAGGCGTGCACTGCCACATTCAGCTAATTTTCGTATTTTTAGTAGACATGGGGTTTCACCATATTGGCCAGGCTGATCTTGAACTCCTGACCTCAAATGACCCACCCACCTTGGCCTCCCAAAGTGCTGGGATTACAGGTGTGAGCCACCTTGCCTGGCCTTTTCTTTGATTTTTTTTAAAACAAAGCTGAGCTGAAAGACCACTGAGATTTAAAAAAGAGAAGAGCTTTATACTTAGGAATAGTCTATGTTTGAACAGAATGGGATGTAATTATTGAAATCGAAGTGTGGGTATAGTTTGTTTAGCTGGCACTGAGCCAATGTCTTTGGATGCTGGTGGAACTTTCCCACTTCTTAGGGTCATTGGTTCCTCGGAAAACTATCACAAGAAAAGGAAAATTAGGTGGGAAGAGAAAATAGGGTCCATTGATGACATTACTTATTACTTTTGCCTTGCCTCTGCCAACTTCAAGGAGGTTGGGTTGGCTCAGGGATTAAAGTCCTTTATCATGTTGAGTTGAAATTGACCTGTGATTTCAAGATCACTTGAAAAGTGCTTGCCATTGTATAGACCACAGGAAAGTCAAGTTAGAGACTTGACGTCTATAGTTACTAAGCTCTGAAGATCCTTTTATTCTCCTAAACACTTTTCTCAACATTTCTTCCAAAAGAGCCTGCATGTGAATAAATTAGCTTTTCCTAACCTTCCCTTTCTTTGTGTTCCAATGTTTTGTTTCCCCCCACCCTCTGAATTATTGCAATGCTCACATTCTCTCTCATATTGTGGCTGTTTGTACACATATATGTTTTTCCACCTAATTACTAAGCTCTTTGAGGGCAGATCATATGTCTTGCTTATCTTTGCTTTCTACGGTTTAGCTAGCATAATCAACATAGGGCTTTATTTTTTTTAATTGCAAAAATACAGTGGAAATGGTTGTGTACATAATAAACTTTTATATCTTGCTTATTATATGTAACTATAATAGCATATTTTGTATAGTCTTTATAAACTTACTTTTAACATGTTATGAAGTAGTTTTATATACAAAAATGAACATTTTGTGTGTGAAAGCTCTGGTTCTGCTTATAATATTTTTTAATGTGGAACTGGTGAATTCAAATAGAACAAACACTTAAAAGACTTTTGATTTTGCTAAATTGATTTCCAAAGGAGTTTTATTGCTGTGGTAGGCCCCTAAGCTTCCCCACCCTAAAACCCGGGACTGAATATGATGAAGTGTCATGCCTGTGACTGTTACAGCCAAAGGGAAATGATCCAGGTGGGTCTAATCTAATCACACAGAGTTATCTCCAGCTGGTGGTGGAAGCAAAGTCAGAAAGATTCAGCTTATGAAAAGGATTCTAAGCACAGTTGCAGGCTTTGAAGAGGAGGGAGCCAAGCGTAAAACCAGAAAGTGACCCCTGGCTGACAGCCAGAAAAGAAACCTCAGTCCTCTAACTGCCAGAAACAATCTGCCAGCTGCCTGAATACCTTGGAAAACAACTCACCTCCGGAGCCTTCAATAAGAGGCCAGCCTGGCTAACACCTTGATTTCGCCCTGGAGTAGACCTAAGCCAAAAACCCAGGGGAGCCCACCTGGTCTTCTGACTTTGAGATAACAAATGAGTGTTGTTTAAAGTAGCTAAATTGTGGTGATTTTTAAGTGCAGCAATGGGAAATAAGGCCGGGCACAGTGGCTCACGCCTTAATCCCAGCACTTTGGGAGGCCGAGGCGGGGGGATCACCTGAGGTCAGGAGTTTGAGACCAGCCTGGCTAACATGGAGAAACCCCGTCTCTACTAAAAATACAAAAATTAGCCAGGTGTGGTGGCAGGTGCCTGTAGTCCCAGCTACTTGTGAGGCTGAGGCAGGAGAATCACTTGAACCCGGGAGGTGGAGGTTGTGGTGAGCCAAGATCACGCCACTGCACTCCAGCCTGGGCAACAAGAGCAAAACTCCATCTCAAAAAAAAGAAAAGAAAAAAAAGAAAATGAAGACATTGGGTTACTCTTTTACCAAGTAACATGAAATTGCCCATGTTCGTGCAGGTGGTAGTGGACAGAACTCCAGAATTGTGTACTGTAATTAAAACAGTGTTTGCTGGCCTGGTATGGTGGCTCACACCTGTAATCCCAGGCCGAGGCAGGCAGATCACCTGAGCTCAGTAGTTCAAGACCAGCCTGGCCAACATGGCAAAACCCCATCTCTACTAAAAATACAAAGTTCAACTGGGTGCGGTGGTGTGCACCTGTAATCTCAGCTACTGGGAAGCTGAGGCAGGAGAGTTGCTAAGACATTATTAAAAATTTGATATTGCTTTCTCATAGCACTGGAGTGTGGGAATAAATGAGATAAAAAGAGGAAATTCTGGATAAGAGATTTGATACTGAGAGAAAAATCACAGAGAAGATTCTACTTAGAAAAGAGTAGTATGTTCTAGATTTATGGAAAAATTATTATATTTTTAAGAGTAGTGTGTTGAAGCTGGCTTCTCTTACCTTACAAAAGCCAATTGTTAAGTTTTCAGGAATCTAGAGAGTTACTTGTTATTTTATTTATTTATTTATCTTGACATGGAGTCTCTCTCTGTTGCCCAGGCTGGAGTGCAACGGGGCAATCTCAGCTCACTGCAACCTCCACCTCCCAGGTTCAAGCAATCCTTCTGCCTCAGCCCCCCGAGTAGCTGGGATCACAGGCGGCCGCCACCACGCCTGGCTAATTTTTGTATTTTTTGTGGAGACGAGGTTCCACCATGTTGGCCAGGCTGGTCTCGAACTCCTGACCTCAGGTGATCCACCTGCCTCGGCCTCCCAAAATGCGAGGGTTACAGGCGTGAACCACTGTGCCCATCCTGAGGGTCACTTGTTAGATACAGCTATCATTAAAAGTTAAGTTACAAAAACTTTCAACTAAAGAAGTTGTATTAGTGGCCAGGCGCGGTGGCTCACGCCTGTAATCCCAGCACTTTGGGAGGCCGAGGCGGGCAGATCACGAGGTCAGGAGATTGAGACCATCCTGGCTAACATGGTGAAACTCCATCTCTACTAAAAATACAAAAAATTAGCCGGGCATGGTGGCGGGCGCCTGTAGTCCCAGCTACTCGGGAGGCTGAGGCAGGAGAATGGCGTGAACCCGGGAGGTGGAGCTTGCAGTGAGCCGAGATGGCGCCACTGCACTCCAGCCTGGGCGACAGAGCAAGACACCATCTCAAAAAAAAAAAAAAAAAAAAGAAGTTATATAAAAACAGGTAAAAAATGCCCCCCCAACTCATCTTTCTTAAGTTTACATTTTATTATTATCTATGCTCTTGAGATTATTTACATCTAATGCATTTGTATGGCAGAAATACTATATGATGGTTTGCTTTTTTCAATTTCTTTCTCACTCTGTATTAAGTGGTATGGCAGTTGAAGCTTGAATTTGGCCATGATGAGAGTACTTACACCATAGAAACAGGCAAATGCCTTTTCTAAGCCAATGAGATATCAGGAAAGCTTTTCAGAGACTTGGATCAGAGCTAAGGCCTTTTTCCTATTGGATGTGGACCAAAGAGAATGCAAACTCGGGCACTGGCGGCAGCCATCTTGCCAGTGTTTAGGGAGACTCCAGTGAGAGTGGAGCCAACATAGCAAAAGGCAGGAGAGAGAGATGGAGACAAACCGGTACTGCGGTCATGGCTTGTTCATTTCCAGCAGTACCTGGTCCCACCCCTAACCCTACACTTTTTTTTTTTTTTTTTTTTCAGTAAGAGACAGGGCTTCACTCTGTCCTCCAGGCTGGAGTTAAGTGGTGCAATCATAGTTCACTGAAGCCTCAAACTCTTGGGTTCAAACAGTCCTCTAGCTTCAGCCTCCCTAGTCACTGGGACAATAGGCTGTGCCACCATGTTCAGTTGTTTTTGTTTTTGTTTTGAGACAGGGTCTCGCTCTGTCGTGCAGGCTGGAATGTAGTGGTGTGATCATGGCTCACTGCAGTCTCAACCCCCTGGGCTCAAGCAATCCCCCCACCTCAGCCTCCCGAGTAGCTGGGATTACAGATGTGTGCCACCATACTGGCTAATTTTTGTATTTTTTGTAGAGATGGGGTTTCGGCCATGTTGCCCAGGCTGACCTCAAACTCCTGGGCTCAAGCAGTCCTCCCACCTGGGCCTCCCAAAGTGCTGGGATTACAGGGTGAGCCACCATGCCGGGCCCTTTACACTTTTTAATTAAGCCAATACATTTTTTTTGTATTTAAGTCAGTTGGGTTGAATTTTCTATCATTTACATTAAAATCACTTTAAATGACACAGCAACGTCTGCACCAGGTCCAGAATTACACTGCTAGCCCCCAAAGTGGCTTCACTTGGTAACAATAACTTAGTCAGAGGGATGGGAATTCTCCATCCTCAATCGTGTTCTGATCTTATATTATAATCCTCTCTTTCACAAACAGATGTTTGCTTCATCTAATAAGCCTTATATAATTTCCCTTGCAGGCTGGGATCAGTTCTCAGTAAACACTTTTGTTAGAGTGATATTCTTTTTTTTTAATTAAAAAAGATTCAAAAAAATAGAAACGGGGTCTTGCGGATAGGATAGGTATTCTTAGCTGCTGGTAACCTAACAGCTACCCTGCCCTACCTTCCTCTTCCGTGATAATGAAAATCGATTTTTATTTAGAGCTGCAAAGCCCCAGAAGATGAGTCATGATTCTTCTAAGTGCATCATGGTAATCTCATTACCCTTTATCACATAATTGCTTTCCAGCCTTCCTTACAGCTAAGTTTGGCCATGGAACCCAGTTCCATGGCTTCTACTCTTAGAAGGCACACATATACAAGCATTTTCATGTCTGTAATCACTCAGCAAATATTTGCCTTGTACCATGTAGTGTGCTGGGCACTAGAACCACAGAGATGAACAAAACATCTGGTCATTAACTTTCTTCACCTTCATGACTTTTTTTTTTTTCTATGTTTGAGAATAATACAAGGTGGCATTAGTGGCTTTAAAACCCCAAAATATAACCTCAAATTTTAATCTTGTTTATTCATTCTCAGAGTGCCTTGCTGAATTACAGCTAGTTAATGTGTGGTGATCAAGTTAGATCTAAAGTCTATATAGGCCAAACATGCATTGATAGAAATTCTATTTCTTTTTTGAAAGTCTTATCTGTATTTCTTTTTTTTTTTTTTTTTGGAGACAGAGTTTTGCTCTTTCGCCCAGGCTGGAGTGAAGTGGTGCAATCTCAGCTCACTGCAACCTCCGCCCCCTGGGTTCAAGTGATTCTCCTGCCTCAGCCTCCCGAGTAGCTGGGATTATAGGCACCCACCACCACATCTGGCTAATTTTAGTATTTTTAGGAGAGACAGGGTTTTGCCACGTTGGCCAGGCTGGTCTTGAACTCCTGACCTCAGGTGATCCACCAGCCTTGGCCTCCCAAAGTGCTAGGATTACAAGCGTGAGCCACCGTTCCCAGCCTGTACTTCTTATATGACAGTGTAAAATGAAGGCCACTATGTATTTCAATTAATGGCATCTAAACTTGGTTCCTCACTTGGGTAGTACACGGAGCAGTTTCTTTTTTTGTGAATTCTAAAGCAAACCTTGTTAACTCTGAACAGATCTTGAGAGATCTAATGTCAGAAGTATGTATTAAGCACCTAAAGTCTTTACCTTCAGTTTTTCTAAATATTTTACCTCCAGTTGATGCCACCTCTGAATCCACATTTGGAAATTCATAATTCTTCAGGTATTTTTTCTTTTATGGGGTAGAACCTCTCATGAATATTTTTTAGTGGGTTGAAACATAGTTACATAGGGTTAATATTTACAGTCACCTAAATTTGTTTCTTTCTTTACCGATCCTCATCTCTGTGCCTCTGGATGAGATTGTGCACCTGAACTGCAGGCTTCCTTTAGGACCTCATTGGCATTGCCTTGTGGTGACTCACCATTATAGTAAATTCCACCCAGCTCAAACTAATCCCAAAATAGGGTTCAGAGATTACAGACAAAGGCTGGGCTAATTCTTTGCATAACAGCCAAGTGGTAGAGCAGAAAAAACATGAATCAGAGAGTCCTAGATTCAAATCCCAGTTTGATCATTTGCAGACACTTTGACTTACAGCATTTTGAGTATCATCACTGAGCCTCCCTTCCTCATTTGTGAAGAGGGATTATATGACTGGTAGAATTGAATTTTAAGAAGACAAGACTCAAAGATATGGAGAAATGATCTAAGCCGTATGTTGTATATGCAGTGCACTCCTGTTTAATCCTGACAGTAAATGGTAAGGAGGGGAGGAGGTGGTGCCAGTTACCCATGAAATAGCTACAAATTAGAGCATACAGATGTGGCTTCATGGGAAGATTTGTGCTTGGACTTAATTTGAAAAAGAAAATGCTATAAGGGATTACTCACCTTATAGCATTTGTGTTGTAAGGAGTCAATAAGATCATCATACGAGTGAAGTGCCAAAGACTATGCCTGGCCCATAGATGTCATTAAAAATGGTAGTTACAGTACTTTTTTCTGCCTAACTATAAAGCAGCATCATTGTCTGAGGTAAATACCTGAGGTTCGTCATCTCATGCCAGGGAAATCGGGGATGCGGACACATAAGAAGTGAGTTTAAGAGCAGAGGTTTAACAGAGGAAAGAGAAAAGAGAATAGCTCTCTCCGGGTGCCCAAGTGGGTCTTCCAGTTTCATGGTGAAATGCACAGGATTTTATAGAGGAGCTGGAGGAGGTGGTGTCTGATTTACATAGGGCCTGAGAGGTTGGTTGGACCAGGTGTACCATTTGCATAGTATGCAAAGAAGATAGCTATCCCATCCTAATCTTTTATTATGAAGATGGGGTCTCTACCTGGCCAGTGCCATGTTGTCTGCTTTTTTACTGCACATGTGGTGATGAAGAAAAGGAAAAAGATAACCTCCATGTTGAATACACCTGCCTTCCAGGTATCCCTTTTCTATTGGCACAGCTGCTGGCATTTACCTATGGAGGCTTTTAGCTTGCTTATCTATGCCTGCACCATGATTTTTTGGGCTGCTTTTTATTAAAAGGAAATCTTATCGAGGACTCTCTCACCCTTACTATCTGCCTAAATAATTTCTTTCTGGCTCCTGTATCAACTAGATTGAAAGTTCCATGAGGACTCAAATCTGATGGATCCCAGTTGCTGTTTTTCCAGTAACTAGAATAGTGCTGGGCACATGCTAGACACTTAACAAATACTTGGTAATTGATTGTTATAATTATTATCATAAAAGTCAGGTAAACTCCAGTGCCTTCTTCAAAGAATCCTGCCTCCATCCTCTTTTTCAAATTAAGTCTAAGCACAAATCTTCCCATGAAGCCACATCTGTATGCTCTAATTTGTAGCTATTTCATGGGTAACTGGCACCACCTCCTCCCCTCCTTACCATTTACTGTCAGGATTAAACAGGAGTGCACTGCATATACAACATATGGCCTAGATCATTTCTCCATATCTTTGAGTCTTGTCTTCTTAAAATTCAATTCTACCAGTCATCCTTGATTGTTAAACAATTGCTGGGCACTGTGCTGGGTTCTAGAAAAGAAACAGTAGCTGCCTCTAGGAGTACCTAGTCTTTCGGTGGATACAGCTTTGTAATCTAACGATTACATCACAAGGTGATATGAAAAGCTATATGCACAGAGTATCTAGGTAGCAGAGATGGGAGAAAGTGATTATCTTTCTCAAAAATTAGGGAAGACTTCCTAGGGGAGGTTATAAGGACATGTGACTTTTCAAGGAAGGTCAGGAATTTTCCAGCTGGTTAAGGTGGGAGAAGAATATTCCAAGGAGAGTAAACAGTATGTGCCCAAGGGCATGAGATAGCAGTATATTATCCTGGAGAGCCTAGAAGCAATTCAGTACTGTTGGAGCATAATGGAGAAGCTGGGAAATAAGGAGGGGGCCAGGAAATTGAGGGTGCTAAGTCCAGAGACAGAGCCAGTGGCCATATGTAACAAAGTTTTGAATGTCATAAACACTGTAGGTGACGGGGACCCCGGAATGGGATTATCTGAGGAACCTTAGAAATGACCTTTGATAGCAGGGTAGAAAATACGCCAGGAGAGAAAGAAAAGGAGATTAAAGCTGCACAATACTTCAGGAAGAAGTATGAGTGGTCTAGATGAGAAACACCGAGGGCCTGATTTATAGCAGGATGAGCCGCAGACAAAACTCCTCAGACACCGAGTTAAAGAAGGAGCAGTTTATTCGGCCAGGAGCATCGGCAAGACTCCTGTCTCAAGAGCCGAGCTCCCCGAGTGAGCAATTCCTGTCCCTTTTAAGGGCTCACAACTCTAAGGGGGTCCACGTGAGAGGGTCATGATCGATTGAGCAAGCAGGGGGTACGTGACTGGGGACTGCATGCACCAGTAATCAGAACGAAACAGCACAGGACAGGGATTTTTACAATGCTCTTCCATACAATGTCTGGAATCTATAGATAACATAACCGGTTAGGTCAGAGGTCGATCTTTAACTGCCAGGCCCAGGGCGTAGCGCCGGGCTGTCTGCCTGTGGATTTCATTTTTGCCTTTTAGTTTTTACTTCTTCTTTCTTTGGAGGCAGAAATTGGGCATAAGACAATATGAGGGGTGGTTTCCTCCCTTAGATTGAGGCAGTGCTGATGAGGCAGAAAGACAGATTGAGCTGATTTTTAGGAGAGAAAATTCAGAATTGATAAAGCTAGCTTGGTCTTTGAGTGTAGGAAGATAAAAAGAAGAAAAAATAGCACTCTTGTTGTGTATCTCTTACTTGGAAAATGTAATGCTAAGCACATAAAAATGCTCAGAAAGTTATTTAATAAGTAAGTCTCCATAGCATTATCTGGTCTTGATTTAATTTTATTTCCAATTTTAAAATTACTTTCTATTAACTGGAACCTCCCATGCTTTACCCAGCCTTTTGGTGTGTTTCCAGTCTACAAGGATTCTCTTAATATTTCCAAGTAGAAAACTAAAAGGTGACTTTGTTTTCCAATCACATATTTATCTATTTAGATAGTCATTAGCATAGTATTCAAAAGCCATCTAAGAATGACGTTGCATGACTAAAAACAAAGAAGGAAAGATGTCAAACCTCAATACACAAGCATGAGCCTTCTTTTCATTGCAGGCCACACAGAGGAACACCACAATTTTTCTTAGTATTGAAGTTCATCTCAACCTCAACCAATCTTTAACTGTGTATCATAGAGTTTTTTTTTCATAGAAAACAATTTCCAGTTTACAGAAAGAAATGTCAAACTCAGTCTATCAGAGCTTTAGAATTAACAAGGAAGATGAACAACACAGTATAAGCAAAATTGCTCGTTTTTGTAAGCTAACTGCAACCACAGAGGTGAGAAAGTCTTCCATTGATATGATGGCTATCATGCATATATTTTTATATGTTTCTAAGAATTGAAAGTAGAACTATCAGGGCTTCAGATACATTTTGAAGAGATAATGTTATTTATTTATTTTGAGTCAGGGTCTTAGCTCTGTCATTCAGGCTGAAGTGCAATAGCAAGATCACAGCTCACTGCAGCCTCGACCTCCCGGGTTCAAGTGATCCTTCCACCTTAGCCTCCTGAGTAGCTGAGACTACAGACACTTGCCACCATGCCTGGCTAATTTTTAAATTTTTTGTAGACACGGGAGTCTCACTATGTTGTCCAAGGCTGATGTCGAACTCCTGGGCTCAAGAACAGGTGGTGGGTCAGCAATCCTCCTGCCTTAGCCTCCCAGAGTGCTGGGATTACAGGCATGAGCCAGCAGTCCTGGCAAGGAGATAATTTTATTTATTTATTTATTTAGTTAGTTAGTTAGTTACTTATTTTTTGAGATGGAGTCTTGCTCTGTCACCCAGGCTGGAGTGCAATGGTGCCATCTCCGCTCACTGCAACCTCTGCCTCCCGGGCTCAAGTGATTTGCCTGCCTCAGCCTCCTGAGTAGCTGGGATTACAGGTGTGCACCAACATGCCCAGATTTTTATTGTATTTTTAGTAGAAATGGGGTTTCACCATGTTGGCTAAGCTGGTATCAAACTCCTGACTTCAGGTGATCTGCCTGCCTCAGTCTCCCAAAGTGCTAGGATTAGAGGTATGAGCCACCACGCCTGGCCAAGGAGATAATTTTAAATGATCAAAATTTTTGGAGGCATATCATACATGTACATGTATGATCTCTGAAAACTGTTTTAAAGATAAAGTCAGCAAAGTACAGCCTGTTGGCCAAATCTGACCCACCACCTGTTCTTGTAATGCTGTGAACTGAGAATAGCTTTTGCATTTTTAAATTTTAAAAGGTTGAAAAAAATCAAAAGAAGAATAAAATTTTATAATATGTGAAAATTACCTGAATTTCAAATGTCAGTGTCCATAAATAAGGTTTTATTGAAGCACAGCTCACCCATCCGTTATGTACCAGCTGCATTCATGCTATAATAGCAGAGCTGAGTGGTTATGACAGAGACTTTCTGGCCAAGAAAGCCTAATGTACTTACTAGCTGGCTCTTTCCAGAGACTGTTTGTCAACCCTGTTTTAAGAGCTTTCCTCTAAAGAAGCACAAGCCTTTAGTAAACTGAAGACTTCTTCATAAAGATTTTCTGTGTCAGTGATACATTATGTTAAAAAAAGAAAATCCATGAATTTAGTAAAGATAACATTGATATTATAGACTAAAACAATAGGCATGACTTTAATTATATTTAGGATGCTTATTTTCCCACCTTATTTCAGTAGCATAGTTATAAGAACACACGCTTTAGGGTGATCATTCTTTTTTCTTGAATTTTGTTGAGCTTTGCATGACCTTGGACTAGTTACCTAACCTCTTGTAAGCCTCAGGTTTCCTACAAGAACAGAATAATAGCAATACCAACCTCATGGGAGTATGGTAAGTACCAAAATGGATAAGTGGGGCATTTTTGGGGGGGAATTACTTAGCTTGTTATCTGGTAGTAGGTGTGCAATAGATTATAATTATCATCATTCTCTGAAAATGTCATTTTTGCTTTCTGGTGCTCCATTTCTAGTACTGCCTGTAAGGTCTATTTTGACAAGGAAATCTGTAAGACCCTGCCAACATCATTTTGCATAGCAAGAGCCCTTCTCTGTGTTACAATCTGGACAAAAACTGTCCTCAGTTGCATGAATCCAAGAATACACTTGACAGAAGAATGGAAAAAAGGAAGCCTAGGAAGTCTAGAAACAAAAATCATAGTGATGAGCAGTGCTGGAAGGCTGGTCAGCAGCTAGAGTACAGCTTGTGAGCAGCATATTGGGATTTTTTTTTTTCCATGTTAGACTCTATTCCAACTCTTTCTATTGAGAGTCCACGGTTTTGTGATGGGTTGTTGATGAAGGAAAGCTCTGAATTTTTTAGAGCGGATGAAGTGTTTGTCATTTTATTCCATTTTATGTTAGGTTAACACTGCCATTTTTCTTTTATTATTCGATGTCTTAGCTGATGTCTCCCAGGCGAAAAGTACCCAGAAAATCATGAGAGTGCAGTTCCTGGAAATTCAGTTATTTCTTTCTCGCTGGGCTTGCTCTGCCTTTAGAATTGTTGTGACTCTGGATTCCTGCGGAGGAACTAGGGCCTGGGGTGACCTCATGGCTCCTCAGCTATGATGCACCTTCTCTTTTCTTCCCTTATCTCAAGTAGGTCCTGAGCAGCCCAGCCCAGGTGGTCTCTTCTGCTCACCAGGGGTGGCCTGGAGTCAATTGATAAGAGCCCTCTTTTCTTGGCCCTTACAAAACAAATTTCTGCCTAAAGACAGCTAAAGGGAAGAAAAACACCACCAAACCAACAACTCCTTTGTACCTCCATTATCCCCAAAATTAGATAAAGAAAAATTAGAATACCAGGAGGCAGCAGACACCTCCACAATGCAGCTCGGAAACAGAATTTCTATAGATCTGCTGTCCTTTTTTTAAAATCACATAGAAGAGTTTGTACAAATCTCATTTGTTTTCACTTCCTTCATTTTTGTGTCTTAACACATTATTTTGAGGAAAATGCCTCTGAATTTTATCCTTGCTCTTCAATTACGGTTGAACAGGAACTGTTAATTGAGTTTAGCCACTCAAAAGAAGAACAAAGTATTTCATCATTCTTACATATTCTGGTTGGACTCATGGTTAAAGAAGACAAATAGAAAAACTCACACATCAGCCTGGTGTGGGGATAAAACCAAAAACAGTGATGCTCACAGGCATGCCTGAGAGTGGAATGGTGGTGTTGGTGGGGGAGTGCCTGTTTACTGGTAGTAGGAGTAACTCTCGTCATCATATTCCAGCTCATCTATGTCATCGTCATCCAGCAGCCCATATTTAAATTTCCGGTAGACTGTGCCATCCTGGCCCATGTAGACGATGTCATCATCATCATCCTCATCATAGTCCCGATCCCTGTACTCAATCACCTGATCCTCTTCAAAGCTGGTGCTCTCTCTATAGCTGCTCTTATAGGAGGAGTAAGACTTGTTGGGGTCGGCCAGTTTTTCATAGCCGGCCTTTGCTGCTGGCTGGACTCGGCCACGAGATTTCTTCCACACTACCACAGCTGCCCCGAGCAGAAGCACCAGCATCATGGAGGAGGTGATGAACAGAGCTGTCTTGAAATGCTCAGTTGCAGGCCTAACCTTGCTTGTTCGAAGGATGCATTCGTCTGTTGGAAGAAGACCTCAAAGGAAGAGGCAAGAGGGAAAAAGTGAAAGAAATAGAATAGAGAAAATTAGTTTCTGAGGTAAAGAATTTCACCTTTATTTTAAAAATTGAAAATGGTAGAATCACTGTCTCTGATTTTCCTCTGTTTTTAATTTTAATTTTAATTTTTTTGTAGAGACAGCATCTCACTATGTTGCCCTGGCTGGTCTCAAACTCTTGGGCTCAAGAGATCCTCCCACCTTGGTCTCCCAGAGTGCTGGGATTACAGACGTGAGCCACCGCACCCGGCCTGTCTCTGATTTTCCTAGAAGGCATACCACTGTATAAAATTGGAGTATGTACCCCGTGAGAATCCTAGCCTATGTCTGATGAAGCCAATAAATCCTTCTAGAAAGAAGGTCAGTTTGCCATCCAAAGGGAGTTCCCTTATCCCCATACCTCGTAGGTCAGTCACCAGGTGTCCAACATTATCAACTGATTCTTCTATTTCCCTCCTAAGAAAATACTTCATCTTGGACTAAGCTTTAGTTATTGCTAAATGCTCTATTTTCTTTCCCAATTCCAACTTCTTTTCTAAGACTGAGTCCTCTCCCAAGGTACCCTTAAGTCTGGGCCAACATGACTGTCCCACCACTTAAGGGCAAGAGCAGATAATTTATAAAACTACTGACTCTGAGAGCCATGTGGGGCCTTAGAAATTACTTAGGCCAATTTGTTGTTTGACATTTGAGGAAACTAAAGTCCATCGAGAGGAAGTGAATTGTCACATTGTCAGAGACAAGACCTTATTTGTGGAGCAATCAGAATTCAAATCCAGGAATCCTAGCTCCATGCTACAGTCTAAAGACATTAGGACAAAAGGCTCTGACAACAGTTCTTTGGCTTCTTGGAGTTTTATGCTCCTAGCCTGGCAGAAAAAGAAGTACTATCTTTAAATCCTATCAACTTGAATGATAGGGAATTTTTTTCTATCATTATTAAGAGTTTTTTTTTTTGAGATGGAGTCTCGCTCTGTCACCCAGGCTGGAGTGCAGTAGCACAATAGCTCGGCTCACTGCAGCCTCTGTCTCCCAAGCTCAAGCAATTCTCATGCCTTAGCCTCCTGTGTAGCTAGGACTACAGGTGCACACCACCATGCCTGGCTGATTTTTGTATTTTTAGTAGAGATGGGGTTTCACCATGTTGGCCAGGCTGGTCTTGAATTCCTGACCTCAGGTGATCACCCTCGGCCTCCCAAAGTTCTGGGGCATGAGCCACCACATCCAGCCATTATTAAGAGTTTTGAAATCCGGAGTTCCAACCCCTGTCATCCATCAGCCTCTGTTTTGATGCCTTGATTGAGAATATGGAGTAACCAAAACAGTTTCATGGAAGGAAAGATTCAACTGTAACTTTAGTGATGAGGATGAGCTCATTTTTCTTACTTCTTATTCATTTTTCCAGGTGGTATGATTTGGGTAATATGTCTATTTTTTTTCTATTCTTTAACCCACCACATGGGAGTATGAAAGAACCAGAGAAAAAACTATCAGGCCATGAGGCCATGTTGGATGTACAAGCTGAGTTACACGGTAGGTTTTTCATAAATATTTGTTGAACTTCTTGGATCTCTCGTGTTCAAGGGATAATTTCATGAGCAATTCTAGGTACATCCTACACAGGTACATTCTAGGTATATTCATTCTAGATAAATGAATATAACACTGCTGCCAAGGTGCAATGCTTTTTGCTTATTAAATATTGATCAATTAGATCTGATACATCATGACTATGTATTTCTCTTTCTTTTTTGCTAGTGAGAAAGAAGTTTTCTATTTTATCATAATTTTCATTCTCATGGGATTTTACCTATCAAGCCGAGTTTCTTCTTCTAAAGTAACAGCCCTATCATTATTACATTAATCATTAGCAAGTTCAGCATAGAATTTTTCCCTGGAGAAAACATTAAAGCATTGGAGAGATTGATAAGCAATCTGTGTGTGGTACTGTGAGATAAATACTGCCTGAAGCAGTAGAATCAATATGAAAACCTTTTGAGGTTGTTTGAATTACTAGGGTGCCATATGCAGTCATGCCTTGCTTACTATTCTCCATCCCAGGTCTGCAGAGTCAGGGTTAGCCTTTGTGATATGGTTTCTTTGAAGGGGCAGAGTGTCTCTGTAAAGAAGGATCAGGTAATCAAGAGCATTTATACTTTCGCAGATTGCTGCAGGTGGCTCTTCAAGAGCTGCAGGGGGACCAGGAAAGCTGACGAGATAGTTCTTAGTTGGAACAGTCTTTCAGAAACTCTGCATGCAACATGCACAAACTTCTGGTTTCATTTAAAGGCATTAATGTTGTGAGAGTTATTATTCTTAGCTGACACAGAATGGATATTAGGCAATCAGACCCTGAATGTAGGTGTGTATGAAGAACAGGGAAAACCAGCTGCTCGTGGGGGTGGGAAAGCTGAAAGAAGGAAAACGTTTTTGGAAAGATGATACTTAAAACCCAATTGAAAATGCTGATCAAGCCAGGCGCGGTAGCTCACGCCTATAATCTCAGCACTTTGGGAGGTTGAGGTGGGCAGATCACCTGAGGTCAGGAGGTCAAGACCAGTCTGGCCAACATGGTGAAACCCCTTCTGTACTAAAAATACAAAAATTAGCCGGGTGTGGTGGTGGGCACCTGTAATCCAAGCTACTCTGGAGGCTGAGGTAGAAGAATAGCTTGAACCCAGGAGACAGAGGTTGCCGTGAGCCGAGATTGTGCCATTGCACTCCAGCCTGGGTGACAGAGCCACACTCTGTCAAAACAAAAAAAGAAAAAGAAAAAGAAAGAAAGAAAGAAAGAAAATGCTAATCAAAAATAAAAAAGAAATGGCTGGTAGCAGTTATGGGTCTGGGATTTTCTTTACTTACAAATAGACCAACTCACAAATATGGCATCGCTTTTTGTCAGTGAATGTCACTTCTGAACCCCAAGGAAATTATCTACTTCTGGACTAGAGAGTATATTTTAAGAATATATGTTTCTTTTTTTTTCTTTTCTTTTCTTTTTTTGAGACGGAGTCTCGCTCTGTCACCCAGGCTGGAGTGCAGTGGCACGATCTTGGCTCACTGCGAGCTCTGCCTCCCGGGTTCACGCCATTCTCTTGCCTCAGCCTCCTGAGTAGCTGGGACTACAGGCGCCCGCCACCACGCCTGGCTAATTTTTTTGTATTTTTAGTAGAGACAGGGTTTCACTATGTTAGCCAGGACGTTCTCGATCTCCTGACCTTGTGATCCGCCCTCCTTGGCTCCGCAAAGTGCTGAGATTACAGGCGTGAGCCACCGCGCCCGGCCATGTTTCTTTTTTTAGAAGGAATCAGTCAGTTTGAGATCTTTCTAAGTTTGTGACCAATGAGAACCAAGTACCCACATGGATGGGGTTAGACGTGAGGATAGCTGAGGGACTGGAAATTGGTAAAGGGGGTTTTACTTCTTAGCCTTCAATAAAAATTCATTTCTAAAATGTCATAAGTCTCTGAGAGGCCTAGGTTTGGGCTGACTTTCATAGAATGATTCTTCAACAGAATCAGGATAATATTGACATCAGCTTCCTTGATAGTTAGTTCTTTTCTTTTTTTCCCAAGAGGGAAGAATAAAAAAAGGAACAAAGTAAATTCATAAAGATAAAATGCTAGCTCTACTTGAGTTCTAGTCTTGGAGGCAAGCAGAAAATCTAATTCCAGATGAACCATTTTTTAAAAAAAAATTTAGACAGCATCTTGCTCTGTCACCCAGGCTGAAGTGCAGTGGTGCGATCTCAGCTCACTGCAATCTTTGCCTCCTGGGCTCAAGAGATCCTCTCACCTCAGCCTTCCTGGTAGCTGGGATTACAGGTATGCACCACCACGCCCAGCTAATTTTTTATTTTTAGTAGAGAGGGATTTGCCATGTTGCTCAGGCTGGTCTCAAGCTCCTAGACTCAAGCCATCTGTCTGCCTCACCCTCCCAAAGTGCTGGGATTATTTACAGGCGTGAGCCACCACGCCTAGTCCCCAGATGAAACTTTTAATATTGGTATGGACTTGGCATGCGAATCCAACTCTTTGAGCCTCAGTCTCCTCATCTGTAAAATGGGACTGATAATCCCTACTTGTGAAGTGAGACAATGGTCATGAAGTTTCAAGTACAGTAGGCCCATAGTAGGCACTCAATAAAAAGGTAGCCATATTGATTCTCCTGAACTTTCCATCCCCCCCTCCCTCTGCTCCCATTGGCTTCTTGAGGACATGCCCTTCCTCTGCAGGCTGCTCTTGCTCTTCCCTCACCCGTGGTGTCCTGGCAGTCACAGCACTCCTGGGCACTGGGGGGATCAGAGGTGTTGCAGCAGTGGAGGCAGTGGCTGTCGTCCATGTGCAGCACCAGGTTGGCAGGGCACAAGGTGCAGTTCTTGGCCCCTGGTCCCTTGCATTCCATGCAGCTCTCGTGGCATTTTTCACAGTTAAACTTCTCTCCCTGTTAAGAGCAATCAAGAGGTTCCTTTTGAGTGTAAAGGGATTAACAAGGCACTGGAGTTCCCAGATTGTATCTCATCTTGTCTTCATAAGGAGGGAGATGTGTGGGGGACAGCAGAAGGATGGTGTGTTCTAAGCCCATTTTAACTGTGTTGGGTGAAAGAACCAACTGTCTGTGATGGGGTGGAATCACGGCTGGGCCCTGTCCTTTGAGATCTGCTAATAACAGTGGGAGAGCAGACGTCTAGAACAGTTTGGGTTAGGAGCTGACAGCTCCTGTGCTCAAGGACAGCTCAGGTCAAGGACTAGTTTTGTCTGGCCCACACTGTTGACTTTCAGTTTAAAATATTTTGCATTCATTTCCCGCATCTCAAAAGTGGGATATTTCACATGTAAATTTGTTCCTAATTTCTCTTTAGAAACTAGAAGACCTGTCAACACTGGATTCATCACTCCCACGTGGCGATGACCCCTCTTTCCACTCTTCTATTTGACATAATCCCCAGCACTTGCTATTATGTCACCAACATGTAGGTGATACATCAATTTCCACTTTCCTTCAAGCATCAAGCTTACACTGTGGTTTTCTTTGACCCAGCATTTATGTTAGTGACCTGCTTGGCCTCTGTGGTTACTGGATTATTGTGGTCTGCCCGCAGAATAATATAGGTTGTGGCTGTGTAGCTCAAGTAGTTAAATCTCTTTGGGAAGAGAGTGGAGAGATGAGAAGAAAGTGGCTTCCCTCCCGACAAGTTGCTCCTTGACTGGTGCTGGAAATGTGGGTTAGGGAAGATGCTTTCCTATTTTACTTCTGTAACTTTGGAAGTATGGTATGACAGAAAAAGAAGAAGGAATGGAAATTGCTTTTGTTGAGCACCTTGGCATGTTTCAGGCACAGACAAGGTGCTTTCTCAGCTGTTATTATCTCATTGAATCCTGCATCTCACATATTATCTCATCCTTCAGGTTTAATCCCAGCTTTGTTACTTAGCACTCATATAATTTTTTTTTTTGAGACGGGCTTACTTTTTTGCCCACACTGGAGTGCACTGGTGTGATCGGATTCAAGTGATCCTTCTGCTTCAGCCCCACAAGTAGCTGGGACTACAGGCATGTGCCACCATGTCCAGCTATTTTTTTTTTTTGTATTTTTTGTAGAGATGGGGTTTCACCATGTTGCCCAGGCTGTAATCTTTAACAAATTGTTTAACCTCTTTGAGCCTCAGTTTCTCTAAACTGTAATGACGGCTGTTGCCAGAATTTAAAGAGTGCTCATATGTAAATATGTTAGTTTGTGTTAATTTCATCATGGGGAGATTTACTTATTATCTAAAGTTCGAAAACATAATCAAGAAATTTGTGGTCTTGCCGGGCGCAGTGGCTCACACCTGTAATCCTAGCACTTTGGGAGGCTGAGGTGGGTGGATGGCTTGAGCCCAGGAGTTTGAGACCAGCCTGGGCAACATGGTGAGACCCCATCTCTACTAAAAATACAAAAAATTAGCTGGGCATCGTGGTCAGAAGCATTTCAACCACAGCAACTTCATCTTGAATAGGGGCTGGGTAAAATAAGGCTGAAACTTACTGAGCTACATTCCTAGATGGTTAGGCATTCTAAGTTATAGGATGAGATAGGAGGTTGGCACAAGATACAGATCATAAAGGCCTTGCTGATAAAACAGCTTGCAGTAAAGAGCCAGCCAAAACCCACCTAAACCAAGATGGCAATGAGAGTGACCTCTGATGGTTCTCACTGCTACACTCCCACCAGCGCCGTGGCAGTTTACAAATGCCATGGCAACATCAGGAAGTTACCCTATATGGTCTAAAAAGGGAAGTCATGAATAATCCATCCTTTGTTTAGCGTATCATTAAGAAATAACCATAAAGATGGGCAAGCAGCAGCCCTCACAGCTGCTCTGTCTATGCAGTAGCCATCCTTTTATCCCTCTACTTTCTTAATAAACTTGTTTTCACTTTACTCTATGGATTTGCCCTGAATTCTTTCTTGTGTGAGATCCAAGAACCCTCTTTTGGGGTCTGGACTGGGACCCCTTTCCAGTAGCATCTTTCTGGTGACCACAGAAGTGACAATAGCGAGGGAACCCCCAACCCAAAGGCTAACTTTGGGTAAGTGGTGTAGACCAGTGACATGGTAGTCCCAGCTATTCAGGAGGCTGAGGTGGGAGGATCACCTGAGCCCAGGAGGTCAAAGCTGCAATGAGCTGTAATTGCGCCACTGCACTCCAGCCTGGGTGACAGAGTGAGACCCTGTCTCAAAGAAAAAAAAAAAAAATTCATGGTTTCAGAAAATCCATGGCAAATGAATCTCCTTCCTTCCTCCCTCCCTACCTCTTTCTTTCTTTCTTTCTTTCTCTCTCTCTTTCTTTCTTCTTTCTCTCTCTTTCTTTCTCTTTCTTTTTCTTTCTTCTCTTTCTTTCTCTCTCTCCTTCCTCCCTTCCCTTCCTTCTCTCTCTCTCTTCTTTCTCTTTCTTTCCTTCCTTTCTTTCTTTCTTTCTTTCTTTCTTTCTTTCTTTCTTTCTTTCTTTCTTTCTTTCTTTCTTTCTTTCTTTCTTTCTTTCTTTCCTTTCTTTCACATTGCAGGGGGGGGCGGTTTCTGGTAGAAACCAGAAATTCTAAAGAGCTGTAACACTGCAAATGAATTCTTCTTAATACACTGTAAAGTGGTAAAGGAAGCAAAAGACCAACATTAGCTGTGTGGTTCCTATGTTACTCACACATTTCTGCTTAGACCAGACAGAAGTAAGAGAGAAGGTAGTTTGTATTCTGACATAGTATTCTTATGTTGACTGAAACTTCTATGGTGATGAATAACAAATGTAGAATTCATTCCGAGGCCCTCACGACTTAACTTCCCCATTATCTTAGATCTTCTCAGTTCCTTTTGAGTAAAGCTAAGGCTACAGGTGGGTAGCACCATTATTCCATGATGCAACGGTAGAAGGTTTTAAAATACTAAACATACACTATTTCTATAGTATGAGAATTTTGGGACATTTTGATTGCCCAGAATGACATGCAGGAAGTAAGCTCATGTTTCCCTCTAGAAAGAGCAGAAGGCCCAGGACCCCCAGCCCTCCATACCTCTCCCACTCTGTATTCCCCCACAAGACAGTCCGAGGTGCAGATCCCTCCCATGAGGTGGTAACTCCACACACAGGATAAACAATTCAACGCTCCTTTTCCTGAAAGAGAAAACATTCTAAGTTATGAGATTGACCTTAGATTTCAACTTCTGTCTTTGTTCCGGAACACTTAGGAACAAGGAATATGTCAAGTAAATTGAAGCAGAAGGGTGAATTGATTGAGGATACGAAAAAGAAAAAAGTCTCCCACACAAAGTAGAAATTATACAATTAGTTCAATCTATGTAGACTCTCAGTCTGAAAATTGAGGATTTGGGGATGACAGATCTTTTATTACAGCAAGAGGAAAGAGTTTCAGAGAATGAGAAATCATGTAGAAAGTTTATAAAACCTTTATTCGCTATTCTGCTTATTGTTTAACTAGTGTGGAGGATGTTACCAAGTGTTTGGAGGACTGCAATACTCAGTGCATAAATCATGAATAGACAGTTTCTAACTGAGAAACGGCACTAAACTTGGCACTTAAAATGCTAGGGCTAAAAGGACTCAGCAGATCATTTTGTTTGGTGGTTCTTAATTTTGGGGTGGTGATGATGGTGATACATTTCTTTGAAATTCTCTTGAAAGCTGTAAGTTCTCTTCTCAGAAATTTGACATCTTATTTATTTCTCATTTTAAAAATATTGATAAATGAAAACTAAGGCCCAGACATGTAATGTCACCTATCCAGGGTTACATAGTGATGGTCAAGATTCAAATTCAAGTTTGTTGACTCATAATCCGTTGATCTGTCTTTCTTTCTTTTTTTTTTTTTTCAGATGGGGTCTTGCTATGTTGTCCAGGCTGATCTCAAATTCCTGGACTCAAGGGATCCTCTTGTCTCAGCCTCCAAGTAGCTGGGATTATAGAGGCATGCAAGGTCAATTGCACCTTGCTGAGGTGCTCTTTCCACCACATATCTGCCTTAGCACATGAGCCACCAAATAGAAGAAGTCTGAATCTGCAGCCTGTTTCCTGTGGAGACAGTACTCTTATCTCCTAATTCAGACACCCCAAAAAGGACTGATCCAAACATTTATTCTATGCAGGTATCAAGGAATAACTTCTGGAAAGTTTGGGGACCGGAGACCTAAATCTATCTCATTCTGTTAGGAAGTCCTGGACATTTTTGCTGATAATTTTTAAATGGGAGCATAAGATTAATGGACATAGAATGTGCCTGGTATTGTAAGTTGGAACTTGGTATAGGTCTTCCCATCAGAACAATCCTGTAAAGGGTGGTTTTTGAACTTGAAATAGAACGATGGATCTGTCATTTACATTCACATAGTTAAATTGACGTTTCATGGCTGAACTGTGAGCTCAATCACTTATAATGTTTCTGTGGAAAAATAAATTCTGAGTTTCAAACAACAGCTTAGAGAATAAACACCTTTAGTACTGAACTGCTTCTTAGGTTGGAAGCTGCCTGTAGTGATATAAATTCAAAACCACTTTATTTTTATCTTAGCTCTAGCTTCATACAGAATTTCCCACATGTTCTGGAACGTTATTGTGGTCTCTGATGGAAGAATCAATCTTCTCCTATTTCCATTCTTCCTTTTTCCCATTCTACATTTTTCTTTTTCTTTTTTCTTTTTTTTTTTTTTTTTTGAGACAGAGTCTGGCTCTGTCGCCCAGGCTGGAGTGCAATGGCGCGATCTCGGCTCACTGCAAACTCCGCCTCCTGGGTTGACGCCATTCTCCTGCCTTAGCCTCCTGAGTAGCTGGGACTACAGGAGCCCGCCACCACGCCCAGCTAATTTTTTTTTATGTTTTTAGTAGAGACGGGGTTTCACTGTGTTAGCCAGGATGGTCTCGATCTCATCACCTGGTGATCCTCCCACCTCAGCCTCCCAAAGTGCTGGGATTACAGGCGTGAGCCACCACACCCAGCCCATTCTACATTTTTCTAAAATACAGCTTAGATGTCTTACTTCAATTTTTAACATACAAGAGAGTTTTTTTTAAATGAAGAGAAATTAAGGGTAGATACATGTTCTCACTTTAATGTGGAATCTAAAACAATTGAACTCATAGAAGTAAAGAGTAGAATGGTGGTTACCAGAGGCTGGGGGCTGGGGGGCTGAGGGGACTGGGGAGATGCTGGTCAAAGGGTATAAAGTTCTAGTTAGACAGGAAGAACATGTTTTTGAGATCTATTATATCTCATGGTGACTATAATTAACAATAATGTATTGTACTTTCAAAATTGGTAAGAGAGTAAATTTCAGATGTTCTTACCACAAAAAGGATTAAGTATTTGAAGTGATGGATTTCTTTTTTTTTTGAGGTGGAATCTTGCTCTGTTGCCCAGGCTATATTGCAACGGTGCAATCATGGCTTGGTGTAATTATGGCTCACTGCAGCCTCGACCTCCTGGGCTCAGGTGATCCTCCTACCTTAGCCTCCTGAGTAGCTGGGATTACAGGCACACACCCCATACCCAACTAATATATATTCTTTAGTTTTGTTTTTAGACAGAGTCTTGCTTTGTCACCCAGGCTGGAGTGCAGTGGCGCAATCTCAGCTCACTGCAAACTTCGCCTCCCAGGTTCAAGCAATTCTCCTACCTCAGCCTCCTGAGTAGCTGGGACTACAGGTGTGCACCACCACACTTGCCTAATTTTTTTGTATTTTCAATAGACATGAGGTTTCACCATGTTGGCTAGGCTGGTCTCGAACACCTAACCTCAAGTGATCCACCTGTCTTAGCCTCCCAAAGTGCTGGGATTACAGGCATGAGCCACTGCACCCGACCAAATTTTGTTTATTTTTTTGTAGAGATGAGGTCTCATTATGTTGCCTAGGCTGGTCTCAAATTCCTGACCTCAAGTGATCTGCCCACCTTGGCCTCCCAAAGTGCTGGGATTACAGGTGTGAGCCACTGTGCCTGGCCTGATGGACATGTTAATTAGCTTGATTTAATTATTCCACATTGTATACATATATCATGACATCCCTTTGTACCCTATAAATATATATAATTATAATTTGTCAATTTACAATAAAATAAATTAAGAGTAGAAAACACTAAAAGAGGGAGAACAGTCCATAACTAGGTTAGGTCACAAAATTCCTACCATAAGGTTGGTTACATTTTCTTTCTTTTTTTTTTTTTTTTCTTTTTATTTTTGGAGACGGAGTTTTACTCTTGTTAGTAGAGATGGGGTTTCACCATGTTGGCCAGGCTGGTCTTGATCTCCTGACCTCAGGTTATCTGCCCACCTTGGCCTCCCAAAGTGCTGGGATTACAGTCGTGAGCCACTGCACCTGGCCAAGTTTGGTTACATTTTCTAGAAGACCAACAATAAATTGTCTGAGGCCCAGATCCCAGGCAATACCCAAGGGCACTGTATGTCAGCTTTGGGTGACAAATCAGCCTTCATTTACATCTCCTACACCAATTAATTGCAAAACTTGCACACTTAGGGTACCCAGAATCTTTAGCAAAAGGCAGTTTGTTGATTTCCAGAAGGCTTTCTATTATTTTAAAGTTTAACACCCTACATCTATCATTGCTTCTAAGGTTCTGCAGGAGCTCTGGGACCTAAAAGATAGGCATTTTGTCATTTCTTTAAAACTCAGAGCAGTTCACCATCTGCTCTCCTTCAGACTGAACCCCATGGGATGAATTCAACAAATGCAGAGCAACTTCTGGGGTCTCTTCATGGGCCTCAGTCTACACAGAAAGATGCAGCTTGGGAGAGTTAAGAGGCTTTGGTTACTCAGCCTGGGTTTTGATTCCAAACCATTTTATGAGGAGAAGAAACAATAACACAAAATCAAAAAACAAAAATGAAAAAAAAAATAGAAAAAATAAAATTTTATGCAGAGGATAAGTAAAAAGTTAGGTGTGTGAAGGCAAGGAATGAGCTAATTATGGAGGTGTCAGTTACAGAGAAAGGTACATATTAAGCCTGAGTATGCTATGTTTTCCTGCTCCACCCCTCCTTCCATGCTTTTACATATTTTTCTTTTTTAACATCCTAAAACTATTGGGCAGTCCAAAGTGAACGAAATATAATTTAGCTGGTAATTTCTTATGTAGGTTGCTAAATTTTTTCTGATTCTTTCATGCCTCCTCATTTCTTACTATGAGAGCTAATGACTTAAAAAGGAAGGAATTCATCTTTTTTTCTACCTAGTTTATATCCCGTGAGAAAAACCTGTCTCCAGATTTTGTATCTGTATGTTGCAAAACCAGATGATAGCACAACATTTTCCTAACCAGCAAGGGACATATGTGCTATAGTAAAGAAAGGACTGCTCACTGCAAAGAATTATATGAAAAAATAACATTAAATAAAAAATTAAAATTAAAAAAATAATGATAGCAGAAAAAATGAGCACCAAAGACAGAAAACTTCAACTGGGCAAGTTCACGGGTTGATGTCAAATACAGGAGGAAGAAGTACAAACACTCAGGACAGCTTCAGGATTTACCCACTAACTCCTAGTCATCCCTTGAATACATTCTCAAGGATACTATGTGGATGAACTTTTGAGACTCGGAATGCCCAAAATCATCATCCTTAATTCACCCAGGAAATCTCAAACCCAACTAAAGACATTCATAGTATTTCTATACTATAAGGCCACAGTAACCAAAATAGCATGGTACTGGTACAAAGACAGACACATAGACCAATGGAAAAGAATAGAGAACCCAGAAATAATGCCACACACCTACAACCATCTGATTTTTGACAAAGTTGGCAAAAATAAACGTGGGAAAAATAATCTCTGGTCAATAAATGGTGCTGGGATAGCTGGACAGCTATATGCAGAAGAATAAAACTGGATCCCTACCTGTCACCATATAGGTGATAACTCAAGATGGATTAAAGATTTAAATGTAAGACTTTGGCCAGGCGTGGTGGTCCACGCCTGTAATCCCAGCACTTTGGGAGGCCAACGTGCACTGATCACTTGAGACCAGGAATTTGAGACCAGCCTGGCCAACATGGTGAAACCGTGTCTCTACTAAAAATACAAAAATTAGCCAGGCGTGGTGGCACACGCCTGTAGTCCCAGCTACTCGGGAGGCTGAGACAGGAGAATTGCTTGAACCCAGGAGGCAGAGGTTGCAGTGAGCCGAGATCACACCACTGCACTCAAGCCTGGGCAACAAAGCGAGACTCTGTCTCAAAAAACAAACAAACAGGCCAGGCGCGGTGGCTCACGTCTGTAATCCCAGCACTTTGGGAGGCTGAGGCGGGTGTATCACGAGGTCAGGAGATCGAGACCATCCTGTCTAACATGGTGAAACCCCGTCTCTACTAAAAATATTTAAAAAAAATTAGCAGGTCGTGGCAGCAGGCGCCTGTAGTCC